>NC_000017.11:36935980-37560980 GCF_000001405.40 Homo sapiens | reverse complement strand
ATAGCAACCGTGTTTAGGCTGGGTGCAGTGGCTCACGCCTGTAATCCCAGCAGTTTGGAAGGCCAAGGAGGGTGGATCACCTGAGGTCAGGAGTTTGAGACCAGCCTGGCCAACGTGGCAAAACCCTGTCTTTACTAAAAATATGAAAATTAGCCGGGTGTGATGGTGCGCACCTGTAGTCCCGGGTACTCGGGAGGCTGAGGCAAGAGAATCGCTTGAACCCAGGCAGAGGTTGCAGTGAGCTGAGATTGTGCCACTGCACTCCAGTCTGGGTGACAGAGCAAGACTCCATCTCAAAAAAAAAAAAAAAATAGCTATTGTTTTTAAAAAATATCATGATAGGGTCGGGCACAGTAGCTCACACCTGTATTCCCAGCACTTTGGGAGGCCGATGTGGGCGGATCACCTGAGGTCAGGAGTTCCAGACAAGCCTGGCCAACATGGTAAGACCCCATCGCTACTAAAAATACAAAAAAGTTAGCCAGGCATGGTAGCACATGCCTGTAGTCCCAGCTGCTCAGGAGGTTGAGGCACAAGAATCGCTTGAACTCAGGGAGGCAGAGGTTGCAGTGAACCAAGATCATGCCACTGCACTCCAGCCTGGGCAACACAGCAAGATTCCATCTCAAAAAAAAAAAAAAATGATAGGTGCTGAATGGGGGATTATCTAGTAGAAGGGGGATAAGATTACTTCTTATGGTTCTGGAGATTACAAGGAGGTAAATGTGCTTCAGCTATTGAGAATTATTTATTTTCTAAAATTTAGGGCATACCAGGCACAGTGGCTCATGCCCGTAATTCCAGCACTTTGGGAGGCCAGAGTGGGAGGATGGCTTGAGCCCAGGAGTTTGAGACCAGCCTGGGCAACATAGTGAGACCTTGTCTCTACAAAAAATGAAAATAAATAAATAAAAAATAAGCCAGATATGGTGGTGCACACCTGTGGCCCCAGCTATTCCAGAGGCTGAGGTGGGAGGATTGCTTGAGCCTGGGAGGTCGAGGCTGCAATGAGCCATGATTGTGCCACTGTACCCCAGCCTGGTCACAGTAAAAATAAAATAAAATTCAGGGCAAATTCCAAATCAGTGTAGTTTCCTCTGAAGATAGGACATTCCCTTTCACGGGAAGCTTGCATGACAAGTTAAATTCCCTTGTCAAATGAGAGCCATGGTTACTCTGATTTATTACACTGCTCAACAATGTACTGCTAATACTCAAACTACACTGCTTGAAGTATTAGCAGTACAGCAATCTGCGGACTGTAAAGGCAGCAACTAGTCTTTTTTTTTTGAAACAGAGTTTTATTTTTGTCAACCAGGCTAGAGTGCAATGGCATGATCTTGGCTCACTGCAACCTCCACCTCTTGGGTTCAAGCGATTCTTCTTTCTCAGACTCTCAAGTAGCTGGTGTTACAGGTACCTGCCACCATGCCTGACTAATTTTCATATTTTTAGTAGAAACGGGGTTTCACCATGTTGGCCAGGCTGGTCTGAAACTCCTGACCTCAGGTGATCTGCCCGCCTCGGCCTCCCACAGTGCTGGGATTACAGGCGTGAGCCACCACACTTGGCCAGTCTTTTTCTTTTCAAGATTTTTTTTTCTATTGTTGTTGCGGTACTTGGTACCATTATTATTTGGTTTTTTTTAGCCTTTCACTCATGATCTAGAAAGAAAATATTCTAGAATAACATTATTAAAAATGACTTGATTAAGGCATAGTCACTGCTACATATCACAAAGCAGGTACAAGATACATTCACAGAGGTGTATTACAGTACTGTCTTACATCTATAATACTAGAGCGTACAATTAAAAAGGCATTATATAAGATTTGATTCTACTCTTCCAGCAGAGAGCCCAAAGGATGGTAGGACACAGCTCTCATACAGAAATATACCTTCTTAGCTAGGATTTTCCTTCATTAGTAGCATGGTTATAGGTACTCACTTTTCTTCATGAACATCAGCTAAAAATAATTTAAAAACAAACCAATGAAACATTGGATTCCTACAAAGATGACCAAGTGGGAGTAAGCAGGACTCAACCGAACTCGTATTTTACCAAATCCTTCATGTTAGAATGGTGAGAGCTCTGTGAAGGAAAGGGAATGGCAAGTAGCAGTTCAAAGCTCGGGCCACAACCAAGACACAGGATCATTTCAAACAGAAGCAGTAACCAAACAATGCTCACTTAGTATGTTCAAGGATACAGACGTCAAGACGCCAGTGTTCAATCATCTGCGCACTAATCCAGTAAGAATGAGTGATCAGTTACTATACTTTGCTTGTGTTAAACTCAATCACCACTTTACAAGATTTTCAAGATTGGCTATAATTTAATGAGAAAGATGAAGAGAGAGGGATTTATGTGCCCATGTGGTTACCATCTCCGATAGTAAGACTTAGAGTACAAGGGAATATAAAATGATCATTTGGGAGTCATATATGTAAAAACTGAAAGTTATGTTTGTGGTTAAATCCTACTGTAAACATGATGGGTAGGGTTTAGATAACCCATAGGTCAAATTATGTTCTGCAAAGCTTAACTATGCATGCTATGAAATGTGTATACTCTAATGAGAATTTCCTTCTGGGAACAATACCACATTCTATCTTTACGTATTGAATGCTCAAACTTGGGACATCCTTCAGCAATCTTTTATTTCTACTCTTCTGCTAGGGGTAGGGGAGAGAAGGTAGGTAGGTATGGTAGAAACTGTATTGCTTAATCATCTTTAAAGAAGGAAAGCCCACCTCTTATAAGAATATTCAGCCCCATATAACTGTTAGGTTCTAGAAATATTTTCTTGTGTTTTATCCAAGCTTTTAGAATGTAATAGCCATTTCTTCCTCAGTGCCTGTATCAGATACACAGTGGGAGTAACAGAGATAAACCTGAGGGGATCTTTTGACTTGTTAGGTTTTTATTTACACCTAGCAATGCTTTCATCAACACTTGGGCCAAGATAAGTTTGGAGTAAAGAGCACATGGTTTAACATGAGGATTCTTGTGTAATATGGTATTAATGACCATAATGTGTATTCCCGTAATAGACAATAGGAAAAGACAGTGGTGTCACCAAAATGTAAGCAGTACCTTAGTCCTGCCTTTTCAATACCTTTTTTTTTTTCTGAGAGACAGTGTATTGCTCTGTCATCCAGCCTGGAGTGCAGTGGCGCAGTCATAGCTCACAGCAGCTTCCAACTCCTGGACTCAAGCAGCCTCAGCCTCCGTCCCAAGTGGCTGGTACTGTAGATGTGCATCACCACAGTGGGGTCTTGCTGTGTTGCCCAGGCTAGTCTTGAACTCCTGGCCTCAAGCAATCTTTCCAGCTCAGCCTCCCAAAATGCTGGGATTACAAGTGTGAGCCACCATGGCCAGCCACATTTCAGTACTTTTTAAACAAAGTTCCAGATTGTTGTTATTTTCATTTACTTGCTTTCATTCCTATCTTAACTTTAATTCTAAGGTTTTCCAAGTAGAGTTGCCAACTTTGTTCATTTTAGGAGAATAGATTTTATTTTCCTAAATGGTGTGATATATTTTTTATACTCAAAAAATACATTGGCTTGACTTCGTCAAAGTACGTTAGTATCTTAGAATTTATGAAGAATCTTATAGTATTGTGTTGTTCAGAGCTGTGGGTTTCTTAGGTTACTGAATGACAGAGTTTAATAATGTTTCCTTTTTTCCATCTCCAGAGTTTAAGCCATAAATTAAAGTAAATGAGGAAATGTTCTGTATAAAGAAATGACACATTTTTATTGAAATTTTAGCAAAAAAGTGGTCCCTTTTGAGATTTTTTGGAGTCTAAAAAGTGACGGAGAGGGAAACTTACAAGTATGTAGACATTAACCAAAAATCTAACCATGAAATAATATGCTTAATATGCCTTCTGATAGACAAGCTTCCATTGACTGTGACTAATTTATTTGCCAACAAATTCCCTTTGTAAACTCACCCGCTTTTATTTCCTTTTAGCCCTTTCACCCAGCTTACATTTCCAATGGAAAAGTTTACAATTCATCAGTAAGTGTAGTTTGCTGTGGTGATTAAAACAAACAAACAAACAAAGCAATACTTGTCAATTTCACAGATATTTCAAAGCAACACATTAAAAATTTAGGCTGTGATAAAAATGGCCGCTTATCACCTCTACATTTTCAGAAATAATACAAGTATAATCAGTGATACTACTAATCTAAAATTCTAGGGTGATTTTTAAAAGTTTTACATCTTCTGTCAGTTTGTGAAATTGACTTGAGTTTTACTAGTGGTATGTCTTACAAATATAAATTACAGGAAATCTGAATGCTGTTCCTCTCTTATTAGATGAATTCCTTGGTGTTGATGAATTATGCTGGTGAATTGGTTAACTATCTCAGGTTAGGAGGAAAAATTAGCTTGTATTGTTTTTGGTGCTTTTTTTTTTTCATCTGCTATATCCAAGTACATATCTTGTTACAAGCACAGTATATTTTATTTTTTAAATTTATTTTTATTTTTATTTTATTTATTTATTTATTTTGATACGGAGTTTTGCTCTTGTTGCCCAGGCTGGAGTGCAATGGCACAATCTCGGCTCACTGCAACCTCTGTCTCCAGGGTTCAAGCGATTCTCCTGCCTCAGCCTCCCAAGTAGCTAGGATTACAGGCACCTGCCACCACACCCAGCTAATTTTTTGTATTTTTAGTAGAGATGGGGTTTCACTATGTTGGCCAGGCTGGTCTCAAACTCCAGACCTCAGGTGACCCACCCGCCTTGGCCTTCCAAAGTGCAGGGATTACAGTCGTGAGCCACCGTGCCTGGCCCAAGCACAGTATATTTTAAGCCTGCATTATTTTATATGCCAATTTAAGAATTGGATTTTGGTTCTCAATACATTTTTATTATTGATATGCTCTTATATGTCATTTTTAGGGGAAAATGTAATTTTTAAAAATGGGTGAGGAAATTAAAGCTTATATTTTAATTTACTTAATTTTAATCTCCAGAAATGGCAGTCATTTTTTAAAATAATAAATGATGTTGGTTGGTATAGCTATATTTATTTGTTTTTTTATTTTTATTTTTGAGACAGAATCTCTCTCTGTCCCCCAGGCTGGAGTGCAGCGGTGGGATCTTGGCTCACTGCAAGCTCCGCCTCCCAGGTTCAAACAATTCTTGTGCCTCAGCCTCCCGAGTAGCTGGGATTACAGGCATGTGCCTCCATGCCCAGCTAATTTTTCTGTATTTTAAGTAGAGATGGGATTTCTCCATGTTGGCCAGGCTTGTCTTGAACTCCTCCTGGCCTCAAGTGATACACCCTCCTTGGTCTTCCAAAGTGCTGGGATTACAGGTGTGAGCCACTGTGTTCGGCCTTGGCATAACTATATTTACATTTGGTTTATCTCTGGTTTTTATTACCTGGTATAGCCTAGTGGATTTTATGGTAGACCTTCAGATGCTATTAGAAAACTGAGATCATCTGTATCCTGATGCTGTACCTGAGTGATGATAACATTACTATGATAATAAAGAATATAGAAACCTTTTAAGAATCACAGGCCTTGGGCCGGGTGCTGTAGCTCACGCCTGTAATCCCAGCACTTTGGGAGGCCGAGGCAGGTGGATCAGCCGAGGTCAGGAGTTCAAAACCAGCCTACGTGACGTGGTGAAACCCCGTCTCTACTAAAAATACAAAAATTAGCCGGGCGTGGTGGCAGGTGCCTGTAATCCCAGCTACTTGGGAGGCTGAGGCAGGAGAATCGCTTGAACCTGGGAGGTGGAGGTTGCAGTGAACTGAGATCACACCATTGTACTCCAGCCTGGGCGACAATAATGAAACTCTGTCTCAAAAAAAAAAGAATCATAGGCCTAAATTTTTATCAATGTCTTAACTGAGTCTGTTTAATTATTTATGAGAAGTACATAAGTACCCACTCTATTTAACCAGAATATAAAAATAAACAAATCTGAGACACATGTTTCTCAGGATCTCTTGAGAGCTGTGTCATGGGCAAAAGAAATTTTATTTAAAAAATAAATAAATAAATAAACAATTCCGTCAGTTACCCCATCCTCAGAGTAGCATAATGTAAACTAAAGTCTAAGTCATACCCTCTAAAACTTTATATAATAGAGTTGGTATTTATTCAAATCCTTTTGAATTTTAATAAATAAAAATAAGTGCTCATTGATACAGTGAGACAGCTGATTTCTAGAAAAGCTCAAGTGCTCAAGGACTTTTTTTCTGTGAGATTCAGCTTATTAGAGACTATAGGGAGGAGCTGCTTTACAATGTGCCCCACCTAGAATGCTTTGCAAATAAATAGATACCTTTTCAAAAATTTTCATCAAAGTTCCCTTCAAATTAATGCCTTCATTTACTTGAGCAAGACCACATAGTATCTAATGTTATTCTTAAAGTGCCTGGCTAAACCAAGTGTTGTACATCCTGAATATTAGATGTAGGATTTTTCATAATACTTTATTGGTACCTCTGATTTTTTTAATGGGTAACATGTTTATCTTTAAAGGGCCACTGTTTTAATATGCCTCTCTTCAAGAACCTCTAGCCCTATTTCTTATTGTATTGTCTGCTTGGCTGGCTAGCTGTGGGAACAAAAAGTCTTGAGAGGAGTACTTTTAGCCAGTTGTAGGATCTAGAGCTAAGAGAGATCCCACACTAAAAGCATGAGCAAATGAAAATGGTACCGTCAGGTACTTTCAGTTCGATTTCTATTTATTTCAGTATCACTAGACTTCAGTGTGGAAATAAATGTGTAGTTCGATAGGGTTTAAAGTATGTAAACATTATTAAGTAATGTCAAGTCAGTGGAGAAAAGTCAGTAAAATTATGCTTGCAGTTTAATATACTGTGTATTATATGGTTTTCAGTTCAGCATTCCCATTTGTTTGGTGGTATTTTTTCTTTCAGGAGAAAGCTTTGCAGAATTCAGATCTGCAGGAACTGATGATGGTTTCACCGATTTTAAAACAGCCGATAGTGTATCACCACTAGAGCCACCAACAAAAGACAAAACTTTTCCACCATCCTTCCCCTCAGGAACTATACAACAGAAACAACAAACACAAGTGAAAAACCCTCTGAACTTAGCAGACCTAGATATGTTTTCCTCAGTTAATTGCAGCAGCGAGAAACCATTGTCTTTTTCAGCTGTGTTTAGCACATCAAAATCAGTTTCTACACCACAGTCAACAGGTTCTGCTGCTACTATGACAGCATTGGCAGCAACAAAAACTTCTAGTTTGGCTGATGATTTTGGAGAATTCAGCCTTTTTGGGGAATATTCTGGTCTAGCACCTGTTGGGGAGCAGGATGACTTTGCAGATTTTATGGCTTTCAGTAATAGCTCTATTTCATCTGAGCAAAAGCCGGATGACAAATATGATGCCCTTAAAGAGGAAGCCAGTCCTGTTCCTCTAACCAGCAACGTGGGCAGCACAGTGAAGGGTGGACAAAACTCGACTGCTGCGTCTACCAAGTACGATGTCTTCAGACAACTTTCTCTGGAAGGGTCTGGACTAGGTGTTGAAGACCTGAAAGATAACACTCCTTCAGGAAAAAGTGATGATGATTTTGCTGACTTCCACTCCAGTAAATTTTCTTCCATAAACTCGGACAAATCCCTGGGAGAGAAAGCAGTGGCTTTCAGACACACCAAAGAAGACTCTGCATCAGTGAAGTCCTTAGATCTCCCTTCCATTGGTGGCAGCAGTGTTGGCAAGGAGGACTCTGAAGATGCACTCTCTGTTCAGTTTGACATGAAATTGGCTGATGTGGGAGGAGATCTTAAGCATGTCATGTCTGATAGCTCTTTGGATTTACCAACAGTTAGTGGCCAGCATCCTCCTGCTGCAGGTGAGGAATTGGTGAGATTGCTCTGGTGATGGTGTTGTAGATTTCAAAGATGATTCTGCGGGTGTTGATTTACATGAGTAAGGCTCTGGCCCTTTAGCTTTATGAATCTCTAATAATCAACCTCTTTATTGCCAGTCTCCTTAAAGCAGTGTTAAATTTGATTCTATGGATACTTGATATGGATACTATGGCTACTGTGGAACTTAGATTGGGTAGCTAAGATATTTTTATTTTTGAAATCTAGCACCAGCTTGGTGTTAGAGGCACATAAAAAGTCACTGCTAAGTGAACCTCACATTGCCAGAAATTTGATAAAGACCTTTGCAGTGCCGGCAGTGTTCCTTCATTTCTGTGAGTAAAATCAGTGTTTCCCTCTCCTTTTTTCTTCTCTTGGGTATACACAGCAACTGCCAGTATAGTATTCTGTTTGATTTACAGAAATTAACTCTTGTTAGGTCAAGAAAGTAAAAATTTCTAACCACTTGTAGTGCAGTTTGCCACATCCTTTTAAGAGAAGAAGAGGGAAAGAGTTTATATATGAATGTTCTGTATGTCAGGGCCTGGCAAAGAGGAGGGTGTGTGTTGTCAGTGGAATCCAGGAGCTGTTTTCAGTGTTAACTCTATTACTGGAAATATTAAGTTGTAACAAATCTGTAGATGCTAGGATAGGGTAACTGCTAACTTTCTGATAAAATGTTTGAAAACATCTTATTAGGGAGCCCTCTTTAAATTCTGTGTAGATTTACATGTAGCAATTTACTCTCTAGTTCAACTTCTGTCATAAAAACTAGATTCCCAAGTGTCCTGGTTTTTCTTTTGTTTTGTTTTTTGATATGTATATAGAAAGATAAACCTATTTTGTGGCCTTTTAATAATGAGAAATATCTCAGTATCACTGTATTATTCTAGAAAATGTATTATGCATATGAAGGATTTGGTTTTGTCTAACTAGGGGGGACACGTGAGACACTTCCAAGTTTACAGATTCAGGCAGAAATTGTAAAGTCCTATAGCTTTTGCATATGTCAAATTGGCAAGTCGGAAAACAAAATTGCATCCATCCTTTGGTTATGGAAATGTTGTAGGTATTGCTAAACAGGCTGCTGAATCAGGAGCAAGTTAGCAGAGACATTGCATGTTTCATGTTGCTACTTGCTAAGGTATTTTTCAAATGCAGTGGGCGGTCTGAAGAGCTCCTGTGCCCTTGACTGTCTACTTTCTGTCTTTTTTTTTTTTTTTGTACTTTTCCTCAGAAATTTTCTTATTTTTTTGCTGCTGTTTGTTTGATAGAGTGATTGTGGGTTTTGTTTTGTTGGTTTTTTTTTTTTATGAGCTGCTTGAACCACAGCAGTTGGTTGCAAAGTGCTCTGTTTTCTGAACAATATTGGATTTTTATTTAAAAATCTCATAACATGTATACTAGCCTTTTGGACTCTGAAGTTATTAATTAGAAACTATTTTTCTGAAAGTGAATCTATATTCTTTCACAGTGCCAAGGTAGATGTCTTTATGAAATGAGGCTAATCCGGGTTTGGGGTGTCTTTTTTTTTCCCCCATTTTATTTGGAGGTTGGTTTTTTTGACCAAGCTTGTTCTTACTGACCTGTTAAAATAATCTTCTGTGCTCATGTTCTTTTATGTATGTTTGGAACATCCTCAGCTTGGAGCCTGTAATGTTCAAGCTAACTCTTCAGTTGGAGGATATTCTTAAAAGCAGATTGTTTCCTCCCATTGATCTGTAAACCTCCTGTCAGAAAGGAGCAGTATCCCTTTAGAGCGGTTGTTAAAAGGGGTTGATGTCTGACCAATGCGCTATATTGCTGTTGTGCAAAATTGCTGCATCAATGTATTGTAGAGGGTAAATGGCAAGGACTTATTCAAAGTAATGTAGTTTTATTTTATCCTCATGTTCACCACAGTATCTCTTGCTCTCTTAGTTTGAGGGTTAAAGGTACTTCTTGTTGGAGAAATAAGAAGTGAGCTGATGAAGAGAGAATAAAACCTGGTAGATTGCTATCTGCGGACCTTAATCCTGTTTAGAAGCCCTAACTTAACTCTGAAGGGGATACTGTCTCTTTTAACTCTTGCTATAATCATTTGTATGGAAGGTAGATAATACTGATAACATTGCCTGATTTCTCTGCGTATTATTACATTTAACCCTTTGAGGCCTTGCTGCATATAATTTCAACTAGGCTGTTTTTTCCCCCTGACTAAATTTAATCTGCGGCACTGAAGCATCTTGACGTGCAGTCATTAAAATCATATGGTTTTATTGGCAGCAAGAGCTGACCCTCATCTGTGACATTTTCAAAGGGTTAGCAAGACTTCTGTAGCTACCTACCTACCTATCTGTAAAGTAGCTCTTCTTTGACATTGAAAATCTTTGTATTTTAATTAGCACCTTTTTTTTTTTTTGGCTGCTTTTCTGATGTCTTTTTTTCAATTTAGACATTTTCTGTGTGAATGTGCCTTCAAATTTACTTTAGTATATTCCTCTGCAAATACTGATCTGCATGCTTATTCTGATGACTTCTTTTCCAGCTCTTCTGTATCACTCTCTTTTGTGATCTGTAAGTCTTGTGTTAATAAATAATTCTTTGGCATATTTTGAAAGTGTGGGGATGTGTGTAATTTGTACTTTTTCAGGGTTAGACCAAAGAAATACCTGGCTGATACCAAGTTTAAAGCAATAGTATCCTAAGACTAGAGGGTTTTCCCCTTTTGTTTTGTTTCGTCAAACACTTGTCTCCTGAGAAAGTATTGGTACATTTTAGCCTTTGTTTCTTATAATTCCATTAATGTAAGTTTTTAACATGGCATTGGATTGAAATAGAAAATTAAACTTAAATAAGAATAAACCTTACACTACTTTACATGATAGGGAGAAAGAACATTTATTGCAGTTTCTTCTCTTGAAGAAACTGATCATATTTTATTGTAGAGAATCTGTCTCTACTAGGCATTACATTGAAGAGAAGAGAAGGGGAAGGTGGGGAAAAAGACCTAAGAGTTGAGTGTTGTGGAAAGAGTTAACTATAACTATCTAGTTATGTAATAACTAGTTATTAGATATATATCATCAAATAATATTGAAATGGACTTCTGAGCACAGTAAATGTAAACTGTATTTAAATTGATAATCTGCATAATGGAAAGTGTTCTGTATTAATAGCAGGAAGTCTTGAGGATGGAATTTGATTTGAGTTTGAAATTGGGTACTCATCCGGGCACGGTGGCTCACACCTGTAGTACCAGCACTTTGGGAGGCCAAGGTGGGTGGATTGCTTGAGGCTAGTAGTTCATGACCAGCCTAGGCAACATGGCAAAACCCCATCTTTACCAAAAAATACAAAAATTAGCCGGGCACGGTGGTGGGCTCCTGTAGTCCCAGCTACTCAGGAGGCTAAAGTGTGAGGATCAGTTGATCCTGGGAGGTAGAGGCTGCAGTGAGCTGTGATCACATCACTGCACTCCAGCCTGGGTGACAGAGCAAGACCTAGTCTCAAAGAAAGAAAAATTGGGTACTCCATCCTCTAATTGCAGAGCATGTTAGGTTTGCAGTATGTGTTCTGTATGATGAAGCAACCCTCAGCCTTTTTTTTTCACTCATAGTACATAAAGCAAATTCTTAAAACATGTTACTTTAGGGGGTGTGTCTAACAAAGTAAGGTTTGAACCATTCTTATTTTTAAGAAAACATTTTCTAGAAGGACCAATGAAATGTGGCAACAAGCGTAGGCCAAACATGGAAAATATTTTCTCCATTTTAGAGTATGGTAACAGTAAAAAAACCTTGAGAATATTACTGTTTTTCAGGTTAGAAACCCCAAAGCAATAAAATCCCTGGGAAAGGGGATATTTCCATGGTTTACATTTTGTATTCTTATGTTTTGAGGCTTTAATTCTTTGTTCTTTTTTAGAATTTGAGGAAGGAAGGAAATTAAATCACTGAAGATGAGGACTTTTTTTTTTTTTTTTTTTGAGACCAGGTTTCTTGTTGCCCAGGCTGGAGTGCAATGGCACAATCTCAGCTCACTGCAACCTCTGTCTCCCAGGTTCAAGTGATTCTCCTGCCTCGGCCTCCTGAGTAGCTGGGATTACAGGCACATGCCAACACACCCAGCTAATTTTGTATTTTTAATAGAGATGGGGGTTTCTCCATGTTGGTCAGGCTGGTCTCGAACTCCTGACCTCAGGTAATCCGCCCGCCTTGGCCTCCCAAAGTGCTGGGATTACAGGCATGAGCCACCACGCCCGTTTTTTTGTGTGTTTTTTTTTTTTTTTTTTAAGACAGAGTTTCCCTCTTGTCACCCAGGCTGGAGTGGAATGGCGCAATCTTGGATCTCGGCTCACTGCAACCTCTGCCTCTGAGGTTCAAGTGACTCTCCTGCCTCAGCCTCCCAAGTAACTGGGATTCCAGGTGCCTGCCACCACGCCCAGCTAATTTTTGTATTTTTAGTAGAAGTGGGTTTTCACCATGTTGGCCAGGCTGGTGTCAAACTCCTGACCTCAGGTGATCCACCTGCCTCGGCCTCCCAAAGTAGTGGGATTACAGGTGTGAGCCACCACACCCGGCCTAGAAGAAGATGAGGATTTTGAATAGGACTCCTAAGAGATCACTTGTAGTGTCTTAAATATGCCATTTAAGAAAGAAAAGTTGCATATAGAGGTTTAGGTTAACTCTGAGAAAAGCCAGGCCTGCCATTCAAAATACAGCACTTTCCAGAGCATACTGCTTTAAAAAGTTGAATAATACTTGGTTTCAAAAACCTTGTGTAAATGCATTATATTTTATTTATGATATGTGCTTCCTAACAAATTTGAAAGAAAGAGATCTTAGTGTAGCTTCCATCTAGTGATAATGCCAGCTGCCCTTTATTTTGGATTTTCCCGTGCTATTTATAAAACCAATCTCTTGATGGCTTTGACTGAGGAATTTCTTTGTCAGTGGAATTCTGTAATGCTAGATTGGTCCATGTAGGACTGCTTTATTTTAACTCTTTTCTGCATTTATCTGAGCAGGCTGCAGAAAATGACTGAATGTAACTGTGTGTAAAGCATACATTCACAAATTGAGTAATGAGTATTTCCAAAGTAACATTACTTTTTAGGGAGGTAGTTTTAATATAATGTAATGACTTAAACTTCTTTTGCGAAAAAGACTTGAAGAATTCTATGCTATAGGTTTAAACAAAATACTGTTTTGTTTACCCTGATGCCAAGTAACATATGGTTAGTGCTTCACTTCATGTATCAGTGCCTGAGAAAGTATACCTATGTATCTGTTGTTCTATAGTCACTCTGTTGTTCACATCAGAATCCCTGCTGATTTTTAGAAGTAGCAAATGACGGCCAGGCACAGTGGCTCACGCCTGTAATCCCAGCACTTTGGGAGGCGAAGGCAGGCGGATCACCTGAGGTCAGGAGTTGGAGACCAGCCTGGCCAACATGGTGAAACCCCATCTCTACTAAAAATACAAAAATTAGCCAGGTGTGGTGGCTCGTGCCTGTAATCCCAGCTACTCGGGGGGCTGAGGCACGAGAATTGCTTGAACCTGTGAGGTGGAGGTTGCAGTGAGCTGAGATTGTGCCACTCACACTGCAGCCTAGGCGACAGAGCGAGACTCCATCTCCAAAAAAAAAAAAAAAGCAGCAAATGAACATGAAGGGAACACTGGCAATATCAAAAAACCTGTGCTAAATCCTAAAATAATGCAAAGAACCAAAAGGCCTCAATTGCACTTCCTGCCTTCTGTGTTCATTTGGTGTCTTTTTGGTGAGATTTTTACTGATGACCAGGGGCAGTCCCACTGTGTATCCTGACACCATTCCTTGGCCTTCTGTCTTCCTCTAACTTAAAATATCCACAGGATTTCCAGTTTTCTTTTTTGAACTTAAAACACTAACACAGAAACCCAAAGGTGCTTCTAGATAGTGTGGATATAATTTATACCATGAAGTTGTGTGAGTCAGTACAAATGAAGAACAAGAAATTTTCATACAGATTAGAAAACACTGGAAGGCAATTAAACAGCAGCATTTTTCAGCCTGTCACTTATACTGTGATCACTTTCATTCCTGTTTTCTTCAGTGTTTGAGACTTATAGGACACAGACCAGGTTTTTTAGTTAATAGAGAATATGAATATGACTGATCTCATAGGTAGATCAAAGATAGAATAGGGACTAAGGGAGATTAGGGCCCAGGGTAGAGAGAAACTGAAATGTACAAGTATTTTATGGTTTGCTTTAGTAAATGAAGTTTAGATTACATGAGTACTGTAAATTAAAATATATATCTTAGTCCAATGAACATTTTTATTGCTATATAAAATGAGAATAGTGGAATTTGTACATATATCTCCTTTCTTCTTTCTCCAAACTCCTTCAAAAGCCAGTAACTCTTCCTCACCTGGGCATATACTTAACAGCTTTAGCAAATGTCCCTGGGAATGAGCTTGGCCGTCTGTGTCCTGTAGTAGCAGCCAACATTCTTTGTTCCAAAAAATACCGTTTTCATGTACAACATCTATTCAAAAGAGATTTGAATAGAGGTTATGGAAGAGACTGATAGGGTTACTTGCCAGCATAAGCAAGAAATATGTGTTTTGATTTGAGATCCATGATGGAAAACAGATCGTATACATTTATTTCTTTGGCCTTTGTAATAGGACATCCCTGATTGCAAACAGATGTATGCATTAAAACAACAATTTGGCATATTATCTGTGTGCAAATGCAGTCAGCCTAGCACAGCCTAGGAGTTTTGCAGCAGAACTGGAAATACAGTAGTGATTTTCTGTTCATTTTATTGCATTCATTCTCCATTTTCTTTTTCCTTTTTCTCTTGCAATTTTCAGAATTCGGCTATCAAATTGAAAATCCATCTATACTAGCTTCAGTGATTACAAACTAAAATGTGGGTTATTCCACATCATTTTTTCTATCATTTATGTTGTAGGTCTTACATAATCTTTAATATTTTTAAGACCATTATACAATAATACCGATAAGTGGACTGCTTAGAAATGTAGAACTATTAACAGGGGAAATGAAGAATTTTCTTACTTTAAGCTACCTTCAATGAACTGATGTACCACATTTTTCTTAGTTAATGGTTGACGTATATTTGCTATGCCAGAACATACTGCCCTGTAATTATATTGTTTATAAATTCTAAGTTTAGGGGCACGGTGTTCTGTCTCACATTCCTTATGTACCATCAGTACTGGTGTTCAAATGAATTACACTTTACGAAATTACTTTTTCACACTATAATAGCCAACAAATAAGCAAAAGTAAATTTAAAACTCAATTTTGAGGCTTGATTTTAGTGACTCTTGTATATTTGCTCTTCATTTTAAGTATAAAATATTTCTAAGTCTTTCATTTGCTTTCCTAGTCTTTCATTTAGTCTTTTCTGGGAGTTGCTCCAAAAGGCAAGATGTTACAGGCGTATCATTTTTAACAAAAATAAGATTTCCTGAAATTTTAAAAATGCTTAAAAATGCCTCAGCTTAGGCAATCCCTTATTCCCTGTAATGCCTTTTACCTGATTATATTAGTCATTTTAGTTTTTCAAAAGACATTTTCTTGTTGCATAATTGCACAGAAAGATCTTTTTATTACCATAGTAATATCTTGATTGCAGTGTTTGAACTGGAGCTATCTTTTCATTAAATTTATCATTTGCTTCTAGGAAAATTGTCTCCTTTTTTTGAGACAGAGTCTCAAACTGTCGCCAGGCTGGAGTGCAGTGGTGCCATCTTGGCTTACTGCAATCTCCGATTCCCTTATTCAAGCGATTCTCCTGCCTCACCCTCCCGAGTAGCTGCAATTACAGGCACGTGCCACCACGCCCAGCTAATTATTATTATTATTATTTTTTTTTTTTGAGACGGAGTTTCGCTCTTGTTGCCCAGGCTGGAGTGCAATGGTGCAATCTCAGCTCACTGCAACCTCTGCTTGCTGGGTTTAAGTGATTCTCCTACCTCAGCCTCCTGAGTAGCTGGAATTACAGGCATGCACCACCATGCCCAGCTAATTTTGTATTTTTAGTAGAGACAGGGTTTCTCCATGTTGGTCAGGCTGGTCTCGAACTCCTAAACTCTGGTGATCCACCTGCCCCAGCCTCCCAAAGTGCTGGGATTACAGGCCTCCCAAAGTGCTGTGAGCCACCATGCCCAGCCTGCTAACCTTTTAATAGGAAAGATTCTGGAAGCAGTTCCTAATATAGTTTCCCAAAACGCTTTCGTCGGGCCTAGTAATAGAAATATCTGTATTATGAAACATTTTTCTGAATGTATCTCTCCAAGAATAGTCCTGTATTTAACTGCATCATCCCCTGACTGAATTTCACCTCATTTGAGTCTGGACACCTTCTGGTCCCTTTAAATCGTGGGGAAAAAAACGAAAACAAAAAATCACTACAGCAAAAACCAAGAAAGCTTTGGGCTAAAGGCTTTTCCATTCATTCTAAACTATAAATTTTTCACCTGAGGCCAGGCACAATGGCTCATGCCTGTAATTCCAGCACTTTGGGAGGCCGAGACGGGCGGATCACCTGAAGTCAGGAGTTCAAGACCAGCCTGGCCAACATGGTGAAACCCCGTCTCTACTCAAAATACAAAAACTAGCCAGGCGTGGTGGCGGCTGCCTGTAATCCCAACTAATCGAGAGGCTGAGACCGGAGAATCGCTTGAACCCAGGAGGCGGAGGTTGTAGTGAGCCGAGATCGCGCCATTGCACTCCAGGCTGGGTGACAAGAGTGAAACTCCATCTCAAAAAATCAATTAAAAAAAAAAAAAAACTTTTCACCTGAGTCGTTTTTTCCTTCTGTTTTATAAACCACATTTGAAGGGTACCATTGCACCACAGAATTTTTAAATATGCCATCATTCTGTGAAAGCTGTTTGCTTTTTGCTGGTTGGTTTTTTGTACAACTAGTGTTTTTTGTTTTTATTATTCACTTAGCACCCCTTTCCTAACAGCTCAAAGAAAGAGAGATTTGGATTATACCATTAGAAGAGCTATGGAAATGTCAGGAGCTTCTTACCCCTCATAAATTATGCAGTATTGCTGTGAATGAAAGAGAAGAATGACTCCAAGTTGGTTCACTTATTGACTTAGTTCTGAAAATCTAGGTCATAAAACTTTTGAGCACTTTCCTTGTAAATCACATATGTGGTTGTCAGAGGGAGAGTCTCATATTTGGCCTTCTTGCCTCATGTACAGTGACTACAATGAAACGAAATGCATATCAACCCACTTCTCCACACCAGCCAAATTCAGTCTCGGCTGGTTTTGCTTTCTGAAAATGAGCAAGAAAATTTTCTCCTAGTAACACCACTAAAATGCTGAGTTGACTTTTCATTTTTGCTTTGAAATTCCACTGTAGGCCCTAAAGCAGCAATTAACTGTCAAGTTGAGGCTGGTGGCACCTATGCTGAGCAGACACTAGCTATTATGTATTGCTCACCAGGCACCAACCTGGCCTTTTACACACATGATCATGGTTGATGGTCATAACACAGTCCTTCCAAGTACATGGTCTTCTCCTCTCCTCATTTTACTGATAAGCAAACTGAGGTTCAGAAATGTTCAATCATTAGCCTAGTGTCATACAAATAGTAGGTAGCAAGGTTGAACTCAGGTCTTTCCAAATCAAAAACCTACATTCTTTATGCTGTTTTATGCTACCTCTTAAATTACTTAACTATATATTAAGAATGCTTTGTAAAATCAGTCGTCTGCCCCAGCAGTTCTTTCTTTTTCTTCTTTCCTTTTTTTTTAAAAAATGGGGAGTAGATACATAGTTGAAGGAAAAAGTGGAGCCCAACAGGACCCAGATCTTTTTATTGTATTTTTTTAAGGGCTAAAGTAGATCAGATTGATTTTCTTTCCTCATACTTCATCACAGCAATATGACGTCCAATTTGACCAAAATAACAACTAGGTAAGTAATTGCTTGATTAAAATCTCATGTTTGGCATTGCCTGAGACAGAAATTCTAATAATTGATAATATTATGACAGAAACCCTAATAATTGATTAAAAGTTAGATGACATTATTTTCATTTTAGTTTTGAGAAACTGTCAACTTTTAATTATTTTGCCATGTGCATTTCACATGACCATGTTTTAAAGGCACATTTTCCAACAAAGTCAAGATGAAGGGAGACATGTTTTAGGCAAGGAATATCAGTACATTTTTAAGTTGATAAGGGAACAATTTATTAAATGACCCTAATCTTATATCAAACAGTGTATACTTTGGTAGATGAACCTCCTATCTTTTTTTAGTAATTTTTATAGCCAAAGAAAATGGTTCTTGGTAACTAAATGTAAATGCCAACTCAAGGCTAATGTGGGTTTTTTTAAGATCAGATTTTACAGCCCAACTCTTAATTTTAGTACAAACTCTAAATTTAGCTAATTTCAACATAGTATAAAACTAATCAAATATGCTAGGCATTTTGCTTCTACAGAGTTTAGGGCATTTTGCCTAAATTGCTTGCCTCTAATTGTGGGGTCTTATTTCCCTTTCAGATATAGAGGACTTAAAATATGCTGCTTTTGGAAGCTACAGTAGCAATTTTGCAGTGAGCACACTTACAAGCTATGACTGGTCAGACAGGGATGATGCAACTCAGGGCAGAAAACTCTCTCCATTTGTCCTCTCAGCAGGAAGTGGATCCCCCTCAGCCACCTCAATTCTTCAAAAGAAAGAGACTTCATTTGGCAGTTCTGAAAACATCACCATGACATCTCTCTCCAAAGTAACGACCTTTGTAAGTGAAGATGCTCTTCCAGAGACCACCTTCCCAGCTCTTGCCAGTTTTAAAGACACGATTCCTCAGACCAGTGAGCAAAAGGAATATGAAAACAGAGACTATAAAGATTTCACAAAACAGGACCTGCCTACGGCTGAACGGAGCCAGGAGGCCACGTGTCCCAGCCCAGCGTCCAGTGGTGCCTCTCAAGAAACCCCGAACGAATGTTCGGATGACTTTGGAGAGTTTCAAAGTGAAAAGCCCAAAATCAGCAAATTTGACTTCTTAGTAGCCACTTCACAAAGCAAAATGAAATCCAGTGAAGAAATGATCAAAAGTGAGCTGGCAACCTTTGACCTTTCTGTTCAAGGTGAGTAGCTTCCAAGGTAGATTTTACTATTGTGGTTTTTTTCCACTGAGATGTTAGATGTTCTTAAGAATAAAATGTTGCTCTCTGGTTTCGCAGGAAATAGATTGTTCTAATCTTTGAAATCAGGGTCAATTACAGATAGCTATAATAAAGATTTCCCTGAGACGGGAGTCAAAATCAGCATCCCTCAGATAACTGCTTTATGGGCTAAAAACAAGCACAGCATGCAGGTATTGCTCATTAGCTCGTTTGGTTAGAGGTGTGCTGTGTTAAAAGAGCCAGATAAATGGATTCGAGCCACTTGTAGGCACATTAGCTCCGCTCATGTTCCCTGAGCACAGATAATGTCTTTTAATCCAAAGGTTGCAAAGTGGGGGCCGGGGATCTGCATCTAGCCTGCATATCACATTGACCCACACAAAAGATTTTTAAGTACGAAGTAATTGCCAGTATTTAAAAGACATGAGATTTCCCAATCTGGATTTCCAACTTTTCTTGAGAAGTCATAATATCTGGCACTAGTAGGTCTACAGTCCCATATGTTGGCAGCTGGAGCCGAAGAGCACCACTCCCTGTAGGTGGGTCATTCTCTCTCTCCTACCATAATCCCCACCGCTTCCTGTCTCAGCGGACCTACTTAAGTTGTTCACTTTACTTGCCTGGTCTCTGAAGGCATTTGAGTTTGCCTCTTCTGCTTTAATCTCATCCTGACAGGAGGGGTCGTTGATTTCAACTGGATTGAGAGACTGTGAAGGAACTCGGTTACAAATCCATAACAAATGACTGGAAAAGCCACACAACTCTTACATACTGATATTTAGAAAGGTGCTTTTGTTCTCCAGACTCCAGTGATTCTGCACTGGGCATTATGGAAGACTTGTGATAGATCAGAGAAGAGTCATGTTGAAAACGAAACGCAGGGAAACCGTGCAAGAGAGAACAGTAGAAAAGATTTAACATGTAGCTTCCCAGAAAGAATGAATGAGGAATGTGTTTGTGAATGCCTCATGACATAAGCATCTGAAGAAGAGGGTCGTGGGCTGGGCGCGGTGGCTCACACCTGTAATCTCAACGCTTTGGGAGGGGAGGCAGGCAGATAACTTGAGATCAGGAGTTCGAGACCAGCCTGGCCAACACAATGAAACCGTGTATCTACTAAAAATACAAAAATTAGCCAGGCATGATGGTGTGCACCTGTAGTCCCAGCTACTCAGGAGGCTGAGGCAGGAGAATTGCTTGAACCCAGGAGGCGGAGGTTGCACTGAGCCGAGATCACACCACCGTACTCCAGTCTGAGCGACAGAGCAAGAATCTGTCTCAAAAAAAAAAAAAAAAAAAAAAGAAGAGGGTTGTGGTAGCGAGGAAGAGCCTCTGCCTGAACTAAGGTGAGTAGCCAAAACCTTTGACTGTATTATCCCCTTCTCCCAGGATCACACAAGAGGAGTTTGAGCCTTGGTGATAAAGAAATAAGCCGTTCTTCTCCTTCTCCAGCTTTGGAGCAGCCTTTCAGAGACCGTTCCAATACTCTGAATGAGAAGCCCGCCCTGCCCGTCATCCGAGACAAGTACAAAGACCTGACGGGAGAGGTGGAGGTGAGAGGAGAGCTTTCTACAAGGGGTGGGTAACAGACCAGCAAGCACACAGGGCCCCAAGAAAGAATGCTGTCAGCTTTCACATGGGGAAAATGAGGGGCAGAAAGACACAAAGCACCAGACATAAACTATGTAATTAAAGTGAGGCAAGGGTAACATTAGCCCTGGGTGAAAACATTTCCCAGGTGTGGCACCCACTGAAACTAATCAGTGACCCTAAAACCAAAACTATTCATGGGACTTCACAAGGATGGCAGTGTTTGTATAATTCTTCTTGAGCACTTAGACTTTATTGTCTTCATGAAACCTCAAAATAGAGGAGACAGGGAAAATATTCTGAATTTTTTATTTCTGTCTGCTGCATCTTAGTGCCACGCTATGTTCCTCCTATGGTCAACACACTTAATTTCCCACCTTTCCCTACTCCTTGTTACATGTGCACATGGGCCACGTCCTCACACACAGCCACACAGCGTTATAACTGGGGCGTGGAAAGCCAGTGGCTTAATAGCAGTTTCTGTACCAGATAGCTACATGCTGAGTGCCTCCGAAGAAAGGCTTACACTGTTACTGATGGAACAAATGAGGCAACACTCACAGGGGGAAGCTGCTGGAAAGCATGTCCCTTAGACTCACAGGTCCTGTGCTCAGAAGTTACATTTATTAGTAATTTAACATAGTTATTAGTGAGTTCAAAAAGATAAACTGCGGCTGGGCATGGTGGCTCATGCCTGTAATCTCAGCACTTTGGAAGGCCAAGTCGGGCAGATCACTCGAGCTCAGGAGTTCAAGACAAGCCTGAGCAACATGGTGAAACCCCACCTCTACCAAAAATACAAAAATTAGCCTCATGTGGTGGTGCGTGCCTGTAGTCCCAGCTGCTCTGGAGGCTGAGGTGGGAGGATTGCTTGCGTCCAGTGCAGTGAGCAGAAATCATGCCACTGCACTTCAGCCTGGGCAACAGAGCAAGACCCTATCTCAAAACAAAAACAAAAACAAAAAAAACATAAACTGCTTGAACTAGAGTGATCGTAATAAAAAGGAAAGTCCTCCAAGCACTTTGAATTGACAGAGTCATCAATAGAAGATTCCAGGTTTGTGTGTTTAACCCAGTTCTTTTTAACAAATTCACAGGAAAATGAGAGATATGCATATGAATGGCAGAGATGCCTGGGGAGTGCCCTGAATGTGAGTATGTCACTTACGCGTTCACACATATGTGAGTGCTCTTTTGTGCCTTTTTGCCTTCTTGGTTCATTTGAATTGACAGAGGCAAACTTCAGGAGAGCCTTACTTGGATGTCCCTGGGCAAAGAGTAACTCTGTGGAAGTCATGCATCTAAGGTGAGGCTTCTTTCACACTTACAATAGCAGACCGGCTCATGTGTCAGTCATCCCCTCATCTGTCATTGTGTTTAAGAAATAACAAAGTGATTTCATTAACTCTGACTAAATCAAAATAATATTTAAGCTAAAGAACCTGTCTTGGCTGGGTGCGGTGGCTCAACACCTATAATCCCAGCACTTTGGGAGGCCAAGGCGGGCGGATCACGAGGTCAGGAGTTTGAGACCAGCCTGACCAACATGGTGAAACCCTGTCTCTACTAAAAATGCAAAAATTAGCCAGGCGTGGTGGCACGTGCCTGTAATCTCAGCTACTCAGGAAACTGAGGCAGGAGAATCACTTGAACCCGGGAGTCAGGGGTTCAGTGAGCCGAGATCTTGCCACTGCACTCCAACCTGTGCTACAGAGCGAGACTCCGTCTCAAAACAAAGCAAAACAAAACAAAAGGAAAAAAACATATTTTCTCTTCCAGAGAAATGGAGGATTGTTTCTTCAAGGATAAAATGAGATTTTTTGACACCTCCTGGCTTTTCGGTTGGGTTTTCTACTAATAGTAAATTGATTTGCAATGACTTTTCTCAGTTATGTAAGGTGATGTGATTTCATTTCTTGTAGGTCATTAAGAAGGCAAATGATACCTTAAATGGAATCAGTAGTAGTTCTGTTTGCACAGAAGTAATTCAGTCAGCTCAAGGCATGGAATATTTATTAGGTATGTTCTTTCATATTTTACTATTGAAAATGATGGCCCTTTGCATTATTTTCAGTTTTCCCTTTAATTATTTTAAGCTAGATCTCTCAAGTTACATATGACTTCAGTAAGAAGCATCTGTATTTGTGGGTAAGACACTCAAGCTACAGGCAGTAAACTATTGGACTTAATTAAAAAGTCTCTATGGCTAAGTTTCCTCATCCTTGTTATATACGTAATAGCAAAAATGTAAAATTATATCTGTGTTACTGGTTTATCAAAGAATCTGAACTACCGATGCACTAAAGTAAAATCATCTTGTCTCCCATCAATTCCTTACCATACTCTATATTCTTTCTCTCGACCGCTTAATGACACCACAGAGTCCTTAACCTCCTGGCCATCTGCAGCAATTTGATGTGTCAGTCCAACGGGAAAGTGTAGTCTCTGTCCACTTCGGTGTTCCTCCCTTCCCCAAGCTCAGGCTTGGCCCGTGGCCAGAGCCACACATGCTGGACCCTAATCTTTTTCAAATCTTTACTCAAATGTCAGCTTCTGAGTGAAATCTTTCCTAGCATCCATCTCTCCAAAGAGTATCGTCTCTCCCTACCCCGGTACTTCCCATCCCATTCTCTGCTGGATTTTCTCCTTAGCCCTATTACCTTTAATTTCTTACATATGTTACTTATTATTCTTTTCTTTTCTTTTCTTTTTTAAGACAGGTTCACACTCTGTCACCCAGGTTGGAGTGTAGTGATGTAGTCATGACTCACTGCAGCGTCCACCTCCCAGGCGCAAGCAATCATCCCACCTCAGCCTCCCAAGTAGCTGGAACCACAGGTGTGCACCACCATGCACCCAGCTAATTTTTGTAGTTTTTGTAGAGACAGGTTTCCGCCATGTTGCCCAGGCTGGTCTCGAACTCCTGAGCTCAAGCGACCCACCCACCTTGGCCTCCCGAAGTGCTGGGATCACAGGCGTGAGCCACTGCACCTAGCTACTTGTTGTTTTTACTCTCTGTCTCCCTTCACTAGAATGAACCTCCAAGAAGGCAAGGATTTTGGTCTGTTTTGTTCACTGGTGTGTCCCCAACACCTAATCTAGTGTCTTGCACGTAGTTGGCACTCAAAAATATTTGCTGGATGAGTGGAGAGTGAAGGGATGTAGTCTCTGCCTTACTCCTGCCACCTCACTTGGGGTCTTCTTTTCCTGCTCAAACAGGCACAGTTCTGCATAAGCAGATGTCCACCAGGAAATGGGGCACCTGTCTTTTCTCCTAGTATCCTTGTATCTATGGAAGATTCTCTTAGAAGCCCCCTCACTTGGCTTAGGGTGGGCAGTAATTTCTGCCCCTCTCTTGGGAAAGGAAGAAGAAAAGCCGTAGTGCTGACACAGGGCTGCTGAGGCCCCGCTCTGAAGATCCCCTGGAATTCCTCCAGTGTTCACTTAGAGAGATCGGGGTCATGTCTTTGGTGACTGTTACATTGCAGGGGTTAGGGATGTGTCTGGTGGCTGTCCTTAGAATGTGGAGGTACTTAGCACCTCTCATCCTTGCTTCAAGAGTTCAACCACAATTTAGAGACCATAGGAAAAGAACTGTTCTGCATCCTGTTATGTGTTTAAAGATAAGTGAAGTCAAAGTGTTTGTAAGACCTTCAGATTCAGAGGGGTGAGATGTTTCTTCATTACTTTGTGATGCTATTAACATTTAGATTCTTTTAAATTTTTACTATCCCCATTTTCAGCTAGTTTATTGGGATTTCCCAGATTCAAACAGATGGACTCATAAATAAACCTCCCAAAAAACAAAAGCTAATAACTTGCATAGTGCCTGCCATTCTCCAAGCACTGTTGTAAGCCTTTTACCATATTACCCTATTTAATCCTCTCAACCATCCTTGGAGGAGCTACTGTTACCATCCCAACTTCACAGATGAGGAAACTGAGGTACAGAGAGATTATGTGACTTGCCTAAGGTCATGTAGCCAGTAAGAGGCATAGCTGGGGTTTGAACCCAAGCAGTGCAGCTTCTATGCTCTTACCAGTAAGCTATACAGCAGCATTGAGAAGTGGATTGGTCCCAAAGAATAGTAAGTACACCTCTGTCCAGATACACCCATTGTTTCTCACAGATATCAGCAAGCAATAATGCTCCCCTGTCTGGGTCCTCTGTGTCTCCACTGCCAACACTCTCTCTCTGCTCTCTCATCCCGTCAGGTGTTGTTGAAGTGTACAGGGTAACCAAGCGTGTGGAGCTGGGGATAAAAGCCACTGCAGTGTGCAGTGAGAAACTCCAGCAGTTGCTGAAGGACATCGATAAAGTATGGAATAACCTAATCGGCTTCATGTCACTCGCCACACTCACAGTAAGCCCATGAGACAACTCAGCAGTTGCTTTCCTTTCCAGAAACCTAAGTTGTAAAGCAGAGTGTATATTCCTATGATGGTACTTATTAGAGGCTGGAGGTGCCAACTGGAGCATGTTATATTAAAGGAGGGAGATCACAGGTGTGTGGTCAGTTGAACAGTACCAGGTGGGCTTCTGATCTCTCTAAGGCCCAGTGAACCTAAGGAAAAAACCAGTACAGGAAAACATTCACTCTGGCTACACCTTTCTTAATTCACATAATACACGGAAGTTTTGCAAAGCAGTGGTTTGAGATACTCCCTTTGCACTTCTAGTTATTTATGTCCCCATACGTGTCCTTTCAAAAAGCTATATGATACCTCATGTTGCCATCCTGTAGTTTGTTTAGCCCTTCTTTTTTTAGGTTCTTGGGTCATTTTCATTTTTCCCTGTTACGAGTAGTTCTCTGAATAGACAAATCACTGTTCCTTTGTGGGGATGTATTTCCTCCAAGTGAACTAGGAGGTCAGTGTGTGTGTCTGCACAGGTGCATGCATGCGTATGTAGCTGTTGTTACATTTATTAGAAGGCTTTCCAAATAGCTTATATTGGTTGCAATGCTACCAGAAATATGTAAGTACATGGATACATTTCTCTACATTATGTCCTATCAATTTCTTAATTTAACAAGCATGCAATTATTCCCTAAGGTATTTTTTACATTTTTTTTTTTAATTTCATGAGAGGCTTTGCAGTGTTCCAAATGACAATTTACTATTTCTGTTTCCTTTGTGTATAAACGGATTGGACTCTTCTGACCATTTGACCATTTATTCCTTGGAATATGGTTATTGACCTTATATATTTCATATTTGTAATAGATTTATATACATATATATAAGCTTGTAAACGTTTATCAGCTATTTTCCTCCTCTATTACTGTCCCTTTTTTACATTTCATTGGGCAAAACTATTTTATTTTTATATATTCATACCTATTCAATTTGTCTCTGATGATATCCTTTATTTCACAATAGTCAGAAGTTTATCTTCCTTCCACAGCTGGAATAAATATGCTATTCCAATTTTTTTTTTAACATGGAACTCTGCGACCCATCTGAATGGGATTGCAGCTGTGTGGGAGGAAGCAGTTCTAATTTTCTGAACTGATAGCCAGGTGGATACCCAGCTACCCCAACTACATGTCTTCAGCAGCACATCCTCTCACCATTGTCATGTTGCTTCTGGTTTGTAATATTAAAGTCTTTAAGAGTTTAAGTAATTTCCAAAACTTTTTCTTGTTCCCTTGAATCACTTCTCATTTTCTAACCTAAAATTGTATGTAGATAATTAAAAAAAAAAATACTGTTCTGGCAAGTGAAATAAGAAATGGAGTATTAATATTTGAAAAAAGAGATAAAATTATGTTTACTTGGTGATAATGAAATTCTTTTAAAAATCTAAATTCAAGCAGCCAGGTGCAGTGGCTCACCCCTGTCATGCCAGCACTTTGGGGAGGCTGAGGTGGGCGGATCACCTGAGCCCAGGAGTTTGAGACCAGCCTGAGCAACATGTCAAAACTCCGTCTCTACCAAAAATACAAAAATTAACCAGTCTCATAACCCGGTCTATAGATAGATAGATAGATAAAAAAATATTTTTTAATCTAAATTCAGGAGTTTAAATGTATTGCATTTGGCAAAAATTCATAACAATCCTACATATTATTAGTAGTTAGAAAATATGATGAAATTAGGCTGGGCATGGTGGCTCATGCCTGAATCCCAGCACTTTGGGAGGCCAAGGCGGGCAGAACAATTGAGGCCAGGAGTTCGAGACCAGCCTGGCCAAAATGGTGAAACCCCATCTCTACTAAAAATACAAAAAAAAAAAAAATTAGCTGGCCATGGTAGCGGGTGCCTGTAATCCCCACTACTCAGGAGGCTGAGGCAGGAGAATTGCTTGAACCCGGGAAATGGAGGTTGTAGTAAGCTGAGATCGTGCCACTGCATTCCAGCCTAGGTGACAGAGCAAGACTCTGTCTCAAAAAAAAAAAAAAAAAAAAAAAAAAGAAAAGAAAATGAAGTTTAGAAACCTTATTTTTTTTGTTAGAAAATATAACGAAGGCCTTAGTGGCTGATGCCTGTAATCCCAGCACTTTGGGAGGCCGAGGTGGGTGGATCACCTGAGGTCGGGAGTTCGAAACCAGCCTGACCAACCCCGTCTGTACTAAAAATACAAAATTAGCTGGGTGTGGTGGTGCATGCCTGTAATCCCAGCTACTTGGGAGGCTGTGGCAGGAGAATTGCTTGAACCCAGGAGTCGGAGGTTGCAGTGAGCTGAGATCACACCACTGCCCTCCAGCCTGGGCAACAGGAGTGAATCTCTGTCTCAAAAAAAAAAAAAAAAGAAAAAGAAAAGAAAGAAAATATAATGAAATTAGAAATCTTTTTTAAAAAAATTATTAACTAATTCAAGCCCTTATCACTTTTGAACTTCTGACCTCATAGCTAGGGTTACTGGTTCCATTTTTTTTTTAATCTCCTAGCAATCTATTCTGCACACCTCTACCAGACTGTTTTGTTTTTTTTTTTCCCCAGACAGAGTCTCACTCTGTCACCCAGGCTGGAGGGAAGTGGTGTGATCTCGGCTCACTGCAACCTCCACCTCCTGGGTTCAAGCGATTCTCACGCCTCAGCCTACTGAGTAGCTGGGATTACAGGCATGCGCCACCACGCCCAGCTAATTTTTATATTTTTGGTAGAGACGGGGTCTCGCCATTTTGGCCAGGCTGGTCTCAAACTCCTGGCCTCAAGTGATCCACCCACCTTGGCCTCCCAAAAGTGTTGGGATTATAGGCATGAACCACTGTGCCTGGCCTTGATACGAATATCAGAAAGAAATTTCTTCTGTGGGTTCTCATAAAGAGGAAACTAATATAATCAACATTGCCTTCAAAAAAAAAGAGAAATCCTTTCAGTAAATAAAGCAACAGTTTTCATTGGGTAGTTTCTTATTACATTTCTCAATATAGGCCAAATGGCATAACTCCAAAGTATGAGTGGAAGTCATTTTAAGTGTGGAAAAAATAGATTAAATTGTAAACTAGGAGGTGTAGTAGTGCATACAGATGGCAGGCTCATGTCTTTGCTCTGTAAAGGAAGCATACAAATCAATGAGAAATATACCAACATCCCAGTAACGTATGAGCAAAAACGTGAAGTGATTCATAAAAGGGGAGGTACAATTAATCAGTAAACATAAATTCAAATTAAAACAAGGTTTCATTTTTTACCTACTAATTTTTTTTTTTTTTTTTTTTTTTTGAGACAGATCTCACTCTGTCACTCAGGCTGGAGTGCAATGGTGCAATCTCGGCTCACTGCAACCTCCGCCTCCCAGATTAAAGCAATTCTCATGCCTCAGCCTCCCAAGTAGTTGGGATTACAGGTGCGTGCCACCACGCCCAGCTAGTTTTTGTATTTTTAGTAGAGACAGGGTTTCACCCTGTTGGCCAGGCTGGTCTCGAACTCCTGGCCTCAAGTAATTCACCCACCTCTGCCTCCCAAAGTGCTAGAGGCATTACAGGTATGAGCCACCATGCCCGGCCTGCCTACTAATTAAGCCCAATTTTTGTATGGTCTGTTTGTATGAATACTAATAGTGTTGATGTGGTAAAATGTGGACTACATACTGTAGGATGGAATCACCTATGGAAAGAGAAGTTTGGCACCATGCTTTCTCCCTGACTGTGAACTTCTTGAAGACAGAGATCAAGACTGTGTTTTTCATCTTTTCTTCTTTATCTGAGCACAGTGCCAGGCACTATGTAAACATTCAGTAAACACTCAGTAAACGTTGAATGAATTAAAGGACTTAATATGCATTCAGAGTAGCTGACTCAGTAATTCCAAATCTGAGAAAATATCCTAAGGCAGCGATTCTAAATATGAATTCACAGAAAGAAGCAAATTAAGTGCACAAAGTTGTTCTTTGTAAACGTGAAAAATTAGAGACAACCTGAAAGTCCAAATCTAGAGGATTGGTTAAGTAAATTGTGGTGAATCTTTAGCCCAGGATCTTACGCAGCCATTTTGTAAAGGAGCACGAAGTTTGAATGACACAGAAGTGTTACTACAGGGCTTGAAGGAAATCTGCCAAAATGATATTAGGGATGTGTCTGGGTGATGAGACACTGGATTTTTTTTTTTTTCTTTTTTAGACAGGGTCTCCCTCTGTCACCCATGCTGGAGCACAATGACGTGATCACAGTTCACAGCAGCCTTGACCTCCTGGGCTCTAGCAATTCTCCCACCTCAGCCTCCTGAGTAGCTGGGACCACAGGTGCACACCACCAAGCCCAGCCAATGTTTTTGTATTTTTTGTAAAGACAGGGTTTTGCCATGTTGCTCAGGCTGGTCTCAAACTCCGTGGGCTCAAGGAATCCATTCACCTCGGCCTCCCAAAGTACTGGGATTACAGGCATGAGCCACTGTGTCCAGCCAAAACACTGGATTTTTAAATATTCTTTTAGTTTTTTCATTTTTTTCAACTTTCTTTCAATAGCATTTGTTGCATTTATAATGGAAAAACAAGTGTTTTTACTCTGGTAGGAGAAATGTGTCATTACCCTCCATTCACTTGCACAAACCCTCCCTGTAGATAGCCCTTGTTACCCTTGCCCACTTCTCCTTTCCGTTGTAGTGATAGATTATGAAGTTCTCAAAACTGAATTTTATTTATTTACCTGTTTGTTCATTGTTTAGAGACAGGGTCTCACACTGTCACCCAGGCTGGAGTGCAGTGGCACAATCACGGCTCACTACAGCCTTGAACTCCCAGGCTCAAGTGATCCTTCCATCTCAACCTCCCACAGCTGGGACTACAGGCATGCACCACCATGCCTGGCTTGGTAGGAATAGGGCCTCACTATGTTGCCCAGGCTTGTCTCAAACTCTTGACCTCAAGCAGTCTTCTTACCTCAACCTCCCAAAGGGCTGGGATTACAGGTGTGAGCCACCACGCCCAGACTACTTTAGGGACTTTAATTGCAGTAAATCTGCATGGCAACCTGACATCTTTACCCTGCCGTCATCCTTTCCTGAAGCAGAGGAGAATCATGCCCAAGCTACCAGACATTTTTTGTCCTGACAGTCCACCTGACTAAGGAGGACTATAGTACCACACATCACTGCCCCTAAAAGGCAGCTGAATCAGAATATTGCGAACAGAAGCTGGGGAGAAGGAATGGGGGTAGTTTACTACTTATCCTCTATTTCTCTATTTACATTCAGAGAGGCAGAATTCTTGGGGTCTGAATGAGAGTCTTCCAGTTCTGTCCTTAATGGATTGGTTAACTGTTATGATGACTAATCCAAGGAACTTGGGAGAAAAAGCACGTGTTTACTGCAGTCCTCCAATTTTCTTTGAGCTTCTGGAATTCAGTTCATTATCCTCTGGATCAGAGAAATGCATTAAACTCTGCATTTACTTCCTGAGCTCCAGCTACTAATGAAATTGATTCGCTAGTGATATGTGCCGAGGGTGCCTGTGAAGCTGTGGGGTAGAGAAGGATGTGTCACCATTTGTGAACCTGGAGATCAGTATGTGTCTGTGTCTTTCCTAATTCACCCACCTGCTGCTTCCTGACCTTGTCCTAATATGGAGCAGATTAAGCCTGAATATCATCATAGGAGTAGATACTTCTGTTCTCCCCGTTTACAGATGAAGAAACTGAAGCACAGAGATACTGGTGAGGCCTGGGTTTATTCTGAAAGTCAGAAGTCAACTTTCTCAACCTCTATTCCTTGTGGCCTCCTTCAGAGGGACAGGTTGGGTGGGTAAAACCAGACAGGTACTAAAGTTTTTGTCGGGGGGAGTGGGTCGATTTTGGCATCAAGGTTAATGAGTTCAAACACCAGGAGTCTTTTCTGGCAGCAACTTGTTATAAACAGTCGAGTTCTTTTCTGCACATTGCTCTTGTACATATATATACCAGGACTGTAGAGTAACTTAAAAGCCTCCTTCTTTACATTTAGATTTTAAGGTTCTTTGTTTGGGTGGCAATCGGTTCTTACTGCAGTTAACACTTGAAAACTAGATTTCTATACAACCCCCAAATCAGCCACCCATCTCTTCTCTCCTAGTGCTGCTGGGAAAAGATGACTGTGATTACAAAGCATCTCTCTCCTTACCATGAGCTCTTAGAAGAAAAGGTATCACAGAGACCAGGCGTACTTGCCAAGCTTGTGAATTTGGGGGAAAGGATAAGTGGGGAGATTCCTGGGTTGCTGCTGTGCGTTTACTTCTTGAGGTAGCTCCTCTCACCAGGTGAAGTGCAAGCCAGTTTCATTTTTGTACCTTTTCCCAAGCTCCTGTGGCTACAAGCTTGCTACAGCTGCACCTTCTAGACTCTGAACACCCCTCCACACCTTTTCTTTTCTTTTTTTTTTTTTTTTTGTAAAATATATATACATGTACAATAAAATGCGAAAATCTTGGTTGTACCACTCAATGAGTTTTGAAAAATGCATACCCTCATATAACCCATGCCTCTATCAAGATATAGACTACTCCATCATTCCAGAAGTTTTCTTATGCACCTTCCCAATCATCACCCTACTCAGATATAATCCCTGGTGTGATTGTTTTTTTATACCAAGGATCAGTTTTATCCAGACCTTTTTAAAGAGACCTTGGAATTTGATTTTGTTATTTTGAAGAAAGCCTATTGGGTTTGGGGCCCATCTAACCTGGAGCGTTGCCCTGTTCACATACGGTGGCGCTTACTCCTTTAGTGTAAACAAATATGAGGTAAATGGAGAAAAGGGCTGGGCATTTATGCCCTTCCCTCAGACTCCCATTCCAAGCATCCTTTTCTAGCATCAGTGTCTAGATGCTAAAGAGTGGTTTTACCTAACTTTTGTTTTTCAAGACACCAGGTAAGGTTATAGAGATGAATTAATCTTCCAACTTGACAACACAGGAATGTATTGTAAATTGAACCTGAACACCAGAGTATTCATTTCTCTAATTACCCATGTGCTTTCCGTTATAATTGCTTTTTTCACTAGGTTAGCCATGACAGAACAACAATCATTCTTTGCCCAGATTATACCATGTCATTGTACCCTTGATAACTGCTAGGTGTGTCCTCTGTCTGTGAAACTTGAGTTGCCCACTACATGAGGAATAGCACACATTCCACAGAAATAGTGTAAGGTGTTACTTGTCATGAAGAAGCCTTTACTCTAGCAGAACTGATAAGAATAGCTGCATAAATGTAAATGACATAAACCAACATCTATGTAGTTCAAATCATTTGTAACAAAACTATACAAACTTCCAGGACTCTGGATTAGACGCTCAAAGTGGAGAAATCATTATTAGAAAGAGGCATGATTGAGGTTTTATGGGAAGCTTTTAATGCTTAACACTATTGCTTCATTTCAGGTAAATGACTTCCTAAATGAACTATATTGCCACAGTGAGGCCCTTTGATTCCATACTACTACTATTACTATTACTATTATTACTACTACTACTGGTTACCATTTATTAATATTTTGCACCTAGGGCCTGCCGATCCTTGTGCTATATGCTTTACATTCATTCTAATTTAATCCTGGTAACCCCATGTAATCACATGATGAGTCCTTATAAGGGGAAGGTAGGAGGGGAAGAGTGGGAGAAAGTGATGTGACAACAGAAGTAGACAGAAGAAGAGAGTGGCAGATGCTACCTGCTGGCTTTGAGATAGGACCACGAGCCAAGAAGTGCAGAGGCCATCTCTAGAAGCTAGATTATATTCTAGATGTATAATTTTCAGTTTTACAGGTGAAGAAATTAGGGCTTTGAGAAGATGAAACTTGACTGAAACTGACAAGTCTGTGATTTGAATCTGTATCATTTCAGAGTCCATTCTTCTTCCTACTCTATGTTACTTCCAGCTTTTAAGTTACTGAAAATGACTTATTTCTTCCCATGAAGACTCTGTGAGGCTGTTCCTATCGGAAGACAGCTGCATCACTTTCTCCAGTGAAAGTCACAGAATGTAGTGCGGCATCACAGTAGTCATGCTTGGGCTAAGGAAGGCAGGGTACACCGTCTTAAACTCCAAATTGTGGCTCCTTGATGTTTATTTAAGCTGGAAATGACACAGTCATTCCCCTGTCCATGGGGGGGGAATTGGTTCCAGGACATCCCCCATTTCTGGATATAAAAATCTGCAGACGTTCGAGTTCCTGATAAGAAATGGCATAGGATTTGCATATAACCTATGCACATCCTCCTGTGTATTTTAAAGAATCTCTAGATTACTTATAACACCTAATACAATGTAAATGCTGCGTAAATAGTTATTATATGTATTGGATTTTTTTATTTGTATCATTTTTGTTTTTTTCTATTTTTTCCTCCGAATATTTTTGATCTGAGGTTGGTTGAACCCACAGATGTGGAACCCATGGATACCGAGGGCTGACTGTACTGGCAAAGCTTTATGCTCTCTTTCTCTTTGATACTCTTTATCCATGGACTAAGACTCCCTCTTGTGGTAGAAGCATGTCTCCTCCAGGCACAGACTGAAGGCCTGCTTCTTTCTCAAGAGGTGAAACTCACCTGGTTTAGTGAGATGTGATGCACTCTGAGATTGGCTCCCAAGTGACTTGTCATCTAAGGTTTTATCTTGTGAAGTGGGTTGAAGTTCAGTAGGTTTGGAACAAACAGAGAATTCTGTCCTGGAAAATTAATCGATTTTTGCCATATAAAATCTAAGAGAAGAGAAAAGGTTGTTATTCGCCTGAATTTTAGTCAACTGGCAATCATACAGGCTCTCTGATTCCACTGTTCACCTCAGTGAAATATGAATTCTTTACTACTTCCTTTCAATGTGAAATTGACCAGTGAATTTCAGAGTCCTTATTTCCTATTGCTGTGACATATCAGGAGAACAGTTTATTTTCAATGGTGATAGCATTTTTGTCATCTTGCCAGTCTGCACAATGTTTTAGAGACAGGATCTTTACTATGTCTCTGCATGGCTGTCCTCAGTTGACAGAAGGCAGCTGTGGTAGACAGAATGATGGCCCCCTCAAAGCTACCCATGTCCTGGGAACTTGTCAATATGTTACCTTTGCAAATGGGATTAAGTTAAAGGCCTTTCTTTGGGGAAGGTATCCTGGATTATCCAGGTGACCCCAATGTCATCACATGGATCCTTAGAAGGGGAAGGTAGGAGGGGAAGAGTGAGAAAAAGTGATGTGACAACAGAAGCAGAGAGAAGAAGAGAGTGGCAGATGCTACCTGCTGGCTTTGAAGATGGGACCACAAGTCAGGGAATGTAGAGGTCGTCCCTAGAAGCTAGAAAAGGCAAGGAAACAGATTTTCCCCTAGAACTCCTAGAAGGAATGCAGTCCTTCTCACCCATTTTAGACTTCTGAAATCCACAACTGTAAGAGGATACATTTATGTTGTTTTAAGCCATTAAGTTTGTGCTTTGTTACAGCAGCAATAGGAAAGATTATACAAGACATTGTAACCAAGCAAATACCAAAACTTTATAATTGCCTATGGAACCTGTGTCTAGATCACCCTTTGTATCAGTCAAATTAGACTAGGTTATGCTTCAGTAACAAATAGTTTCTTCTATCTTAGCAAAAGCAAAGCTTTATTTCTTGCTCAGGCTATGTGTCCATCTCAAGTTGGTGGGGGGCTCTGTGCCATGTCCTTACCCAGGGACCCAGGTTGACAGAGCCTCCACCATGTGGAACATAGCTGGTCACCGTGGGAGTGTCAAGGAAACATGAGAAATAGCACATTGGTCTTAAAGGCTTCTTCCCAGAGGTGACACTCTTTTTTTTTTTTTGAGATGGCATCTTCCTCTGTTGCCCAGGCTGGAGTGCAGTGGTGCAATCTCAGCTCACTGCAGCCTCCATCTCTTGGGTTCAAGCTATTCTCCTACCTCAGCTTCCCAAATAGCTGGGATTACAGGCACCCGCCACCACGTCCGGCCAATTGTTTTGTTTTGTTTTTGAGACGGAGTCTCGCTCTGTTGCCCAGGCTGGAGTGCAATGGCGCGATCTTGGCTCACTTCAACCTCCACCTCCTGGGTTCAAGCAATTCTCCTGCCTCAGCCTCCTGAATAGCTGGGATTACAGGCAAGCGCCACCACACCTGGCTAATTTTTGTATTTTTAGTAGAGACGGGGTTTCACCATGTTGGCCAGGCTGGTCTCCAAAGCCTGACCTCGTGATCCGCCCGCCTTGGCCTCCCAAAGTGCTGAGATTACAGGTGTGAGCCACCGCTCCCGGCATTTTTTTGTATTTTTAGTAGAGACGGGGCTTTGCCATGTTGGCCAGGCTGGTCTTGAACTCCTGACCTCAGGTGATCCACCCACCTCGGCCTCCCAAAGTGCTGGGGTTACAGGTGTGAGCCACCATACTCCCGGCTTACGTGTGACTTTTGCTTAGTTATTGACTGTGGCAAGTTACAGGCCAATGCCTGATTGAAAAAGGGGCAGGGAAGGCCCATCCTACCATTCCATAAAAAGGAGAAAGATTATTGGTGAAGAACACTAATTACTACCAAACTCTTCTTCCTTAATAAGGATCTTCCTGGACACCATTGTAGCAGTTTATTGTAGGCTAAAGATTCAGGATTATATATCTCAGTCTGACATTGGGACTTATCAGTGTCAGTAGGCCATATATAATATGTATATATTTTTTTAAATCTTAACTAAATGCATGAAATACTTGCCAAATAAGGAGATGATCAATTTAAGGTGACTTGTAGAGGGCATACCTTCTTATATGATGACAGCCAAACTGTTATCTTATATGATTGGTGCCAAACTGTTAATATTACACTACAATAAACACCCTGTTTATACATGTGTACTTAAGAAGGTTAATTTTGTCAGCTGAAAGAGTAATTTGATCACAGGGTCATTTATGCAGAGCCTTATGGTTTTCATTGGCGATTACAGTATGATCTTTTCATTTGCTTTCCTTATGCCTTTGGTAAACAGATATTAAGGGGCTTCTATTAATTTGATTGATTTCAGGATTCAGAGTTTTCCCAGATTCTAATTATTTCTCAAATAGCCCTGATTCAGTAACATGATGACTATCTGTAATGTGGATTACAGAGATGATACTATGTTTTAACCTCTTTTAAAAGCTTGCTAAGAGTTCGTCAAAGTGAATAATTGTGATCATCATATAGACTACTTTTCACTTCCAGAGCATGTTTTATGTCCATCTGAGATATATAGAAATGGGAGAGAGGTGTAGGGCAAGTGAAATAGTTACCATTTTACAGATGACTGACTGCAGAACAAGCGTTAGCACCAGCGTCTTCCACATTTGACCAGAGTGACCACAGTTGCACTACAAAAGAAAAGAGAGAAAAGAAAAAATATCCTATGACTTGGCTAAGGCCATGTAAGTTTACTTTGATCACCTACACCAGAGTCCTTTTGCACACAGTTGAAACATACACCTCACCTTTTCTTCTCTGAAAACCGTGTGTTCTTCCTTCCCCTGCTGTGATCTCAGTGGATCTAGCTCAAATGTGTTTAAGAAAGATTTGTGGAGCTAGTTCATGGTTTATTATTTCAAATTAGAAAGGAACAGGGAACATCATACATAATCTACACATTTTTATAAGGAGAAATCTTTTTTTTTCCTGGTGAGGAAAAATACAGATCATATAATTTTGCTTTGTTGCTCAAAAACGACGTGGAAACTCCTCAGTGGTTCAGACTGGAAGAACTATGGGAAATGTAGCTGTTAATTTGGCAGGAATTTGCCATCATCCTGGGTCACCTCAGTATCCATGAAGACAAACCAACTGCCATGCCAGGCTCCCAGATGCTTGACTGCCTGGCCCACAGAGCCCTCGCTTCCCCTGCACTTCAGCCACCCACTGGCATCACCACGATGGGCTGTGTTAGCAAACATTGTGCAGCGCCTGTGCAGTCTCGAGCCCCGACATCGAACTTCCTGAGTCCAGATTGGCGACCCTCCCGTTGTCTCACTCTTCACTGGCACTGCTCTTGTTTTTGGTTCTCAAGACAGGATGTTGTCTCTTTTACTGTGTTCCTGTCAGCCCTCTTCTGTCTTCACTTCTTTTCTCACCTCCTTACTCTCCACAGTGCATGGGGCATCCCTCCTCACTCCCTTCAGTCATACTCATTAGACCAAACCCAACTGGAATCAGTGCAGCCATCCACCTTCTCCCCCCACCTTGACCCACTGTGTGCTGGTGGAGACAATCACACCTCCAGAGTTTGCTGCTTGGAGCTCACAAGGCTACTGCTATTTCAGACACAGCTGATGATCTCACCTCCTGCATTAGAGTGAGGATGAGCCCTCTGAGAGGAACTCCTCAACTTCTAGGCTCCCACCTGAGATTCCATTCTGTCGCACTAGTGTGTTAAATCCAGTTCTTACTGGCTTGCAAGAGTGGATTGTTAAATGTTCAGGAATTTTATGAGCCAGTTGTTAAACACCGTTATTACTAAAAATTAAATGAAGACTGGGTGCAGTGGCTCATGCCTCTAATTCCAACACTTTGGAAAGCTGAGGTGGGAGGATTGCTTGAGGCCAGAAGTTCTAGACCAGCCTGGGCAACATAGCGAGACCTCATCTCTACTAAAAATAAAAAGTAGCCAGGTGTAGTGGCACACACCTGTAGTCCCAGCTACTCAGGAGGCTGAGGCAAAAGGATTGCTTGATCCCAAGAGTTTGAGGCTGCAGTGAGCCATGATCACACACGCCCCTGCACTCCACCCTGGGTGACAGAGTGAGATTCTATCTCAAAAGCAAGACAAAACACAAATGATATAAACTTGCAGTTACATATATTATATTAAAAATAGTGGTAATACTTAAAACATTCTAGTTCTTAAATTTTACTCTTGTCTAGCTTTCAGGGTTATTTATGTCTATCACAGGGCAACCAACTGTCCCTGTTTGGTCAGGACTGAGGGATGTCCTCAGTGCTAAAAAGTGATGGAGAAAATGTTATTAGTGCAGATTAAACTTAAAAGTGTGTGGCCAGGCACGGTGGCTCACACCTGTAATCCCAGCACTTTGGGAGGCCAAGGTGGACAGATCACGAGGTCAGGAGTTCAAGACCAGCCTGGCCAATATGGTGAAACCCCGTCTCTACTCAAAATACAAAAATTAGCCAGGTGTGGTGGTGCACGCCTATAGTCCCAGCTACTTGGGAGGCTGAGGCAGAAGCATCCCTTGAACCCAGGAGGTGGAGCTTGCAGTGAGCCGAGATTGCGCCACTGCACTCCAGCCTGGGCTACAGAGCAAGACTCCACCTCAAAAAAAAAAAAAAAAAAAAAGTGTTAGCTGGGCATGGTGGTGCACACCTGTAGTCCCAGCTACTCAGGAGGCTGAGGCGGGAGGATTGCTTGAGCCCAGGAGGCGGAGGCTGCAGTGAGCCAAGATGACACCACCACACTCCAGCCTGGGCAACAGAGTGAGACCCTGTCTCAAAATAAATAAATAAAAATAAAAGTGTGCTGCGGGGCCGGGCACAGTGGCTCATGCCTGTAAACCCACCACTTTGGGAGGACCACTTGAGCCCAGGAGTTCAGGATCAGCCTGGGCAACATAGGGAGATAATCATCTTTACAAAAAAATCAAAAAATTAGCTGGGCGTGGTGGCATGCACATGTGGCCCCAGCTATTTGAGAGGCTGAGGATCTCTTGAGCCCAGGAATTCAAGGCTGCAGTGAGCTGTGATCACGCCACTGTACTCCAGCCTGAGCAACAGAGTGACTGGACGGCTTTCCAAGATTGAGACCTACCCTTTTAACCATTGTGTGTGTGTGTGTGTGTGTGTAGTGAATTAGATAATGCATATAAAGAGCTTAGTATAGTGCTTGAAAGTAAGGGCGTATTAGCTGTTGTTCTATTTATGGTCTTTAGCTGGTGACCTTCAGATCTCTCCACAAGCAGGAGGCCTGTATGTGTATCCAACCACCTGCTTATATAGCATGTGGCCTTCGCTGTCCCACAGGCAGCTCCAGCTCAGCTTGGACCAAACTGAACTCTTCTCCTCAGCTTCCATCCTCAAACCTGGTCCTTCTCTCACGTGTCTTATTATGGTGAATCCTCTCAGCTGCCCGGGTCCCCCAACCTCTCCCATCCAGCAGGTCACCCAGGCCTGCTCATTCTCCTGCCTCGTCAGCTCTTTCACGTGCCCATTTCTCTCCATTCCCCACCGCCGCTGCCTTCATTCTGACCATCGGTATCTGTCTCCAGGACTGCTACAGCAGACTTCTGGCTGAGGCCTGTGCCCTGAGGATTGCCACCCCCAATTCATTGCCTATACTGTAGCGAGAGGGATCTGTCAGTAATACGAACCTGGGCCTGTCGTGATCCAGTTGGAAGCCTTAGTGGCTTCCAGGATGCTCCTTATCTTCCTTGGAGTCCTCGTGCTGCGGCTTCATCTCCTCTTTCCCTGGGCCCTGCCCCCACCCTCTAGATTCCTTCCCATACCCCATCTTTAGCTCAGAGCCTTTGCCTGTGCTGCTTGTTCTGCATAGAATATCCTTCCCTCCCCTACCTCACCCAACCCTCCTGTCCCCCTCACCTAGCAGCTCCCATCTACACTCAGCCAAGGTGATTTTAGAATCTAGGAAGCAGGCCAGGCACGGTGGCTTATGCCTGTAATCCCACCACTTTGGGAGGCTGAGGCGGGTGGATCACCTGCAATCAGGAGTTCAAGACCAGCCTGACCAACATGGTGAAGCCCTGTCTCTACTAAAAATACAAAATTAACCAGACGTGGTGGCGCGCCTGTAATCCCAGCTACTCAGAAGGCTGAGGCAGGAGAATCGCTTGAACCCGGGAGGCAGAGGTTGCCGTGAGCTGAGATCACACCATTGCACTCCAGCCTGGGCGACAGAGTGAGACTCTGTCTCCAAAAAAAAAAAAAAAAGAAAAGAAAAAGTTCTAGGACGCAGTCTCTGGCTTCAGGCCCCATCCTCCTCGAGTTGGGCTAAGTGCCGCTCCCTTGTGCCCTGGCACTCAGGACTTCCCCCAAGTAAGCACACCCAGCACTCATGGCACTGCACGGGCTCCCCTGGCGCCCACCTGAGACTGAGTTCTCAGAGGTCAGAGGGCGTGTTGTACTGGTGCCGGCCTTCCTAGCACCTGGAACCGTGGCAGGTTCCCAGTGGATGTGTGGGAGGTTAATTCTTGTAGTGGTGGTGTTAGAGTACTGTACTTGCCGCTAGGCCTGCTGGGGGTGAGTGATGAGGGAGTGAAGTGAACAGCGTGTGGACTTGTGGACTTCTTACCCATTTGTCTTGTCGTCCTCACAGCCAGATGAAAACTCGCTGGATTTTTCCTCCTGTATGTTACGGCCTGGGATTAAAAATGCTCAGGAGCTTGCCTGTGGAGTGTGCCTCTTGAATGTGGACTCGAGGAGCCGGGTAAGTCACGCAGCCTCCTTGCAGACAGCAAAGGGCTTCCCTAACATGACTCTGGACAACCTCATCTGGCCCACTTTACTGCAGAGTTTGTGACCAGAGGTGGGGATTTTCTCAAGTCCTAAAAGCTGATGGTAGGAGCAGACACATTCCCTCGAGAGGGCAGCGGGGGAGCTGTGGAGGGAATGGACGCGGCTCTCATGCCTGCAGCACCCTGTGCATAGTGGGGAGGTCAGGGGAAAAGGGTGAACCTGTAAAGATGTGTTTGGAGGCAAGAGGCCCTGTTCTGGGAATGTTGTTGACCTGTGGTTTCAACGTTATTTCAGAAAGAAGAGAAGCCTGCAGAAGAACATCCTAAAAAAGTATGAACCAGTTACACCTTATCTTAGCGTCTCCATTTTAATTTTGAGTGTGGAGGGCAAATTGGATGATTCTATCCATTGCCATCCTGAACTGTTCCAATCATGAATCCTTCACTGAGTCAGTTTTGTTCCCATAATGTTTGATGGAGTCTCCTAATGTGTCTGTGTGGGTCCACTTCTGTCTTATTTGCATGCTTGTTTCACATAATTGGCTTCTGGTGTTGCAGTTATTTTTCTCTGTGATGAATGGGGTGACAGAATGAGCAACTTCTGGAAGCCTGGAAGTTGTAGTGACACACAGATGGAGATCAAAGAGCTTCAGGATGTAGCCATTTAGCCATTTTAACAGACAAGCAGCAAATTGGGTTTTAGAGTTTTGTTTATTTGCAGTGCATATTAGAAAACTAACCCCAGGAAGTGGTTGAGGTTTGGACTCTACTTTTCCATGGCTGACTGTAGCTTACTGATAAGCCTGTTCATCTGGAAATAATTCTTATGTGTTTAATGCCCATTCATTTCGAGGCATTTTTTTTTAACTCCATACCTGTTTGGACTTTTTGATAATGTAGATTCATTAGGCATTAGGGTCAATGCCATTAGACCCTAAGAGTTGTTATCTGTCGTTCTCTAACTCTCTCGTTTTCTAACTCTCTCGTTCTCTAACTCTCTTGTAATTTTTTGTCATGATAGGCTTGTGGTCAGCTACAGGAGTGTAAAGGATTGCATGCTGTAGTCAGATGCCGGCCTTAGGAGGAGGGCTTCCTTCAGCACAGTGAGGGATGAAAGCTATCCACAGCCCTTGGCTACTTCAGTTCCCCTTATCATGATTCCCCCCCTCCACCCCATAACCTCTGTCTGCCTTTTCCATGGAAGATTTGGCCACCTTTTGCTGAAACTAGGTTTAGTGGTAACAATTTTATACCTTTAATTAGCAGTAAAAAACCTTCTCTCTTGAATTCCTGTAGCTATCCGCTCAGCTTTTATGTGTGTGCCATTTTGGCCTCAGCCTCTGTGACCTGGAGAGATAGATGTACATGTTGGTTGCTGAAAAGCTCTGAGATGCAGAAAAAGCCTGACTTGCCCCACATCTCTGTTTATTTCTGGCAGGCATTCAACTCAGAAACAGACAGTTTCAAGCTGGCCTATGGAGGGCACCAGTATCACGCCAGCTGTGCCAACTTCTGGATCAACTGTGTCGAACCAAAGCCTCCTGGCCTCGTCCTGCCTGACCTGCTCTGAACAACTCCTCTGTGAAGCATTGACTTTTTTTTTTCTGTGACACCCCACGGGGTGACAGGGACCAATAAATAGAATGCGAGCACTGCACAGTTCGCTTCCCTGAATCGATATGAAGAACACCGCAAGGGACGGGGCCCCCGTCATCCCCACGGCCAGTCTGCAGGACTTCAGGTAAAATTGTCCCACCCAAACTGCACGTGGCACCAGAAGCTTGCTCACTTATCTCTACTTAAGATTTTCTGAAATACGGACCACGGCTTTCTTGATCTAAGGAAGAACTTGCTGCTGCAGTATTGAAACTGTGAAGAACTGACATTTGAAGAAAAATAGATTACCGTTGCGGGACTAGAATGGGCGACTGCTTGGAGCCAGTGCTTGTTTTTATCTAGGACACTTACTGTCCTGTGAAGTAGAATACATTTATCTGCATTTAGTTTGTTAATGTCTGAAATGAATAAAAAGAGGAAATTGCGATTAAACTGATGTTCTGCTTTTTATGGAGAAGATTCTGCCCATCTCCCCTGGACAGTAGCAGGCAGGTGAGGGCAGATTTTACCCACTTGGTTGTCACAACTGAACCAGTTCTCTACTCCTTCCCTTCACTTCTGTCCACTCTCAAGACTTTTTCCCAAAACATGCCTGGGCACTCTGCAGCCGTGAAGAATGCTCATTTTGACAGAGGCCCAAATCCTGTGTATTAGGATAATATCCTTCCCCCCGGGAGCCTTCGCTGCAAACCTGTTCTGCCGCATGCAAAGACTGTGACCATGGAGTTTTCTCAGACAAGATTTGGAAAGGCAGTGGAATGAAATCTCTTTGCAGTGGCCTCTCTCCAAATTTCCAAAGATGACTGCATAGGGACCAACACTGCCTGACTTTGCAGTATCTGTGAGAAAAACCTGAAAATTAATTCAGGGTGAAAATGTGGAGCTCTCGGCCTAGTGTAAAGTATCAAGATGTATATTTATGGGATAGATACATGACTTAGAAGAAGTAGAAGAAAATTGTCCAGAAACAGTACTGAATTTTAGATAGAAAAGGCTCATGCTTCCTGGAGTAGGGAATTGTCTTTGCCATTTAATGTGAATGCATAAAATTAGGGGAAAAACCCAAGTGGCTAAGAGCTGTGTTATTCCTGGGAAGAACTACCAATCTAGGGCACACGTCTCTCTGAATTGTTGATTATGCGCTTTATGAAGAGATTTTTCAATCTCGTGTGCTTTACTTTGTGTGGTTTAGACCCTCTGACCTAGACTTTTATTTTTAAACTGAAAAAGTTGGTCTTGTCTATATAATTGCTGCTTTTACATAATTTATTTTCCCCTCTCAGGACAAATTCTGTCTTGCTCCATCTTACAGCTTTTCCATGTTCTCCAAGAAAGGTGTGGAACATTTTCATTAAACAGCTGTTGCTGAGGCTTCTGCTTGACCTTCTGCGTGCCCGAATGCACAGAGAGGCACCGAGGAGAGAAAGGCTTTTCTCACTCGCTCCCGATGATACCGTCTCTGGCCATTCCTGACTGAGGCAGCTCACTCTGAATGGGCACCTTTGGAGCTTTTGCCCACCACAAGGCTAGTGGGGTGTTTCTAACAACACAAGTGGGACAGCTTTTGGCAGGCTTTTCCTGAGGCCTCGGCGCTTCCATCCTGGACAGCACCACTTCCACATGGAGCTGGAATGCAAGCAGGCTGCTAATTGGCCTTAAAAATTCTTTGTTTTTTTTTGAGATGGAGTTTCACTCTTGTTGCCCAGGCTTGAGTGCAATGGCACAATCTCAGCTCAGTGCAACCTCCGCCTCCCGGGTTCAAGCGATTCTCCTGCCTCAGCCTCGTGAGTAGCTGGGATTACAGGCGTGCACCACCACGCCCAGCTAATTTTGTATTTTTAGTAGAGGCAAGGTTTCTCCATGTTGGCCAGGCTTGAACTCCGGACCTCAGGCGATCCGCCCGCCTCAGCCTCCCAAAGTACCGGGATTACAGGCGTGAGCCACTGCGCCTGGCCTAAATTTCATAACAGAACCATGACAGCAGAATCTACCTTTGCAATAAGAATGTTTCCCAGGAGTTAGAGACCAGCCCTGGGCATGATGGTAAAGACCCCAGCTAATTATACAAAAAATAATTAGCCGGGTAGGTGGAGTGCATCTGTGGACATTCGTGGTCCCAGCTACTAGGTAAGCTGAGGCGGGAGATCACAAGTCCAGGAGTTTGAGGCTGCACGTGACAGCGTAGGTGATGACAGAGCGAGACACTGTCTCTTAAAAAAAAAAAAAAAAAAGTTTCCCAGTTTGAATTTGTATTGCTGAAGCATTTTTTTGAAATGCTATATAGATGCCTGTCATGTCACAGTGGCCCAGTATCAACATTTTAAAAAGCTCACTTGGTAGCTGGGCTGGTTTCTATTCCTGAGAAATTCCAGAATGCCTCAGATAAAATTCCTTAGTATAATCCCCATTTTCCTTACCAAGGATGGTAGGCTTAGTCACTCCTTGGGAGGTGCCACAGGAAAATTCAGCAGATGTCAACAGAAAAAAAGCCTTTGCTATGAAAAGTATTCACTACCTTTCATATCTCTTGAATACTTGAAATGTTTAATTAGATGCCACCAATAGGGATCCAAGGAGTGTGGGACACGGTTGCGCTGCTTTTCTTTATAAACGTTTATTAAAATGGCTCAACGCTGCATTCAGCTTCACCTCAGCTCTTCTTGTCAGCCAGGAGCCCCGTGTCCTTGGAAACTGTAGCCAAGGTTACTTATTTCCATACTGTGCATTGTGTCAGCCCGCTTCACCCCACTGCTTGAATGGCCATTAATAAGCACTTTTCTTTTTTTGGTGGGATGTTTTGCCTTTAAAATTTTTATGGCTTAGTGTGTAATTTAATTTTTGTCTGGACATGCTTGAGATAGAAGAGGTACTGGATATATGAGGATATTTTCCATGCTTTATTTTTCCTGTGGCTACTAGTTAGCATTCCATAGGGGTTGTGAATTTTTAATTATTTGAATATTTTGTGTACATATACATATTTGAAGGGTTTTGGGGGGGTCTTATTTGTTTAAAGGTGTCTTCTGTTTGCCTATTTCAAGTGTACTTCAGCTTTGCAAAGATTATAGGGCTGTATGTTACAGAAATAGGAAATGCTGGCCCTGTACTGGGGACCACTACAAAAATTCCCTTTAGCCGGGCGTGGTGGCTCACGCCTGTAATCCCCAGCACTTTGGGAGGCCGAGCCGGGTGGATCACCCGAGGTCAGGAGTTCAAGACCAGCCTGGCCAACATGGCGAGACCCTGTCTCTACTAAAAATACAAAAATTAGCTGGGCATGGTGGCAGGTGCCTGTAATCCGAGCTACTCGGGAGGCTGAGGCAGGAGAATTGCTTGAACCAGAGAGGCGGAGGTTGCAGTGAGCCGAGATCGCGCCACTGCACTCCAGCCTGGGCAACAAGAGCGAAACTCTGTCTCAAAAATAAAAAATTCCCTTTAACACCTTCAAGGTCAAATGCCTGCCTTTGTGAACAGTTAATAAACTGACATTTTCAGACATTTGCCATTCAGAAGGGAGCATTGTAGCCTGCTGTAGACCATTCCAGCAAATGTCAGAATGCAGGGCAAGATGTGTGTCGACTATGTTTTTTATGTTTAAGTTACTTACTTATTTCTTCAGGTAAGTGTGTACCAAATAACAATACTGAAAAGCCCTCCCCTTGCCAGGCCGAGGAAATAAAGCTTAAGTGAAACAGCTCTTGGGGGAAAAATGCCACTTTACAAATACTTTTCTAACAAAATAGCATTATAATGAAGTTTTTACTTAATTCCATTATTTATATGTTGACGTGAATGTAAGTGGTTAAAAAGTATTCATGTGGGACATCTCATTACTTTGTAGCTGTGGCTTTATTAACCAGTGAATGCTGTGGCCCTTAGCGAAATGCGTTGTCTTCTGCGTGATGTGGAATTCGCGCCTGTATTTTAAAAGATGGTGTGGTTTCTCCCTTGTTTGTATTTTAATAAACAACTGCTCTAATTGATGTGTTTAGACATTATAAAGCTTTACCTTTAAAATATTTTCAGGGTCTGTTCTGAAATCACCCCTTGTTAAACTTCTCTAACCAAAATACAAGTGTAGAAGAATGTCAGGCTACTAAGCCTTTTCTTGGTCTTGTCTTTGTTGGGTTGATTTCACATAGATGCAAGTCACTAGGATGAACAGGGGCCCATGCGCTTAAGATTACAAAGGTGTTCAGCTTCCCACGTGCGAGGAACTCTTAGTTACAGCCCCGTAGTGCTGCTTGCCAGGAATTCTACAGGTAATTTTCATTAATTACCAAGAACATCTGTCACCAGGTGTCTTCTCGCCCTAGGACAATGGTTATTTGGGTGCTCTTATTCAGAAACTCCCAGACTCAAAGCTGAGCCTCCTACTAAAGCAGCCAGAGCCTCCCTGGATTTTTTTTTTTTTTTTTTTTTTTTGATCTTATAGCATTTGTTGTTTCCTCTGATTTCCCATAGAAACTATTAATAATTTTTTTCATTTTAGTTTTTCTAGAGAATAATGATGCATGTTTATAACAGTGGGCAGCCACGGGTATAAAGCAATAAAAGGTAGAATTTAGATGGGAAAAAACCATTGCCACAAACCAGGTAAAATGTGGAGTATATTTGTCTAAATATGTAGCTACTGGCCTATGTATGGCTTCCTGCCAAAACTGACCCAAAAAATCTAGAAAACTATTCCTCTGGTGAGCAAGCTACAACCTTCCTGATAAATGAAGCCAAAGAGCAGTGCCGCAGCGGGTTCCCATTGCACGGGCAGACGCCCAGGATGCCCTCCATGCAGAAGAAAGGCATGCCCTAGGACAGTGGTTACTTGGGGGCACGTGGAAAGTGCCCAGGAGTGTCCCAGGAGTGGGACAGGGGCGAGCTCATTCACCTTCTACCATGTATCTGATGATGATGAGCGGTGCTGCCCGTTTTATCAGGAGCAGTGAACTGGGTGACAGACAGTCCCAAAGTTAAACAAAGGCAGCCATTGTTTGTTTTTGTTACTTGCTTATCGCTCATACTGAGGTTTGGTTTAGGGCATTTTCGTATGTGGTAATAATAGTCAAGCAGAGGCACCTTTTATTGAAAACCAGTTTCTCTGATGGAGGACACGCTGCTTCGGGGCGCTCCACTAACCAAGAGGAAACCAAAACCAGCACCCCTGATCAGAGCGTGCACTATCAATCATCTCCCACCGGCCCAGCACCGGGGACGGTGTGTCTGCCTGTCCACCAGGATGTGACGCGCCGACAAGACTCTGCTGGGATGTGTATTTTAAGTAATGTTCCCAACTGGCACAGGAGCCACATTTCAGCAGTTAGTTAGTTAGTTACTGGAGAGCACCTTTTTCCCATCATCGACACACACACACCTTGAAATTATTAGTAAAAATTCTAATATGTTAAGCATATAGATTTATTAAAAATAATGCTAATATAATCCTGGGCACATGGATTCCAAGAGAGATTTTGCAGCAGATTTCATTATAGTTACTTAACAGCTAAATAATAAGGGTGTATTTAACTTACTTACAGAGTCACTAAATAATGGAGGGGAAAGGAAAGAGTAGGGCTAATCCAGTAGAGACTGAAGCTGGTTATCAACCTTCCCTAAGCATCTGTCTGGTCCGCAGCCTGGGGCAAAGCTTGTCTCTAAAGGGTTAATGAGGCCCCAAAGTGATTTTTGCACTGAGCTCCTCCTGCACCTACCAAGGTGCCAAAGGCATGAGATTCAGAAGAGAGCAGAACCAGTTTATTAAACTGTTCAAATTGGTAAAAATGATTAAAAGCTAAAGATTTCCATAAACACTATTCCAAAATGTTAATTTTAAAAATGTGACTAGCAATGTATGCATTCCCTTTATGTCCCCTCCCTCCCTATCTCTTAAAATAAATTTGAACACCCAGTGTAAAAAACACTTGAGGGAGAACCAGAAGTCAGCCATTTGAGAAGAGAGTGGAGAGGGAGCAGACGGCGGGGAGCAGATGCCGGCCCCGCTCGGGCTGCTGACGCAGGCTTCAGTGGCACTAAATCCCCCAGTAAGGCATCAGGTGTCGGGACTCCTTCTCATAGACGTCGGGAACTATGCCATAAGGTGTCTGTACCATTTTAACTGTCGACTTCCCAAAGAGCTGGCGCTCGTAGTCTATCAGTTGCCTCCAGAAGCCTACGTTGGGCCTGATGACAGGTCGCCGGGCTTTCACCCAGTTGTACGCCTCCAGCAGGCACACGTTGTGGAATTTCATCAGGTACGCGATACACAGCGTGGCTGAGCGGCTCACCCCTGCAGCACAGTGCACCAAGGTGGCCCCGTGCTTCCTGCTCACACTGTGGATCTTGTCAGCCACGGTGTCAAAGTACAGTCCAATGGGGGCATGCGGCATGTCAGCCAGAGGCACTTTAACATACTCAAATTGGGGCCAGTTGAAATTAGGGATCTCAATGGTAGCATTAACAATGCAGGTGATGCCACGAGCCTGGAGGAGGTGCCGATTGGAGGCCACACTGCCTCTGCCCAGGAATAGAGAGGAGGTGATTTGAGCAATGCCTCCTATGTCTCCCTCGGAAATCATCCGAGGGGCCATGAGAGTCCTTGGTAGCGTGCTGTGACCTCTGGAGCTCATGAAGACGCCAGCAGTCACACTTGCATCGTTGGCGGCAAGACCAGAGTGTTTTATTTTCCTCCACCAAGGAATCCAAAATTAGAGTCTCCTTCCTGCAAAATACAGGTATGTGTCAGTACTTTAAATGCTACTGATTCATCACAGCCTTCTGTCACATTTGTCAAATGGGAAGATTAGAGGGTTTTTTTTTAAATAATACAGTACAATCTTTCAAGGATACAGACAAATCATTTTCTATCAATTAACAGTTGGGAAAAGTCACCTAAGACACAAACATGTGAAATCAATGTAAAATTCAGCTCTCTGGTGATTGTCCAAAAAAAAAAAAAAAAAAGTGGGGTGGGGGGGGGGTGGCTGGGCATGGTGGCTCATACATGTAATCCCAGCACTTTGGGAGGCTGAGGTGGGAGGATTGCTTAAGCCCAGGAGTTCAAGACCAGAAGACCAGCCTGGGCAACACAGTGAGACCCCATCTCTACAAAAAAACTTTTTATTTTTTATTTTTTATTTTTTTTTAATTAGCTGGGTGTGGTAGTGCATGCCTGTAGTCCCAGCTACTCAGGAGACTGAGGTGGGCAGATCACTTGAGCCTGGGAGGTCGAGGCTGCAGTGAGCTGTGATTGCACCACCACCACACTGCAACCTGGGCAACAGGGAGACCCAGCTTCTAAAAAAAAAAAAAAAAAAGGAAAGGCCAGGTGAGGTAGCTCATGCCTGTAATCCCAGTACTTTGGGAGGCTGAGGCGGGTGGATCACCTGAGGTCAGGAGTTCGAGACCAGCCTGGCCAACATTGGGAAACCCTGTCTCTACTAAAAATACAAAAATTAGCTGAGCATGGTGGCGAGCACCTGTAATCCCAGCTACTCGGGAGGCTGAGGCAAGAGACACGCTTGAACCTGGGAGGCGGAGGTTGCAACTAGCTGAGATCGTGCCACTATACTCCAGCCTGGGTGACAGACTCTGTCTCAAAACAAAAACAAAAACCCAAACCAAAAACTATTTCCTATCATTTCGTGACAATGTAAACACAGTAGCATTTCCATGGAAATAATCCCAGGCAATTTGAAGGCCATGGTCTTCAAAGTTCATTCCTGTAAGTTAAATGAGCATTTTACCTGACCTGACCTTGGGTGTGGCTAAATAACTTCACCTTAATTCTGAGCTCCACGATGAAGCCCACTGGCTTTTAACGTCTGAACGTCACTATCCTCTCATTATTCCAGTGTTTGCTATTAAATGTCAATATATACATTTACATATATATTGATATATATTATATATATATTGACATTTAATAAGAGCAGAAAAGGAAGTTCTCAGTTTCCTGAGATCTTAGATACATCCGTTCCTCTCACCAAAAAAAAAAATCACAATGCTTTATCACCTGTGCCCAGTGGCAAGTGCGCCTGCCCACACACACCCAGGGGATCGTCGGGAAGCCTGCAGTGATTTCAGTCAGACAAGAGCCTCCCCGGGTTCAACAGGCAGGCAGTGGTGGGGTACTCACTTCCTCAAGAGTCCAGTGTGCGCTGCCTGGGTCCGGATCCAGAAAGTCCTAAGTGAGCAGTGCTGGTGACAGTGGATACAAATCAAATCTGCGGGAAGACAAGGAGGCAAGGACACAGCCAATCAGGAAGTTCCAAAGAATTCCTCACCGACTTTCACTACGACCTCAGGTTTGACTGAAATAGAGCCAGGAAGCGGAAGGTGCACTGAACATTCGCAGGTGTGCATTTAAAGGCTGCACCAGTAAGAAACACCGGCCTAAATCTCAGCTTTTTGTTACTGACACATAACCCGCGGCGTGACAAATAAGAGTTTTGACAATAACACAGACAAATCTCATCCTCTTGAGAGGAGGAGACTCAGAGACCACAACCTATCCGCGAAATGTCCGGCACTGCTGCCTCCTCGGTGGGCTATGAGGACACAACACGGACTCGAGTCTCTTCCATGCACCGTTAGCCAGCCCTGCAGTGGGAAGGCCTGGGCGGCACCGCGGTGGGAGGACGGACAGGCCAGGTGCAGCAAGGGTGAGCCAAGCAGCCCTGTGCCTGAACACAAGGTGGAGGACAGTGTGCACCAGGAAGCTAAGGACAGGCATGGCCGGGACATGGCACGGAGGACGGCTTCATGAGGAGCAGGACCGCAGATGTGGCTGCAGCCAGGAACGCTAATTACAGGCGGTGCTGGTGTTCAGGATGGCAATTTGACATTTTCCTTCATTTTGTTTTCTTTTCCATGTTGGCCCTATTTTATTCATTTATGTTATGTAAGTACCATGAACATCATAAAAAATGTGTTCTTCTACCACCTGTTCCCCCACCTTTCCCAGGTAACTGTCAGACCTGTCGTGTTTTTTTTACAGCTCTGTTGAGGTGTTCTTGACATATAAACTGCTATACAACTTGATCAGGTACATTACCTGATGAGTTCTGACATATGTACACAATGGAGACACCAGTACATCATAATAATAAACACATCCATCATCCCCCTCAAAATTTCCTCATTTTTTTTAATAATCCAACCCTTTCTTGCTCTTTACCCCATTCCCAGGCAACCACTGATCTTTCTTATCACTATGGTTTGCACTCTAGACTTTTCTATCAATGGACTTTTATATATTTATAGCATATAAATATATATAGGCCAAGCGTGGTGGATCACGCCTGTAATCCCAACACTTTGGGAGGCCGAGGCGGGTGGATCACTTGAGGCCAGGAGTTCGAGACCAGCCTTGCCAATGTGGAGAAACCCAGGTCTCTACTAAAAATACCAAAATTATCCGGGCATGATGGCACACACCTGTAATCCCAGCTACTTGGGTGGCTGAGGCAGGAGAATCACTAGAACCCAGGAGGAGGTGGAGGTTGCAGTGGAGCCGAAATTGCACCACTGCACTCCAGCCTGGGCAACAGAGCAAGACTCTGTCTCAAAAACTAAACACACACACACACACACACACACACACTATATATATATATATATATATATATATATATATATATATATATATATATATATAGTGTGTATATAGTGTGTATATATAGTGTATATATACATATATAGTACACATATACATAGTACATATATATATAGAGTGTGTGTGTGTGTGTGTGTGTGTGTGTGTGTGTGTGTGTATATATATATATATATATATATATGGGTTTTTTTTTTTTTTGGTCTGGCTTCTTTCACTCTGCATAACTTAGACATTCACCCATGACGCTGGGTTATCAACAGCTCACTTCTTAAGTACTCTGCTGTGTAGATACACCACACTCTGTTTATCCATTCACCTACTGATGAACCTGGGTTGTCTCTAGTTTAAAGGTATTGTGAGTACAGCTGCTATGAGCATCCACGTACAGGTCTTTGTGCGTACATATGCCTTCCTCTCTCAGTTCAATACCCAGGAGTGAAGGGCTGGGTCCTATGACACGTATGTTTAACATTTTAAAATGGTTTTTGAAAAAAAAAGTTTATAAATATACATATATATTTATTTATACATACATATATATATATATATATTGAGATGGAGTCTGGCTCTGTCACCCAGGCTGGAGTGCAGTGGCGCAATCTCAGCTCACTGCAACCTCCACCTCCCAGGTTCAAGAGATTCTCCTGCCTCAGCCTCCTGAGTAGCTGGGATTACAGGCGTGCACCACCACACGTTGCTATTTTTTGTACTTTAAGTAGAGACGGAGTTTTGCCACATTGGCCAGGCTGGTCTCAAACTCCTGACCTCAAGTGATCCACCCACCTTGGCCTCCCAAGGTGCTGGGATTACAGGCATGAGCCACTGTGCCTGGCTCCATTTACAACTATTTCTATCATTATAATGCAGGGGCTCTCAAACCTGAGCATGCCTCAGAATCCCCCAGAGGGCTGTGCGCACAGACTGCTGGACCTTTCCCCAGCTTCTGATTCCGTCCCTCCAGAGTGGGGCTGGAAGAGTTGCCTTTCTGAGGTGAGGCTGCGGGTCGGGGGCACGTCTGAGAACTGCTGCAGAGGTGAGTGCTGTGGCTCTGTCTGCATTCCCCCTGGAAGACTGAGGCACCAGGTGTACTGGTGCTAACAGACCACAAGTCCCTCCTGGACACTGCCCTTCTCTGAAGGGAGCTGCCTCCTCACTCGAGGCTAGGCCTCGCTTTGGGAGCCCACATCCCATGACTGGTTAATGCTATGGGAGTACACAGAGCAGTCCACAGGTGAAATCACAGCATGAGGAGGAACAAGGACGCAGTCACATAAGGAAACTGCGTGTGTGTGCATTGGATGTAAACTATGAACAGGGCAGAAACTCTGAGAACATCCTTTCCTACAGCAGAGCAGGGTCTCCTGCCACTTCCAAGTCTTCCCTGGCAGAATCCTACTGGTTTAAAAAGCAAAGTCACTGTGGTAATAAACACAAAATTAGGCCTTCAAGCTGCTGGGGATGACGCTCCTCATTGTGGAAAATCTGGAAGATGCTAATCAAATTTCCAAGTAGGTTATCTAGTTGTTGTCTAATTCAGAGAGGCTTGGCCATAGACACGGTGGCTTACGCCTATAATCCCAGCACTTTGGGAGGCCGAGGCGGGCAGATCACCTGAGACCAGCCTGGGCAACATGGTGAAACCCCGTCTCTACTAAAAATACAAAAATTAGCCAGGTGCAGTGGTGCATGCCTATAATCCCAGCTAGTAGGGAGGCTGAGCCAAGAGAATCGCTTGAACCCGGGAGGAAGAGGCTGCAGTGAGCTGAGATCGCGCCATTGCACTCCAGCCTGGGTGGCAGAGCGATGCATCCTCCCAAATTACGCTGTCTGGGAAGCCACTTGCCTTCCTGAGGCAAAGGAGCCCAGGTTCCCTGTAGAAGCCGGGCTGATTCCGTTAACTCGCATTTGCTGAGTGGCGCTAGGGTACTTGGTGCTGCAGGGAAAACAGATTGTGAGCCCTCGGGGCAGAATCCAAGTGAGACAGACACATTGCTCCCTCCCTGCTGCTGCCAGTCCATCTCTTTGCCAACAAACCTGCTTAAAATGCCAAAGCTGGTCCAAAGTTTCAGGAAAACAACTTCCGCCAGAGGGCACGTAGAGGGCACAGATGCTATAGATGCTTCTCTGACAAACACTCCTGACCCCCTTGACAGATTGGAAAATACATGGTTCAGAAAGGGTGAGAGATTTCAACTTGAGAAGTGAAACTAGGAAAAGATGGAAGGTGTCCGGATTTCTAGCTCAAGTCCACACACTGCTTCTCTGCGGTGACTAAATCGTGGCTGTGTTCTCATCACCTGCCTCGCGGCGCTCCACACCACCAGCCAGCGTCTGCCACACACGCGGGGGGGTGTGGATCTGCCTAAGAAGGTGTTTCAGTGCTACTTACAGAAAGGCTAAGCCCAGATGGGCCGAGCTGCTCCAGTTTCCCCTAGTGCCAGAACAGGGAACTACTGCCACATCCTGGTACACCATTTGGTGCACAAAACATCCCCCTGGCTGCAGAGGGTGGACCTCAGCAAGGAGCAGCCCCAGAGTAGGCACTACAAGAAGCCCTAGAGTCAGCCAGTTCTCAGATCAGATCAGTAGAACTGGATGGTAAAAAATAAAAAACCCATGGGTATTATATCACAGGTGCATGAAAATCTACTCAGTAAATGTGTCCTGGGAGACAGGGAAAGGAGATAGGGTAGCAGAGTTTGACCCGTATTTGAGGGATCACAAATTGCATGGTGCTCTCTGAGTGAACATGCCATCCCACTGCAGGACAATGGTCTCTGGGACGATGATGACCAGGAAGAATGCTTAAGAATGACCACATCACTGTCTATGGTGTTCAACTTGGCCTTCCCAAGATGCTCTGGCAATGGCACGTGCTTCTTGGAGGAAAAAATATTTTCCTGGCTTGGGGGATGGGGGTAGGGTAGAGTGAAAGACAGAAAGGAAGAGCTGTCCTAAACCAACCCCAGGGTTTTTTGGGTTTTTTTGTTTTCTTTTTTGCAGGGGGACGGGGGCGGGGGGGAGATGGAGTCTCTCTCTGTCACCCAGACTAGAGTGCAATGGCGCTATCTCGGCTCACTGCAACCTCCGCCTCCTGGGTTCAAATGACCCTCCTGCCTCAGCCTCCCGAGTAGCTGGGATTACAGGTGCATGCCACCATGCCCAGCTAATTTTTTGTATTTTTTAGTAGAAACAGAGTTTTGCCATGTTGCTCAGACTGGTCTTGAACTCCTGACCTCAGGTGATCCACCTGCCTTAGCCTCCCAAAGTGCTGGGATTACAGGCTTGAACCACTGAGCCCAGTCTGGTTTGTTCTTAACATCTTCTCAGAGACGATGCTGGTCTTTTTGGATAATAAGCATCGAACACTAAGTACTGAACAAAATACAAGATTAGTGTCTTCCCAGCGGGCCTCTAATCTCAGTAATGCATACACTAATATTAATAACACCTGATTGCTCCCTGCTCCACAGAGCTCCTGGGATGCGGGCATCAGCCTTGTAGCCTTGTGGTCAGCACTGGCATCCATACCTGGAGCAGTGGTACCTGACACTCAGAATTGCTACATGGGGTCATGGCCTAATCAGAGACAGCATCCATCCTAATGCCACGGAGGTTACTTTTCTTTAAAAAAAAAAAAAAAAAAAAAAGATGACAACCACCAGAATCAGCAGTTAACTGAAATTCTATCTACGGCTTTTCTTTTCATGTTCAGTCAACAGCAGAAAATGGCCACAACAGTGCTTCAGATGACTGTGTAAAATGCTCTCACTAAAATACTTTCAGTTTTAGGAATTTCAGAGGGCCAGAGTATATACTGGAGAGGCCTACACTGTTACCTTTTTATATTCAAAAAGCTTTTGTAATCACATTTTCTCCTTCTAATAAAGTAAATGTCTGTCTAGTTCTTTTTGTTTTGAGACCGAGTCTCACTCTGTTGCCCAGGCTAGAGTACAGTGGCACAATCTTAGGTCACTATAGCCTTGATCTCCCAGGCTCAAGAGATCTTGGGATTACAGGGGTGAGCCACCAGGTCCGGCCCACATTTCTGATTTAGTAATGAAAATGATAATCCTAGCACTTTGGGAGGCCAAGGTGGTTGTATCACTTTAGCTCAGGAGTTGGTGACCAGCCTGGGCAACATGGTGAAACCCCATTTCTACCCCAAAACTCAAAAAACAGCTAAGCCAACATGGTGAAACCCTGTCTCTACTAAAAATACAAAAATCAGCCAGGCATAGTGGTGTGCACCTGGAATCCCAGCTACCTGGGAGGCTGAGGCACTAGAATCGCTTGAACCCGGGAGGCGGAGGCTGCAGTGAGCCAAGATCGTGCCATTGCACTCCAGCCTGGTTAACAGAGCAAGACTCTGTCGCAAAATATAAAAACAAAAAAGTAAAATTTCAGCCAGGCACAGTGGCTCACAACTGTAATCACAGCATTTTGGGAGGCTGCGGCAGGAGGACTCCTTAAACCCAAGAGTTTAAGACCAGCCGGGGCAACGTAATGAGACCCTGTCTCTGCAAAAAAAATTTTAAAAATTAGCCGGGCATGGTTTCATGCGCCTATAATCCCAGCTACTCAGGAGGCCGAGATGAGGAGGTCACTTGAGTCTGGGAAGTCGAGGCTGCAGTGAGCCATGATTGTAGCACTCCAGCCAGGGTGACCCTGTCTCATATATACATATTAAAGTAAAATGAAGTAAAAGATATTCACAAATTGTTCTGTCACCTGGAAAGCTTTAGCAATTGTGGTAAAACATCTCAACATCTTCTACTTACTTTGGAGGAGGGATCGTTTTTGCTTTTCTCACTGTATTAATTAACTGATATCATAGGATAATACATGAGGATATGTACACGATGAGGATATGATGAGGATAAATACACATAAGATACATAAAGCCAAAGACTGAGAGTCACACTCCGGTTCAGCCACAGATAGTCCCTCAGTGTGACATGCAGCCACAGAGCAGCTGCCTATGTAGGTGTGACCAGGCCAGCCATCTCGATGTCCGCAGATGGACCAGCGCCTGTTCACACTGCATTTGCTGAGGCTAAGAGAAGCCGATCATTGGTTTTTGTTTTTGTTTGAGATGGTGTCTTGCTCTGTCACTCAGGCTGGAGTGCAGTGATGAGATCTCGGCTCACCGCAACCTCCACCTCCCGGGTTCAAGTGATTCTCCTGCCTCAGCCTCCCGAGTAGCTGGGATTACAGGCATACACCACCACACCTGGCTAATTTTTGTATTTTTAGTAGAGACAGGGTTTCACCATGTTGGCCAGGCTGGTCTCAAACTCCTGACCTCAGGTGATCTGCCCACCTTGGCCTCTCAAAGTGCTGCTGGGATTACAGGCATGGGCCACCACGCCCAGCCCCATCACTGTAAGATACTAGCCAGCTGCTGGGATATGCCACAGCCCAAGAAGGAGAGGGGCAGTACACTAGATAAGCAGGAAAAACCATGCCAGCATCGTGACACAAATGCAAAGATTTGAAGAAGTTCAGTTCCACGTGATCAATTCACAGATTCTCCATGTTGGAAACAGAAAGAGTAGAGATAGCAAGAAGAGACTATCAATAACTATAAAAGGTGGAAGGTCTGCATTTATCTTGGTACCATGGGGTAATCTGTTCACATCTGGAATTGAATTCTTGTATTTGGTCCTCACCCACCTTGGTGCTTAAATTACCTACCACTCATTTACACAACAGTCTTTCACTGAGTTTATATAATGCGGTCAACACCCTGCTGAGTGTTGTTCCAACTGCTGCAGAATGTATTCACCAGAGATGGCCACAGCATCTCCCATCTCACATGACATTCTTACAATGTAACCTTGTTTTTTGTTTTGTTTTTGACACAGGGTCTCCCTCTGTAGCCCAGGCTGGAGTGCAGTGGTATGATTTTGGCTCACTGCCACTTCCGCCTCCCAGGTTCAAGTGATCCTCCCACCTCAGCCTCCTCACGTTGCTGGAACCACAGGTGTGCGCCACCATGGCTAGCTAATGTTTGTATTTTTTATAGAGACAGGGTTTCCCCATGTTGCCCACGCTGGTCTCAAACTCCTGGGCTCAAGCAATCTACCTACCTCGGCCTCCCAAAGTGCTGGGATTACAGGCATAAGCCACTGTGGCCAGACCCTACAGTGTAATCTTGACACTCCTCCCATCCAACAGTGGGGCTGATGTCCCCTCATTTGAACCCTGAGAAACCTTTGTGATGGCTTCAACCAAAAGAATACACTAAAGGCTGGGCGTGGAGCTCATGCTTGTAATCCCAGCACTTTGGGAGGCTGAGGCAGGACGACCGCTTCAGCTCAGGAGTTCAAGGTTGTAGGGGGCTACGATGGCGCCACTGCACTCCAACCTAGGCGACAGAACGACGCTGTCTTTAAAGCAACAAACAAACAAAAAAATACAGTAGAAATGATGCTTCCGAGGCCAGAGCACAAACATGTCGCACACTGCTACCTTGTTCTCTTAGGACTTGCCCTTGGAACCCAGCTGCCATGCTGTGAGGAAGCCCAAACTAGCTCAACAGAGCTACCACACGGAGAGGCCATGGGTGTTTAGCTAACATCCCAACTGAGTCCCAGCTGATACCCAAGCTCAACCACTAGATATGTAAGTAGAGATACTTTATTATGATTATAGCTCCCAGCCATCAAGTCACCCCCAGGCTTTGAATCTCCTACCTAAGGCCTCGGACATTGTGAAGCAAAAGCAAGTTGCCCCTACTAGTGAGGTCCAAATTCCTGACCTACAGGAATCTGTGAGTACAATACAAATAGTCATTTTAGGCCAGGGGCAGTGGCTCAGGCCTGTAATTCCAGCACTTTAGGAGGCCGAAGTGGAAGGACTGCTTGAGCCCAGGAGTTCAAGACCAACTGAAGCAATGTGAGAAGACTCTCTCTCTACAAAAAAAAAAAAAAAAATTGCTGGGCATGGTGATGTGCACCTGTGGTCCCAGCTACATGGCAGGCAGAGGCAGAAGGATTGCTTGAGTCCAGAAGGTCAAAGGGGCAGGGAGCTGTGATTGCACCACTGCACTCCAGCCTGGGGAACAGAGCAAGTCTCTGTCTTAAAAAAAAAACAGGGACTTGTAAACAAGTTTTGTTTGATAAGCAAACAAAACAAATAGTTATTTTACAACGAGTTTTAGAGCTGTGTTATGCAGCAGTAGTAACTAGAGCAGGGATATACAGGTAACATAAGGCATAACCCTGTGCTAGGATTTTATCATCTAACAGAAATGACACAAGATACACATATAAAAACAACTGAATAACAGTAAGAGATGGACTACCATTGAGTGAACGAAACAACTGGTACAAAAAAACTGGTGATCAAAGCAAAGTAAAAACAGCCCATAGTACTGAAAACCTGAGTTGTTTCTTGGGGAGTTGTTTTATAGATTGTATACCATGCTTTTTCTCCTCCCATTCTTGCCTTTCAAGAGCCCCCTTGGCCAGGCACGGTGGCTCATGCCTATAATCCCAGCACTTTGGAAGGCCGAGGCAGGCAGATTGCCTGAGGTCAGGAGTTCATGACCAGCCTGGCCAACATGGTAAAACCCTGTCTCTACTAAAAAATACGAAAATTAGCCAGGCGTGGTGGTGGGCGCCTGTAATCCCAGCTACTTGGGAGGCTGAGGCAGGAGAATCACTTGAACCCAGGAGGTGGAGGTTGCAGTGAGCCGAGATTGCTCCATTGCACTCCAGCCTGGGTGATGAGAAACTCCATCTAAAAAAAAAAGAGCCTCCTGTTTTAGACTTGGAATGGGGGCTATTCTCCATTGGAATGGAGAATACAGCCCTTTTCTACAGCCCTCACCATTTAGCAAGTGTGATCCAAGCCCCAGCAGCATCAATACCACCTGGAGGCTTGAAAGAAATGCAGAACGCAGGCTCTATTCCAAGACCTACCGAATCGGCTCCAGCAGGTTAACAAGATCCCAGGTGATCTGTATACACAGTTTTTGAAAAGTGCAAACTGAAGATTAAACTCATTAAAAACTAACTTAATACAATGTGAAAATCTGCCTCATTCTGCCCCATCTGACCTGTGGCAGCACGTTCGGGCATCTGTCCCACATAAGCCACGTAAGCACTGCTCAGCCTCTCCCGGATCAGTATCATTCTGCTGTTGCAGTTCCCAGAGAATCAGAGGTAAATGGAGGTTAAGAAGCTTTCCCAGACTCTACATTGAAAATTAGTAGCCCCACTGGGACCAGAACCGTCCTTCCATGAGTTGTCTATTTGTGGCTCAGTCATACAATTGGACCACAATGGATCCATCCATTCAAAGTCTACCAAAATGTACATTTCACTGGCTGGGGCGGGGAGGGGGCGGGAAACTGCAGCAAGAAAGGAGTTAAGGAACATAAGGTCAGGTCGATGTGATTGTGCTTTACGTCTACAGTCTAGGGAGTAATCTCTAAGAATCCTAAACTGTTGGTGGTACAAGATGGTCTTCGGGTGTGAAATATCCAATAAAAAGCTCGCAAAAGTCCACAGCTGTATTTAAACTTGTTTAATGATAACTGGAAACCAATTTGAGCAATGGCTTATATAAATAACATTTTAAAGTCTTCCAGGACTAAGTGGTAAAAATTAAATGTGAATCATATGTGCTTGGTTAAATGATAAACTGTTATTTATGTAACTCAGAACATCTAGAGGCAAAGTGCTTAAAAAAATCACTAATCAGCAATAAAACCCAGGTAGGTGTGAGTTTGCCTCAAAACTGTCAAAGTTACTACTGCCCTCTGAGAAGCAAGACCATGACATCTCAGAAAATGCAGGTCTTTTCATAAATAAGATTTCAGTCCTTACAAGCTCATTACTACTTTAAGGGAAGATAAAGAACAGAATTTATAAATTAGAATAAAGTTCACAGGACTAACAGCTCAGTAGTTAATAATCACCCTTTGATCATCTTTGATGTCTCATCAGACATATCAAAATCCTTAAAGCTCCAGCGGAGAGTTTCAACCTTCACCCTATGAGGACTTCCTTACCATATACCTGGCCCAATTCCACATCTTTTAGTGATTTTATACCAAATTAACTTCACTTATAATGTACTAATAAATTAATTTCCCATTTTTCTTTACAAATCAAAGGCACCTATAATTACCACGCTAGAGTTTCCGAGCAGGGTGAGGTAAACAGCTGAGTCTTCTGCTTCAGCGGGATGGAGGCAACTGGCGAAGGCCATGCCCGCTCCCATGCTGAGAGCAGTCCGACTGCACTGTGAGGGCAACTGGGTGTCTGTGCCATCCTACAGCAAAGGGAGGGATGAAGTTTTCAGCTGAACGAGAGGGGTCCCAAGGCAGAGGATCCTGAAGTTATTCCCTTGGCTTTAACTGAAAAAATACTGTCTGGAAACACAATATGACAATGTAATAGTTCCCTTTAGAAGACTACATTACTAATTAGTAAAACATTTCTAGGCTGGGCATGGTGGCTCACGCCTGTAATCCTAGCACTTTGGGAGGCCGAGGTGAGTGGATCACCTGAGGTCAGGAGTTTGAGACCAGCCCGGCCAACATGGTGAAACCCCGTCTCTACTAAAAATATAAAAATTAGCCAGGTGTGGTGGTGGGCACCTATAATCCCAGCTACTCGGGAGGCTGAGGCAGGAGAATCGCTTGAACCCGGGGGGATGGAGGTTGCAGTGAGCCGAGATCGCGCCAGTTCACTCCAGCCTGCGTGAAAGAGCGAAACTCTGTCTCAAAAAACAAAAAACAAACAAACAAACAAAAACACTTCTAGAGGGTCGGGTGTGGTGGCTCACACCTGTAATCCCAGTACTTTGGGAGGCCAAGGCAGGAGGATTGCTTGAGCCCAGGAGTTCGAGGCTGCAGTGAGCCAGGATCATGCCACTGTACTCCAGACTGAGCCAAACAGTGAGACCCCATCTCTTAAAATAAAAAAATTTAAAAAATAAAAAAAAGAAAGTTTGCCAACTGATATGGTTAGGCTCTGTGTCCCCACTCAAATCTCACCTTGAATTGTAATTCCCATAATCCCCACGTGTCAAGGGCAGGACCAGGTGGGGGCGGTTTCCCCCATGCTGTTCTGGTGATTTTGAGTGAGTTGCATGAGACCTGATGGTTTTATAAGCGTCTGGCATTTCCCCTGCCTGCACTGACTGTAAGTTTCCTGAGGCCTCCCCAGCAATGTGGAACAGCGAGTCAATTAAACCTCTTTCCTTTATAAATTACCCAGTCTCAGGCAGTTCTTCATAGCAGCGTGAGAATGGGCTACTACACCAATCCTTGGTTGAAATTAGTAAGTTATAAAACCATCACAGCATAGTAGACGCATTCTTCAAAGTGTGCTCCCAAGGAGTCCTACACGAGAATCACCTGGGCTGCCTGTTAGAATGCAGACTCCTAGACCCCACCCCAGACCTAATTAATCAGAATTTCTGGAAGTGAAGGCCTGGGAATTCACATTTCTAGTAAGTACCTTTTTAGAAGGAATCTAAAAATATTATTAAGAGTAATCTGATATTGTGGAAAAAATATCTCCTGTACTTTCTAGGAGGATAAATGGAATAAGAAACTCCGTAAGTGTAATTTTTGTAAAAAAAAAAAAAACTGATTACTTTCATATAATACAGTAGTCATTTGGATTTAAGATACAATCTAGGCCGGGTGCGGTGGCTCACGCCTGTAATCCCAGCACTTTGGGAGGCCGAGGCAGGTGGATCACGAGGTCAGGAGATCGAGACCATCCTGGCTAACACGGTGAAACCCCGTCTCTACTAAAAATACAAAAAATTAGCCAGGTGTGGTGGCGGGCACCTGTAGTCCCAGCTACTGGGGAGGCTGAGGCAGGAGAATGGCGTGAACCGGGGAGGCGGAGCTTGCAGTGAGCAGAGACTGCGCCACTGCACTCCAGCCTGGGCGACAGAGCGAGACTCTGTCTCAAAAAAAAAAAAAAAAAAAAAAAAAAAAAAGATACAATCTAGTACACAAAACAAGTTCTACTCCATTTCCATTTTGGATCACCTTTGGCTGAAAGTTTACACCAAGTAATTGAAGCTCTGTAAAACACTAAATACTTCTCCAATTTTTGTTAACAAGAAACATCATGTGACAAAAAGGAAAAAAAAGAAATATCATGTGAAATGTGAAATGCTCTAAGAGTTCCATCCCCTAAACATAGAACATATGTGACAGTACAAAATAAAGGCTAGTAAAGATTTCTGTCCTTTTTTTTTTTTTTGAGACAGGGTCTTGCTCTGTCACCCAGGCTGGAGTGCAGTGGTGCAATCTAGGCTCACTGCAGCCTCAACCTCTGGGACTCAAGCGATCCTCCCACCTCTGCCTCCTGAGTAGCTGGGGCTACAGGGGTGCGCCACCATGCCTGGCTAATTTTTTGTAGAGACAGGGTTTTGCCACGTTGCCCAGGCTGGCCTTGAATTCCCGGGCTCAAGTGATACTCTGGCTGGCCTCAGCTTCCCAAAGTGCTGGGATTGTAGGCATGGGCCACCATGCTTAGTCTTGTCTTGTCTTTTTTTTTTTTTTTGAGCAAGAATCCTGGAGCACAGTGGCACAATCATGGCTTACTGCAGCCTCGACCTCCTGAGCTCAAGCAGTCCTTCCACCTCAGCTTCCCAAGTAGCTGTAACGATAGCCATGAGCCACCACATCCGGTTAATTTGTGTTTTTTGTAGAGACAGGGTTTTGCCATGTTGCCCAGGCTGGACTCGAACTCCTGGGCTCAAGCCATCCACCTCCCTAGGCCTCCCAAAGTGCTGGGATTACAGGCATGAGCCACCACACCAGGCCTCTATGTCCTTTTGACATTCATCAAAAAAGCAGTTTGAAGGCAGGGCGCGGTAGCGCATGCCTGTAATCCCAGCACTCTGGGAGGCCAAGGCAGGTGGATCACTTGAGGTCAGGGGTTTGACCAGCCTGGCCAACACAGTGAAACCCCATCTCTATTAAAAATACAAAAATTAGCTGGGCATGGTGGCATGTGCCCGTAATCCCAGCTACTCAGGAGGCTGAGGTAAGAGAATCACTTGAACCTGGAGGGCGGAGGTTGCAGTGAGCTGAGATTGTGCCACTGAACTCCAGCCTGGGGAAGAGACTCTGTCTTTAAAAAAAAAAAATGCAGTTTGAAGTAAAATTGATATTTAAATAGAGTTGGAAGGAAATGTACCAAATTCATGGGAGTGGTTGTCTCAGTGGGAAGGGAAGAGAAATGGCCCAAGGAAGCTCTGACTTGATAATACTTAATTTCTAAGCATTATAAAAGATAAAGTATGAGCAATGATTTTTGAATGGTGAGTTATGATGCTGGTTAATTTGCTTTCAATAATTTTCTTTTCTTTTTTTTTTTTTTTTTTTGAGACAGAGTCTTACTCTGTTGCCCAGGCTGGAGTGCAGTGGCTCAATCTCTGCTCACTGCAACTGCCTCGTCCTGGGTTCAAGCAATTCTCCTGCCTCAGTCTCCCAAGTAGCTGAGATTACAGGTGCATGCCACCACACCCGGCTAATTTTTTGTTTGTTTGAGATGGAATCTCGCTCTTTCACTCAAGCTGGATTGCAGTGGTATGATCTTGGCTCACTTGAACCTCCGCCTCCCAGGTTCAAGCAATTCTCTGTCTCAGCCTCTGGAGTAGCTGGGATTACAGGGGCCCACGACCACTCCCGGCTAATTTTTGTATTTTCAGTAGAGACGGGGTTTCACTATGTTGGTCAGGCTGGTTTCGAACTCCGGACCTCATGATCCACCCGCCTCAGCCTCCCAAAGTGCTGGGATTACAGGCATGAGCTACCGTGCCCGGCCTAACACCCGGCTAATTTTTACATTTTTATAAGAGATGGGGTTTCACCATGTTGGTCAGGCTAGTCTCGATTGAACTTTTGACCTCAAGTGATCCACCTGCCTCAGCCTCCCAAAGTGCTGGGATTATAGGCGTGAGCCACTGTGCCCAGCATAATTTTCTATATGATTTCAATTTCTAAAAGTAAAAAATATTTTTAATAGAAGAAAATTAACAACACATAGTTGTCGGTCCAAGCCCCCTCTCCACTTCTGGCCTGAGCCTGCCAGTGCTCTTTATATAGGAGCCAGGATAACACCAAAGATTTATAATGATGACATGAAGTGTGTCTTCATTATAAATGTTTTGTGTTTTATAATGAAACACAAAGATTTAAAAGATTTAGTTAAATCTAAGATTTAGATTTTAGCTAAATTGGCAAAATTCTTCATTATAAATCTCCAAATTTGTATGTAATTTGTATGTTGACAGTACTTCCAGATTTTATTTTTACAAGTGCTTCCTTAAAACTTAAAGCAGGCTGGGCGCGGTGGCTCATGCCTGTAATCCCAGCACTTTGGGGGTCCGAGGCAGGTGGATCACGAGGTCATGAGATCGAGACCAGCCTGACCAACATGGTGAAACCCTGTCTCTACTAAAAATAGAAAAATTAGCTGGGCGTGGTGGCATGCGCCTGTAATCCCAGCTACTCGGGAGGCTGAGGCAGGAGAATTGCTTGAACCTGGGAAGCGGAGGTTGCAGTGAGCCGAGATCGCGCCACTGCACTCCAGCCTGGTGATGGAGCAAGACTCCGTCTCAAAAAAAAAACAAAAAAACAAAAAAAACAAAACTTAAAGCAAGTTCACCTACTGGTCACTTTCCCAGGCAGGGAAGGCTGGTGCTTTGAAGGCGCTCTCTGCCACATAATGTTTACTAGTCAACAGAAGCAGCATGCTCTAGTTAGGGAGTTTTCTCATATGTACCCACACACTCAAAGACATAGGAGTCAAAACAAACAAACAAACAAACAAAAAAACTTGCCCTAGGTCATTGATGCTGAAACTGTTCTGGGACAAAGACAGAAGTAAACCCAGCAGTTGCATATGAACTTCAAAAGAACCTTCTCGTCCACTGAGGTTTCAACATGGCATGGGGTGTGAAAAGCTGACCCAACCGGACCTCTGGTTGCTCTAGGTTGGTGCAAGAACAGAATGGGACGTGCCCAGGTGAGCTGGGTGGGCTGCACATGAAAGGGCATGGCTGTGATCTCAGCCCTAGGCCTCCTCCCTCGCCCAGGCTGAGGCTGCCCCTGCCCTGCAACAGGTGGAAAATGGAGCTCCTTTGTGAAAGCTGCCCGCTGGAAGGCCGAAGGGGTGACAAAGAACACGACAGGGCTCCTCCCCCATCACTCAGATCAACAGGTTCTCATACTAACGACTTCTTACTCCTCCTCCTTTGGGTGTCTTTTCCTGAAAACTTCTAATTTATCCGCATGTGGTTTCTAAAATTATCATTATTTTAGAGAATCTGAAAAAAAATCTTTACTATAATGAGCAAAAAAGTCTTTGTGACTTATGTAAATAAAGACTGAAAATAGAGTGATTTAGCTATTTTCCAAGATGCTTTAGAGAAGAAATAAAAAGGATCTACAAATCTCAGTCTTTGTGCTAGTGTTCTTCCATCATCCCTCCAGCTAAAAAGGATTCCCCTGAGGTATTTTGTAAACCTACAGAATTGCGTAACATTCTGCTCTAAGGGCAGAAACACAGCACATAATACTAGGCACATGGTAAGTACTCAATGAACACCTGAATTTAACGGCTGCCCTCAGGTGAACTGCCCACCTCTCCCCACACCCTCCCTCCTGCTCCTTCTCTTTCTCACATTCTCTCACTCTCTCTCACACACACACTTCAAATCCAGCTGGCAAAACTAAACACGGGCAATCAAAGTGAGCCTGGTAACTGTCTGTTCACAAAGCAGGAATTCAAGCTGGATGTGGCACATGCTGCAGTCCCAGCTTTTAGGAGGCTGAGGTGGGAGGATCCCTTGAGCCCAGCAGTTCAAGGCCAGCCTGAGCCACACTGCTAGACTCCATCTCTTACAAAGAAAATGAACAAAAACGACAAAAACTCTGCTCTAAGCTACTTCTACTTTCTCAGGCAAAGGAAAATTTGGAGAAAAATACATTTAAAAGATTTAAAGGCTGGGTGCGGTGGCTCACGCCTGTAATCCCAGCATTTTGGGAGGCCGAGGCGGGCGGATCACGAGGTCAGGAGATTAAGACCATTCTGACTAACATGGTGAAACCCCGTCTCTACTAAAAATACAAAAAATTAGCCGGGCATGGTGACGGGCACCTGTGGTCCCAGCTACTAGGGAGGCTGAGGCAGGAGAATGGCATGAACCTGGGAGGCGGAGCTTGCAGTGAGCCGAGATCGCGCCACTGCACTCCAGCCTGGGCGACAGAGTGAGACTCTGTCTCAAAAAAAAAAAAAAAAAGTTTAAAAGAGTCATTGATTCCTGTAGCACAGAGTCTGTGGTTACTTTGGAATTGCCAAGAAGTATGAGTTAGGGTCTGTGCACAGTGCCTCTTAAGGAGTCTCATCCTCAGAGGGTACTTTAACAAGGATAGGCCTGGGTTCCTGCACACTACACTGTCCTACACATTTAGGGCTGGGCACAATGGAAGCATTCACCAGAGGCAGGATTCATTCAAGAGCCTTAAAAAACATCTAGGTACTAGCCACTTATTTTTAGTACTTCATTTTGCATATTTAAAATTTCCTGTAACTACTCATCTGTTCCAAAAAAAAAAAAAAAAGATTGATGAAAGGATTCCATTAGATATTTGTCAACCAAACACAGTGGGAAAACCATTTCTGGTATTTGGGTGGTTAGTCCAAACCATATAACTAAATAAAAATACGCTAGCACATGACAGGCCAGGGATCGGACTACCCAGGGACCTTTATTCATTCATTCAGAAAATATTCAAGCATAATTGTGGTTAAACAGCAAATACAGTGACTTACAAACTCAAGGCTGACACCACTGAAGGAATGTAAATTGGTACAACCACTTTGGAAACCAGGTATCAACTAGTAAAGCTGAAGGTATGCACACCTGACTCAGGGCTGTTCATAATTGCCCCAGACCAGAAACAACCCAGATGTCCATCAACAGTGGAAAGGTAATTTGTGGTATGTTCATAAGACAAAAATGTACTAACTGGGCTGGGTGTGGTGGCTCACACCTGTAATCCCAGCACTTTGGGAGGCCCAGGCAGGAGGATCCCTTGAGCCCAGGAGTTCAAGACCAGCCTGGGCAATATAGTGAGACCTTGTCTCTAAAAAAATTAAAACACAAAAACTACAGGCATAGGCAACGATATGGATAAATCTTTTAAAATAGCATGCTGCAGAAATTTAAAAAATTATATATGTGCGTGTGTATATACATACATACACACACACATACATACACATACACACACACACACACGATGCCGGCCAGAAGGAAGGATTCACAAGAGTATCTACTTTTAGTTTGCACTGAGGTTAAAAACAAGCAAAATAAAACTATGTCAATTAGGGATTTATATTTAGGGGATAAAAACTATAGAAAAGAAGGAAATGATTTCCATAAAAGTCAGGGTAGTTTCTGGCTAGGACCTCTGGGGGAGGGAGAGAGTGTGGAGTCAGATTCTTGACCTGCAAGACAGTTACACTTATGTTTTCGTTAAAATAATCCATCAAATTATCCATTTGTTTTAGACACTTTTTTACATAATTCACAATTCAATAAATCTAATGTTGATTTCTGGGAATTCAGAACCATGACAACAATTCTGGCCAACTCTCTCTGAATGTCACTATTTGCCTGTCAGCTTCATAAGGTCAGAGACCGACCTTACTTGCCTTCTTCCTCTGTATTCAGGCACAGCACCTTTAGCATGGTAAAAGTCCTCGGTAAATGTATAATATATAAATCCACAGAATCCTGACATGAATTTTGTTTTAACCCATCCATTTCCTGAAATTACCGGTTTGAAGGGTGCCCACATTAACACTTTCCTTTGTCTTCACCCAGGTGAAGTGAAGCTTTCATAAATAATAAAGCCATCTTAAATGTTAGCTCTGTAAGTTTATACCCAGGCCTTGGTTGCTTTAGCAACTCTCCCTGTCTTCCACTCCCTTTGACGTTTCTTTATAAGCAAAGACAAGACAATAGGCTAGTAGTCCTAGATTTTTTTTTTAAATAGGAAAGTTTTATTCAGCACCTAAGAGTAAAACCTAGGATCGTAATGATTCTACTACTTTGAAGTTGTTTAAAAGGGGTAATTTGCCCCTTGCCCTGGGAAGTAACACCGTCTATCAGGATTATTAAAACTTTACCAACAGTTGTACTTAAACACATTACTTGTTCTTGACAGAAGCCAAATCTTTATAAACAGGACAAGTCAACTTTAAAATAATTAATTTCGGTTAAAAAACCACTTTGTGCAAACGGACATTTATAAAAATGCTTAGAAAAGTCTAAAAAGATATACACAAACCGATCAAGATGCACTCGGCAGTTACTTTTGAGGAAGAGGTTCAAAAGAAAGCTTTAACCTTATTAGTAAAGTTTAAATCTCACAGAGAATGGTTAATGTATTTCTTGTGATTTTGGGAAAAGCATTTTTAATCCATTTTGCCTTAAAATCCCAATTGCAAAGGAACCCATCAAACATAGCCCTCCCTAAAGCCCACTTTTTAAAAATGTTAAAGTATTAAAGGATTTCCTGGACTTACATACTTGGCTAGTCTTTTATGATATGAATATACATTTATGCCATTCTATTAATTATTATTACAGAATTCATACCTGCAGTCAACCGATATGAAAGCTTTCAGATGAGAACTCAGGACACACACGTTCAACAGTGACATTAAAACGACTTGGAATGAAGGAAACTGTCTCCAGTTTTATGGTGGAAAGCCAAAAATACCAAGCAACTACCTCTCCTCCCCCAAGCGTCAGAAGATGAGTCAGAGCTGGAGGCAGGAATAGGGCCCATGTGTCAAGCCTCCTGTGCAGGGCTCCTTCCTACCTCCTCGTGGCAACCCTCGTCCCTCCCTCAGGTCAGGGTCTCTGCCCCGGCCTGTCCCTGATGTGAAGTGTCCCTGATGTGAATTCTCAGGCGTCTCTGGCGAAGAAGAGGCGTTCACTGTGGGGGTGCCTCCTTCCCTGCATTTCTCAAGGGAACCAAGACTGGGGGCCTTTATGAGTCCACAACAACTAACAATAACCAAATCGCAGCTCAAGGGAGTGGAGCTTCCAGACACACGCACAACTCTGCAAAGAATACAGCACCTTTGTTCCCCTGGTTTTAGAGAGCAGGAAGGAAATGAGCGGAGAGAAACTGTGACTTGTCCAGTGTTACTTAACTTTGTGGCAGAGCTGAGTCTCAGGCATGGAGCTGCCGGCTGGCCTCGGCCTCTCTGACTCTTAAGTGATCTGTAGAATGTCAGGGAGGACGGTCCAACATTCCATCATACTTCTGAGTGGCCTTAGGGACTAGGAATTCCAGGAGACTCTGGGTTAAATCTCTTGGTCCCTATTCTTTTAAGGTTACTAAGGATACCCGGAGTTTGCTCTTCGCCTCCGTTTTTACATCTGTAAAACGGGATGGTAACGCTCTCCACCCCCCTCTCTTATAAAACGATAATGAACAGCTAACGAGTTAACACACACTAAATGTCCGGAGGTCCTGCTGGATAGAAAGTACAAGGTGGTTTTAAAAAAAAAAAATCTCTGCATGGTAAAACTGCATTTGTAAGTCGCTCCTCCTTCCCTAGCCTCTGGGATGCCCAGTTACCATAACACTGGCTGGTACCACTGGCAACATCCACCTAAATAAAATACAGTTATACAATCCACTTAAGGCGGCCACAGCACGCACCCCCTCTTTACAAACAACAACTCAACTTCGCTCCGGAGCAAGGGTACTTAGGAGAAATAAAAAGACAGATGTTAGCACCGCGCACACCCATCTACCACCGCAGAGAAAGACTCAAGTTGGACACTTGGCATCGCTGAAAGTCAAGTTGCTTCTATCCATGCACCAGAAACCTCGGGGAGATGCAAAAAGCGGCGGCGCGCTCCAGAGCGGGTGGATGCCAGCGAGAGTAGGCGGCCTCAGCGGGGTCGGAAGGCGACGGAGGAGGCGCGGCCGAGGCTGCTGGAGCCCCGGGGCACAGGGACAGGGTCGCGGGGGCGGCGCGGCGCGGCGGGGGAGCGGCAGGGGGCGCACGCTCAGGGCCGGCGAGGGTGCGCTGCGGAAGGTCTCGGGCCTCTCCTCCGCGGGCCGCCCCGAAGAGTCAAGGACCGCCAGGGAGCAGGTGGGGGCGCCGGCACAAAGTTTCCAGAGGCGGGGTCGCGCGGGCCTCTGGGTCCCCCTGCGCCCAGGGACCCGAAGCGCGAAGTCCCGCCCTCCCGCCCCACCCCAACACCTTCCCCACAACCCCCACCCCCGGGCCTGCGGGTCCCCTACCGGCGCGGCGCGGCGCGGAGCGGGTTGCGGTTAGGGCTCCGTCCTCCTGCGCGGCCACCGGCTTCTGCGGGCTGGGCGCCGCGCGCGCCGCCTCCTCCTCCCTCCGCCCGCGCCCGGGGCGGGCCGCGCGCACGCTCCCTGCGCCTGGCCGCCCTCTCCCGAGGTGGGGGGACGCGACGCGGGGCGGGGGGACGCGCGGGGCGGCAGGCGGCGCGCGTGCGCGCTGGGCTTCTGCGCCGTGCGGTGTGGTCCGGGCGCGCCCTAGCTCCCGAGGCAGCAGCCTCCCCTAGAGCGCTCCTCCGTGCAGGTCCCCTGGTCTCTTACCCTGCCTCACACACCGGCGACCCCTCGCTTCCCCAGTCAGCGTCTGCGTATGAGCCGGGCTCGAGGCGGGCTGCGGGGGCGCTCTGCTGGGGTGCTTTCGGGATTGGAGAGGATTAAAGGCGAGAAAGCAAATCCGATACAGGTGTGAAGCCGCCGCGGGTGGCTCGGGACGGCCTCGACCCCACCCCACCGCCTCCCTAGCCCGGAGAGCCCGGGGGTTGGGACCCAAGAGCGAAGGGAAAATCAGTAGCGCGGCAGTTCCTGGCTGACGCTTGCTGGAACAGGTACGGGCAGCCGTGGCGCCCGAGACCCGGAGGTGAACATGCAACCTCCGTGCGCATCTCCACCTGCTCTCGCCACGCCAAGGTGCCGTCCGAGTCTCGGAGCCCACACCCACCTCCCGAGTCCCCGAGGCAGGGCAGGGGTTCTCCGGAGCGCAGGCGGGACACGGGCATTTGAGGGCTCATTTGCTGTGTGACTCTGAGGGTCTTTTAAAATTCAGGTCTGCCCATCTGTAACATAAGTCGGTGCGAAACGGACGTTTTCCAGCACAGCCCCGCCTCCCCTCCGCCTCTGGCAGGTGAAGGGAGACACGTGGGAGGCAAAGCGACTTCCTCAAGGCTCTGCCGTGAGTCAAGGCACCTAAGAGTCCTGACTCCATGCCCAGTCCTTGACTCACCAGCCCCTGCTCCTCGCCGTTGCAAATGGTTGGCCTCAGAATTGCTGAGCAGTCAAAACGAGTAGGCATGGGTTTGCGGGGAGGGGTGGAGGGGAGAAGTAAAACCCGCGTTTGGGGTTTACATCTCCCGATGTCCTCAACCAAAAGCTTTGAAGCTTTTTCATGTTCTTCCCGATCTCCACTGCCCAACCGGCTTCAGAGTCATCCGGTGCGTGCTGGACTATCTAAAAGTTAGTGATAATTTTAATCATAATCCTGGGAAACGAAAAAGGCCCAGACTAGAGAGATTTATTTTCGTCTTCGTAAAAAGAGAATCAAAGCTTTAAAATTAGGCAAAATTAATCTAAGAGAAAACAAAGCAGCATACTTTGCTAGATTCAGGAAACCACTGAGTTCAAATCGTGCCTGGGAAAAGCATCTTCCTAAAACTAAATTGTGACGTCAGTTCACTTAGTGACTTACTTGTTTACATGCCAATACGAAAAGAGCAAATCTCTAACAGAAAGGATTGTGTGTTTTCATTTCTGCTCAGCACCCCCTAGTCCTTGAAGCTTCAGTCAATTCAATGACTCAGCAACACAAATAGATGCATCCCTCTTCACATTCCAGCTTGTTACACTGTAGGCAGGTTTCCAAAACAAGCTCTAGTGACAAGGAGCTAGGCATTTTCATGGATTATGGGAACTAAACCTACCATGAAGAGTCAGTGAAGAGGGAGGTGGGCTAAAATAGAGTTTGTGTTGTGTGCGATGTGCGTGTCAAGATTTAGAGATTTAGAGATTAAGTAGAAAGAAGTGCTGGAGTCAGACCATTTAATGACTGTACAGACATGCCCTGGGGTAGGGAGGCGGTTTATGCCTTTACAGAATGTGGAAGTGCGGGCTTATACATGCCTGTACCAAAAATGCAATTTGAAGTTATTCTCTTCTGGACCAGCACTGTCCAGTAGAACTTTGTGTGATGATGGACATGTTCTGTATCTCCACTCTCCAGTACAGTAGCCACTAGCCTCATGTTGCTACTGAACACGAAATATGGCTAGTGTAACTAAGGAAGTGAATTTAAAATTTTATTTTAGTAAATTTAGATAGCCACATGTGGCTAGTGGCTACCTTACTGGACAGCACATTTCTGGACTATAAGTATGTGAGTTTTTTTATAGGTGTCACTTTTTCTTCTTTTTTTTTTAAGATAGGCTTCAGGATGGAGTGCAGTGGTGCAATCATGGCTCACTGAAGCCTCCACTTCCCGGGCTCAGGTGGTCCTCCCACTTCAGCTTCCCAAGTAGCTGGGACTACAGGCACGCCACCACGCCTGGCTAATTAGTTTTTATTATTTTGGGGGGGACGGAGTTTCGCTCTTGTTGCCTGGGCTGGAGTGCAATGGCACGATCTCGGCCCAGCGCAACCTCCGCCTCCCGGGTTCAAGTGATTCTCCTGCCTCAGCCTCCCGAGTAGCTGGGATTACAGGCACGCACCACCACGCCTGGCTAATTTTGTGTTTTTAGTAGAGACAGGGTTTCTCTACGTTGGTCAGGCTGGTCTTGAACTCCCGACCTCAGGTGATGCCCCCTGAGGTTATAGACGTGAGCCACCGCACCTGGCCTTGTTATTACTAAAGAGACCTAGTCTCTTTAAATAATATGTTGCCCAGCCTGGTCTCGAACTCCTAAGCTCAAACAATCCTCCCACCTCAGCCTCCCATAGTGCTGGGATTAGAGGCATGAGCCACTGCGCCTGGCAGTGTCAACTGTTGTGGATGTAGAAACATTTTAGAGGCTGTCTGCTATAAAATTACAATTTGTCTATGCCCAGGGAGGGTTTGGGTTCTCCTGACTCCCAGCTAAATAACCAGTGCTTTCGAGCAGGGCAGCATCTACGAAGAGTGAGAGCTGATATGATTAATACAGTAAGTAGAGGGTGGAAATTTGTACTCTGCTTAGCTTCTGATGTCTGCCTTTCCAAAAATATTCTCCTTAACTGCTTGGGCAATGACTGCTCCTTAGATTAATCAGACTTTTATGCGTCCCTCAGAATGAATAGTTGCATCTTCCATTTGTATCACTGCCTCTGGTTAACAAATTAGCAACAGCTTTGATCTGTCAGAATTGGGGAACAGCGGTCAACAAGGCTCCCAGTCTACAGAAGTTTGATTTCAGGGTGCCATCGGGTCTTGTGGCTCACAGAGATTCGGAAGGCCTGCTTGCCTGTGCCTCTAATTCCAAATTATATGCCATTGATGGCTATAAAAATGCAACTCCCCTGAGATAAGTAAATCTTTAAGCTACTGTCCTTTGGCAGATTTGAGAGGGACACTGGACACCAGGTTTCTGGGAGAAAAGATATCTTAAAAACTAGCAAGATAGAAGTCTCAGAAGTCTCAGAACACATTTCTTCTACTACAGAAGTTTGCCTAAGGCTTGTGCTATTTCATAAGATGTAAAGTAGCACCTTATCTAGATATCATAAGGATTAGCTAGATGTTATTAAATGTAAAATACTTTGAACTTCTACTTTCCGAGTTTTCACAGTTCTCATAAAATGTACTTTCCAAGTAATAAAGAATTGTCACATTACAGATAAGAAAAAGAAAAAAAAGCAAAAAGAGAAAAAGCATTGCTTACCACCATTTTATTACTTAACAAAACAACAATTAGCATCTGGATTTCTTTCTGGTCTTGATTGTATGCAAGATTTTTTACTATTGTTAACACAATTACAATCAAAGAATGCATACAGTTCTGTAACCTGACATCAAGCTTTTTGAGCCAGGCATTATAAAAGGGAACATTACAACATGTCTAGGATAATTAGGTAATTTCAAATCTGTCTCTGAAATGTTTTGCCCTTAATTCAACCCTTGGGCAGTAGCAATGATGCAGTGATGAGAATTTCAAGATAAACAACATCCTTGTAAAATGCACATCTGTCTGTTTTAACATTTGTTCTTGCAGATCTTCATGTCCCTCTCTGTGAGACTTTTGCATGATGTGAATTGGGTGGTACAGGAAAATCATGTACTTGCTCATACCTGACCGCAGTGAAACTAAATGTCAAAGGCTCAGTGGGAAAAGAAAAGGAAGGGAGGCACCAGGTGTGTTATATACCTTAACACATTTAATCTTTTGTTGTTTTTGTTTTGTTTTTTTGAGACAGAGTCTCACTCTGTAGCCCAAGTTGGAGTGCTGTGGTGCGAGTAGCTAGGACCACAGGCGTGCGCCACCAAGCCCAGCTAATTTTTTGTATTTTAGTAGAGACAGGGTTTCACCATGTTGCCCAGGGTGGTCTCAAACTCCTGAGCTCAGGCCGGGCGCGGTGGCTTACGCCTGTAATCCCAGCACTTTGGGAGGCCGAGGCGGGCGGATCACGAGGTCAGGATATTGAGACCATCCTGGCTAACATGAAACCCCGTCTCTACTAAAAATACAAAAAAAAAAAAAAAAAAAGCCGGGCGTGGTGGCGGGCGCCTGTAGTCCCAGCTATTCAGGAGGCTGAGGTAGGAGAATGGCGTTAACCCGGGAGGCGGAGCTTGCAGTGAGCAGACATCGCGCCACTGCACTCCAGCCTGGGCGACAGAGCAAGACTCCGTCTCAATAACAAAAAAACAAAAAAACAAACAAACTCCTGAGCTCAGGCGATTCACCCGCCTTGGACTCCCAAAGTGCTGGGATTACAGGCGTAAGCCACCACACCCGGCTCATTTAATCTTCATCAACCCAGTCAGGTAGGTATTACCAACCACACTTTAGACATAAGTATTAAGAAACTGCCCAAGGTTGCATTATTATTAAATACCAGAACAGGGATTAGTGCTCAGATCTTTTCAGTACACCAGGCAGGTAAACAAGAAAGCATTTAGCTGTAGAGAGCCAGTAATGTCAACAATCCCTACTTCTTCCTCAGTTATTTGCTCTATAATTTTTTTTTTTTTTTTTTTTTGAGACGGAGTTTTCACTCTTGTCGCCCAAGCCGGAGTGCAATGGCGCGATCTCGGCTCACTGCAACCTCCAACTCCCGGGTTCAAGCGATTCTCCTGCCTCAGCCTCCCTAGTAGCCGGGATTACAGGCATGAGCCACTGTGCCCAGCCTGCTCTGTAAATCTTAATTTTAAAATGGGTGTTTTGGTGGGGCGAGGTGGCTCGCGCCTGTAATCCTAGCACTCTGGGAGGCTGAAGCAGGTGGATCACTTGAGGTCAGGAGATGGCGACCAGCCTGACCCAACGTGGTGAAATCCTGTCTCTACTAAAGATAACAAAAATTAGCTGCGTGTGGTGGTGTGCACCTGTAATCCCAGCTACTCGGGAAGTTGAGGCAGGAGAATTGCTTGAACCAGGGAGGCAGAGGTTTCAGTGAACCGAGATCACACCACTCCAACTCCAGCCTGGGTGACACAGTGAGACTGCATCTCAAAAAATAAATAAATGGCTGGTCGCGGTGGCTCAACGCCTGTAATCCCAGCACTTTGGGAGGCCGAGGCGGGTGGATCACCTGAGGTCAGGAGTTCGAGACCAGCCTGACCAACAAGGTGAAACCCCATCTCTACTAAAAATATAAAAATTAGCTGGGCGTGGTGGCAGACGCCTGTAGTCCCAGCTACTCAGAAGGCTGAGACAGGAGAATTGCTTGAATCTGGGAGGCATAGGTTACAGTGAGCCGAGATTGTGCCACTGCACTCCAGCCTGGGCGAGGGAGCAAGACTCCGTCTCAAAAAAAATAAAAATAAAATGAGTGTTTAAAACGATTTTGTTTACAACTGGAATGTATTTGAAGAAAAGAAAATTTTAAAGAGACCTTTTTAAAAAGGGTAAACGAACTATTCTTCCCTCAGGAGTCAGTTATCTCTGGTAGTAAGTATACCAGAAATGGTAAGAGACCTACCTTTAAAGACAAACAAGCTAATGAATGATGCTTTGCGTAAACTCATGGAACAAAGAAGAAAACCTGGTCTTACTGAAGGGGAGTAAATTTCCAAACCAGCCCAAAAAACCTGGAGACTTCTCCTCTAGTTATAAACTACTACATGTGTCATAACCAAACTACTGAATATGCAAATGAAGGTGTGCTGAATATGCTAAGAAACAGAATGTGAATGGAAAGGTAGTGGAGGTTCCCAGATTGATTAAAAGGCAACATCTAACCTACAGTCTTGCTCATCTGCTCTTTGCTTTGCCAAATAGTAGCAAATCTGTTACAGGAAGTCAGAAGACTCAAATTAATTCATCACCAGACCCAAGATGTACACATCGTTGTAAACAAATCCTTGATGCAGTGTCTCCAGAGCCCTGGAGCAGTGTCTGGCCACATCCTGGATGCTAAATAGGGGTATCAACTTTCATCAGAGGGCCTCTAAGCTTCTGGTCCCTACATCCACCCCATCTTGCCACATGTGCTAGAAATCTGTAGCTTGTCTTCCCCCCACCCCTCAACACACACTCCTAGTTTCCATGGAGACGGAACAGTTTACTCTTTTCCCCCAATTGTAAGCCATGGTTATTTTTAACTGGAAAACTCTGAGCCAGGTCACAGCTGGGATCTGGATGATGCAATGACGTCTATAGTCACCCTTCTCTCCCACAAACGCCTTCTTTTGCACAGTCGCTGGGGGTGGGTGGAGGCACCCCTGGGAGACTTTGCTCTCAAAAGCATTTCACTTTGCATCTTCCATTTGTATCATTGGAAGTTGAAATTAAATGAAATTAAAACCTATGCCCATCTTAGATCTGACAAGTGTCCTGAATCTGAAGCTATGCACGCCCAGAACAAGGCCAAGATTTTCTTGTTGGGGTTGACAGCCAGGTGAGGTTGACATTCCTATCACCTGTCTGTGGCTAGAGCTTAAATGTTTCTGCCTCCACGGGAGTGGCTTTATCAGCTGCCGTTTGCCCTTAAAAAGGCTAAAAAGAGGTTCCTACTAGGGATATTGTGTGGAAAAGCTGTTACCCCACCTCTCCAAAGCAAATAACCTGATCTCAGGGTCGGAATCCTGCTGTCTCGTCTGCTACTAAAAGTTCGAATCAGTCCATCCATCTCAGCTAGAGTCTTCAAGGCATTTCTGAACTTTTTGCTCTTTTTTCAATAATTTTTGGGAAAAGCTATTAAATTACCCCAAAAATTGGACAACTTCCTAAAGATTAGAAACTGAAATAAGATTAGAAACTGAAATAAAAACATCAGTTTTCTTATAGGGGGACATCAATTGGGCAAATGCACTATTCTCTCCCTCGGTCCAGGAGCTAGTTATCTCTGGTAGTAACTGTTATCAGAAATGATTAAGAGCCCACAGCCCAAATTCCTTTTTTTTTTTTTTTTTAAAGACAGAGTCTTACTCTGTCGCCCAGGCTGTAGTGCAGTGGCACCATCTTGGCTCACTGCAACCTCTACCTCCTGGGTTCAAGCGATTCTCCTGCCTCAGCCGCCTCAGCCTCCCAAGTAGCTGGGATTACAGGCATGCACCACCACGCCCGCCTAATTTCTGTATTTTTAGTAGAGACGGGGTTTCAACATGTTGGCAAGGTTGGTCTCGAACTCCTGACCTCAAGTGATCTGCCCACCTCAGCCTCTCAAAGTGCTGGGATTACAGGTGTGAGTCACCACGCCTGCCCTCCGTTGATTTTTAACTTCTTAATATGTTTTTCTGTTTTAAAGGAATTCCCTAAATGATGATAATGAAAGGTGAGGGGCGAGGGAAGGATCCAAATCAATAGTTATATATTGTTCAATAGGAAGAAAGTCTTACGTCATTGCGAACAATTTCAGAAATGGAGAGTATACTCGGCAGCTAGCTTTCCAACAAGAGGAGAGATATGTTAGAAGTGTCATGAGTTGGCACTTGGCTGTCAGTTCACTGAATAAGGGTGATTTGATGGCAGCATTTCAGCATTTCTGCTTAAGAAAGTGCTGGTTTCTTAAAACAACTGTGAGACCTTCTCCTTTCCACATTTCCTAAGATGCTGATTCTGTTCAACACAACTCTGGACCAAGGCAGGATTATTATAAGCTACCTGGAAGCTTTTTGCCACCCACAGCCTCAGGGGAGACCAGACCAAGATGAAAAAAGTGTTGCTTGGTTAAGAAGAGGGGGTTAATTCAACCAAATGATTAGTTTGGTGCCACAAAAATCCATTCTGGTGCTCTAACGTAGAAAATAGGTGCATCAGACTCAATTATCCAGACCAAGTCTGGGCTGGCAAAAGTTAACTACAGGGTTTTCCAAGACAAGGGTAAGTACAGTGACCTTCAGGGCTACATCTATGAAATAAATTTTTTGTAGTTTTCAGGGGTTGGAACCTTTTAGTGGTTAACTTCCTGTGCTATCTCCATTTCCTTATTCCTACTGTCAACAGGGAAGGGGGCCTAGGACACAATGCATAACAAGCTACTCAAGTGACAAAGGAATTGTGATGGCAGATGCACGACATTCACCTTTCCCTTAAATAATGTCTCTGATTTGTAGCTTAGTCAATCAAATCAAAGGGCAGTTTGATTGCAGTACACCTTAACTGCTGGAAGCCAAGGCAACAAACAACAGAAAAAGAACTCCCTGCCATTAGACAAAGAAACTGGTTTTCCATACCTCTCAGCAACTGTTCATTTTTCCCTCCTCAAACACAGCACACTAACACGTCAGTTCTGATGCACACTTCAAGGACTGGCTACTTAGGTTCCAAATTCCCAAGTTAAAAGCTCCTCACTTTTTTTTTTTTTTGACAGTCTTGTTCTGTTGCCCAGGCTGGAGTGCAGTGGCGCAATCTCGGGTCACTGCAACCTCCACCTCCTGGGTTCCAGTGATTCTACTGTCTCAGCCTCCCTGAGGCTGGGATTATAGGCGTGAACCAGCACGCCTGGGTAATTTTTATATGTTTAGTAGAGACGGGGATTCGCTATGTTGGCCAGGCTGGTCTTGAGCTTCTGATTTCAAGTGATCCGCCCACCTCATCCTTCCAAAATGCTGGGATTACAGGCATGAGCCACTGGCCTAAAAACTCTTCACTATTGTTCTCACTCCCAAATCAAGTGCCTATGTCAGCAGGACTATTACTATTCAGGCTGCTGTGACCCTGCTCTTGCTCTGTTTCACTTACATTTGGCTCAAAAGGACTAGGTATCGTCTTTTTTTTTTTTTTTGGTAGAGACAGGGTCTTGCCCTGTCACTCAGGCTACATTACAATGGCACAAATCATGGCTTACTGCAGCCTTGACTACCCAGGCCCAAGCAATCCTCCTGCCTTAGCCTTCCAAGTAGCTAGGAGAAAAAGCGTGAGCCACCACACCCAGCATTCTTTTTTTTTTAATGTAGAGATGGGGGTCTTGCTGTGTTGTCCAGCCTGGTCTCAAACTCCTGGCTTCAAGTGACTCTCCCACTTCAGCCACAAAAAGTGCTAGGATTACAGGCATGAGCCACTGCACCCAGCCAGTGTCTGATTAAAAAGAATTCTTTTAGCTTGGCCAACTCTTCTATGCAAGGCCACAGACATGGCAGTGTCCTCGTGTTCCAAAGATGGTCCCTTCTGGCAGATGTGGGAAAGGTTAGCTGCATTTGGCTAAGCACGTTGGAAAGGAAAGCAAAGCTTCCAGATCAGCAGCACCTCTTGAATCAAACTTTTATTTCAATATAATTTTTAGAAATTCAAACAAAAAGCTAGGTGCATATAAGATACAGAAAACCCTTTTGTGTTGTCAAGAATAATGCAATGTACATTTAGAAGGTGTCCACAAAGATATCCTTAAAAATGAATGGGCGAAGTTCCCCAGAATGCTGTTGAGAATACAGTACCACTGTTTGCTTAAAGATGGGTGAAAAAGTGTTTTTTGGAGGGATTCTAGGCATAAAGCTTTGCAAAGCTGGGTTTACCAAAGAAATAATAAAACTCATACATATTTATGAGTGAGTTTTCCCAAACTGCTGTGTAATGTGGCCTCTGATTCTTCAATGCAGATTTTTTCTCTTGTTACATACCTACATATTTCCTAAAGCTAGAATGTCCTACAAACTGGGATTTTGTTGTTATTGATGAATGCCATTGGTTTTCTCCCTTTTCCAGCTAACCCCCAGTCATTTCAATGACTGGTTGCTTAACTGAGTTCAGATTTTTAAAAGCGGGGGAAGTGAAGACGGTTAACAATAAAAGGAAAGAAACTGGGACCCAGGAAAAGATAAACTGAATATTTAGTATTAATTGGTATCGCAAGAGACAGAGTCTTGGTCTTTGAGCACAGAGAAGAGTCATTACATGGAAAGAGATTTGTTCTTTATTTCCCACCACTTAGAGAGAAAAATATGCATAAAACTCCAGCAGAAACTTTTAACGTTAAATTGCAATAAAAATTTCAGTAAACAGGTTTTATTCATGTCATTAAGTTTCAGGGTAAACTCTCTCTTCTGAGACAATCTGGAGAGACCTCTATCAGTGTAGTTGGTTTATGGCCAACCCTGTCTAGAAGCAAAGAGGAAGGATGCAATGCTACGTATCTTTGCAAAGTTCGGTATACCAAAGAAATAATAATCCTACTTTCAAAAATCCAGTCATTTAAAACTTCAGTCTTATTTTTCTATTACTATTTTCAACCATGCCATTTTCCTCATGAAATCTGATTTGCCATCAGCTTTTCAGAGTTCAACTGTTTCCAAGGTTTCTGTCAGACTGTCCTACCATCCTCCCACTCCTAACTACCCAGCTGCCCCTTGTGTTCTAGCCAAATAAATCTCTTGGCACCATTGTCCTTACACCCACTGCTGCCTCCACATCATTCTCCACCCCCTGTGTGTGGAATTGTCTCCCACTTCCATCTGCCATTTTTCTCTCTCTTCTCTATCATATAATTGCCCCAAAAGCCCACCTCTCCCAGGAAGCCTTCCTTAATCAAGGTTAAGGACTCTTCAGACTACAACAGACGTCACCTAACACTGATGGCTAATGCATCCCAACTTTTCAGAACAGGAGTTTCCTTTCAGGGATAAGAGGCAATCACTTCACAACCAACTAGGGGTGATGGTAGTGGTAAAATGTTTTCTACGAGATATGATTTTACAAGGAAAACAGGTCATTTCCACGTCATTCTTTTTAAAAAATCGAAGTCCTCTATTTGAATTCCCTCAGGTCCTTAGAGTGTCTTTTTCATTTCTTATCCCTTAGATGAATCCCTTCCCAGCTGCATGCATATTTACAACAGTCAAAAGTTTGAGCAGATGCTTCCAACAAAGCACACAGTATTTTAATTAGATATTTGAATGTAGAAGGAATTAAACAGTCAACTATTCGATGTGATTTGTGTCGATTCTGACGAAGTTATTTCTATATACAACTTTGTTTCTAACAGAAACAAGATAACCATAAGTTTGGCTTCTTATTCTGCAGAAACGTTTGAGGACCAAGTTTTACATGTGGTGGGGCTACTTACCCTCATATCTAGTGAGTCCCATATATAAAGCTGCTTTACTTCTGTTTTAAAAGCAGCTTTTATTGCAGGCTAGCCTTTCACCATTGAGAAATAGGGTTCAAGTCACAATCCAAGCAAAGCTGAGGTTTGTTGCATCATCTCCATCCTCAGGGGCTTGGTATCCTGGGAAACCCAGGGCAAAAACAGGGTGAGTTCAGGACACATGTGACAGCAGACAGTGCAGCGTGATGGGGCAGGCATCCAACACCTTAAGTGTGTTTCAGTTACCAGAATATTTGACACACCCACAAATTAAATAGCAAAACATTTTAATTAATTCTAAAAATAACAGAGACATGTTATATCCGGTGCCACCTCCTCAAAAGACTACTGCAGATTAGACAGGCAGACTGCAAAGTACAAAGCCAGACATTAAAGGTTTTTTTTTGTTTTTTTTTTTTTGAGACAGAGTCTCACTTTGTTGCCCAGGCTGGAGCACAGTGGCGTGATCTCAGCTCGCTGCAACCTCTGCCTCCTGTGTTCAAGCAATTCTCCTGCCTCAGCCTCCTGAGTAGCTGGGATTACAGGCGTGTGCCACCACACTCAGCTAATTTTTGTATTTTTAGTAGAGACTGTTTCACCATGTTGGTCAGGCTGGTCTTGAACTCCTGACTTCGTGATCCGCCCACCTTAGCCTCCCAAAGTGCTGGGATTACAGGTGAGCCACCTTGCCCGGCCGAAGTTAAAGATGCAGTTTGGGATAAGACCATCATAAGGATATTTTCTTCCCCTTTACTCATAAAAGTTGTCAGCTTAGGCCGGGCGCGATGGCTCACGCCTGTAATCCTAGTACTTTGGGAGGCTGAGGCGGGCAGATCACCTGAGGTCAGGAGTTTGTGACCAGCCTGGCCAACATGACAAAACCCTGTCTCTACTAAAAATACAAAATTAGCCAGGTGTGGTGGTGGACACCTGTAGTCCCAGCTATTCGGGAGGCTGAGGCAGGAGAATCACTTGAACCTGGGAGGCAGAGGTTGTAGTGAGCTGAGATCTTGCCATCACACTCCAGCCTGGAGGACAAGAGCAAACTCTGTCTCAAAAAAAAAAAAAAAAAGTTGTCAGCTTAAAAAATCCTTCAACGAGAGCTTTCTTATGCTCTAAAACCTTTCTCTTTATTTTAAATCTGTCTGCAGTGTTTGAAGGCAAGACAGATAATCAGCAAACTTACCTCGCAATATAAGGATCTGAGCTGGACTCCTGGGATTACAGACTGTGGTTTAGTTCCATTTCTACCAGCACTGTGATGTGAGGTACTATGGTTCTTTTAGTTACAAGAGGTGTTAGGAATGAATGCCCACTCACATTTAATAATAGCTTATGTAGCACACAACTCTGCAGCATAATACCAACAACAGGAGTGTTTTAAAGCAGGATGGAGAAGAAAGTAGACAATACAACTTAAGGTTTCCTTTGTCCTTTCCCCTGTTTTCACCATGAGAATTCAGCTGAAAAACAACTCTCCAGAATGCCCACCCATATTGTCCTTTGACCCACCACATTCCAAACTTCTGACTTCTGATCCCAAGCTCTTGGAGCCTTAGCCTTTAGTGATGTATCCTTCTCTGATGAGGAAATCATAGATTTTCCGGGTTTTGTTCACATCTATCTTGATGAGTGCTCTTGCCTGCGCCAGTCTTAAGCCTCCTTGCTTGTTACATTCGTTCAATAGAGCAGATTTGTATTCTAAATAGGCTCCAGGGACCAACCTCACCATCTGACAGAGCTGCAAGACACGGCAAATTTAATAAACATTAACATCTGTCATTTTTGTAATTTAATCCAGCAGGTATAGCAAAAAATTTTTTAAAGTGACATCAACCTCCAACTATTTATAGGAGCTGATGGGTGGCTGGACTACATTCCATTTAGTCTCTTCCTCTCTGGAGAGAACACTCCCTAAGGACACACACCCAGGAAGAGAAAGCCAGGGTGTGATACTAGAAGAGCCTTTAGCACATGCCAGCTGGCTCAGGGGCCTGGGTTTGTTAGGGATTTACAACTATGTGCTCCTGAGGAGCAGCCTGGCTCTTTCAGGAGTCAAACACTAAATGCCCAGGTACAGTCCCAGCACCAATGGTCAGGGAAGAGCCATGGGGCACAGTGGGGGCAGAATGCACAGACACTTGGATTCTCAAGGCTGCATCACATTGTTTTTAGTGTCAGCATAAAGCAGTAGTCCCTGCTTTGGGGATTACATTTCCTACTTCAAAGGGAAAGGAGATAAAGAGACCTTGCTAAGAGGAGGTAACTTTAACTGCTAAAAATCTAGAAAATTGCCACATTATCCAGCAATGAGGAGTCTGAGGTCACCATTATGTGGGTAAGGATAAAAAAAGCTTGAAATTCCAGGCCATTCAATATTTGAATCAGGCTGACCTATGACCTCCTTCAGCAATACATAGATACTACATACATTTCCTTCCACTCCCAAACTAATCCTTACTGTTCCTGGTGGATAAAATAAGACTAACACTATCCCCTACACTATGACCCTTCCTTATTATCTGAACTGAACTAATGATATATGGTGGGAGATGGGGAACTGACCTTGGGAATTATAAAAGGAGCATATGAGGAGCAAAAGAGGAACTCCTCCAAAAGAGGAACAGACTTCAGAGATGTGACAAAGTTTTCTGAAAACTCCTGATGATGACTCTTATGAGGCTGGCTTTAAATTTTAGAAACAGATAAAATCAATATGAAGACATGTCTGATGATTGCAACTGGAAAAAGTAGGTCACATAATTTTTTAATCAGGCCGGTGCAGTGGCTCACATCTCTAATCCCAGCACTTTTGGAGCTGGTGTGAGTGGATCACCTGAAGTCAGGAGTTCGAGACCAGCCTGGCTAACAAGGTGAAACCCCGTCTCTACTAAAAATACAAAAATTAGCCGGGTGTGGTGGTATGCGCCTGTAGTCCCAGCTACTCAGGGGCAGGAGAATCGTTTGAACCCGGGAGGCAGAGGTTGCAGTGAGCCGAGATCACACCACTGCACTCCAGCCTGGGTAACAGAGCGAGACTTTCAAATAAAAAATAAAAAATAGGCCGGGTGAGGTGGCTCACGCCTGTAATCCCAACACTTTGGGAGGCCAAGGTGGATGGATCATGAGGTCAGGAGTTCAAGATCAGCCTGGCCAACATGGTGAAACCCCATCTCTACTAAAAACTACAAAAATTAGCCAGGCATGGTGGCAAGCGCCTATAGTCCAGTCCCAGCTACTCGGGGAGCTGAGGCAGAAGAATCGCTTGAACCTGGGAGGTGGAGGCTGCAGTGAGCTGTGATCGCATCACTGCACTCCAGCCTGGGTGACAGGGCAAGTCTCCGTCTCAAAAAATAAATAAATAAAAAAAAATAAAAATAAAAAATAATTTTTAAAATCAAAATTAACATGACTATATATGATGTAGAAATCTTTTCCTTAGGTTTATAAACATGCTCTGGAGACAATTTACAAAAATGTTTTAAATAATGATTATGTTGTTGGAATAAGTATAGAACTTTTCAAGGCAGCCATTCTAATAGGAAATATCTATTTTCATGTAGAAGTTACTTTAGGTTTACAAAAAATTAATTTTATTTACATAAAGCACTCAGTAGAGTAGCACATGGTAAGTGCTCAATAGATGATAGTTGCTATTATTATGTCATCTACATACCACATGTGCTTTCCCCAAAAGAGGAATGGTGGTAGGGTGACAAGGTAAGCAATTCTCTGAAATCTGCCACAAACGGCTCTTTAGCTCTTGGACTTCTAGGATTCACCAGAGCTGTGCATATATGTTAGATGAATGAAACAAAAGGGGTTTGACCCTGTAATGGATTTTTAATGACAACTCAATGAATAATCAGCCCCTATTCTCTTTCTCCCAGCCCCCTCCCTTTTGTTACCTCCTTTTCTTTTTCATTCAGCTTCTCTGTGCCAGGGAGGCCAGTGAGGTTCAAGGGTGGTGCACTCCGTCTACCTATAGACAGAGAAAGGAAACAGCATAGATTTAATAGGAGTGACAATTTCTCAGGTGTAAAGTATTAAAAAGTTCAGTGCAGCCAGGCCAGTTAGGTATAGGATCACTATATCCAGCTTAGGAAATCCTGTCCCATTCCCTCAGGCCTGTTTAGCTAACAACATGGGCACCCGAACATTCACTTGAAAATGAATTACATATTCAGGGCACATGAATTACCCATAATCTGCTAAAATACACATACAGTCACACATACCTTAGCATCAAATGTAACTACTCACCACAGTAGTTATCTCTTATTTATTATTATTATTTTTGAGACAGGGTCTCACTCTGTTGCTCAGGCTGGAGTGCAGTGTTGCGATCATAGCTCACTATAGCCTCAATCTCCCTGGCTCAAGTGATCCTCCTGCCTCAGCCTCCCAACTACCTGGGAAGACAGGCATATGCCACCATGCCCGACTATCACCTATTTCTTCCTAACCATGTAGGAGACTCTAAAATCTGATGCCCAGATGTCATCCAGTTAAGAAACATCACACAATGCCTGCTTTGACAGCTGACGAATGGAAATAATAACTGCAGAACAGACATTCCCTAATCCTTGCCACTCGGCCAGCAGTACAAGGCAAACATGGTAATTAACCAAGTACTGTGTGCCTTCAGATCAAAGAAAGACTGTTAGGCCAGCAAAAGGCCCTTCTTTTTTATTATGTGAGGGAATATCTGTTCCTTCCAAAGTAGCCCTGTTTACCTGCAAGATCCACAAACAGGAACAATGAGCCATTATATGGCAAAGCAGGGGCTGAGGTCAACTCACACACCTGAGAAAGAAACCCAAGTAGGAGGTCACTGGCCAGGAGGGGAAGCTTGATGAGCAAAACTTTTTTGGTTTTGTTTTGAATGTGTATTAGGGATTGGTATTCAGCTGGGAATGGATAGACTGAGTTAAGCAAAGAAAATGTCGAAGTTTTATAGAGGTTGCTTTTCAAGTGGGGCAGAGAAAGGGGAGGGACTGTTACAAGCTCCACTGGTGGAAAACAGGCTTCTCTGTTACATCAACAAAAGGCATAAGGGATTATTCCAAATCCTCAAAAAGGGAGATAAAACCATTTGGTTCCTCACAAAAGTCACCAGAGGCTAGGCTACAATCAAAGATGCCAGGCTTCCAATACATAGTTGCCTTAAGAACTCAGAACATAAAGGAGAGCAAGAGATCTCCTCAGCCTAAATATAAGGGGTGAGAAAGGCTAACACAGGCTAGGAACAAACAATGAACAAGAGGCCGGGTGCAGAGGCTCACACCTGTAATCTGAGCACTTTGGGAGGCTGAAGCAGGAGGATCACTTGAGCCCAGGAGTTCAAGACCAACCTGGGTGATATAGTAAGACCTTGTTTCTACCAAAAAAAAAAAAAAAAAAAAAAAAATTTCTCCAGGTTTGGTGGCATTCACCTGTAGTCCCAGCCACTCAGGAGCTGAACTGGGAGGATCACTTAGGCCTGGGAGTTTGAGGCTACAGTGAGCCATGATCACATACTGCACTCCAGCCTGGATAGTAGAGGGAGACCCTGTCTCACAAAAAAAGAAAAAAGAAACAATGAACAAGTCAGTGCAGATAGTACAGAGAACAAAAATATATGATCATGTTAGCCAGTTCCTTCATTTAATTTAATTAATTAATTTATTTATTTTTTGAGATGGTCTTAACTCTGTCACCCAGGCTGGAGTGCAATGGTGCGATCTTGGCTCACTGAAACCTCTGCCTCCCGGATTCAAGCGATTCTCCTGCCTCAGCCTCTGGAGTAGCTGGGATTACAGATGTGTACCACCACACCCAGCTAATTTTTATATTTTTTTTTCAGGAGAGATGGGTTTTCATCACGTTGGTCAGGCTGGTCTCAAACTCCCAACCTCAGGTGATCTGCCCGCCTCAGCCTCTCAAAGTGCTGGGATTACAGGCATGAGCCACTGCACCTGACCCAGTTCCTTCATTTTAATTAGCCAGTATTAACTTAGTTGTATTTAGATTTTGGGGGTAGAGTGTTGGCAGTAAGAAACTTACAAAATAAAACTTTGATTTCACTGTCTTAGCCACTCCCCTAAAACAATACCTTTTTCTTCTTTCCATATTAAGAAAAAATCACTTGAAATAAAGGAATAAATGGGGGAAAAAAAAAAGTCCCTTCAGTGACCAGGCGCAGTGGCTCATGCCTGTAATCCCAGCACTTTGGGAGGCCGAGGCAGGCAGATCACCTGAGGTCAGCAGTTCGAGACCAGCCTGGCCAGCATGGCGAAACCCCATCTCTACTGAAAGTACAAAAATCAGCTGGGCATAGTGGCAGGCGCCTCTAATCCCAGCTACTTGGGAGGCTGAGGCAGGAGAATCGCTTGAATCCGGAAGGCAGAGGTTGCAGTGAGCCAAGATCGCGTCACTGCACTCCAGCCTGGGTGACAGAGCGAGACTCCATCTCAAAAAAAAAAAAGTCCCTAACGCGGACAAATCTGAGACCCAGATTCTGAATCTACTGAGACATACCTCCCCCAATTCCCAGTCATCGATTACCAATCACCAAGGATCATCAGATAGCGTATGGCTTAATCTTGCTCTGTATACTAATTTCAAAATAGGACATACTCAAAGAGGTAAAACGAAGAAATAGAAATACTTTAGGTCTCTAACTCAGAAATCCTTATGTTTCTGGCAAGTAACATGCTTCTTTGCTCATGTTATATAAAAATAAAAAGTTTAGGCTGGGCACGGTGGCTCACGCCTGTAATTCCAGCACTTTGGGAGGCCGTGGTGGGTGCCTCACTTGAGGTCAGGAGTTCGAGACCAGCCTGGCCAACATGGCAAAACCGTCCCTACCAAAAATACAAAAATTAGCCAGGCGTGGTGGTGCATGCCTGTAATCCCAGCTGTTCGGGAGGCTGGGGCAGAAGAATCACTTGAACCCGGGAAGCGGAGGTTGCAGTGAGCCGAGATCACACCACTGCACTCCAGCCTGGGCGACAGACCGAGACTCTGTCTCAAAAAATAAGTAAATAAATAAAAAATAATAAAATAAAAAGCTTTTAATTTATCTCCTGTGAAATAAGTCTCAAAATTAGTGGTAGACACAACTGCAGTAAACTAACTGCTCATGAACATTGGTAAAATAAAGAAGTTACCTCTCTGAAGTTCTTTTTTCCCCTGTCTCTATACTGTCTATACTCTATACTGTCACTCTGAGGATAGTCTCTGTCTGGCCATGAAGGTTCTGAAAACATACTGATGTTTATATATTGGGCTAACACTTGATTACTGTTACTCTGCCTAAGCACCCTGACACCACAGAGGAAGGAAGATTGCTGGGTCACTATAACCCCTACGATGCAAACTTCACAATTAAGACTTGTTCTGGCCTGAGAAATAATTACCTGAATTCGAAGCCATTGGAATGGAAGGACTCAGGCCGGAATCACTACAACGAAGAAGAGGAATTTAAACTTAGGTCATATCAAACAAGGTGATTTCCAAAAGCCCCGGTGAGACTGGGTGCCATTTATCAGGTAGGTCACCTTGAAGAAGTGTAATGAGATAGACTGAACTATGTTTTACAGATATCTCACTGTATTGAGCAGGAAAGAAAATCTGTTCTGAGGAAGAAAAATTCCTCAGATTTGTTAAGAAGAGCTTGTAATCTAGAACACCACTAACACCACTCAAGGGGAAGGGATACAAACATGATTCCCCAGTGAAAATCTAGGTATGAAGAGAGAGTTGAAGTCATGGGTAGAAGGCTGGGGGAAAATACACTCATTTTAAAAAATAGGATCAAAGTAGTAAAGTATGATTCTAGGAGGTCAGTTATTTCTCAAAACTGTCAGTATGGCACTGTTTCTGAGATGGACTGCTAAAATATTTCTGAATTCTTCCAGCTACTCAATTATTATTACTCTGCCATCTAGGGTGCCCAAAAATATATGTGAAGGCCAAGGCATCCCAGAAAGAATGCCTCCTTCACCCTGGAGTAATTACTCACATGTCAGCTTGCCGGCGGAGCCACTGCTGGCAAGCACTACTGTCCTGGATATACTGGAGAACTTCTGAGAGCATAGTGCGTTTAAGGCGCTCTTCCTCCCGTGTCTTCTTGAGGTGATCGTAGGTTCTGGCACCTGGGGGTATAGAAAACACAATGACCACAATGACAATGCAGCAGAACTGAAGGGCTTCCTAACTGACCAAGAAACCGGTTTTGGGTTTTGTTCTTAAAGTCTGTTTCCTTTGCAAAACTGCTTTCACAATTATTTCTCCAAGACCCAAGTAGATTTTCCCTAGTCTGAAATCCTTTTCTTAATACTAAGTATTAAATATTAAACATTTGTATTCCTTTTCTATCTGTAAGAAATAAGGGGAAAAAAACCAACAGAAAAGTACAAAGAAAGTAAGAATTGCTCATATTTCCACTCTCAAAAAGTAACCAACTTTTACTATAGTCATATTTGCTTCCTGTTTTTTCTATTTTTATAAATTTTTTCAAAGTCACACAAGTGCTATAAGCATATGCCTTTCCTTAAAAAACAATTAGAATTACAAAAAAAGAGTTCTCTTTGACATGTAGTACCTCTTCTCCATATTTCTTAGAGGCAGCCAATATCAGGAAACCAAAATTAGTTATCAGAGTCTCTATATGCATCTTGCTAAACAGAAGAGCTGCGTGGTGTTTTCTACATGTTAACAAAGGTTCACAGATTCCAAAATACTGCACCAGTGGGTTTCAAAATTCAAACTAGGTTCCACAGAGCCCCAGGATACCACAAGAGTATCTTAGAGGTTAATGTAAAGAGAAAGGGCACTGCCAGATACCGGCGGGTCCTGGGCTCTACACATAAATTGAACCATTAAAGTTCAACCAAAGTAATTCCACTTTTATCTTTTTTTGAGACGGAGTTTCGCTCTTGTTGCCCAGGCTTGAGTGCAATGGCGCGATCTCGGCTCACAGCAACCTCCACCTCCCAGGTTCAAGCCATTCTCCTGCCTCAGCCTCCGGAGTAGCTGGGATTACAGGCATGCGCCACCATGCCCAGCTAATTTTGTATTTTTAGTAGACACGGGGTTTCTCCATGTTGGTCAGGCTGGTCTTGAACTCTGGACCTCAAGTGATCCGCCCGCCTCGGCCTCCCAAAGTGCTGGGATTACAGGTGTGAGCCACCGTGCCCAGCCCACTTTTATCTTATTTGTAGATTGGGGCTCACACAAAATTTAATTTCAAAAATGGTTTCCACTGTTAAAGAGCCATTATACTAGGCTGAACTTACATCCATAAGGCTATGTTGCACCCACAGGGCTGTGTTAAGAAGCCAACTATTGCCGGGCGTGGTGGCTCACACCTGTAATCCCAGCGCTTTGGGAGGCTGAGGTGGGTGGATCACCTGAGGTCAGGAGTTCGAGATCAGCCTGACCAACATGGATAAACCCCATCTCTACTAAAAATACAAAAAAAAAAATTAGCCGGGTATGGTGGTGCATGACTGTAGTCCCAGCTACTCAGGAGGCTGAGGCAGGAGACTCGCTTGAACCTAGAAGGCAGAGGTTGTGGTGAACCAAGATGGCACCACTGAACTCCAGCCTGCGCAACAGAGCCAGACTCCGTCTCAAATAAAAAAAAAAAAGAAGCCAACTATTTCTTATAGATAGTAGGTGACAACTATCAATAATCACAAAAACTTCAAATAGGAAGAAGGAGGGAATGCTAAAGATCATTTCAACAATGACAGCAAAACAACAGAAACTGCCATTTATTGAGGAATTATTGTGTGCCAGATACTGTGCTATGCTTATATGCAGTATCTCTAATTAAATCTTTACACTAACTCTAAGAACCTTAGAAAATTAAAACTTGAATAGAGGCCAGGCACAGTTGCTCACACCTGTAATCCCAGCACTCTGAGAGGCCTAGGCGGGAGGACTGCTTGAGGCCAGGAGTTTGAGACCAGCCTGGGCAACATAGCAAGAGTCAGTCTCTAGGGAAAAAAAAAAAAGGAAAGAAAAATAAATTTGGATAGAATCACATCACAGAGCTGGCAAGCTGGAGAGCCAAAATTTATACTCAAGCTTTTTAAGTCTAGACCCAAGCTCTTAACTACTATAATACACTATCTCTTATGACCTGGTTCTAGTACTAACTAGCTCTGTAACCTCTTTATACCTTAATTTCTTCACTAAATGGAAGTAACGGTACTTTATAAGTTTGTCATGAGAATTCATTGACTTGATCCAAGTGAAATGGTTAGCATAGAGACTGGTACATGGTAAATATCTGATAGATGTTAGCTGCTAATAATATAATTATTGTCACTACCCCAAGTAACTGGGATGCAAGCACCTGGAGCCAGTTGAAGCTTCATTATTTTATAAAAATGCTAAGACCATGTATCATTAAATTTGAAAAGGGTGACACACCTAAAATATAAAATTCCTTTTTTTTTTTTTTGAAACAGAATCTCCCTCTGCCACCCAGGCTGGAGTACAGTGGCACCATCTTGGCTCACTACAACAACTGCTTCTCAGGTTCAAGCGATTCTTGTGCCTCAGCCTCCCGAGTAGTTGGGATTAAACGTGTGCACCACAACGCCTGGCTAGTTTTTTTATTTTTAGTAGAGGTAGGGTTTCACCATGTTGGTCAGGCTGGTCTCGAACTCCTGGACTGAAGTGACCCACCTGCCTTGGCCTCCCAAAGTGCTGGGATTACAGGTGTGAGCCACTGCACCCGGCCCAAGATTCCCTTTTTTTAAAGAGCCTCGGCAGAATCCTAAATCTAAAGCAGCACCTCTCTTTCCTTTGTCTCACAACTTTTGTAGTACCAAAGATAATCTATACAAAGGTATTTATAGGGATTAAATAGCCAAAACTTTACTGGAAAGGTTTAAAGCATTCTGGTAAAGGAAAGCTTGTTTTTTAAAAAAAAATTCACAACAATTCAGAGACTTCCTCTGTGTGTCTGGAAGATACTTGCCCTCAAGTACGGTATGTAGCTGAAGCATACTTACTACAAAAATTGGTAATGCCTGCTGTCCTGTATTCTTGGAGCCTCTTGATTTCCCTTCGGAGTTCAAATTCCACTGTTTTCCCCAAAAGGAATGAAGGAAAAAATTACAAAAACAAAAGCAACATTAGTGAGCACTTTTGCTATTGAGCATTTTCATTAATTCTGCCTTATAAGACTAGGGAAGTTCATTTGGAGAATCCTACTCGTTGGTAACTTCTCATTAGAAATTTTACCCAAGAGCTGAGGAAAACCTACTCCAGCTATCTTCCAGCTGCTGTCTCCAGATGCAGCAGCTGGAACTGTCTTCTAGAAAACTTAGTGAAATGGTTAAATTCATTTGTCTACAAAAGTAACAATTTTTTTTTTCTTTTTTTGAGACAGAGTCTCGCTCTGTCGCCCAGGCTGCAATGGCATGATCTCGGCTCACTGCAACCTCCACCTCCCGGGTTCAAGCAATTCCCCCTGCCTCAGCGTCCTGAGTAGCTGGGATTACAGGCATCTACCACCACACCCGGCTAATTTTTGTATTTTTAGTAGAGATGGGGTTCTGCCATGATGGCCAGGTTGGTCTCGAATTCCTGACCTCAGGTGATCCACCCGCCTCGGCCTTCCAAAGTAGCTGGCATTATAGGAATGAGCCACCGCACTGGGCAAAATATAATTTTTTTAACAACCAAGTTTCCCTGCTCTAACTATCTTCTATTAAAAGTTCTACAAATCATTCTAATTTGGCTGCTTTTGAAACAGAGAATGAAGGAAGAGCCTGGACAATCCATGGGGTGTAGTGTTTTGGAATGACACATAAACCAGGGGTGTGTCCCAAACTGGGACAGGAAGTAAAGGATCAGTCACCTGGTACAAACCACACAAAGAATGCTAACCAAACAAGGTGTTTGGTGAGGACAACCAACCTGGCTCAGATAAATGTCTGCAATGCTATGTAAGAAATATTTTCACGGTGAGAATAAGGGCCTTAGTAGACTACCTTCCCAGAACTAAACTTAGAAGCCACATACACAAATGTCATGATGAAAGGTACAGAACAAGCCAGAGTCCATATTATTTTAACAATCTAGGCCTTACTGCCATACCAACATATTTTGTTTTGAAACAGGGTCTCACTCTGTCGCTCAGGCTGGAGTGCAGTGGTGTGATCTCAGCTCACCGCAACCTCGGCTACCCGGGTTCAAGCAATCCTCCCACCTCAGCCTCCAAAGTAGCTGAGACTACAGGTGTGCACTACCATGCCTGGCTAACTTTTGTATTTTTGTAGAGATGGAGTTTTACTATGTTGCCCAGATTGGTCTCGAACTCCTCGACTCAAGCAATCCTCTTGCCTTGGCCTCCCAAAGTGCTGGGATTACAGGTGTGAGCCACCACGCCCGGCCTCATAACAACTTTTAATTTTTTATAGTGAAAAATCAAATGGTAACTATGTAGAGCTCTCACAGAAATACCACAGAAAGGCAAGAGATCGATGGAAGTACTATCTCCACAAGCTATCCATCTCTGTCCTCATTTTTAAAACTACTTTTAATACTAAAATATTTATGAACAAAATAAAATGATGTCTGGGATTTGCTTCAGAATAATCCAGTTGAGGGCAGGAGGGAAGAGTGAGTGGTAAAGATGAAACCAGACTGGCCATGTGTTGAAAACTGCTGAAGCTGGATGATGGATACACGGGAGTTCATCATATTATTATCTCTACTTCTATATATATTTGAAAGTTCCCATGATACAAAGTAGGGAGAAAAACTACTAAATTATTGTTTATCTGGGGCAATGGGGGAAGTCATTAGGGCTTTTTAACCTCTCTTCTGCCACCCCCATAGTCCCAAATTTGTCTCATGGTAATAAAGGGGAACAAAGAGAGAAATATCCATTTATTTATTTATAGAACTTCACATAAAACACACCATTATCTCTCCTATTTATATAAATATACACACACAAATACTGCTCAAGGCTCAAAAACCACCTACATGCATGGCTTTCAATGAATTTGTCATGTTCCACTGGCCCCACAATTCTTGCAAATCGCCTCATTGTTTCATACAGGTCCTGGACCTCCTTGGGATACCGCCGTTCCATTACTACAGAGAAAATAAAACATAAATGTGTCATGGGAAATGTAAGGATCCCTGAGTTTTCAGCATTTTTTTTTTTTTACAATTAGTAAAATGGAAGAACATTATTCATAACCTCATATGACTAACTTATCCATGACAGGAAGCAAACAGGAAAGCCAAGAATGCAAAACACTAATCATAATGACAGCACCATAGCAACTATCCCACAGGGATGTTGTTAACACTGGAGATCATCTCCACCACTGAGCACTACTCATCTCCCACATCTACTGTCTTTTTTTTTTTTGAGATGGAGTCTCGCTCTGTCTCCCAGGCTGGAGTGCGTTGGGGTGATCTCGGCGCACTGCAACCTCCATCTCCTGGATTCAAGCAATTCTCCTACCTCAACCTCCCAAAGTAGCTGGGATTACAGGCGCCCGCCACTACACCCAGCTAATTTTTGAATTTTTAGTAGAGACGGAATTTCACCACATTGGCCAGGCTGGTCTTGAACTCTTGACCTCAGGTGATCCACCCGCCTCGGCCTCCCAAAGTGCTGGGATTACATGCATGAGCCACCGCGCCCAGCCACCTCACTGTCTTTTTTTTTTTTTTTGAGATGGAGTCTTGCTCTGTGGCCCAGGCTGGAGTGCAGTGGTGTGATCTCAGCTCACTGTAACCTCTGCCTCCCCAGGTTCAAGCAATTTTCCTGTCTCAGCCTCCCAAGTAGCTGGGATTACAGGCACACCGCCATGCTCGACTAATTTTTTGTATTTTAGTAGAGACGAGGTTTCACCATGTTGGCCAGGCTGGTCTTGAACTACTGAGCTCAGGCAATCTGCTCGCCTCGGCCTCCCAAAGTGCTAGGATTACAGGTGTGAGCCACCGCGCCCGGCCACCTCACTGTCTTTTAAACTACACAGGGGCAGGAACTGCTGGCAGTAATGGACGAGACAATTAAAGGCAGATCTTACATTCTTAGGAAGAATTATGGCCAAAATTTATGGTATTAACTCCCACAGGAAAACAAAGAAGCTACAGACAAAATAATCCATCCAGAAGATTTCCCATTAGCTGAGAAAAAGTGTGATTTCTTGCATGTCCCACCTACACATCCTCAAGCAAGGTAAGTATTTTTTTCATCCTTCATATGGGTCATTTTGCCTTTCTCCAAACTAAATTAACTACTACAACTTAATTTACTGCTAATGAAGTTTTATTTGACAACTGTCATGCAAATATCATGCAGAGACACCAGAGCAGCAACTCTGGGGATCACTACTGACCAAACAACTAATCCAAAGATGTATCTGCAAAGAAGATGGAGAGTAAAACTGACTAACAATAACTGGTAGATTGGAGCAGTCAGTAACTCTCGAACTGCTACTTGGGTCGTTTCAATCAGTAATTAGGTTAGTTCTATCTACTCTTGGACTAACGATACAGACTTTCATTTATGACAGCTATTTTTTTTTTTCCTAGCTTACCTTTTTATTTTTTTTGAGACGGAGTCTCGCTGTGTCGCCCAGGCTGGAGAGCAGTAGCACGATCTTGGCTCACTGCGACCTCCGCCTCCCGGGTTCAAGCGATTCTCCTGCCTCAGCCTCCTGAGTAGTTGGGACTACAGGCGCCTGCCACCACACCTGGCTAATTTTTTTTATTTTTTAGTAGAGATGGAGCTACTTGGGAGGCTGAGGTGGGAGAATCACCTGAGCCTGGGAGGCGGAGACTGCAGTGAGCTGAGCCACTGCACTCCAGCCTGGACAACTGGAGTGAGGCCCTGTCTCAAAAAATAAATAAATAATAAAGGACCTAAAATGTAACATACTTATGATGATGGCTATATTTTTAAAAAATATAGATTTTCTGTTGCCCAGGCTGGAGTGCAGTGACATGATTATAGCTCACTGCAGCCTTGAACTCCTGGGCTCAAGTGATCCGCTGCCTCAGCCTCCCAAGTAGCTGGGATTATAGGTGCAAGCCACCATGCCTGGCTAGATATTTATTTACACTAAAAAGACACTTAACCTTGTTGACTGAACCCTACGATGCTATATATTATTAAATAAATACCCCTACAAGAATCTATCAACTGGGATGTTTTACAATAACCATTAGGTTATTGTACAAACCTAACCATTAGGTTATTCTTTACAAAAAAAGAATATTATGACACACAACTATTACAAATATTTTAATACAAACATTGTGATTGTTATTATGACATCATCCTTCTTAGTTGTGGAAGCCTCTATGTTGTGGAAGAAGAAAAAGTACAGGGACTTTTTCTGCCCTGCTTAGGTATCTCTGATATTTAAAATAATAAAGGCCAGGCACGATAGCTCGAGCCTGTAATAAGGAGGCTGAGGTGGGAGGATCACTTGCACCCAGGAGTTCAAGGCTGCAGCAAGATACCATCACACCACTGCACTCCATCCTGGGCAACAGTGCAAGAACCTGTCTCTTAAAAAACAAACAACAACAAAAAACCACAGTAAGGTCAAAGGTGGCATTTATTTTAAAAATCACTATATGTATTTTTATCACCGTCATATAATATTAAATATCATTTATTTTGTCTGTCTATAACCATCCAAAATAAAGATCACTTTCTGTTATTTATCTAAAATATTTTTACAACCTGAAGATTAAGGTTATGTTATGCTTAACACATAGTTGCAAAACATGACTCTATCCAGAAAATTATTCATTAATATTCACACTGTAATTACTATACAAATTTTTAAAAAAGAATTTTAATACAAGTTTTATTGACTACAAATTAATACATTTATTTATTTGCTTATTTATTTATTTATTTTTGAGACTAAGTCTTGCTCTATCGCCCAGGCTGGAGTGCACTGGCGTGATCTCGGCTCACTGCAACCTTTACCTCCTGGGTTCAAGTGATTCTCCTGCCTCAGCCTCCTGAGTAGCTGGGATTGCAGGTGCATGCCGCCACGCCTGGCTAATTTTTTTTTTGTATTTTTAGTAGAGATGGGGTTTCACCATGTTAGCCAGGATGGTCTTGATCTCCTGACCTCGTGATCTGCCCACCTCAGCCTCCCAAAGTGCTGGGATTACAGGCAAGAGCCACCGCGCCTGGCCCCAAATTAATACTTTAAACTCTCACTATGGATCAGAATTGCCCTGAAGACTTTTTAAAAATGCAGGTGCTGTGCCTCCAACCCCAGAGATTCTTACTTCATTAGTCTGGAGTGATAGCCAGGCTAATATGCAACTTGGATTAAGAACTACAATACGTGATTTATTTAAAATTATTCAATAATATTGGAAAAAAATTGTAAAATAAAGAAAACTGCTAATACTTACATTGAAACTTTCTAAGGTTGATTAATCCATGGTCTCTTATAATTCTAGAATGAAAAGCCACAATAATTTGTGCATTAGAATTATTTTCACATTTACTAATGCTTTACACATATAGCTATCATCAGACATAAACATGCTGAGGTGGAATACAATACAGAGGTCCAAAGAAGTCACTCCCACAAATTTCTGCAGGTCAGTGAATCACTAACCCAATTTTAGACTCTCAGGCATCACGGGTTTTTCCTCTTGTTGGGCATAGTAGACTCTCCATGACTATTTGCTGAACGAATGAATCAATCAATAACCACTCACAAATGCTGAAAAACACATGTCTGTCACTTAAGATGAAACCGAAAGGAATCTCTGTCCATGTCATAAAGTTAATCTATTCAGCTTGTGGAAATAATTGAGAACAGCCATTTTAGAGAAATCTGCTAAAGGGCACCATGATCACATATTCAACATTTTCAACTGTGCATTCACACAACACTGGCGGTACTAGAAATAAATATTGTGCATGTTTAATGAAAGGGCATTATAAAACAAAAGATTTGATAGCAACATCAGCAACTGAGTTCTACAGTACTCTCTAGCTCGAATTGTGTTTTAAGCAAAAGAGAATTTAAACCAGGCAAAGTTATGTGTCTTGAATCTGATTTATACCAGAGGTATTCATAACTAGCAATGAAGCTTCTCATAGGAGCAACTGGGTATGCTTCTTCAGCATTTCATGGAAGCTAACTCCAGACATGCAGAGAGTAAGTTTTACTTTAGATCAGGAGTTCCCAACCCCTGGGCCATGGACCAGTTAGGAACCAGGCTGCACAGCAGGTGAGCAGCTTTACCGTCTGAACTCTGCCTCCTGTCAGAGGAGCGGCAGCATTAGATTCTCACAGGAGCGCGATCCCTATTGTGAACTGCTCACGTGGAGGATCTAGGATGTGTGCTCCTTATGAGAATCTAACCAATACCTGATGATCTGAGGTGGAACAGTTTCATCCCAAAACCATTCCTGCCCCCAGCCATCCATGGAAAAACAGTCTTCCATGAAACCACTCCCTGATGCCAAAAAGGTTGAGGACTGCTGCTTTAGATCACATCTTAGTTCCTCCAGAGTGAATCTCAAGTCCCTTTTTTTTCTTTTGCTTTTTTTTTTAAGAGATGGGGTTTTCCTAGGTTGCCCAGACTGGCCTTGAACTCCTAGGCTCAAGTCATCCTCTCACCTTAGCCTCCCAAGTAGCTAGGACCAGAGGTTCATGCTACCACACCTGGCTTCTCTCCTTTTTATTGCTGAGATATCACTGTGTCTACAGTTAGTAACATCACAGTAAATACATGCCTACACATACATACACACACATGCACACTTATACCCTCTGCATACTCTTCTCTGAAACCAACAGAGGTCTGAGATCCATAATTTCTAAGTCTGAATGTATACTTTTTGATATGTTGCAAAGAGAGGAAGAACCAGTATGCCTGAAACTTGTTCAGAATTTCTTTGAAATCCTTTTAGATGAAAGACTTCTCATTAAAAAATGAACAGTTAGAAAGAGAACATTAAAAAAGCACAATAGGGCTGGGGGCAGTGGCTCATGCCTGTAATCCCAGCACTTTGGGAGGCTGAGGTGGGCGGATCACCTGAGGCCTGGAGTTTGAGACCAGCCTGGCCAACATGGGGAAACTGTGTCTCTACTAAAAATAAAAAATTAGCTGGGCATGATGGCACGTGCCTGTAGTCCCAGCTTCTTGGGAGGCTGAGGCACGATAATTGCTTGAACTCAGGAGGCAGACGCTGCAGTGAGCTGAGATCGCGCCATTACACTCCAGCCTGGGTGACGGAGCAAGACCATCTCAAAAGTAATAATAATAAAATAAAAAATAAAAATAAAATAAAAAAGCCTAACAGTCCGAGTGCAGTGGCTCACACCTGTAATTCCAGCACTCTGGGAGGCCAAGGCAGTAGGATGCCTTGAGTCTAGGAGTTCAGGACCAGCCCAGGCAACATTGTGAGACCCTGTCTCAAAAAAAAAAAAAAAGGTTTTTTTTCTTTTTTGAGACGGAGTCTCACCCTGTCGCCCAGGCTGGAGTGCAGTGGTGTGATCTTGGCTCACTGCAACCTCCGTCTCCCAGGTTCAAGCAATTCTCCTGCCTCAGCCTCCCGAGTAGCTTGGACTACAGGCATGCACCACCACCCCCAGCTAATTTTTGTATTTTTAGTAGAGACAGGGTTTCACCATGTTGGTCAGGCTGGTCTTGAACTCCTGACCTCAGGTGATCCACCAGCCTCGGCCTCCCAAAGTGCTGGGATTACAGGTGTGAGCCACCGCGCCCAGTCTAAAAAAAGAAAAAGGTTTTAAAATTAGCCAAGTGTGGTGGTGCGCACCTGTAGTCCTAACTACTTGGGAGGCTGAGGTGGGAGGATTGTTTGAGCCCAGGAGTTGGAGACTGCAGTGAGCCATGATAGTGACACTGCACTCCAGCCTGGGTGACAGAGTAAGTGTGAGACTCTGTCTCTTATTTAACAAAAAAAAAAAAAGGTTGAACACGGTGGCTCACGCCTGTAATCCCAGCACTTTGGGAGGCAGAGGGGGATGGATCACTTAAGGTGGGGAGTTCAAGACCAGCCTGGACAACATGGCAAAACTCCATCTCTATTAAAAATGCAAAAATTAGCCAGGCGTGGTGGTGCACACCTATAGTCCCAGCCACTTGGGAGGCTGAGGCTGGAGAATCACATGAACCCAGGAGGCAGAACTTGCAGTGAGCTGAGATCACGCCACTGCACTCCATCCTGGGTGACAGAACGAGACTCCATCTCAAAAAAAAAAAGACAAAAGCAAAGAATGATTCACAAATATTAAAAAAAAAAAAGTGTAACAATACTGTCTTGATGCCTTTATTTTATCTTGTTCTTTTACTTCAAATAGCTTAAAACAGTGTACCCATATTATTCATTGTTCATCATAACGTCAATAAAGGATAAGGGCAGAGGATATAAAAATAACACAGGAATTACTATCCTCAATTGAGAGAAGGAAAAATTGAGGTCTAAGGAGGGTAAGAGTCTTCTCCAAGGTCAAAAGATGAGTCACAAGTGGAGCATTCTCTCATGGACTATATGTGGTCAATCACTCAAAGCTGAGGCCAGGCACAGTGGCTCATGCCTGCAATCCTAACACTTTGGGAGCTGAGGAGGGAGGATCACTTAAGTCCAGGAGTTTGAGACCAGCCTGGCCAACACAGCAAAACCCCGTATCTACAAAAAATACAAAAAATTAGCCAGGCATGGTGGCGCACTGCTGTAGTCCCACATGCTCAGGAGGCTGAGGTGGGAGAATCAATTGAGCCTGAGAGGTTGAGGCTGCAGTGAGCCATTATTGTGCTGCTGCTCTCCAGCCTGGGCAACAGAGTGAGACCTTGCCTCTCTCACAGACACAGACACAGACACACACACACACACACACACACACACACACACACAAAACAATAATCCAAAGCTGAAAGGAGGCCAGGATGGTTTTTTATACTTACTTTTTTCGTCTTTGTCTCTCCTTTAACCTGGAATGATAGATATCTACCACAGCCATCTTCAGAGCTACAAATAAATTCATACATATACTATATATACATATCATATATATATTATATAAATAAATAAAACCAAGACAAAAATAAATCTTTTACCCAAACTTTGAACCTCATATTGCTAATTACTCCACACTCACTAGTCTAGAAAACATAAAAATATTCCAGCATAAAGAATTTGTCTATCAATAAGTAAAGTTATTTTTCCGCTATTTATATATCTTATGGCATTACTCAGATTATAAATTCTGCTTTCTGCAGTCAGAAAAATGAATAAGATCATGTCCTTTGCCAGGACATGAATGGAGCTAGAGGCCATTATCCTTAGCAAACTAACACAGGAACAGAAAACCAAATACCACATGTTCTCACTTATAAGCGGGAGCTAAATGATGAGAACACACGGACACATAGAGGGGAACAACACACACTAGGGCCTATCAGAGGGTGGAGGGTGGGAGGAGGGAGAGGATCAGGAAAAATAACTAATGGGTACCAGGCTTAATACCTGGATGATGCAATAATCGGTATAACAAACCCTATGATACAAGTTTACCTATGCAATATACCTGCATATGTACCCCTGAATTTAAAATAAAAGTTAAAAAAAATTCTCCTTTCTATTAAACACCTTTTTTGGACATTGTTATGTAACTATTACTATATATAGTGAATATCTGATCTTTGGTAATACATGGGCTAGAAATTGCATCAGAGTACTCATAAGAATGAATATTGGGCTGGGCGTGGTGGTTCACACCTGTAATTCCAGCACTTTGGGAGGCTGAGACAGGCAAATCACCTGAGGTCAGGAGTTCAAGACCAGCCTGGCCAACACGGTGAAACCCCATCTCTATAAAAATACAAAAATTAGCTGGGCATGATAGCAGTTACCTGTAATCCCAGCTACTCGGGAGGCTGAGGTGGGAGAATCGTTCAAAGCCAGGAGGTGAGGTTGCAGTGAGCCGAGATCATGCCACTACACTCCAGCCTGGGGCAACAGAGCGAGACTCGTCTCAAAAAAAAAAAAAAAAAAAAAAAAGAATTAATGTTGGTTGGGCACAGTGGCTCACACCTGTAATCCCAGCACTTTGTAAGACTGAAATGGATGGATCACTTGAGGTCAGGAGTTCAAGATCAGCCTGGCCAATATGGTGAAACCATGTCTTTACTAAAAATACAAATATTGGCTGGGCGTGGTGGCAAGTGCCTGTAGTCCCAGCTACTCGGGAGGCTGAGGCAGGACAGTTGCTTGAACCTGGGAAGCAGAGGTTGCAGTGAGCCGAGATGGCACCACTACATTCCAGCCAGGGCATTGCTGCAAGACTCCGTCTCAAAAAAAAAAAAAAAAAAAAAAGAATAATGATTGTGGTCATAACTGCACAGGAGTAACAGACAATGTCAAGGCAAGACTAATGTGAATAAAGGTACAGTGTAGACATTTTCCCAGAGTAGGAGTTTTCAGTTGGGGAGCAGCAACTGTTTAGAGTGTAGAGTTTTGCATTCTGTAGTGAAAAGTTCCATCAAGTATCCTAACCAGTGTAAAAGCCCTGCTTGGTTTCCTGGGACCCAATCCTTTCCTGGCTTTAGTCTCATGTTAAAGACACAGGGAAGAAGGAGGAAAGAGGCTGTAAATAGTAAAAGTTTTATCAGTGTAATAGTTCTGGTTCTTTCTTTCCCTAGCCACTCTTTCCATCTTCAGAGTTCCAAAGATTCTGTTCTAATTCCTTTTTACCCCTCACCTTAGTCCTATAAATTCCTCTACTTCTATGGGTCCAAGTACCATCAAAATGCATAATTTCAAACTCGATATCTATTTTAAGCTCCAGTTCCTACTGCATATAATTTACTCACATGCCCTTCAGTTGCAAACTTATATTCTACCCCTTTCCTATCCTCTAAAACTCCTATATTGGATAACTGCATCAGAGTAAAGATAGCTATCCAAGACAGAACTCAATCTGGATTCTTCCTCCTTCTCCTCCATAGTCGATGAGTCTTAGCCACACTGCACTTAACGCTTACATCTCTCAAATTCATCCCTTCATCCCTAATCCTATTCCCTAGCTCAGGCATCTTGTCTCTCCTGTCATCTTCATGCTATCTTGTAGGAGAGGCATCATTACTCACTTATCGACTCCATTCTTGCCTTACTGTAACTCACCTCTTCCAAATGGTACTTGAAAAATATTTTAAAGCACAATGTAATGGTGTAATTCCCTTGCTTATAATTCTTCAGTGGCTTCCCATCCACGTACAGTTCAAACTCTTGCATGTTACACAAGACTATTTATTGTCTTGATTACGCCTACCTTTCGACTCATTTCTTTTTTTGAGATGGAGTCTCGCTCTGTTGCCCAGGCTGGAGTGCAGGGGCGCTTGGCTCACTGCAACCTCTGCCTCCCGGGTTCAAGGGATTCTCCTGCCTCAGTCTCCCAAGTAGCTGGGATTACAGGTGTGCGCCACCATGCCTGGCTAATTTTTGTATTTTTAGTAGAGACAGGGTTTCGCCATATTGGCCAGGCTGGTCTTAAACTCCTAACCTCAAGTAATCCACCCACTTTGGCCTCTCGAAGTGCTGGAATTACAGGCGTGAACTACTGCACCCGGCCCCATTCTTGTTTCCTATCACTCCCGCATATGCCCTATACACCATGCATACAAAACAAATGGCCCAAGATCACACAGCTGTTAAGTACACAGCAGGGATCCAAAAATAAGCAGTCTGGTTCCAGAGTATTAAGTAGGAAAAACACTGAAATTGTCTAAATGTTTACTTTCTCTGTGTTTATGCTATATTCTAAATCTGCCTTAATTGAAAATGAAATGTGTATTTTAAAAAACCTCGTAAGCGGCCAGGCGCAGTGGCTCATGCCTCTGATCCCAGCACTTTGGGAGGCCGAGGCAGGTGGGTCACAAGGTCAGGAGCTCAAGACCATCCTGGCTAACATGGTGAAACCCCATCTCTACTAAAAATATAAAAAATTAGCCTGGCATGGTGGCGGGCGCCTGTAGTCCCAGCTACTCAGGAGGCTGAGGCAGCAGAATGGCCTGAACCCGGGAGGCAGAGCTTGCAGTGAACCGAGATCACGCCACTGCACTCCAGCCTGGGCGACAGAGTGAGACTCCGTCTCAAAAAAACAAACAAACAAACAAACAAACAAACAAAAAAACAAACTTCAGAAGCAAAAAACTCCCACAGGTTTTTTTTTTTTTTTTAATAACCAGAAGACCTCTAGGGTTAAGAAATGAATGCCAGATAGTAACAACGCTAGAAGAAAATATGAGTAATGCAAAACTTGGCACTATGCTACATTAAACCTTTCTTCTCACTTATGGATCCTGAAAGCACCTTGAGATTGAATGATTGCAATAGAATCTGAAATTTTCTTAATAAGTTATCAATTAAGCTTTGTGTAAGTTGAGAGTTTGGTGTTTTTTGTTTTAATTACTGAATGTATTTGTGGAAGAGGCTCTATAGCACAATATAACCTGCCACGTGTCCTCTGAAAAACTAAAATACGTTATTCAAATGTTAGGTAATATAATTTATATTTTTCTACAGTCCAATCTTTAAGAATCTGATCTGCCAACTTGGTGTTTTGAACCACCTCGGGGAGCTGACACTTTCACAGGCTTCACCATCTTTTGTGTAGATGCTGCCTTAGCAGCAGCCATTGCGGTCTTTTCAGATGCTAGCTTAGCCTTTTTTGCTTCCTTAGCAGCCCTGCTAGCTTGTTTTCATTGAGCCTTTTTAACTTCATGTTTCTCATTCCTCTTGGCCACTATATTAGCAAGAGATGCACCAGTAATGGCCTTCTGGAATTTGACTGCTCAGCAGGTTCTTTTCTTTTGAATTTCTTCCAAGTGTCCCTTTTTTATGCTTTCTTCTGTAGAGGACCAGTTTATTTGCTAAGGATTCCTTAGAAAGGAATGCCCTTGGCCAGGCACAGTGGCTCACGCCTATAATCCCAGCACTTTGGGAGGCCGAGGCAGGTGGATCATGAGGTCAGGAATTCAAGACCAGCCTGGCCAACAAGGTGAAACCCTGTCTCTACTAAAAATACAAAAATTAGCCGGATGTGGTAGCAGGCGCCTGTAATCCCAGCTACTCAGGAGGCTGAGGCAGAGAATTGCTTGAACGCGGGAGGCGGAGATGGCAGTAAGCCGAGATCACGCCACTGCACTCCAGCCTGGGCAACAGAGCAAGACTCCAAAAAAAAAAAAAAAAAAAGAAAGAAAGAAAGTAATGCCCTCGCATTTTGCACTAAGGAACTAGAAAACCTTCCCATCGGTCCTGGCATAGCGCCTCTTGTGTCTGGGGTAGATCTTGTACCTGCTGAAACTGCATAGCTCAACTTTCAGGGCAGAAGCTCCAGAGGCTCAATGTTAGGTAATTTCTAATAACATACCAACCTTTGTAACAAAGAATTTGGCTACGTATTAGAATCAGTTCTTTCAGCCAGGCACGATGGCTCACGCCTCTAATCCCAGCACTTTGGGAGGCCGAGGTGGGTGGATCACCTGAGGTCAAGGAGTTCAAGACCAGCCTGGCCAACATGGTGAAACCCTGTCTCTACTAAAAAATACAAAAAATTAGCTGGGTGTGGTAGCGGACACCTGTAATCCCAGCTACTCAGGAGGCTGAGGCAGGAGAATCTCTTGAACCCAGAAGGCAGAGGTTGCAGTGAGCCGAGATCACACCACTGCACTCCAGCCTGGGCAACAAGAGTAAAACTCTGTCTCAAAAAAAAAAAAAAAAAAAAAAAAAAAATCAGTTATTTCAAGGTAGTAAGCTTCAATCCAAAATAGAGCCTAAAGCCTCTGGAATGCTGATTAACTCTGAAGAGTAATACAATCTCATTCCTCATCCAAAGAATGTGAGATCCAAGTTCCAGTTTAGCCCATGAGGGCAATAAGTCAACACATTATTTACATGTTCTACTACAGTAAGTTTTAAACTGTATGTTCAAATAAAATCTTATTTGGAACAGATAAGTCAGATCTGCTCTAGCTGAACCCCTTCTGCCTGTTCTAGCTCCAGCTGCCTTTCCCAGAAGTAGTCCCTGAAGGTGCCTCCATGGAACAACTGGAAGCCACACTTCTGCTGGAAGTAGATGTTAGGGTAGAAAAAAAGTGGGACCAATCAAGTAAAAGAACAGAATACGATGGCTCATTAGAATCAATAATTTCTTTTATTACATGAAAGCAAACAAAAATTGAGCAATGTACAATGCTGATGCACTGTTAATAACCCTGATAATAGAGATAAATTCTGATACCACATACTGACTCATTACTGTGCATCTCACTGCTACCTGCCCTTAAGATACTCTCTTTTTCTTTTCTCTCTCTCTCTACATGTTCTCATCTGAAGGATATTCTTAGACTGGAAAGTTCAATACCAAAATCTTACATGCTGGGCTATGAGCAGATGTCCTATATATATGTATGTAACTTCAATCACTGGGAGATGTCCAGGAGTACTTTATCCAGGTCATTCTCCCTTGGGTCTGAGATAAAAATAACCTAAGTCCTATCTGGATAATCTGAAGAAGGGAGGAAATGCAGTATTTTTAAAAGTTTAGGGTAAAAAAGAAAAATTAACTACCATGGATTCTTTTTGTTCATTTCTAACAAGTTCAAATATTTAAACATTGGTTTACTTTTCCTTATCCTGCCCACAAACTAAAAATAATTCAATACTGTCAGGTCCAAGATTTAAGGCAATAGTTTTCAAACTCTTTTTTTTTTTTAGGTAGCAGAACTCTTTCTACAAATGAAATATTTCTTGATTTATAGGGTTGCTACATATAAAAGTCCAGATATCATAGAATGCCTATACCTGTCACTGTTTTATAACACAGTTGCTGTGGAATGATGGGCTTTAGAATGTTATGCTGGTGGAGATGCACTTTACAAGCCTATGTGGTAGAAGTGGTGGGTAGAAACAAGGATAGGAAGTGCCTCTGACATACAGTATAACCAAATACAAGTTTTATAGTGGACTCTATCTCTTAAGAGAAAGGAAGGATTAGGAAGTCAACAGTTAAAGCCAGAAAGGGAAACAAATACAATAATGATAGCTAAAACACACTGAGTACTTACCATATTTCAGGATCTTTTTTTTTGAGATGGAGTCTCGCTCTGTCTCCCAGGCTGGAGTGCAGTGGCATGATCTCAGCTCACTGCAACCTCCACCTCCCAGGTTCAAGCCATTCTCCTGCCTCAGCCTCCCAAGTAACTGGGATTACAGGTGCACGCCACCATACCCAGCTAATTTTTGTATTTTTAGTAGAGATGGGGTTTTGCCACATTGGCCAGGGTGGTCTGCAACTCCTGACCTCAAGTGATCCACCGCCTTGGCCTCCCAAAGTGCTGGGAATACAGGTGTGAGCCATCGCGCCTGGCCATATTTCAAGATCTTTATAAGCCTTATCTCATTTATCTACTCAGTAAGATGAATTTAATAGGAAAGAAAATGTCTTGAAGAGCCAGTAAAATTACTGCTAATTTTAACAAAACATTTTTGTGATTTATTTTTTATTTTTGAGACAGTTTTGCTCTTGTCGCCCAGGCTGGAGTGCAACAGCGCAGTCTTGGCTCACTGCAACCTCTGTCTCCCAGGCTCAAGCAATTCTCCTGCCCCTGCCTCCCAAGTAGCTGGGATTACAGGTGCCCACCACCATGTCTGGCTAATTTTTGTATTTTTAGTAGAGACGGGGTTTCACCGTGTTGGCCAGGCTGATCTCAAACTCCTGACCTCAGGTGATCTGCCCGTCTCGGCCTCCCAAAGTGCTGGGATTACAGGCATGAGCCACTGCGCCAGGCCCATTTCTGCGATTTTTGTAAGATACAAGATGCCATGTTGTTTCCTGAGATTTGTGTAGGAGTGATTTAATTTTTAAAAAAGGCCAGGCATGGTGGCTCACACCTGTAATCCCAGCACTTTGAGAAACTGAGGTGGGCAGATGGGTTGAGCTTAGGAGTTCGAGACCAGCCTGGGCAACATAGTGAAACCCTGTCTCTACAAAAATGTACCAAAAATATAGCCAGACATGGTGGTATGTGCCTGTAGTCCCAGCTACTTGGGAGGCTGAGGTGGGAGGATTGCTATAGCCTGGGAGGCAGAGGCTGTGGTGAGCTAAGATTGCACCACTGCACTCCAACCTGGGCTACAGAGGGCGTCTCAAAAAAAAAAAAAAAGCCAAAAAACAAAAAAACCTGTAATCCCAGACTTTGGGAGGCTGAGGTGGGAGGATCGCTTGAGGCCAGGAGTTTTGAGACCAGCCTGGGTAACACATTGAGATTCTGTCTCTACAAAAATTTTTTTTATAAATTAGCCAAGTGTGGTGGCGTGTGCCTGTTGTCCTAGCTACTTGTGAGGCTAAGGCGGAAGGATCATTTGAGCCCAGGAATTCAAGGCTACAGTGAGCTAAAGATTGTACCACTGCATTCCATCCTGGGCAACAGAATGAGACTCTGTTTCTTTTAAAAAAAAAAGCCTCTGAATAAATACTGCTGATAATTGGTACTACAGTTTGATCACTTCAGTAGTTTAAACTTGTACAACTGGCTCTGGAGAACAAAAGGAAGAAAAGAAACACATAGGAGCAAATGGGAGGAGAACTGGAATTCTCCCAGATAAAAATTCATATTTGAAGCTATCTCTGAGCACACTCAGCAGCAACTGAATACAATATCTTAACTGTATGAATAACCTAGGGAGGACAACAGCACAGCAGGCAGAACAGAAATGAGAAGGCAGAATCTACAAGAATGAGAATCACTTGCTCACAGTCTACTTAAAGCAGCTGGAAGCTGCAGTATAAGCTAGCAAACAGAGAACCAGAGATCATTAAAAATAAACAAACAAACCAAAATCACCTGTAATTTGTCCATTGCTACAAGGCCCCTGAAATCTCAGCTTTGGGGGAAGCACAGTCTCCCTGTGATTACACTGGAGAATGATAAAGTTTCCAAACGGCTAGCCTTAAAATATTTCAAGAAGTGGGCAGAAGTCAGAGGCAGCTCCTTCCCACTGCAATGTATTTCTAACATTGTTCAAAATAGCTAACAACATGTTTCTGTTTTCTTGACAGAAGGCACTTACTGCTTGCTTGGCAAGAAAACCAACTCAGAGGCCTTAACTGCAGGGAGGCCAATCAAAATCCCTACTGCGACCAAACAAGTAGAAACCTGTGACACAGGTATTCCCCAGAAGCAACACTATTTAAGTCATTTCCCCCCAAGCTTTTGGCCAAGATGCACACAAACAATTTTGTGCAGGGAAGATCATGTGATCTAATGGCTAAAGTAAGCAACCAGGAAGCATTAGGCCAAGCTTATCCAACCTGTCGCTCGTGAGTCACATGCAGCCCAGGACGGCTTTGAATGCAGCGCAATACAAATTCGTAAACTTTTTTAAGACATTATGAGTTTGTTTGTTTTTTATTCCTTAGCTCATCAGCTATCGTTAATGTATTTTATGTGTGGCCCAGGACACTTCTTCTTCCAGTGTGGGCCAGGGAAGCCAAAAGATTGACACCCCTGGATTAGGCAAATTACTTAACTTCTTTGTCTGCTTCCCTGAATGTAAAACAGGAAAATATCTATTCCTCAGGAATGTGTTGAAGCTATAGAAGATAACAAATGTGAAACCTCACAAAAATGAAACAGCAACAAACATTCAAGGTTGAGCCTGAGCAACATAGTGAGACCCTGTCTCTACAAAAAAATTTTAAAAATTAGCCAGGTGTGATGGTGCACGCCTGGAGTCCCAGCTACTCAGGTAGCTGAGGTGGGAGGATAGTTTGAGCCCAGGAGGTTGAGGCTGCAGTGAGCCATGATTGTGCCACTGCACTCCAGCATGGGCAACAGGGCGTGACCCTGTCTCAAAAAAAAAAAAAAAAAATCAAGATTGTAAAGACAGCTAAGTATTGTACAGTATTAAGAACACAGACTTGGGGATGACTCTACCTCTTGCTGGCTGTATGATCTCAGGCAAGTTATCTAACCTTTCTATGCTTCAATGTCCTCATCCACAAAAATGAGGATAATAATAATATGCAACTCATAAGGTTTTGAGGATTAAATGACTTAATATATATGAAGAGCTTAGAATGGTAACTAATAGTAAATGCTATATGTATTAGCAATTATTACTGATAGTATTCATGTCTAAAATATCCTATGTATAAAACAGTGAAATCAGGCCGGGCACGGTGGCTCACGCCTGTAATCCCAGCACTTTGGGAGGCTGAGGCGGGTGGACCATGAGGTCAGGAGATCGAGACTATCCTGGCTAACATGGTGAAACCCCGTCTCTACTAAAAAATACAAAAAATTAGCCAGGCATGGTGGCGGGTGCCTGTAGTCCCAGCTACTCGGGAGGCTGAGGCAGGAGAATGGCGTGAACCCAGGAGGCGGAGCTTGCAGCGAGCCAAGATCGCGCCACTGCACTCCAGCCTAGGCGATAGAGCGAGACTCCGTCTCAAAAAAAATAAAAAAAAAAAACAGTGAAATCACTATAAGTGAAAGGAACTGCCAGTAGGTGAATATACAGAGACCAGGCTGGACCTCTGCTCTACTAATTGTTAAAGGATTTAAAGGCTAATAATATGTGCCAAAGAAATACAATTTGAAAAATACAGTGAAAGGTGAAGGGGTCCACAGATCCAAGCCTAGGAGAGAAAACTTTCTAAAATTACCTTTCCAGAACAGAGGGAGAAGAAATTGTGAACTGTACTAAGGTGCAACCCTGAGAAGTACTGGAAACACAGACCCAACACATAGGAGGAGCTCATCATATCTCTTGCTTGCCTGGGTTATGGGGCAACAATGACTTGGAAGACATTACAACCAGGACTTTAGGATCCTGAGAAACTCAGGGAAAGAGTACTCTAAAAATTTAGGAAGAATTTTTACAAATGAAAGGAGATGGGGAAAGAGATGGCAGCAAGAAGGAACTACACTAAGCATGTGCATTGAGATCTCACAACATACATGAGACAAGACAGTTCTAAGATATGAGTCTTCTCTCTCTCTCTTTCTGAACCAAACATTTCTGCTTATTTCAATAAAATATGAGTAAGTACCAATTAGGGATCACGGAACTTCCTTATTTTTCCTTGGATACTGCTTCACTTGCAGTATACATTTGAAATACATTCTGAAAGCCTTCTGGTATGGCTGCAATACAATTATCCCTCCATTGTGTCCCAGGTCTCTATAATGAACCATGCAAACCAAATTTATTAAACAAATTCCATGATTCAAGGCAAAAATCTTTGTGTGGGTGAGGAAAAGGTCTTGGTGGCATCAGCCAATATTCTGGATAGGTTCTAAATACAAAACCCAGCCAAACAGTCTGCAACCTTCCAGTAGTTCTAAATGAGGAACCATAAAAATAATGTTGTTAATGCTCAGTAATATTAAGAGCATAATGGTATAATGGAATGGTAACAACACAAATCTGAATTATGTACCATGTTTCATTAGAGACATTTACACTCTGACTAATCAGTGTCACCTCTTCTTTAATGGCAGAGGACATAAAGAAACAGCAAGCAAGATTCCAAGCACTTACTCATGATTATACCATGACTCAGAAGCAAGCCAGAGGCTGAATCAGTGTCCTGATTTCTACAAAATCTGTGCCCCTCTAACTGTTCCAGGTGTGCTTATAAAGCCCCTTTTCATTCCTTCCTGACTTTCCATGGGCTCCTAGTGCACTTCACTGAGTGTTCTGCGAGTGACAGCTCAGGGACAATATGCTCCTGGACATGGTCATGCTGCCACAGGAGCTGCTGTAAAGACTCAGAGCTGTAAACAAAATACCTCTCTGTGGCATGAGCAAGTCATTCCTTTGGTCTGTAGTGCTGACAAGCTTCTTTAAACTGTTATCATCTTTTTTATTTTTTAGAGGTGGGGGGTCTCACTTTGTTGTCTAGGCTGACCTTGAATTCCTGGGCTCAAGAAATCCTCCCACTTTGGCCTCCCAAAGTGTTAGGATTACAGGTGTGAGCCAACCATACCCAAATCTGAAGTGTTATCATCTTTTTAAAAGCATTCATTTAGGGCCGGACGCGGTGGCTAACCCCTGTAATCCCAGCACTTTGGGAGGCAGAGGTGGGCAGATCAGTTGAGGCCAAGAGTTTGAGACCAGCCTTGCAAACATGGCAAAACCCTCTCTCTACTAAAAATATAAAAATTAGCTGGGCATGGTGGCGCTAATCCCAGCTATGCCAGAGGCTGAGGCACGAGAATCGCTTGAGCCTGGGAGGCAGAAGTTGCAGTGAGCCAAGATCACGCTACTGCGCTCCCGCCTGGCTAACAAGGTGAGAGTCTGTCACAAAAAAAATAAAAAATAAAAGCACTCATCTAAACATCTTACAGTTTACTATGGGGCAGAGGGAAAGAATTATTATTTATGTTGTGTTAAAGCTAACTATGTATAAAGATTAATAACATAAGTTCCAGTTATAGCTCAAATGAAAATCAATAATTTACAGGGCTATAGAAACTTCAGGGAGAGTACAAATACCTAAAGTATGTTATGGGTTTGAAAAGCTAACTGAACTATAAATTGCTGATCAATCAGTTGCTTCTGTTTCTTTTTATCCCCACTTAATTACAAAAAGGACCCCAAGTGAACCAGAAGGAACTGCAAGTCCTACTCCCATGAAGAATGAAGAATGAAATTAAACACCGACCATTACTATAGTTTTCTTAATAATGTTGAGAAGTATGAATGAAGACCTTGGATTAGGCTCTAGAGAAGTGATTCACCAAGTCAAGCCATTATTAACATTATAGATGTTGACTTTAAAATTCTGTAAAAAATAAATATATAGGTAAAAATAAAAAGCAGGGAGGAGGAGGAGGAAAAACAATAATAATATTTTAAAAATTTGTTTTAAAGGTTTTTTTTTTTAGAGACAGGGTCTCACTGTGTTGCCCAGGCTGGTCTTGAACTCTCGGCCTCAAGTGATCAGCCAGCCTCGGCCTCCCAAAGTGCTAGGATTATAGGTGTGACCCACCATGCCCAGCCAAAAATTTGGTATTTTTGAGCAGAATCTAAAAGAATGATATTTATGAAGCTGCCCCTTTTGTGCAGAGTAGTCTGGCATTCTATAAGAAAGATACAAGCCAGAAAACAATACCATTTCAATTAAAGCTGGTGTCTATGAATGGCAGTCTGCATACTACCTTCAAAGGGAACACCACAAGAGGTGAGAAAAGATAACATGAGTCACTGGGATTGACGAGACTGACACGGAAGACTGAACAAATACAATGGATTTAGTTAATGCTAAAGTAGTTTGCTTTCAAGCTTTCCTCTTTTAGTTCAATCTGCGTCACTTTGACTTTCCTTAAAGTTGTGTGGGAGAAAAGGAGGAATAAAATGTTGCCAAAAAAAAAAAAAAAACCCCCCCAAAAAAAAACCCACCGCTCAAGAAATGTGTAGAGAAAAATTTCTTAAGGTAAAATTTTTAGGAAGACTATTTCTTTATCTTAGATCTGGTATAACAAATATCCAGGCAGCTCTTCTATGGAGAGAAAAGAATCAAGTTCCCCTTCTAGGGACAGTGTACCAGTCCATGCAATATGAAAACTTGATTTATAATTTAACAAGTATACTCTACTTGTCTTTCCTGCCTGGGATGTAAATTTAACAGAAATCATGAAGATGCTCTTTGGGAAATACAGATTCCAATAGAGAATTACTGATCTACTGTATCATATTCAATTCTGAACTAAAATTAAAAAAAAAGTATTGGGTATTATTATGTAGTATTAGTATATATTAGTATGTAGTTCACTGAAAATGGAAAGAAGGAAAAAAGGGACTCAAAGTCTAACTATCTACTCTTAACAGCTCTTTGGCATTCACCACATAAGTTTTAGGAAAAGAGTTAACATAAACCCTTAGAGGGCTAATCAAAGATTAGAATTCAGCAATGCTGGGGCAGGCGTGGTGGTTCACGCCTGTAATCCCAGCACTTTGGGAAGCTGAGGCGGGCAGATCACTTGAGGTTAGGAGTTGCAGACCAGCCTGGCCAACATGGCGAAACCCCATCTCTAATAAAAAAACAAAAATTAGCTGGGCATGGTGGCAAACACCTGTAATCCCAGCTACTTGGGAGGCTGAGGCAGGAGAATCCCTTGAACCTGGGAGACAGAGGTTGCAGTGAGCCAAGATCGCGCCACTGCACTCCAGCCTGTGTAACAGAGTGAGACTCCGTCTCAAAAACAAACATAAAAAAGAATCCAGCAGTGTTGAAAATTCAACAGTCCTGAGAAACAAGAAATTCCCCATTTGGGCCTAAAAACTCTTGAGGAATTTCCATTCTTTTTCCTTGCTAGGGGAAATTCCGGGTAACAAAATATAGTGAACATTTAGTGATAGCAGTTGCTAGTGAAGTCCCAAGAATTCAAACTGATTCCCTTCCTTCTAAGAATGCAAGTGAGGGCCATTTAACCAATTACCTTAGTGTAGATTTACCTCAGATAAAAGTAAAATCACACAGTCCAACAGATATTTCCTACTACTATTATATAATCAATATTTTTACCCTCATCACAAGTCTTATTCACTGTGGTCAAAATCCAACAACACAGTAAGTTCAGCAACTTAACCACTAGATTTCTGAATTCTATAAGGGCAGGGGACATGTTCTATTCATCCTTCAATTCCTAGCACCCAAGACAGTGTCATCACACAGTTGGCGCTCGATAAACATTTGACAAAATAAACTGTTACCATGTAAAATGTCCGAGTCATCTTCAACAAAATCAATGTCTCTCAAGTCCCATTCTGCATAATTGTCAAATTCCTGTTTAGGGGAACAAAAAAATCCCCACCCCAAACCCATCGGCTTTGATTAGTGTCTTTACAGCAGCCATGCTTTAGAAGTAAACAGAAAAAACACAAGCAAACAGTTGTTTAAAAAGTCTAAATATGGCAAAAGGCCACAATACTGGCACAGGTAATAGGAAGTCATGGGAAAAATCTAAGAGGCTTACAAGCAGTAGTGACAACAAAAAATTGGAATAGTTATGAGTTTAGGAATGAAGCTAAACATACTGCTCTAAAAACTAAAATTAGTCTGAGCTGGGCACAGTAGCATGCACCTATAATCCCAGCTACTCAGGAGATTTAGGTGGAAAAATCACTTGAGACCAGGAGTTCAAGACTGCCTGGGAAACAGAGCAAGAGCCTGTCTCTGAAATAAATAAATAAAGTCAATTCATTCTTTTTTTTTTTTTTTTGGAAACAGGGTCTTACTCTGTCACTCAGGCTGGAGTGCAGTGGTGTGATCTTGGCTCACTGCAGCCTCGAACCCCCAGGCTCAAGTGATCCTCTTGCCTCAGCCTCTCAAGCAGCTGGGTCTACAGGCATGTGCCATCACACTCAAGTTAATTTTTGGTTTCGGGTTTTTTTTGTTGTTGTTGTTGAAGAAACAGCGTTTTGCCATGTTGCCCAGGCTGGTCTCAAACTCCTGAGCTCAAGCAATCCGCCTGCCTCAGCCTCCCAAAGTGCTGGGATTTACAGGTGTAAGCTACCGCATTTGGCCAAACTATCTTTCAAGTTGTGAATTAGATGATAAATCAAGAGACTTGTGGCTACATTCACATGTCTTTTAATTCCATAGCTGAGCAAGGAACATATAGTTTTTATACACATTCATCATTCTTTATATACTTGTGGATATAGTACAGGAATCAGTAAACTACTATTCAGCCTACTGTCTGTTTTTGTACATAAAGTTTTACTGGAACACAGGCGTATTCATTTATTCTTATATTATCCCATGCTGCTTTAGCACAATAATGACAAAGTATAGTTACAATAGAAACTTTATAGCATACTAAACCTAAAATATTTACTATCTGGCCTTTAATAGAATAAGTTTGTCAACCCCTGATACAGTACAATCTTGAAAGCCCCTAGATGTACAATAAGAACCAGACTACAAGCCAGGTGCAGTGGCTCACGCCTGTAATCCTAGCACTTTGGGAGGCCGAGGCTGGTGGATTGCCTGAGGTCAGGAGTTTGAGACCAGCCTGGCCAACATGGTGAAACCCTATCTCTACTAAAAATACAAAAATTAGCCAGGCATGGTGGCAGGAACCTGTAGTCTCAGCTACTTGGGAGGCTGAGACAGGAGAATCGCTTGAACCCAGGAAGTGGAGGTTGCAATGGGCCAAGACCATGCCATTGCACTCCAGCCTGGGCAACAAGAGCAAAAACTCTGTCTCAAAAAAAAAAAAAAAGAACCAGACTATAGGAATTTCATACCTAAGGAAGTGGAAGCCAGCACTGATGCAACTTAAGAGGTGGGTTTGCTGGGGTTTTTTTGTTTTTTGGAGACAGGGTCTTACTCTGTTGTCTAGGGTGCAGTTTAGTGGAATGATCACCACTCGCTACAGCCTTAACCTCCCAGGCTCAAGTGATCCTCCCATATCAGCCTGCCAAGTAGTTGGGACTACAGGCATGCACCACCACACCCAGCTAATTTTTTATTTTTTGTAGAGACAGGGTCTCACTACGTTGCCCAGGCTAGTCTCGAACACCTGGACTCAAGCGATCCTCCATTCTCAGCTCCCAAAGTGCTGGGATTACAGGTGTAAGCCACTGAGCCTGGCCAGAAATAGGTTGTTTGTTTAAAGAATTTTTACTGTTCCATATGTGAAAATGTTTACAAATGAGAAAAGGCACTCAAACCTAAGAAAATGTGGCTGCCTAAAGGTCCTACAAATTATAGTGCCTTGAAAAATCTCCTTTTAGTGGTATGGAATCTATGGGTGAGACAGAAGGCTCATGAGAAACAAAAATGAATTTTTCCTACTTTGTGCTAAAAACACATTTATCCTACCTCAATGAAATCTGCTCGAGCTGGCATGTACCCGGCCATGTCCCGAGAAAGCAAGGAGTCAAAGGTAGGTCGGGGAGGGTCATCTGTAGCTGGAAGAATTTAGAAGGTTTCTGAGTTAACTAATACAATATTGGCATGAAAAAAATGACATAATAGTCCAAGAATAAATAAAATTTAAAATGGTTTTTATAAAAGGAAATGTGAAAAAGATAAAGTATTATGAAAACAGGTTTTTTAAAAAGAAAAACCAAGACTCAGGCAATCCTTTAAGTAAATATGGGGAAATTTCTTCTGATTTCTGCTTTCCTAAAATGAAAGGAAATCATGACTTTTTTCCTTTAATATTACAGAACCTAAATATTTACCGTTGGCTTCGGCTCCCTTATCCCTTAGGATGAACTTCAATTTACAAAACTCATCCAACTGAGAGGCAAAAAAAAAAAAAAAAAAAAAAGACGGGAAAAAAACAAACACTGGAATTGGAAGTTAGCTGAAATTAAGTCCTAGCTCCAACACACACTAGTCCCATGACCCTGCACAAACTAACCTGTCTGCATCGGTCTTCTCGAATGTAAAACAAAAGCACTTGCTCTGCCTATCTCACTGGGTTGCTGTTAGGAAACAAATGGTCTAATGGATTTGAGAACAAAGTGCTAACACCAAAGTGCTATCCAAATAGGAGGTATCAACCAGGCACGGTGGCTCACACCTGTAATCCCAACACTTTGGGAGGCCGAGGCGGGCAGATCATAAGGTCAGGAGTTCGAGACCAGCCTCGCCAACACAGCAAAACCTTTTCTCTACTAAAAATACAAAAAATTAGCCAGGTGTGGTGGCATGCACCTGTGGTACCAGCTACTCAGGAGGCTGAGGCACGAGAATCGTTTGAACCCTGGAGGTGGAGGTTGCAGTAAGCCGAGGTTGTGCCACTGCACTCCAGCCTGGGAGACACAGCGAGACTCTGTCTCCAAAAAAAAAAAAAAAGGAGGTATTACCAGCCTTTAAGTTAGTCAGCTATAAAACTGTTTCTAGAGAGTATGAGGAAAGAGAAAAGGGAAGTGAAAACATTCATATCTCATTACTTGTACCCTGAGAGTCATTCAGGAAAGATGGTCATTTATAATTCATCATGTTTTTGGTTATATTTTATTAAGAGACCCACTGGTCCCACACGCACATGAGATTAAAAAGTTCGCCATCACTGACACAACCAAGCGAACAAAAATAACAAACTGATTCTTGGGCTTGACACCAAGGCAATTAATAATAATGAGTCAAATACTGTATTCTCTAAGCAACTCATATGTATAATCATAAGCTCTCCAAAGGGATTGAAAAAAAACTTGCACTCATAATAGCATAGAAAAGGTTTTCCCTTTTTGACATCTTATTTTACAAAGGAAAGCACTAAGTTAACTGATATGTTCAAAGGACTCAAGGTAGGTGGAACTACACATTGGCTTCAAGCACCTTGATGTCCTGTATAGAACTCTGACCCTTAGAGTATGTTCCTTCTTTGCCACATTATAATCCTGACTCTTTTTTTTTTTTTTTTTAAGAGATGAAGTCTCACTCTGTCACCCAGGTTGGAGTGCAGTGATGTGATCTTGGCTCACTGCAATCTCCGCCTACCCGGTTCAAGTGATTCTCCTGCCTTGGCCTCCCCAGTAGCTGGGATTACAGGTGTCTGCCACCACGTCCAGCTAATCTTTATACTTTTAGTTGAGACAGGGTTTCGCCATGTTGGCCAGGCTGGTCTTGAACTCCTGGCCTCAAGTGATTTACCCGCCTCAGCCTCCCAAGGTGCTGGGATTACAGGCACAAGCCACCATGCTGGGTCGATCCTGACTCTCAATAGCTGCCATACTAACTCCTCCTATCTTCCGTGATATCATTAGCTGTCCAAGTCATCAAATCACTCTTTATCTGCTACTGAAACAGGGCCCAAGGATGAGCTAAGTATATCTTATCAAGATAGGGAGGCACTTACAGTGAAATGGAATGGCTGTGTCAGCAGTTTTTGCTTCCTCTGCTTGTTTCAGGTTCAGCAGGGTAGATGCAAACAGAGGGTTATTGATGAAATGCTTCATATAGTGCTTCTCACACTCCTCCTTGGTCTTGGTGCACATTTGATTGGCTACATCCTGCCTAGAGGATTGTGGGAAAAAGAGAGAAGTGGTACTTGTATTTACACATAATACTAAAAGCATCATTTGCTCTTTTCATATTTTAAGTCACATCCATATAATATACTCTCATATTTCCAAATTGATATCAAAAAGATATCAGCAGAAAAATGACATAAATATAAGCCTAGATTGGTGTAATCTGGTGTTCCATATCTTGCTAGTCTAAAACACAGAAATAATGACTAAAAAGTCCTTTCTTTTCCACTTAAAGAAAGATGACTGAGGCCAGGCGCAGTGGCTCACACCTGTAATCCCAGCACTTTGGGAGGTAGGTGGATCACCTGAGGTTGGGAGTTAGAGACCAGCCTGATCAACATGGAGAAACCCTGTCTCTACTAAAAATACAAAATTAGCCAGGCGTGGTGGTGCATGCATGCCTGTAATCCCAGCTACTTGGGAGGCTGAGGCAGGAGAATTGCTTGAACCCAGGAGGCAAAGGTTGCAGTGAGCAGAGATCACGCCATTGCACTCCAGTCTGGGCAACAAGAGCGAAACTCCATCTCAAAAAAAAAAAAAAATAATAAATAAATAAATAAATAAATAAATAAATAAATAAAGATGACTGGAAAATTTGTAAATTTTCCTGTGAGCTAGGCCCTACAGAAATAATTGCTGTAAATAATAAGAAGTGACTTCAGAACATTCAAAATATACAGAAATATAGTTTTATTTTGCCTAATATTTTACGGTTTACCAAACACTTAACATAAACATTTCTTTACTAGAGCTGCTATGAGATGCCAGACACTGAGCTAGAAACATTCACAACAGAATTTAAGTTAAACCTAGTATCAAATTTGTGGTATGGATATTGTTACTATCTCAATTTCAAAGAAGGAAAAATGAGGCCCAAAATAATTAAGAAACTTGCTTAAGAATCTGGCCAGGCATGGTGGGGCACATCTGTTATTCCAGCACTTTGGGAGGCCAAGGTGGGAGGATGGCTTGAACTCAGGAGTTCGAGACCAGCCTGGGCAACACAGTAAAATCCTATCTCAACAAAAAATACAAAGATTAGCCAGGGGTGGTTGCACACGCCGGTAGTCCCAGCTACTCGGGAGCCTGAGCTGGGAGGATCACTTGAGCCTGGAAGGTTGAAGCTGAAATGAGTCAAGCTCATGCCCCTGTACTCCACCCTGGGCGACAGAGCAAGATCCTGTTTCCAAATAATAATAATAATAATAAAATTTAAAAATTAGCTGAGTATGGTGGCGCACACCTGTTGTTCCAACTACTTGGGAGTCTGAGGAGGGAAGATCCCTTGAGCCCAGGAGTTCGGGGTTATAGTGACTGTGATCACACCACTGCATTTCAGCCTGGGTGATAAAGTGAGACTGTCTCAATAAAAAAAAATCCCTGACTTGAGCCAAGGTAATGGAGAGGTACAGGTGGAAGTCCTTTCCTCAAGGTCTCTTTTTCACAGCATTTCACTTGACCTCCCCTAAGGCATCACTGTGCTGTTTTGTGTACTTCAATCACTTGTATTTTTAAGTCCCCTGCTAAACTATAAGCTTTCTGAAGACAGGATGCATCTCATAATTCTTAGCTCTAGCCCACTCACTGCCAAACTTAGTGCCTTACCCACAGCGGATAGAGAAGCTATGTCTTTTTTATGTTCTTTGTTAAGAGGGAAGGAGGACAGAGAGGTTTAGACTATTTTAGAGAGAATGGTAAGCAAAAAATGAAAAACTAGGCCAAAGATGACTAGCAAACTCCTCACAAGTGATTACTTTTCTACCTCCTTTGGTATTTCTCATTGTACACAGTATTTTATGATGCTTAATAAATACTGAATGAATGAATACAAGCAAAATGTGAACTAAATTCAGGTCTCCTTCTTCAGGTCCCTGGACATAAGGGAGGCAGGCAGCAGAGTTTATTCTGATGAACACCAAGAAAGGTTATATACACTAGTAAGTCAGGACAGGGAGGACCTAATTAAGAGTCCTTCAGTAATAAGCTATGTAATCACAAGAAATCATTTCAACCCCCTAGGCTTCAGATAATTTGTGAACAAAATATATTCAATAATGCCTCTGCTATCTAGTTCATAAAATAAAAGCATCCATATGAAAGTGTTCCCAAAAGATAAAAACGAAAGTGGTAGTATTAAGTGGTGCTGCCCCCTAGGTCAACAGCAATAAGTGCTATTCAATTCCGCCGGTTTTGGACTAAGGCAGGTAGGTGTTTGAAAGCTAAAAACAGAGAATGCTATCAGGAAGTCTGTGAAACTTGAATCTTACGTATGACCATCTAGCTAAAGTCTGATTCACTTAAATGACTAGGGCATCTACAACTAACAAAAATTCATAAAATCAGAAGGGAGTAATAACTAACGAAACTAAACTTCCCTACTATTCAGAAAGGAATAATAATCAATCTTCCCACTGTTGATACATCCAAAGTGGCCTTTTAAAGCTGCTCAGTCATGGACCGCTAAACATCCCATATCCTCGTGACACATTTCGACACTGGAAAAATAATGTACAGAGGGGACTAACTTGCCTCTAAATCATGGGTTGATAGGAAAGCAACACATACTTTCTCTTCCTGAGGTTCCTTCCTTTACTCTTCAACAACAGCTTCTTCTCTGAGTCCACTAGGGCAGGACAACTCTTAACACCAAGCTCTTACCAATTTCCAAAGCCACAGTCCATCACAGCTTCTAAAAGGGCCATTTCTTCTTGAGCAGTCCAGCTGGGATCAAGGACAGGAAAATCTGAAGTCTAAGGAGAAAAAAGTTTTGCTTAAGAACAGAGATACAAATGGAATCTAGGGGCCAGGCACGGTGGCTCACGCCTATACTCCCAGCACTTTGGAAGGCGGAGGCGGGCGGATCACCTGAGGTCAGGAGTTCGAGACCAGCCTGGCCAATATGGTGAAACTCCATCTCTACTAAAAACACAAAAATGAGCTGGGCATGGTGGCACACGCCTGTAGTCCCAGCTACTCAGGAGGCTGAGGCAGGAGAATCACTTGAACTGCGGAAGCAGAGGTTGCAGTGAGCTGAGATCACACCACCACACTTCAGCCTGGGCGTCACAACAAGACTCTGTCTCAAAAATCAAAAATAGGCCGGGCACAGTGGCTCACGCCTGTAATCCCAGCACTTTGGGAGGTCGAGGAGGGCGGATCACGAGGTCAGGAGATCGAGACCATCCTGGCTAACACAGTGAAACCCCGTCTCTACTAAAAATATAAAAAATTAGCCGGGCCTGGTGGTGAGCGCCTGTAGTCCCAGCTACTTGGGAGGCTGAGGCAAGAGGATGGCATGAACCCAGGAGGCGGAGGCGGAGCTTGCAGTGAGCTGAGATCGCGCCACTGCACTCCAGCCTGGGCGACAGAGCAAGACTCCGTTTCAAAAAAAAAAAAAAAATTAAAAATAAATGGAATCTAGGAACTTCAACTGTAGTAATAGTTTACAGCCGAATGATGAGAGATACCCAGGGTACATTCTTATTAGTTGTCCACCTCTCCCACCCGTTTCCACCATTAGCTAGAAGGGCCTCCATATCACCTATAAATGCCAAGCAATTCATGCAGATATACATATATTTTTAAACTTAACACAGAGGTAGAGATAAATATTTCAGTACGCTCCCATTTAGCTAAGAAAGAGGAAAAGACAAATATGTATGTATTTTTTTAAATGGAAGAATAAAACACACTTTAAAAAAAAAAAGGTTACTATGGGGAGGAAGAAAGAGAACAGGGTAGAGACATCTATCCAGAAGCTAGATGTCTCTGAATATTCCTTGCTTGTAGATTTAACTTTGAAACATAAAGAGTATAATATTAAACTTTAGGCTGGCCTCAGTGGCTCACGCCTGTAATCCCAACACTTTGGGAGGCCAAGGCAGGTGGATCTCTTGAGGTCAGGAGTTCAAGACAAGGCTGGCCAACATGATGAAACCTCGTCTCTACTAAAAATACAAAAATTAGCCGGACATGGTGGCACGCACCTGTAGTCCCAGCTACTCGGGAGGCTGAGGCAGGAGAATCGCTTGAACTGGAAGGTGGAGGCTGCAGTGAGCCGAGATCATAGCACTGAACCCCAGCGTGGGCAACAAGCAAGACTCCGTCTCAAAAAATAAAAATAAAAATAAACTTCAAAATCTTAAGAATAAAATGCAAAATATAACGAACTCAGAAATCAATTTGAAGGCATAATCACACAGAAAGGAACTATTTCAAGTGATTTTGAAACACTTAATTTGACTAAATATCTCTAAGTAGGATATACCTTAAAAACAAAAGAAATTGCCAAATCTTAAAATGTTTCTTTAGTATTGACAGTTATTTTGAGATTAGTGTATGTGTATATGTTATGAGGTAAAGCAAATAAATAATTACGTTGGTTAGTGTCATTGGGAAGTATAATTTTTGGCTTGGGAAAAAAAAAAGATATAGCTGTAAGATCTGTGAGGTTATGTAAAAACCTCGTAGTTGGCCAGGCATGGTGGCTCATGCCTGCAATCCCAGAATTTTGGGAGGCCTGGGTGGGTGGACTTTTTGGGCTCAGGAGTTTTGAGACCAGCCTGGGCAACATAGTGAAACCCCATCTCTACAAAAACTACAAAAATTAGCTGGGAGTGTTGGCATGCACCTGTAGTCCCAGCACTTTGGGAGACCTGGGTGGGTGGATTGCTTGAGCTCAGGAGTTTGAGACCAGCCTGGGCAAGATGGCAAAACCCTGTCTCTACAAAAACTACAAAAATTAGCTGGGCATGGTGGCGCGCACCTGTGGTTCCAGCTACTTGGCAGGCTAAGGCAGGAGGATCGCTTGAACCCGGGAGGTAGAGTCTGCAGTGAGTTGAGATTGCACCACTGCTCTCCCGCCTGGGCAAGAGACTCTGTCTCATAAAAACCAAAAACAGGCCGGGCACAGTGGCTCATGCCTGTAATCCCAGCACTTTGAGAGGCCAAGGCGGGCAGATCACGAGGTCAGGAGATCGAGACCATCTTGGCTAACACGGTGAAACCCCGTCTCTACTAAAAATACAAAAAATTAGCCGGGTGTGGTGGCAGGTGCCTGTAGTCCCAGCTGCTCGGGAGGCTGAGGCAGGAGAATGGCGTGAACCCGGGAGGTGGAGCTTGCGGTGAGCCGAGATGGCGCCACTGCACTCCAGCCTGCGGGACAGAGAGAGACTCCGTTTCAAAAACAAACAAACAAACAAACAGAAAACAAACAAACAAAACTCTTGTAGTCTCGTATTTAAATTGAAAGTTTTATTATGAACTCATGTGTTGTATCTTACAAGAAAAATAATTTCCTAACATCGTTCATTGAAAAGGTCCAGGAAAAATGACCAACCCAGTAGCAATGAGTAGCTGGGATTACAAGCATGTGCCACCACACCTGGCTAATTTTGTATTTTTAGTAGAGACGGGGTTTCTCCATGTTGGTCAGGCTGGTCTCGAACTCCCGACCTCAGGTGATCTGCCCGCCTGGGCCTCCCAAAGTGCTGGGATTATAGGCATGAGCCACCGTGCCTGGCAGCAAAGAAGCTCTTAAAGACTATAAAGGTCATGTCAAAAAAATTCAGAAGTCAACTTCCAGAGACTCCTGTTAACTAAAAATGGAATATTTTGAGCATCAATAAGTATAATAACCACAAAGGACTGAAACATCAAATATTTAAATATGTAGAGGATGCTAGGGAACCAATGCATATTCTCAAAACTAGTAAATAAAGGGAAGTAATCATCTTTTCTGTTTCCTTTCCTGTATAAACGTTACTCCAAGGGACCACACAATAATAAGAAATTTCTAACTCATAAATTAAAATGAGTGATAGAATTAAAAGATTAATGTTTTGCAATCCTTGGTGAATTAGCAGATCCAGACAATGGTCCTAAATGAATCTGAAGTAGTCATTAAATGTAACTACTAATTTATAGGAAACACAGAAGAGAGAGGAACACATTAGTCAACAGAATCCAGACTGTACTAACATCTGTAAGACAAACAATCCAGCTTTTAAAAATCAAACGAATAATAAGAAATGAGAGCGAGGAGCTTCCGGGCTGCTGAACACATGGAGGTAGAGGGCGGTGTACCCAGAGAGGACAGGAAAGCTCCGTACCCCTTCCCACATACACCCTGCCTCATGCATCTCTTGTGGCTGGCTGCTCATTTTTCAACATCACCAGTGTTAAATTATGTATCGTCTGATATGATAAAATGAGAAGGCAATTCACCTCTGTGATCTTCCACCTAAACATCTATAATCCAAATCTAATCATGATAAAATATCAAACCTATGAAGACAAAATTGAGAGACACTGTACAAAATACACTTCGACCTGTCAAGGTCATGAACAAGGAAAATCTAAGAAACTGTCATAGATTGGAGAAAACATTATGACTAAATGCAATGTGGGATCCCCAATTGGATCCTGCAACAGAAAAGGACATTTGTGGAAAATCTGGAGAAATCTGAATAAAATCTATAGTTACTAGTATTGTAGTAATGTTCATTTCTTTTGCCCCCCACTTTTTTTTTTTTTGAGACCAAGTCTTGCTCCATAGCCCAGGCTGGAGTGCAGTGGCATGATCTCGGCTCACCGCAACCTCCACCTCCTGGGTTCAAGCGACTCTCCTGCCTCAGCCTCCAGAACATCTGGAATTACAGGCACACACAACTGTACCTGGCTAATTTTTTGTATTTTTAGTAGAGATAGGGTTTCACCATGTTGGCCAGGCTGGTCTTGAACTCCCGACCTCAAGTAATCCGCCCACCTCGGCCTCCCAAAATGCTGGGATTACAGGCATGAGGAACCGAGCTCAGCCCTTTTTTCTCTTTGAGACGGGGTCTTGTGGGTTGACCAGGCTGGAGTGCACTGGTGTGATCATGGCTCACTGTAGCTTCAAACTCCCGAACTCAAGCAATCCTCCTGCCTCCACCATACAAGTAGCTAAGAATATAAGCATGTGCAACCACACCCACCTAATTTTTAAATTTTTCTGCAGCAATGGGGTCTTTCTAGATTGCCCAGGCTGGTCTCAAACTCCTGGACTCAAACAATTCTCCTACCGCAGCCTCTCAAAGTGCTGGGATTACAGGAAGGAGCCACCGCACCCGGCCAATGTTCATTTCTCAATTTTGACAAATGTACTATAATGTAAGATGTTAACATTTGGGGAAGCAGGATGAAGGATAGATGGGAACTCTCTATACTACATTTGCAACTTCAGTAAACCCAAAAATGGCTGGGCACGGTGGCTCACACCTGTAATCCTAGCACTCTGGGAGGCCAAGGTGGGAGGATCCCTTCAGTCCAGGAGTTTAAGACCACCCTGGACAACATGGCAAAACTCTATTTCTATTTCCCTATATTTTTAAGAAGAAAATTTAAAAAATAATTATTCTAAAATAAGACCAAAAAAAAGAAATGAGAGAAAGGGAAGGAAAACCCATACAGAATAGAAAATACATAAAAGGCAACCAATTGGAAAATTGAAATGTGTGAATCTTATTTGTATCTGAATTAAACAAACTGCAAAAAGTAAAAAAAAAAAAAAAAAAAAAAAAAAATTGTAATACCACAATACCACACTGCACTGACTAAAATAGCTAAAATGAATGAAACTGACAATGCCAAATGTTGGCAAGCACATGAAGCAATCAGAACTCTCATATATTGTCGACAGAGGTGTAAAATGATATAAATGCTTTGGAAAACTTGCCAATCGTTTATTTAAAAGTTAAACAATCATTTACTCTATGACCCAGCAATTTCACTCCTAGGTATTTATCCAAAAAACAGTGAAAACATATGTACATAGAAAGCTTTATATAAGAATACTCATTGCAGCTTTATTCACAATAGCCTAAACGTGGGCAAGGCCCAGGTGTCCATCAAAGGGAGAATGGATAAAAAACTGTATTATGTTCGTACAACAGAATATTACTCAGTAATTAAAAGAAATGATTAGTAGCAAATGTACCAGTAACATACACAACATGAATAAAACTCAAAAGCATGCTGAGTGAGTCCAGGCGCGGTGGCTCACACCTGTAATCCCAGCACTCTGGGAGGCCAAGGCAGGTGGATCACCTGAGGTCAGGGGTTCGAGACCAATCTGGCCAACATGGTGAAACCCCGTCTCTACTAAAAATACAAAATTAGCCAGGCGCGGTGGTGGACGCCTATAATAATCCCAGCTACCTGGGAGGCTGAGGCAGGAGAACTGCTTGAACCCGGGAGGCGGAGGTTGCAGTGAGCCGAGATTGTGCAATTGCACTCCAGCCTGGGCAATAGAGCAAGACTGTCACAAAAAAAAAATAAATAAATAAATAAAAAAGCTGAGTGAAAGAAACCAGAAACAACAGAAGTGTACATACAGTATGATTCCATATATATGCAGTTCTAGAATATGCAAAACCAATCTACGCTGATAAAAAAAAAAATCAGAACAGTGATTGTTTCAAGGGTAAAAAAGGCAGCAGGGTTTTAGATATTAAGCCTTTATGAAATGACGGGGAATGTGAAAAGTGACTAGAATTACGTAGAGACCTAATGAAATACTGAAAGATGAAATGATATACTGTCTAGGATACTTGCTTCAAAATAATCTAGAAAGGTGATGGTTTAGGCTGGGTGCAGTAGCTCACGCTTGTCATCCCAGCACTTTGGGTGGCCGAGGTGGGCAGATCACCTGAGGTCAGGAGTTCAAGACCAGCCTGGACAACATGGTGAAACCCTGTCTCTACAAAAATTAGCCGGGCACGGTGGTGTGTGCCTGTAATCTGAGCTACTCAGGAGGCTGAGGCGGGAGAATCGCTTGGACCCAGGAGTCGGAGGTTGCAGTGAGCCGAAATCAACCCACTGGACTCCAGCCTGGGCGACAGGGCAAGACTCTGTCTCAAAAAAAAAAAAAAGAAAAGATAAAAGAAAAGGTGATGGTTTAGATAAAGTAAGATTGGCCACGAGTCAATAATTTTAAGAGTTAGTGATGGGTAAACGGAAATTTATTACCATTATGTAGTAGTTGGTTACAATGACAACCACATTTTCATCTGAGCACGTACTATGAATATGCCTAGCACATGATGTATTATGAGATCCAAGAGAGAAATTTTGGAGTCTATGCCTATACTAAATTCATAACCCTCTTGGGACTTTCAGCCTAAGTACATCATGTGGAGCCAAGAGCCACCCTCACTGTGCCTAATCTGAATGCCTGACCCACAAAACTGTGGGAGATAATAAAATGGTCATTTTTAAGCATGAGGTTTTGAGGTAGCTGTTACATAGCAATAGATAACCAAACATCATTCTCTCTTGTGTATATCTGAACTTTTCTATAATAACAAGTAAAAAAAAAATAATCTGAAGACCACACAGGAGGTCTTCAGATTACACAGGCACTTAGAACTTGTTATACCTTTTGTTAATGACAAAAAAAAAGTCATGATTTGTGAGATTACACTACCAATAAGCAACACATTTTCATCTGAGCACGTACTACGAATATATCTAGCACATGAGGTATTATGAAATCCAACAGAGAAATTTCAGAGTCTATATCTATACTAAATTCATAATCACTCTCAATTCAGCAAGTACCAAAAGACATGTAAATATGACAACACACACATTAGTTGAAGAGACTGTCATTTGTAAAACTGTATTTTAGAATATTAATTGTTTCTCAACCAACTTTACTGTGAGATAAACAATAAAAACTTTCTACATCACAGACACACCAAAGAAGGCACAAGGCAGTTTTACAAAAAGTTGAATTAATATTATTCAACTCCTGGACCAAACCTCAGCACTTCTGAACCACAATCTCTCACAGAAGAGTCTAGAAATCTACATTTATAAGAAGCTCCCAGGCAGTTCTTATGTACTGAAGTTTAAGAATCACTGGTATAAAAGGGTGTGGCAGAAAGAGCTGCCTTGACTTGTTCAAAGTTCTAAGAATTACAAGACAAAAATAGGCATAGAATTCAGAAATCCTGGTTAACACACCACCTACCACAGCATGAGTAACTCCCAAAAATACAGCTCTGTGACATGACAAAAGTACTGAAAACCATTTAAAGTTATCTGAGGCAAAAAAATCAAGTTTTGTGTAGAAAGCTAAAATTTGGTCATCATGCCTATAGAAGGAAAGATTCACTGGGAATAAATAAGATGGGCCACAAAAAGGAAGTATTAGTAACCCCCAAAAGCTCCCCAAAGTAAAGGACAGTACTCTGAAATGTGATTGTATGGGTGTTGAATACGTGAGAAAAGGATGATGTAATCAGAATGAAGTGATGTGGAGTGAAACTTAGTCAGTGCTTTCAGCATTATGAAGAAGACATGATGCCAGAATAGCTAAAGAAAGCTCATGGTCAGCTTTCCTACAGTGAATAAGCATGACTACCAACCTACCCAAGCTATACTGAATTATCCCTTAAGGAGTTATTTCACAATGTGAATGAATAAATTTGTATTCTGGCTCTAGGTATTCTCGCATTAATTTGGGAAAAATAAACCAGCTTTCTGAAGACCTGATAACCTTGGTGAAATTAACTCAAATCCACAGCTACTTTGAACAGTCTCCTAACCCTTCATTTTTGCATTTAAAGGGGGAAAAAATTTATTCCAAGTCTTACAATTACTGAAGCCATTAAAAGACTGAAATTGTTTAGAGATGGATAGAGGAAGGCTAGTTAGTTGGCTCCCAAGAACTCTAACTGGTTCTTTGATTAATTCATTGTGGCCTAGAATCTGACCCTGAATATTATAAGCCCAGAAACTCATTTTAATAGGACTCCACCAATAGTCAGGCTCAGAGATGCTGATTCACCCTTTCTAAACTTTTAAGAGACTGAAGTAAATATACTGCAGTGCTGTAGGAGGCCCAATTCTAAAGATGTTCTCTGGCTGGGCATGGTGGCTCATGTCTATAATTCCAGCACTTTGGGAGGCCTAGGTGGAAGGATAACTTGAACCCCTGAGTTCGAGACCTGCCTGGGCAACATGGAGAAACCCTGTCTCTATTTTTTTTTTCAATAAATAAATAAAATAAAAATAAAGATGTTCCCCTCATCCTAAGATTCCTGTCTTCTGACTAGTCCATCAAACACTAGCGAGGTACTGCTGGGAAAGGACTTTACAGATGGAATAAAGGTTACTAATCAGCTGACCTTAAAGTAGAGAGACTATCCTGGATTACCCTGATAGGCCCAATGTAATCCACATGAGTCCTTATACATAGTTGAGGTGCCTGCTGTGGTGGCTCACACCTGTAATCCCAGCACTTTAGGAGGTTGAGGGTTGAGGTGGGAGGATCACTTGAGCCCAGGAGTTTGAGACCAGCCTGAATAACACAGAAAGACCCCTAGACGCCTGAATAACATAGAAAGGCCCCTAGACCCCTGTCTACAAAATTTTTCTTTTTCTTTTTTTTTTTTTTTTGAGACGGAGTCTCACTCTGTTGCCCAGGCTGGAGTGCAGTGGCACAATCTTGGCTCAATACAAGCTCTGCCTCCCGGGTTCACATCATTCTCCCGCCTCAACCTCCCGAGTAGCTGGGACTACAGGCGCCCACCACCACACCTGGCTAATTTTTTGTGTTTTTAGTAGAGATGGGGTTTCACCATGTTAGCCAGGATGGTCTCGATCTCCTGACCTTGTGATCCACCCGCCTCGGCCTCCCAAAGTGCTGGGATTACAGGCATGAGCCACCAAGCCTGGCCTACAAAAAAAATTTTTAAATTAGCCAGGCATGGTGGCTTGTGCCTATAGTCCCAGCTAGTCAGGTGGCTGAGATAGGATAGCTTAAGCCTGGGAGGTCGAGGTTACAGTGAGCTGTGATTGTGCCACTGCTCTTTAGCCTGGGTGATAGAGTGAGACCCTGTCTCAAAGTAGAAGAGGAAAGCAGAAGAATCACTCATAAAGATTCAGCACAGGAAAGATAAGGCAATAGGAGAGGTCATAGAGATTCCCTGGATTTCATCAACAACCTCAAGGACTTCCTGTGCTCCTGGCTTTGAGGATGGAGAAAGGGGGCCCAGAGCCAGGGAATGCAGACAGCCTGTGGAAACGGAGAACATGCCCTGATCAAAACAGTGGCATCCTTCCTAAAACCTTAAGGCAGTGAATTCTGCCAACAACCTGAAAGAACCTAGAAGTGGATTCTACCCCAGGGCCTCCAGGTGAGAGCCCAGGCTGGCCAACATCTTCATTTCAGCCTTATGGAACCTGGAGCAAACCAGCTGAGCCTAATGATCTTCTGATCCACAGAACTGTGAGACAAATTTGTGTTGTCTTAAGATATCTAATTTTTGGTAATTTGTTGCAGCATCGATAGAAAATATAGATTAATCTACTATGTGAAATTTTAACTGTCAAGCCTGCCAGGATCCTTTCCTGTAAGAACAACTGCATGGGGGCCAAATGTCAGAAAACTGCTTGAAGTAGGAGATTTAGTTATATGCTTAATATGTTCTGATAACTGACAAAACTGTCTTTTTTTTTTTGAGATGGAGTCTCACTCTGTCGCCCAGGCTGGAGTGCAGTGGTGCGATCTTGGCTCACTGCAACCTCTGCCTCCTGGGTTCAAGCGATTCTCCTGCCTCAGACGCCCAAGTAGCTGAGACTACAGGTGCACATCACCACACTCAGCTAATTTTTGTATTCTTAATAGAGACAGGGTTTCACCTTATATTGGCTAGGCTGGTCTTGAACTCCTGACCTCAAGTGATCTGCCCAACCTGGCCTCTGGAAGTGCTAGGATTACAGGCGTGAGTTACTGTGCCTGGCCAACAAAACTATCTTGACAAAGGTATATATACCCGTCAAGCAGACTGGATATTCACTTTGGCTTATTAAACCACCCACTCCCATGGCCAGGGCTTGGAAGGACACTACGAACACTCTTATTCCTTCTTTAAGTGTGGCATTACAATTAAGCTATAGCCAAGTTTTATTCAAGCTTATAAACCAGTCTGCCTCTTCAGTGATTTTATGTATTAATTCATTTGCTGTGTTCACTTTATAACCTGACTCTCAGAAGGTAACTAATTTCCCCAAGGCAAGGGAATGAACTGCTCAACAAAAACACCACTGTCCACATGAACCACATAAAAATACCATGAGCACACAGTGACAACACATTGGCTATGTTTATCAATGAGTTTAAAAAGCAGCATACCTGTTATCCTCATATCAAAAGTATTTCCTTTGAATAATTTCCAAATTTCAAACAAAAATCTGAGTATATAAAACTATTTTTGTGCTTAAATACCTTGATAGATCCACAAAACCCTAAAAAACTTATTGGATAACAATTACCTATTTCCGAAGGGGAGAAAAGGTAAAGATACTCAGAGATTAAGAAAACTAATTCCCTGAAGTCCAAGAGAGCTTAAAGAAAAATGGAAAAGAAAAACTACTTCCCAGTCTAATTCTTAAAAAAAGTGAACAGAAATTCCCAGCAACTTCATCATTACCATTATTTCATAAGTATGATCGCTTTGATGTTTCTTGTACTCAAAGCCTCGAGTGAAACACTGCAAAGAAAGAAAAATTAAATTAGCAAAAGCTACTTTCTTAAAGGACAGAGGAGGTTTGTGTTATTCTTCTGACAAGTTTGGGTTTTTAAAATTTTATTTTTGGAGACAGGGTCTCGTTCTGTCACCCAGGCCGAAGTGCAGTGGCACCATCATAGCTCACTGCAGCCTTGAACTCCTAGGCTCAAGGGATCCTTGTACCTCAGTCTCCCAAAGTGCTAAGATTACAGGTGTGGGCCACCACACCACTTCTTGACAAGTTTTTTTTTTTTTTTTTTTTTTTTCTGAGACGGAGTCTTGCTCTTTCACCCAGGCTAGAGTGGCGCCATCTCAGCTCACTGCAACCTCTGCCTCCCAGGTTCAAGTTGATTCTCCTGCTTCAGCCTCTCGAGTAGCTGGGATTACAGGCAGCCGGCACAACACTCAGCTAATTTTCGTATTTTTAGCAGAGACGGGATTTCACCACCTTGGCCAGGCTGGCCTCGAACTCCTGATCTTGTGATTCACCTTTCTTGGCCTCCCAAAGTGCTGGGATTACAGGCGTGAGCCACCGAGCCCGGACAACAATTTTTTAAGGATTCATTTAATCTTGTCTGCAGCTGCAATAGAATGGTGGAATCATGATCACAGCTTTTCAGTGGCCCTCATGGAGAAAAAACAAGTCTGAAAAAAATACTTTTTTCTAAGACAACTCTTTGAGGAGAGCATATGCCCTGGAATCACAATCATATAGCCTAAATTTGAATCCTGGCTCTGAAACCGTATTTCAGCCATTCTAAGATAAATATTGTTTCATATTTTAAACTCTGGGCTGGGCATTGTGGCTTGTGCCCATAGACCTAGTTACTCAGGGCAGGCTGAGGGAGGAGGATCATTGAGCCCAGGAGGTCGAGGCTGCAGTGAGCTATGATTATACCACTGCACTCCAGGCTGAACAGCAGAGCAAGACCCCATCTCTAAAAAAAATTCTTTATTTTTTTTTAAAGAAAAATAAAAAGTCCCTGAAGTAGGCCTGGAGTAATCCTAGCATTCTGGGAGGCTGAGGTGATAGGATTGCTTGAGCTCAAGAGTTCCAGACCAGCCTGAGCAACAAGGCGAGACCCTTTCTCCACAGAAAAAAAAAAAAAAAAAAAATTAGCTGGACATGGTGGCACAAGCATGTAGTCCCAGATACTTGGGAAGCTGAGGTAGAAGGATCACTTAAGCCTGGAAGATAGAGGTGGCATTGAGCCATGATCATGCCACTGCACTCCAGCCTAGAGGACACAGTGAAACCCTGTCTCAAAAAAATAAAAAAACTCTCTGAAATCAAGATTCATCTTATAATCGAAAGTACATCACAACTTTCATCAGCCAGTTTTACATTTTAACATTTCTGAAATTGAGGTGCTTCTTATAATCAATGGTGTCTTAGATCTGATAAAATATGGTATTTGCTGTGTGACCCTGAACAAGTTACTTAACCTCTCTTAGCCTAAATTTCTTCATCTATAAAATGGGGATACTAATCATAGGTACTTCATAGGATTACAGTGATGATTTAAGGGTTAATTCATGTAAAGTACTCAAAGTGGTGCCTGGGACAGAGCAAGTACTTATAATTAGTATTATTATTACCATTATCACCCACAAAAATTGTTTCTTCCCTTGTCATCTGTACAGAGATCAGTCTTCAACAAGACAATAAACAGTGTCATCAAAAGGAATAATCTTCCAGTTATGTTTCCTGTAATTTCAATACTTTAAATTAACTTAAAAAAACAGTGTTATGGCCGGGCGTGGTAGCTCACGCCTGTAATCCCAGCACTTTGGGGGCTGAGGCAGGAGGATCACTTGAGGTCAGGAGTTTGAGACCAGCATGGCCAACATGAGAAAACCCCATCTCTACCAAAAATATAAAAAATTAGCTGGGAATGGTGGCATGCACCTGTAACCACAGCTACTCGGGAGGTTGAAGCAGGAGAATCCCTTGAAGCAGGAGAATCCCTTGAACCCGAGAGGCACAGCTTGCAGTGAACCGAGATCACGCCACTGCACTCCAGCCTGGGTGATAGAGCAAGACTCTGTCGTGGAAAAGAAAAAAAAGAAAAAATAGCTGGGCACGGTGGCTCACGCCCTGTAATCCCAGCACTTTGGGAGACCGAGGCAGGCAGATCACCTGAGGTCTGGAGTTCAAGACCAGCCTGACCAACGTGGAGAAACCCTGTCTATACTAAAAATACAAAATTAGCCGGGTGTGGTGGCGCATGCCTGTAATCCCAGCTACTCAGGAGGCTGAGGCAGGAGAATCGCTTGAACCCGGGAGGCAGAGGTTGCGGTGAGCCAAGATCACACCATTGCACTCCAGCCTGGAAAACAATAGCGAAACTCCCGTCTCAACAAAACAACAACAACAAAAAAAACAGTGTTAACTATTAGGGTTTTGTTTGTTTTTTGATACAGAGTCTTGCTCTGTCGCCCAGGCTGGAGTGCAATCTGCGAGGCAAGAGAATCACTTGAACCCGGGAGGCAGAGGTTGCAGGGAGCCAAGATTGTGCCACTACACTCCAGCCTGGTGACACAGCGAGACTTCGTCTCAAAAAAAAAAAAAAGATTCTCCTGCCTCAGCCTCCCAAGTAGCTGGGATTACAGGCACCCGCCATCATGCCCAGCTAATTTTTTTTTATTTTTGTGGAGATGGGATTTCACCATGTTGAACCATGTTGACCGGGCTGGTCTTGAACTCTTGACCTCAGGGGATCCACCTGCCTCAGCCTCCAAAAGTGCTAGGACTACAGGCATGAGCCACTGTGCCCGGCCAAGTATTAGGTTTAAACACAGATGTGGACTAATCAACAGTCTGTCTCATCTAACTGCTCTGTTTCTCAACTTTTCACTGGTAAAACGTATAATGAAAAATTGGGGCCGGGTGCGGTGGCTCACGCCTGTAATCCCAGAACTTTGGGAGGCTGAGGCAGATGGATCATGAGGTTAGGAATTCAAAACCACCCTGACCAACATGGTGAAACCCCGTCTCTACTAAAAATACAAAAATCAGCTGGGCATAATGGTGTGTGCCTGTAATCTCAGCTACTCAGGAGGCTGAGGCAGGAGAATCGCTTGAACCTAAGAGGTGGAGATTGCAGTTAGCAGAGATGACACCACTGTACTCCAGCCTGGGCGACTGAGTGAGACTCCATCTCAAAAAAAAAAAAAAAGAAAGAAAAAGAAAAATTGGAAGGAATAGATTTAATAAGACATAGATCTCCTTAGCAGTTGACAGTAATCTCCGAAATATTACATCATAAAAAATAGCATAAAACTAGGCTAGGAGAAGCCAGCATTAGTGAGTTACCTGCAAGCAGAGGAAAAAAGGAGGTGGCCCACATTCAGCACACTTGATATAAGGCTCCATGAGGTAGGAGGAGCAGCCTCGGCAAGGTGGCTTATCAGAGGGATCATCTAGAACAAACAGAAAACAAATGCACATTTCAGACCACCTTACGGTTATCTTAAGTGCAAAAAGGTGAAAATCCCCAAATGACCACACAAGTAGTGAGCTAAGCTGAAAAGTTCATGGAGACAAGATGAGCTCATTACAAATAAAAAAAAGCAAAAATTATGATCCTTTTAACTTCAGGGCAGCATTGTTCCCTTTCACACAGCATTTACGTAGATATGAACCCTGCAGAGAAATTTACAAGCATATGTTTGTTTGTTGATTTATTTATATATTTTTAGAGACAGGGTCTTGCTCTGCCACCCAGGCTGGAGTGCAGTGGCTTGACAATAGCTCACTGTAACCTGAAACTCCTGGGCTTAAGCAATCCTCCTGCCTCAGCCTCCCAAGTAGTTAGGACTACAGGCACATGCCACCACACCTGGTTAATTTTTTGTAGAGACGATGTCTCACCATGTTGCCCAGGCTGGTCTTGAACTTTTAGGTTCAAAGAATGTTCCTGCCTTGGCCTCTCAAAGCTCTGGAATTACAGGTATGAGCTACCATGCCCAGTCACAAACACATTTTTAACTGGAAGTTTCATAATATCCCAAACTTATTTTTCCAGGAGCATAAAATGGACACATACCTGCACATACAATATAAAGAAAATCTGACAAAATGTTAACAATTGCTGAATCTAGGTAGCAAGCATATAAATAATCACTGTAGGCCGGCCACATTAGCTTACCCTGTAATTCCAGCACTTTGGGAGGCCAAGGTGGGTGCATTACCTGAGGCCAGAAGTTTGAGACCAGCCTTGCCAACCTGGCGAAACCCTGTCTCTACTAAAAATACAAACAGCCAGGGATGGGGGCGCAGCCTATAATCCCAGCTACTTGGGAAGTTGAGGCACAGAATCACTTGAACCCGGAAGGCAAAGGTTGCCGTGAGCCAAGATTGTGCCACTGCACTCCAGCCTGGGCGACAGAGCTAGACCCTGCCTCAAATAATAATAATAATAATAATAATAATAATAATAATAATAATCAGCTGGGCATGGTGGCTCACGCCTGTAATCCCAGCACTTTGGGAGGCTGAGGCAGGCAGATTGCCTGCTCTTAGGAGTTTGAGACCAGCCTGGGCAACACAGTGAAACCCTGTCTCTACTAAAACTACAAAAAAATTGGCTGGGCACGGTGGCTCATGCCTGTAATCCCAGCACTTTGGGGGGCCGAGGCGGGTGGATCATGAGGTGAGGAGTTCAAGACCAGCCTGGCCAAGATGGTGAAACCCCATCTCTACTAAAAACACAAAAATTAGCCAGGTGTGGTGGTGCACACCTGTAATCCCAGCTACTCAGGAGGCTGAGGCAGAGGAATCACTTGAACCCAGAAGGCACAGGTTGCAGTGAGCCGAGATCGCGCCGCTGCACTCCAGCCTGGGCGACAGAGTCTTACTCTGTCTCAAAAAAAAAACAAAAAAATTAGCCAAGCATGGCGGTATGCATCTGTAGTCCCAGCTACACAGGAGGCTGAGGCAGAAGAACTGCTTGAACCCGGGAGGCGGAGGTTGCAGTGATCCGAGATCACGCCACTGCACTCCAGTCTGGGCAACAGAGAGAGACTCCGTCTCCAAAAAAAAATAAAAAAATAAAAAAACACATCATCATCATTGTACTGTTCTTTTGACTTTTCTATAAAAAGTTGGGGCAAATAAGAGAAAACTCCTTTTTTTTTTGAGATAGGGTCTCACTCTGTCACCTAGGCTGAAGTGTGGTTGCACGATCATGCCTCAATGCAGCCTCAACCTCCCAGGCTCAAATGAGCCTCCCACCTCAGCCTCCTAACTAGCAGGGACTACAGGCACAAGCCACCACACCCGGGTACTTTTTTAAAATTTATTTTCTGTAGAGACAAGAGTTTCACTATGTTGCCTAGGCTGGTCTTGAATTCCTGGGCTCAAACGGTTCCAGGAATTTGAGCTGCCTCAGCTTCCTAAAGTGTTGGGATTACAGGTATGAGCCATCACACTCAGCTAGCCTCTAAATACATGTCTCTTCTAAATACATATTTTGGAATATACTATTTTATATTTGAGTTCGGATTTTTCTTTTTTTTCTTGAGACAGGGTCTTCTTGAGACAGAGTCTTCTTGAGACAGGGTCTTAGACTGTTGCCCAGGCTGGAGTGCAGTGGTGAGATCATGGCTCACTGTGGCTTCAATCTCCCCAGGCTCAGGTGTTCCTCCCACCTCAGCCTCCCAAGAGGAGGGACAGACTTGCACCACTGCGCCTGGCTAAATTTTTACTTTTTGTAGAGACAGGGTCTCACTGTGTTGCCCACACTGGTCTTAAGAAGTCCTCCTGCCTCAGCTTCCCAAAGTGGTGGAATTATAGGCATGAGCCACCACACCTGGCTCTGAGTGGGAATTGAAACCCAGGAAGCTTCCTCCCTTTCTCCCATGGTAAGTACATAACACAGCAGATCTTCTACTCCAATGACAGTGGTATGTCTCCAAACTATGAAGACAAGGAGTACAATCCAAACTCTCAAAACTCATAAAAATGCAGATATATGTGTCCCTGGTTGCCCCAAATTCGGCCTCTGGAGTCACGGCAACCTAGCAAAATTGTTCTCTATGATCAATCACAAGAATCTAAGAGAAGAAAAGCTTTGAAGGTAGATGAAGGAATTTAATTTGTTCAGCCTGGAACAGGATTTCTCACATTCTGTAACAGTATTTGCCTCCCTAAAGTCCAAGAAATGTTCTTCAAGGTACCTTTCCCTCTTCCAAGTGAAGATCACTGTTCTCTTTATTTGTTTTTAAGAAGATAGAGAGAGTAGGCACGGTGGCTCAAACCTATAATCCCAGCACTTTGGGAGGCTGAGGCGGGTTGATCACTTGAGCTCAGGAGTTCAAGACTAACCTGACCAGCATGGCGAAACCCCATCTCCACTAAAAATACAAAAATTAGCCAGGTGTGGTGGTGGGCACCTGTAATCTCAGCTACTCAGGAGGCTGAGGCAGGAGAATTGTTTGAACCCGGGAGGCAGAGGTTGCAGTAAGCTGAGATCGTGCCATTGCACTCCAGCCTGGGTGACAAGAGCGAAACTCCATCTCAAAAAAAAAAAAAAAGACACAGAAGAAAATGATGAAAGAAAAAAATGTACTCCTGGCAGTAGCTTCAAATTCAATATATGAAACTGCGCAGCTACTCCATTTCCCCCATTTTAAATTTTAATGCAGAAGAACAAATCTTGCTATGTTGCTCAGGCTGGTCTCAAACTTCCAGCCTCAAGTGATCCTTCTGCCCCAGCCTCCCAAAGTACTGTGATTACAGGAGTGAGCCACTGCGCTGAGCCAAAAATTATTGTATATTAAGTGACAGGTGCCAACTTCTACCAAGTTACCCTCTTCCTCACTTCCTGTTAGATATAAGCTTGCTTCTCTCTTTCCTCCAACTATCCTATTTTTAAAAAAGGCATCAGCCACTGAGCAAAGTAGTTTTTTTTTTTGAGACGGAGTCTTGCTCTGTCGCCCAGGCTGAAGTGCAGTGGCGCGATCTCAGCTCACTGCAAGCTCCACCTCCTGGATTCAGGCGATTCTTCTCCCTCAGCCTCCCGAGTAGCTGGGACTACAAGTGCACACCACCACGACTGGCTAATTTTTTATATTTTTAGTAGAGACAGGGTTTCACCATATTGGCCAGGCTGGTCTCGAACTCCTGAAAAGTGGTCTTTTTTTTTTTTTTGAGACAGTGTCTCACTCTGGTTACCCAGGCTGCAGTGCAATGGCTTGATCTCAGCTCACTGAAACCTCTGCCTCCCACGTTCAAGCAATTCTCATGCCTCAGCCTCCCAAGTAGCTGGGATTACATGTATGTGCACTACACCCAGCTAAATTTTGTACTTTTAGTAGAGGGGGGGTTTTCCCATGTTGCCCAGGCTGGTCTTGAACTCCTGGATTCAAGCAATCTACCTGGCGTAGCCTCCCAAAGTGCTAGGATTGCAGGCCCAAAGTGATTTTTTAAATCCTTATGTCAAGAAGCAATTACTGCACGGGCCACGGTGGCTCATGCACGTAATTCCAGCACTCTGGGAGACCAAGGTGGGTGGATCACTTGAGCTCAGGAGTTCGAGACCAGCCTGGGGAACATGGTGAAACCATGTCTCTACAAAAAAAAACCCCACAAAATTAGGCAGGTGCAGTGGTGCATGCTTGGTGGTCCCAGCTATACGGAGGCCTGAAGTAGGAGGATCACTTGAGCTGAGATCGAGTCTGCAGTAAGCCTTGAGCATGCCACTGCACTCCAGCCTGGGTAAGAAAGCAAGACCCTCTCTCAAAAAGAAAAAAAAAAGCAATTACTTTGTAAAAGTAAGTTCTTAACATTCCAGACTAAAATAAAACTGTAAAGTATGTCATCCACAATTAGCATTTTGAAAAATATTTTTCCAACCTTTCTTCTATATAATATAGTACATATATTCAACAAAAGTAGAGGCTGGGCTCTGTGGGTCATGCCTGTAACCCCAGCACTTTGGGAGGAAAAGGCAGGATGATCGCTTCAGCTTAGGAAGTCAAGACCACCCTGGGCAATACTGCAAGACCCTGCTTCTACCAAAAATAATAAAAAGAAAAAATAGCCAGGCACGGTGGCTCATACCTGTAATCCCAGCACTTTGGGAGGCTGAGCCGGGTGGCTCACTAGAGGTTAGGGGTTTAAGACCAGACTGGCCAACATGGTGAAACCCCACCTCTACTAAAAATAAAAAATTAGCTGGATGTGGTGGTGGGCGCCTAATCCCAGCTACTCAGGAGGCTGAGGCAGGAGAATCACTTGAACGCAGGAGGGGGAGGTTGCAGTGAGCCGAGATCACGCCACTGCACTCCAGCCTGGGTGACAACAGCGAAACTCCGTCTCAAAAAAAAAAAAGAAAAAGAAAAAGTGGAATATCATACATGTTTTTTCACTTGACAACAAATTGCGGACATGTTTTCATGACAATACACATTGACCTTCCTTGTTCTTTCTAATGGATAAATAACATTCCATTGTATTAATTATATTATATAACCTAATTGTACTCAACTCCCCCCTAGGGAGCCATTTGGAAATCTGAGGAGGTACCTTTTTGTTGCCACAATGACCAGTGCCCCACTGGCATTCTGCAGGCCCCTAAAACAGGGATTCTAGGTATCCTACAATGCTCAATACATTCTAATAAAAATTGACTTTTTTGTGTGTCCTGTGCAACTTTCAAATGTCCCACCAGACATTCAAGTGAATGAAAAATCTCATATGACCTAGAAGCTAATTCCATGTTATATATAAAGCAAAGTATTTTTGAGAATTTTAATATGCACTGAAATTTCCAGACAGGCAATTGTATATAAGTCTAGAGGAGAATGTATTTTGTTTTGTTCAGAACGTTTAGTTATTCTAGCTTGTGGTGTTTCTTAGTCACCAACATGACACGCTTGAATCATTCTGCATTTGTATATGCACAGTGATTCAACATATGGGTTCAAGTATCTAGTACTTAAATCATGTCTTCTATTGTAATTATGTCTAAACATATTGAAATACATATTGCTTTATTATAAATTGCATTGTTTTACCATAGATTACTTCTCTTGTATTTATCTCTTTTATTATAGTTAGAGCATTATTATTTTTAATTTTTGAAATTATGTATGCCAGGCATGGTGGCTCATGCCTGTAATCCCAGCACTTTGGGAGGCCAAGACAGGTGGACCACTTGAGGCCAGAAGTTCAAGACCAGCCTGGTCAAGATGGCGAAACCCCACCTCCAATAAAAATACAAAAATTGTCTGGGCCTGGTGACGCACACCTGTAGTCCTAGCTACTCGGGAGGCTGTGGCATGAGAATCACTTGAACCTAGGAGGCAGAGATGGCAGTGAGCTGAGATCATGCCACTGCACTCTAGCATGGGCAACAGAGCGAGACTATGTCTCAAGAAAAAAAAAGAAATCACATATGTAGACATATTGTCTTATGTATTTTATTTCCAAATAGTAAACTTGGCTGATTGCAAACTCTCCCTCCCAGACTCAGTGATCCTCCCACCTCAGCCTCCCTAGTATCTGGGACTACAGGTGCATGCCACCATGCCCAGCTAATTTTTTTTTTTTGAGACGGAGTCTTGCTCTGTTGCCCAGGCTGTAGTGCAGTGGCGCGATCTCAGCTCACTGCAACCTCTGCCTCCCGGGTTCAAGCGACTCTCCTGCCTCAGCCTCCCAAGTAGCTGGAATTACGCCCACCAACACACCCAGCTAATTTTTGTATTTTCAGTAGAGGCGGGGTTTCACCATGTTGGCCAGGCTGGTCTCGAACTCCTGACCTCAGGTGATCCGTCTGCCTCAGCCTCCCAGAGTGCTGGGATTACAGTCGTGAGCCATTGTGCCCGGTCTTTTGTATGTACATTTCACATCTGTTCCTCAGGATATATATTTTCCTAGAACTAAAATTGTTGAGTGTACAGTTATTGAGCATTTTTAGGTTTTTGATACACAGAGCCCAACTGTCCTTCAAAAGGTATTTCAAAATTTTTTAAAATCTAAGAGAAAGACTTTTTATCTAATTTTTCACTGAGATAACAGGAAACAAGAGAGAGGCTTTTTTTTTTTTGAGGCGGACTCTCGTTCTGTTGCCAGGCTGGCAGGCTGGAAGGCTGGAGTGTAGTGGTGCGATCTTGGCTCACTGCAACTTCTGCCTCCCAGGTTCAAGTGATTCTCCTGCCTCAGCCTCTCAAGTAGTTGGGACTATAGGTGTGTGCCACCATGCCCAGCTAATTTTTGTATTTTCAGTAGAGATGGCGTTTCACCATGTTGGCCATGATGGTCTCAATCTCTTGACCTCGTGATCTGCCTGCCTCGGCCTCCCAAAGTGCTGGGATTACAGGCGTGAGCCACCATGTGTGGCCGAGTGAGGCTTTTTAACCATCATTCAAATTCAATAAAGGGTTAATAAACTTGACTACATTAATAAAAAGAAAACAAAAAACTTTTTTTGGCAAAAACACCATAAGGAAAGTAAAAAAGCAAGTATACTTTAAGAAAATATTTGTAAACATATCAGAAAAAAAGCACTGAAATCCCTAGTATGCAAACAACTTTAAAAAATTGAGAGGGAGGCCGAGGCAGGCAGATCACCTGAGGTTGGGAGTTCGAGACCAGCCTGGCCAACACGAAGGAAAGCCCATCTCTACTAAAAATACAAAAATTAGCTGGGCATGGCAGCATGTGCCTGTAATCCCAGCTACTTGGGAGGCTGAGGCAGGAGAATCGCTTGAACCCGGGAGACAGAGGTTACGGTGAGCCGAGATCGCACCATTGCACTCCAGCCTGGGTGACAAGAGTGAAACTCCGTTTAAAAAAAAAAAAAAAATTGAGAGGGAGAATAAAAGACCAAAGATCCTGCTGCGAAAGACACAAAGACAATTTGGGGAAAAAAAAGAGACATAAAATGGCCTTAAACATATGAAAAAATGTTCAGCTTCACTCATAAGCAAGATAAAATTTAAAACTACCCTGACATATAGTTTCTCACCCATCAGATTGGCAAAAGTTTCAATGCCTGACAATATAATTAGTCAGGCTGTGGGAATATAGACACTTTTTTTTTTTTTTTTTTGAGAAGGAGTTTCACTCTTGTCGCCCAGGCTGGAGTGCAGTGGCACAATCTTGGCTCACTGCAACCTCTGCATCCCAGGTTCAAGCGATTCTCCTGCCTCAGCCTCCTGAGTAGCTGGGATTACAGGCACGTACCACCAAGCCCAGCTAATTTTTTGTATCTTTAGTAGAGGCTTCACCATGGTGGTCAGGCTGGTCTCGAACACCTGACCTCATGATCCACCCACCTCGGCCTCCCAAAGTTCTGGGATTACATGCCTGAGCCACCGCGCCCAGCCGGGGCACTCTTACGTATCACTGGTGGGAATACAAAATAGTACAACTCATATAGAGGGGCATTATCTTTTGACCCAGCAATCTCACTTCCAGGAATTTTTTACCATGAATATACATTTCCAATAATACAAAAATACACACATCCAAGGTTATATATAATATTAGATGTAATTGCAAAATACTACTTAGATGTCCAAGTATAAGCAATTATTTGAATAATAACATATCCACACAATGAAGTATTATGCAACTATAAAAAACAGAATGAGGACAACCTCTACCAACTAATACAGTATTTCCAGGAGATACTATTAAGTGAGGGGAAAAAAGTACAATCCTGGTGCTGATTGAAGAATTTTTTTAAAAGTACAAAAGAACACATATATATAGTATGCTATCTTTCCTATAAGAAATTAGAGGCCAGGCACGGTGGCTTGTGCCTGTAATCCCAGTACTTTGGGAGGCCAAGGCGGGTGGATCACCTGAGATCAGGAGTTCAAGACCAGCCTGGCCAACATGGTGAAATCCCGTATACAAAAATTAGCCAGGTGTGGTGGCAGACACCTGTAATTCCAGCTACTCAGGAGGCTGAGGCAGGACAATCACCTGAATCCAGGAGGTGGAGACTGCAGTAAGCTGAGATCGTGGCACTGCACTCTAGCCTGAGTGACAAGAGCGAAGCTCTGTCTCAAAAAAAAAAAAAGAGAAAAGAAAAAGAAAAAAATTAGAGTAAAAAACAGTCCTCTTTTCTTTGCAAAAAGGATTAAGGGACAGATTAAACCAGAAAACAATGAAGTTGGTAAGTACAAGGGGTTGAGGGCAGGGGATAGTGGAATTATATTGATGTTGGGAGCCAGGGTTCTCACTGAGTAGAGACATGTGAATGAGGAATTAATGCAGACAAGAAAAAAGCCCATGATGATGAATTAGAGGTATCAATGTGAACTCATGATTTCCTCAAAAGAAGTATATGTGTACGTAAATGTGCATGTGTGTATGTATACTGGCATATATGTATATAGCACATAACATGCATATATTTCCTAGTTCTGTCAGCCAAAAGGGCCAAGATGCAAAAATATTCTAGTAGATGAAAAGATCTCGGTCTCTGATATGACTCCCTTGTAAAAGTACCAGGACTCCTCAGAGAAGTGGCTGATTCCAGGGCGGGGGGAGTACAGGATGCACTTGGAGTATTTAGTTATGCCAAAAAGGACGGAGATGCTAAAAAGAAAAAAAAAATGATGAGAGTACGCTATAAGGATGTAGGAGCCCATTTGAAGGGACTCCCAGTGGCCAAATTTGGAATAATCCATGAACCTAGCTAGTTATGTATGCTAATAAATCGTAAATCCTTGAAAAAATAGGAATTCCTGTGTCCATAATAAAAAATAAGTAAAAAAGTGAACAGATAAAGAAAATGCGGTACATATATACCATGGAATACTATGCAGCCATAAAAAAGTAATGAGATCACATCCTTTGCAGCAACATGGATGGAGCTGGAGGTCATTATCCTAAGCAAACTAACACAGGAAGAGAAAACCAAATACCCTCTGATCTCACCTACAAGTATGAGCTAAAAAAACAAGAACACATGGACACAAAGAGGGGAACAGAAACCAGGGCCTTCTTGAGGGTGAACAGTGGGAGGAGGGAGAGGACCCAAAAACTACCTCTCGAGTGCTATGCTTATTATCTTGGTGACAAAATAATTTGTACACAAAACCCCTGTGACAAGAAGTTTACCTATATAACAACCCTGCACATGTACCCCTGAACTTAAAATAAAAACTAAAAATGCTAACTAGTAAATGTGGAGAGAGCACTAGATTTGGCAGGGGGTGGGGGGGGAATCATCTTTTTGCAACCTTAATAGTAAAGATTGGGCCAGGCATGGTGGCTTATGCCTATAATACCAACACACTGGGAGGCCAAGGTGGGGGCATCGCTTGAGCCTAGGAATTCAAGGCTCCAGTGGGCTATGATTGTGTCACTGCAGTCCAGCCTGGGTGACACAGTGAGACCCCATCTCTTAAAAATAAAAAAAATTAAAAAATAAAAAACATATATATACACACACACAGAGACAGACAGTGCACATGCAAATGACAAAGCAGATGGAGTAAAAGGTTAACAAAAGGTATGTGGGTATTGTTTGTATTCTTATTCTTGCAACTTAAGTTTGAAATTATTTCCAAAAAGAAGTTTATTTTGGACACTCCCAGCATTAGAGCAGTCCACTTAGATTTCTCTACATGTAAAATGAAAGAGTTGAACTAGATGTGTCTGAAGACTCCATTCTCTCCTAAATTTATATTAGGAGTGTGATCAAAAAGTAAATTAGAGCTCCTTTAAGAAATTGTTCTGTCAGGCCGGGAGCGGTGGCTCACGCTTGTAATCCCAGCACTTTGGGAGGCCAAGGCTGGTGGATCACCTGAGGTCAGGAGTTCAAGACCAGCCTGACCAACAAGGTAAAACCCTGTATCTACTAAAAATACAAAAATTAGCCGGGCGTGGTGGCAGACGCCTATACTCCCAGCTACTCGGGAGGCTGAGACGGAGAATTGCTTGAACCCGGGAGGTGGAGGTTGCAGTAAGCCGAGATCATGCCACTGCACTCCAGCCTGGGTAATGCAGCAAGACTCCATCTCAAAAAAAACACGAATTGTTGAAGAGGAAACAACACCCAAAAAGTACTTTTCTGATTCTTCTCATTAGGATACTACTAAACATCTAACAATGGAATTTCTATTTCTGCCAAATCTCATATATTCAGAATCAGGGAAAAAGAGCAGTATAATTTTTTTTTTTTTGAGACAGATTCTTGCTCTTGTCACCCAGGCTGGAGTGCAGTGGCATGATCTTGGTTTACTGTAGCCTCTGCCTCCCAGGTTCAAGCGATTCTCCTGCCTCAGCTCCCGTGTAGCTGGGATTATAGTTACTCGCCATTACCCCCAGCTAATTTTTGTATTTTTAGTAGAGACGGGGTTTTGCCTTGTTGGCCAGGCTGGTCTCAAACTCCTGACCTCATGATCCACCCACCTCGACCTCCCAAAGTGCTGGGATTACAGGCGTGAGCCATGGCACCTGGCCAGTATAATTTTTTTATCCATAGTTATGGCTACTTGAATTTACTTCATACATACCCCATAATTCTCTAAATTATTCTACCGTGGTTTACTCTTAGAAACAAGTTCCACATCAAGGGGGAGGTGGGATGATCTTTCCTTTATCTTACCACTGACACATTTCTTATCAAGGTGCCTGAAACATGTTATTGGTCTAAACAGAAATCCCATGGCTTTTCTAGGTTTAACTACAGGTTAATCAGAATATGCCTGGTCCATCTCAGCCTCATTTTCTTTTTTTTTTTTTTTTCTTTTTTTGAGACAGAGTCTCACTCTGTCGCCCAAGCTGGAGTGCAGTGGCACAATCTCAGCTCACTGCAAGCTCCGCCTCCCGGGTTCATGCCATTCTCCTGCCTCAGCCTCCCAAGTAGCTGGGACTACAGGCGCCTGCCACCATGCCTGGCTAATTTTTTTTATTTTTTACTGGAGACGGGATTTCACTGTGTTAGCCAGGATGGTCTCCATCTCCTGATCTCGTGATCTGCCTGCCTCGGCCTCCCAAAGTGCTGGGATTACAGGCGTGAGCCACCACGCCCGGCTGCTTCATTTTCTTGTAAGACCCAGGGTCATATGTTTGTGTCATGTGTTCAATGGGTAATCAATATGTATTAATTGATTTTATTTTGATACTCATAATTCCCTTAGAATCAGAGTCAAAGGGCTTTATTGCCTAACTTCATCGTTTATTTTTCTTCCTTGATCAACTTCCACTCTAGTTTGCTATTAATAGTCACCTGAAGGCCGGGAGTGGTGGCTCACACCTGTAATCCCAGCACTTTGGGAGGCCGAGGTGGGTGGATCACCTGAGGTCGGGAGTTCAAGACCAGTCTGGCCAACATGGTAAAACCCTATCTCTACTAAAAATAAAAATAAAAAAAATTAGCTGTGTGTGGTGGTGCGCGCCTGTAGTCCTAGCTACTCAGGCGGCTGAGGCAGGAGAACCGTTTAAAGCCGGGAGGCAGAAGTTGCAGTGAGCCAACATCATGCCACTGTACCCCAGCCTGGGCAACAGAGGGAGAGTCCATCTCAAAAAAAAAATAATAATAAGTCACCTGAGACTTGTTCCCACTGTACTTACTGCTAAAGGAACCCAAACGGTCCATTCCCTAATTGGCAACGAGTGCTGCTTTGGTCTTCCTCAGCAGAGCTTCTTCAAGACTTCAGAACCGGCCAACACATACACCAAAGCTTGATGACTCCCTAGGAACAAACAAAAGTGGCACATGGATCAGAAAATCATTCAAAGGGACAAGATAAAGAGAAGATATGCAACATACTCAGCTCTGCCACATCTTAGCTTTGTAATGTTGAAAAATTATTCCACCTCTGAAAACCTGTTTCTTCCTCTGTAGTGGGTATAACAGTGCCTACCTTCCAAAGTTGTGAGAATTAAATGTTATAATCAAATATCATAATCCATATAAGTAATGTAGCATGGTACCTGGTCCTCTATAAATGCTACATATTTTTCTTTTTTATGAGGAAGGATCTGGGTCTATGGGGCACTGAGGGTGGCAGGGGCAAATGCTACATATTTCTAATAAACAACTGTTGGCTTTCTCTACTCAGCATCATTTCTCTCCTTAGCTGCCATCTTTATTTGGGAAACTGACCCTCCCACATTTCATGTGATACTGGTGGGGCTGCCAATCACAATACCCCATTCCCCACCCCTGACAAAAGCTAAAGCAACCAGGTCTCTTCTTCCAGAAATCTGGATCTTGAGTAAGACATGAAAGGACAGAAGGCAGTTGGAGCTTAGTTATTCACTAGAATTCATTCAAAGAATTCAGTCCATGTGCTCTGGCTGTTGAAATCCCTAGCCCCAGGTGGCTCAACTGTTTAACTCTTCTCTCATTTCTCTCTCTTTAATAAACTTTAATAAACTCAACTTTAATCATAAGACTGAACGAGTTTCTGTAACTGGAAACCAAAAAATCCTATCTATTACAACATACATTTGTTCCTCACTCTTTCAACAAGTACGTAACAGGGCCAGGCACAGTGGCTCATGCCTGTAATCCCAGCACTCTGGGAGGCTGACGTGGGAGGATTACTGGGACCCAGGAGTTCAAGACCAGCCTGGGCAACATAGGGAGACCCCATCTCTTAAAAAAAAAAAAAAAAAGTTAGCCGGGTACAGTGGCCCATGCTTATGGTTCCAGCTACTCAGGAGGATGAGGTGGAACGCTTGGGCCTAGGAGGTCGAGGATGCAGTGAGCCACCACTGCACTCCAGCTTGGAGGACAGACTAAGTCTCTTTTTCTTTTTTTTTTGGAGACACAGTCTGGCTCTGTTGCCCAGGCTGGAGTACTCATTGCAACCTCTGCCTCCCAGGTTCAAGGGATTCTCATTCTCCATTTGGTTCTCATTTTTGATTCTTGTGTCTTGTGCCTCAGCCTCCTGAGAAGCTGGGATTACAAGCATGTGCCACCACCATACCTGGCTAATTGTTTTGTATTTTTAGGAGAGACAGGGTTTCACCATGTTGGCCAGGCTGGTCTCGAACTCTTGGCCTCAAGTGATCCGCCCACCTCGGCCTCCAAAAGTGCTGGAGTGCTGGGATTACAAGTGTGAGCCACCATGCCTGGCCCAAAGTATCTTCTTTGAAGCAGAAATAAAATAATATTTTACACTAAGTCAAAAAATAATCCTTCTTCTGTACACTCACAGCTTTTTGTTTTTGTTTTTGTTTTTTTTTGAGACTAAGTCTCGCTCTCGTTGCCTAGGCTGGAATGCAATGGCACGATCTCAGCTCACTGCAACTTCCGCCTCCCGGGTTCAAGCGAGTCTCCTGCCTCAGCCTCCCAATTAGCTGGGATTACAGGCGCGGGCCACCAGGCCTGGCTAATTTTTGTATTTTTAGTAGAGACGGGGTTTCACCATGTTGGCCAGGCTGGTCTCGAACTCCTGACCTCAGGCGATCTGCCCACCTCAGCCTCCCCAAGTGCTGGGATTACAGGCATGAGCCACCGCACCCGGCCCACTCACAGCTTTTTATCTGGCATTTTTCACATTCTACTTTGTGAGTATTACTTCTGAATGTCTATTTTCCCCCACTTCTAAATTAAGTGAAAGCAGGCTGGGTGTGGTAGCTCATGTCTGTAACTCCAGCACTTTGGGAGACTGAGGCAGATGAATCTCCAGAGGTCAGGAGTTTCAGACCAGCCTGGGCAACATAGTGAGAACCCCGTCTCTACCAAAAATACAAAAAAATTTGCTTGGCGTGGTGGCGGGCGCCTATAATCCCAGCTACTCGGGAGGCTGAGGCATGAGAGTTGCTTGAACCAGGCAGGTGGAGGTTGCAGTGAGCCGAGATTGTGCCACTGCACTCCAGCCTGGGCGACAGTGCAAGATCCTGTCTCAAAAATAAATAATAAATAAGTGAAAGCAGAGACTATATCGGATACCTATCTGTATGCTTTTAAAATGCCAAGCATACAGGAGGAATACAATAAACACATAGTAGTGGACTAATAAATGTTAATTCTACAAAAGGTTAATTTATCTTTAGCTTTTCTGAAGTGATTTTTTTCACCCTGGTAATTTTTAGCTTGGAGAATAATTCATCACTAAGTGTGGGCAACATTTCTGCTAACGCTGCCATCAAAGAACTTTCCCTTTTTGGGGTGGGGTAGGTCTCCCTTTGCTGTCCTCTCAGGAAAAGTTGAGCTCTGAAGAAAAATGAGTCTAGCAAGGGTGTATTACGAACGCAGCAATCAAATAACTGCCAAATTTACTGAACTTTTTCAATTTGCTAGGTACCCGTGGGTACCAAGGTGTGGGGATTCTTTGAATCCTCACTCCCACACTTTTGGGGCAAGCTGCTTTTTCAAAAGCAAGCAAGCTCTGAAAGAGTATGTTACTTGCGCAGTGTCTTACAAGGGATAGCTGTGTCATTTCAAATACAGATGTCAAGGCTGGACGCAGTGGCTCACGCCTGTAATCCCAGCACTTTAGCAGGCCGAGGCAGGCAGATCACCTGAAGTCGGCAGTTCGAGATCAGCCTGACCAACATGTAGAAACCCTGTCTCTACTAAAAATACAAAATTAGCTGGGCGTGGTGGCGTATGCCTGTAATCCAGCTACTTGGGAGGCTGAGGCAAGAGAACTGCTTGAACCCGGGAGGTGGAGGTTGCGGTGGGCTGAGAACGCGCTGTTGCACTCTGGCCTGAGCAACAAGTGTGAAACTCCCTCTCAAAAAACAAAAACAAAAACAGACGTCCAGTAAAGGATGCACAGTCAATAGGGACTGATCAACACTCGAAAAAGCACAGTAGGAGGCCGGGTGCGGTGGCTCACGCCTGTAATCTCAGCACTTTGGGAGTCCCAGGTGGGCAGATAACCTGAGGTCAGGAGTTCGAGATCAACCTGGCCAACACAGCGAAACCCCATCTCTACTAAAAATACAAAAAATAGCCAGGTGTGGTGGCGGGCGCCTGTAATCCCAGGTACTCGGGAGGCTGAGGCAGGAGAATCGCTTGAACCTGGGAGGCAGAAGTTGCAGTGTGTTGAGATGGCGCCATTGCACTCCAGCCTGGGCGAAAGAAACGCCATCTCAAAAAATAAAAAAATAGTAGGGCCGGGCGTGGTGGCTCACGCCTGTAATCCCAGCACTTTGGGAGGCCGAGGCGGAAGGATCACTTGAGGTCAGGAGTTCGAGACCAGCCTGGCCAACATGGTGAAACCCCACCTCTGCTGAAAATACAAATATTAGCTGGGCGTGGTGGCCCACGCCTCAGGCACGAGAATCGCTTGAGCCTGGGAGGCGGAGATTGCAGTGAGCCGCGATCGTGCCACTGCACTGCAGTACAGCCTAGGAGAAAAAAAAAAAAAGGCAAAAAAGCACAATATTGCAGTCTGCAGAATCTTCTTTCTCCCCCTTTCACAAGAGACCACATTCTGACACCAACTTCCGTGGAAACACTGGCGCTAGCTCCAAACTAACAATCGCCAAATTCGAATCAGTTACCGGGAGAAGGAAGTGAGGCACTTCGCCGGGCAGGAGTCCACGTTGGGAGGAGGAAAGGCGCAGGCTCCCGAGTTGTGGAGCCAACGTTCAAATCCTTACGGGGTGGGACCGGCCTGGGCCAGTCATTTTACCTGCGCCTCAGCTCTAACAGGGTACTGAAATACCTACTTTGGGGGGCCTGCTAGGAAATTCAAATGGGCAACGCTGGTCAGGGGCATCTGGCACAGTGGCCATTCTTGGTAGAGCTACGCGCTCCAGGGCTGAGCGGGAAATGGCGAGGCCGGGGCACTGGGGCACCGCCCAGACGCGGGGCGGGCCCCCGGGGTCAGGCCCGGCCCCACACCGCCCTCCCCCACAGAGCGGCGAGGCCCGCCGCTGCCCGCCCGCCGGCCCGCCAGCCTGCCGCGTCAAGCCCGCCGCCGGGGCCCGCAGCCCGCGACTCCTCCCCCGCCGCACCTCGTGGCCCCCGCTTCTCCCTAGTCCCGCTAGAGGGGCTCGCGCTCCGCCACCCGCCCGCCCGCCCGCCCAGCGCTGCCTGGCGCCTCACCTCGCCGAGACCCCCTAATCCGCGCCAAAGAGCCGCCGGTCGCGCGCGCCTCCGGGCTTTGCGTGCGCGCCCCCGGGCGGCGCAGTGGCGAGCGCGCCGCGTGCCGCGCGCCCGCCGCCTCCGCCCCTCGGCCGTGGAGGCCCCCGCCGGGTGCTGAGCGCCCGCCACCGCCCTCTTGGCCTTTTCCCGGTCCCCGCCGCGCGCCTGCTGCTGTCCCCGTGCCCGAGGACTGGGAGGATGGGGCTGAGCCGCTTGCCTGACTTTTGATCCGACCAGTAATCACTTTGCCCGTGTGGCGCGTGGCCCGTTGCCTGAGGCTTCCTGGCGCGTGGGGCTGTTTGGTCCCCTCCGGAGTGCGGTGAGGCGGGCCGAGCCGGGACTGCCTGGGTTTGGGGATAACGTTCCCATCTCCACCCCTGTTGCAGCAAGGGAAATTGAGGCTGAGGGAACTGGGCCCAGGGACGGCGAGCCGTGGCGCCTCTCCAGTCCGGGCCCCGAAGGGCTGCTCGTGGATGAACCAGACTGATTTTAAGGGGTGAAGAGGGTGCGTTTCAATCAGATGCTCCTGGAACGTCGAAATTGTCTTCTTTGGAAAGAACCATCCCCTCTTTGGGCTTCAGAGGCCCAAATTGAGGCGCAATGATGAGAGGATGTGGTGGTCTACTCTGATGTCAATCTTGAGGGCTAGGTATGTCCCAAGATCTCTTATTACTGCTGTTAATGATGATTCTAATAGCTACCATTTGTCGAGTACTTATTGCATGCCAGACATTGCACAAAGCAGGTTACACATACGGTCTCATTTAAAACTTGTGAGGTAGGCACCTGTTGTTATCCCTATTTTCCAGGTGAAGAAATCTAGGCACTGACATAAATAACTTGGGATCACACTGCTAGGAAGTACTGGGGAAGGGAATTCAAACCATGGTTTATCTGAACTATATAACTGTTACATCTATTTAGAAGTCTGCCTTTGATAAATTTGCCCAACCTTTTTTTAGAATTCACTTACACTTTATGCCTGTGTGAACCCTTTCATTCTTTTTTGGTATATGCATAATACAAGTTCATTCCAAAAAAAAAAAAAAAAAAAAGCCCTGCCGGGCGCGGTGGCTCACGCCTGTAATTCCAGCACTTTGGCAGGCCGAGGCGGGCGGATCACAGGGTCTGGAGTTCTAGACCAGCCTGACCAACATGGTGAAATCCCGTCTCTACTAAAAATACAAAAAATTACGCGGGTGTGGTGGCAGGCACCTGTAATCCCAGCTACTCCGGAGGCTGAGGCAGTAGAATCGCTTGAACCCTGGGGGCAGAGGTTACAATGAGCCAAGATCTTGCCATTCCACTCCAGCCTGGGCAACGAGAGCGAAACTCTGTCTCAAAAAGAAAAGAAAAGGAAAGAAAAACCACCTCCCACCAGGTTAAATAAATAATTAACATTTTGGTATGTACCCTTCCAGACATTTTCCTATGCATCACATCAATAAATATATGATAGGATATTTTACATTTGATGTATCCTGAAGATTAATTCAACAAATGTTTAGTGAGTAGGCTTGTTGTAGGTGCTGGGAATTCAGCAGTGAACAAAACAAAGTCTCTGCCTCATGGAGCTCATATTATAGTAGGGAAGACTGTCAATAAGCAATATACACATTACTAAATGATAGATAATGCCCAGTAATGTGGCAAGTTTTATGGAAAAATAAATCAGGATAAAAGGATAAGAGTGATATGGGGATTCTCTTAGTTAGGGTAGATAAGGAAGGCCTCTTAGCTAAGGAGGCACATAAATATCTGATCATTTAATGAGAGAAGGAGCAACATGGATTTCTAGAGGGAAACTATCCTAGAAGAGAAGCAGCAAGTGCAGTGACCCTGAAATGGGGATTTGTTTGGCATGGAGAAAGGGCAAGACCAGTGTGGCTGGAGCACAGCAAATGAGAGAAATTAGATGGAAATCAAGGCAGATCATGTATCATCTGGTAAGGTTTGGATTTTATTGGGAAGTGACAGAATATGACGAAGGGTTGAGAGCAAAGGAGTAGCTTTGCTGTAAAAGGATCACTGTGGGCTGGGAGCGGTGGCTCACACCTGTAATCCCATCACTTTGGGAGGCCGAGGCAGGCGGATCACTTGAGGTTAGAAGTTCGAGACCAGCCTGGTCAACATGGTGAAACCTCATCTCTACTAAAAATACAAAAAAAATTAGCTGGGCATTGTGACGGGCGCCTGTAATCCCAGCTACTCGGGAGGCTGAGGTAGGAGAATCACTTGAACCTGGGAGGTGGAGGTTGCAGTGAGCCAAGATTGTGCCACTACACTCAAGCCTGGGCAACAGAGTGAAACTGCATCTCAAAAAAAAAAAAAAAAAAAAAATCACTGTGGCAGCTGTGTGGAGAATGGATGGTAGAAATATTAAAATTGCCCTTTGCCTGGTGAAGTGGTGTGTACCTGTAATCCCAGCTACTCGAGAGACTGAGGCAGGAGGATGGATTGAGCCCAAGTTTGAGACCAGTCTAGGCAACGTATCGAGACCCCCATCTCTAAAAAAATTTTAAATTGCTCTCTAAGGCATAAATTGTCCTTTTACATGGTAGTTGTTCAACAGATAGTTGATTAACATTAGTGTTTCACCTATAGCTGTACAGCTTTACAACCACTCTCAACTTCACATAGTGGAAGTGGGGTCAGTCATTTAGGACATATCTGTGTCTTTGTCATTGAAACTCAAATTTTGAGACTGGCTAAGGCAAATATCCAGATCTGGATGTCATGATTGTCAACAATGAATATCAGTAATCAGTGTTGTAATACTGTAGAAAAATTAGTCCCACATAATACTGAGATCTAGTCGTTAAAAACATAGCATTCAGGGGCCAGGCACAGTGGCTCATTCCTGTAATCCCAGCAGTTTGGGAGGCCAAGGCAGATGGATCATTTGAGGCCAGTAGTTCAAGATCAGCCTGGGCAACATGGCGAAAACCCATCTCTGCTAAAAATGCAACAATTAGCTGGGTGTGGTGGCGCATGCCTGTAATCCCAGCTTCTTGGGAGGCGCAAGAATTGCTTGAACCCTGGAGGTGGAGGTTGCAGTGAGCTGAAATCGCACCACTGCCCTCCAGCCTGTTCAACAGAGCAAGAGTCTGTCTCAAAAACAAAAAAACAAAAATCATAGCATTCAACTACCTGGAAATTACCCTCTCCCTTCAGTTGATGTTAGGCTCTACTTAGACCAATTTAGTCAGTGTGCTTAAGAAAGATGTGGAGAGGGCAGGACACGGTGCCTCACACCTGGGATCCCTGCATTTTGGGAAGCCAAGGTAGGCAGATCACTTGAGTTCAGGAGTTCAAGGAGGCATGAGAACTGGGCAACATGGTGAAACTTCGTCTCTACAAAAATTGCAAAAATTAGCCAGGTGTAGTGGCGCATGCCTGTAGTCCCAGCTACTTAGGAGGCTGAGGTGAGAGGATCACTTCAGCCCAGAGGGTTGAGGCTGCATTGACCCAGTATCACACCACTGCACTCCAGCCTAGGTGACAGAGTGAGACACTGTACCAAAAAAAAAAAAAAAAAAAAAGATGTGGCAAAATTAACATGCACAGTGAGAAGAAGGGTAACACTGATTACTGATTAAGGCAGTACTCCTCTGGGTTTTTGTCTTAAGTGGATGTGATAGTGGCATCACTTACACGACCAGCTGAAGGAAGAATAGATTTGGAGGAGAAATTGAAAGTTCTGTTTTGGATCTGTGTTTTGCATTCTGACTGGAAATGACAAATACAAGTCTACAGCTCATTGGAGGTGTCAGAACTAAAACTGTATAACTGTATTAGAATTGTTTATTTGGCTGTGTGTCTTACCTAGACAGACCTTGAGGACAGACACTGTTGTCTTTGTAACCTCAGTGCTCTGAAGTGTATCCTCAAATACTTGTGAAATGAGTAAGTAAAGGCAAAAGTAAAAATGAAGTCACTGGCTGGGTGCAGTGGCTCACGCCTGTAATCCCAGCACTTTGGGAGGCTGAGGCGGGCGGATCACGAGGTCAGGAGATCGAGACCATCCTGGCTAACATGGTGAAACCCCATCTCAACTAAAAATACAAAAAATTAGCCGGGCGTGGTGGTGGGCGCCTGTAGTCCCAGCTACTCAGGAGGCTGAGGAAGAAGAATGGCGTGAACCTGGGAGGTGGAGCTTGCAGTGAGCTGAGATCGTGCCGCTGTACTCCAGCCTGGGCAACAGAGCGAGACTCTGTCTCAAAAAAAAAAAGAATGAAGTCACTTAGGCAAAATGTAGAAGATACATACTCTATGCTTTCACTGAAAGTCTAAGCACCTGAATGTGACTTACAAGTAGGGTGACCATAATTTCTGATTTGCTGAGAATAGCCTGGTTTATATCTGTTGTCCCTACCTAAGTATTAATATTGCCTGGTTTCACTCTCAGTAAAGTCTCCATTTGTACAATAAATTTATATTGTCATTCTTTTTAGAAGGCCCTTCCAGATCTAGCATCTTCCTATATCTTTATCATCACTGCCCTATCTTAGACTCCATTTGCCAGCCAGGTGGACATACCTTCATTTCTCATATGCACTCTTAACTTCAAGGTTTTTTTTGCCAAGGTACTGCCTACCTCACTTAGACATCACTTCCTTAGGAACACTTCTCCTGACCCCCCAATGGCTGAGTTAAGTCACCCTCTTACATGTTCCCAGTACACCTTGTATTTAACCTGTCATAGCAAAGATGACTAAGTGCCTTGTTCCCTCACTAAATATCTCTGTAAAGGAACCCAAAAAAACACCTTTTGTCCTCTTTAAGCCATAAATTTATATTAATAATATCCAAATCCATGTTGAACCAGTATTTTTGAAGATTGACCTTCAGGATAAACTAATAGCACAATCTTCATGCCCTTTCATTCATAAGTAACTGAAAAGGTTGACTTTTGTACCAGGAACCCAACGAAGAAAACTTGTATCTTGTCAGGGTTGGTAACCTGGCTGCCATTGACTGAGACCAAAATATCCCAACAGTTTGTCCTCAGCTGCTAAGCTGCTGTGGTTAGAATCAAACGTAGAGTTTCTGGCCTGGTGCGGTGGCTCATGCCTGTAATCCCAACACTTTGACAGTCCTAGGTGGGAAGATTGCTTGGGCTCAGGAGTTCGAGACTAAACTGGGTGACTTAGTGAGAGTTCAACTCTACAAAAAAATCAAAAAATTAGCTGGGCATGATAGCACACGCCTGTGGTCCCAGCTACTTGGGAGGCTGAGGTAGGAGAATCACTTGAGCTCAGACAGTTGAGGCTGTAGTGACCGTGATTGTGCCACTTTACTCCAGCCTGGGCAACAGAGTGAGACCTCGTCTGGAAAAAAAAAAAAAAAGGTAAAGAGACAACCTACGGAATGGGAGAAAATATTCACGACCCCTACATCAGATAAGTGGACAAGGGCCTGAAAAGACATTGCTCAAAAGAAGACATGCAAGTAGCATGGGAGGCCGAGGCGGGTGGATCACCTGAGGTCAGGAGTTCGAGACCAGCCGGGCCAACCTGGTGAAACCCTGTCTCTACTAAAAAAACAAAAATTAGCTGGGCGTGGTGGCGGGCGCTTGTATTCCCAGCTACTCAGGAGGCTGAGGCAGGAGAATCACTTGAACCCAGGAGGCGGAGGTTGCAGTGAGCCAAGATCACACCATTGCCCTCCAGCCTGGGCAACAGCAAGACTCTGTCTCAAAAAAAAAAAAAAAAGAAAAACAAAAGAAAAAGACATGCAAATAGCTAACTGGTATGTGAAAAAAATGTTCAACATCACTAATCATCAGGGAAATGTGAATTAAAACTACCATGAGATATCACCTCACACCTGTCAGAATGATTATTATCAAAAAGCGAGATAAGCATTGGCAAGGATGTGGAGAAAAACCCTGTACACTGTCAGTGGGAATGTAAATTAGTACAGCCATTTTGGAAAATAGTATGGAGGTTCCTTAAAAATTTTTGAATGGAACTACCATATGATCCAATAATCCACTTCTGGGTATATATCCAAAGGAAATGATATCTGCATGTCAAGGTATCTGTACTCCCATATCCATTGCAGCATTATTCACCATAGCCAAGACATGGAAACAGCCTACATGTATGCCAATGGATGAATGAATAAAGAAAATGTGAGATATAGATACACACACACACACACACACAGACACACACACAATGGAATACTGTTCAGCCTTAAAAAATAAGGAAATCCTGTCATTTGCAGCAACATAGATGGACCTGGAGGACATTATGCTAAGTGAAATAAGCCAGGCACAGAAAAACAAATACTGCTTAATCTCACTTATGTGTGGCATCTAAAAAAGTCAAGCTTGTAGAAGTAGCAGAATGGTGGTTACCAGGGGATGAGAGAGAAAGAATTGGAAGATTTTGGCCAAAGGATACAAAATTTCAGTTAGACAGCAGGAATAAGTGCAGGAGATCTATTATACTATATGGTGACTATAGTTAAAAATATATACTTGAGGCCAGGCACTGTGGCTCACACCTGTAATCCCAGCACTTTGGGAGGCTGAGGCAGGTGGGTCATCTGAGGTCAGGGGTTTGAGACCAGCCTGGCCCACATGGTGAAACCCCATCTCTACTAAAAATACAAAAATTAGCCAGGCGTGGTGGTGCATGCCTGTAATCCCAACTACTCAGGAGGCTGAGGCATGAGAATCACTTGAACCCGGGAGGCAGAGGTTGCAGTGAGCCAAGATTGCATCACTGCACTCCAGCCTGGGCAACAGAGCAAGACCCTGTCTCAAAAACAAAAACAAACAAACAAACAAAAATATATATATGCTTGAAAATTGCTAAGAGAGTAGATTTTAGTTGTTCTTACCACACAAAAAAATAAGTATTTGCGGTAATGGGTATATATTTGAGGTAATGGATTTGTTAATTAGCTTGATTTAGCCATTCCACAATGAGTACATCTATCAACACATGTTGTACATCATGAATATACACAATTTTTATTTGCCAAAAAATGTTTAAATATGCCATAAGTAAATTAAATAAAATAAATTTCTTAGAACATTATTTATAAAAATAAAGCAAAAAACCAGATCTGTCCAAATATAACTAATAAACTGACTCTCATTATTTAACACTCAAGAGTTGGCTGGCATCAGGATTTTCATAATACCATGGCCATTAAACAGTTTTCGTGAATCCAGGCCTTCGTTACCCATCTCTTCTGCTTCTTCCTCACCTTACTGACTTCTTTCTCATGTACACAGAGTGCGGAATATCTGTCTCATGAGTCACCAGCCTTTGGGCAGAACCCAAAAAATTAGGTGAACTAGAAATATATTGTTGCTAAGTGGCTCGGTTTATCAGACAATTCTAAAATGCCTACTAGGCTGCCTAGCTGCATACTTTTCTGCCTAATGTACAGGACCTCCATCTTGTGACTGTCAAAACAGGCTCCTAAATTATTTTGCATCATTTGGTGACAGGCAGTCTATACTCTTGTGCAACCAACAGGTGCCCAATAAATGCTTGGAATATGCAAGGAACTTGGCATTGTTTAATATAATTGAAAAAGCAAGCATGGACTTTGAAACTTTCCTGAATTTGAATTCTGTCTCCACTCCTTATCACCTTTAAGAATTTAGGGCCTGGTGCGGTGGCTCATGCCTATAATCCCAGCACTTTGGGAGGCTGAGGCGGGTGGATCACTTGAGATCAGGAGTTCGAGACCAGCCTAGCCAACATGGTGAAACCCCATCTCTACTAAAAATATAAAAAATTAGCCGGGCATGGTGGTGCATGCTTATAATCCCAACTACTTGGGAGGCTGAGGCAGGAGAATCGCTTGAACCCAGGAGGCAGAGGTTGCCGTGAGCCGAGATCCCACCATTGCACTCCAGCCTGGGCAACAAGAGTGAAACTCCATCTAAAAAAAAAAAAGAATTTAGGGAAGTTATTATCTTCCTGCATCTCCTTTCTCCTCCTATGTAAAATGAAAATAATAATGTCTAATTCATAAGCGTTTCATAAGGATATGATGAAAGCCCGATGCAGTAGCTCACGCCTGTAATCCCAGCACTTTGAGAGGCTGATGTGGGTGGGTCACTTGAAGTCAGTAGTTCGAGACTAGCCTAGCCAACATGGTGAAACCCTGTCTCTACTAAAAATACAAAAACTAGCTGGGCATGGTGGCAGGCGCCTGTAATCCCAGCTACCCGGGAGGCTAAGGCAGGAGAATCGCTTGAACTCAGGAGACTGAGGTTGCGGTGAGCTGAGATCGTGTCACTGCACTCCAGCCTGGGCAACAGTGCCAGACTCTGTCTCAAAAAAAAAGCCCGGGCATGGTGGCTCACGCCTGTAATCCCATAATCCCAGCACTTTTGGAGGCCAAGGTGGGCGGATCACCTGAGGTCAGGAGTTCGAGACAGCCTGACCAATATGGAGAAACCACATCTCAACTAAAAATACAAAATTAGCAGGGCATGGTGGCGCATGTCTGTAATCCCAGCTACTCGGGAGGCTGAGGCAGGAGAATCACTTGAACCCAGGAGGCGGAGATTGCAGTGAGCTGAGATTGCACCGTTGCGTTCCAGCCTGGGCAACAAGAGCGAAACTTCGTCTCAAAAAAAAAAAAAAAAAAAAAAGTGATACCACAACAGCTAGAAGAGGAGGCCAAACTGTTTTTTTTTTTTTTTTGAGACAGAGTCTCGCTCTGTCACCCAGGCTGGAGTGCAGTGGTGCGATCTCGGCTCACTACAACCTCCGCCTACCTGGTTCAAGTGATTCTCCTGCCTCAGGCTCCTGAGTAGCTGGGAGTACAGGCGCGCGCCACCACGCCCAGCTAATTTTTTGTATTTTTAGTAAAGACGGGGTTTCACAGTGTTAGCCAGGATGGTCTCAATCTCTTGACCTTGTGATCCACCTGCCTCGGCCTCCCAAAGTGCTGGGATTACAGGAGTGAGTCACCGCGCCCAGCCCCCATTTTACATTTTTTTATTTGTGCCCACTGCCTTTTTTCAGAGGATGCAGTTAGCAATTTCAGCCACTGGATGGTGCAAATTCACAAGAGTCCAGTGAAAGTTCCTCAATTACGGTCCAAGGTGCACCTGTTGCTACACTGCACCAAGTGAAGGAGGGTGGGGTAAAGGAAAGACTTTTTGGATCTGAAATTTCAGTATAAACATGGATCGAAGTTCACTAGAAGTTCAGATTGAGGGAAATTTTTAGAATTTGATCACTGACAAATCAGGTCATTGAATAAGGAAAGACAAAAGAAAAGTGTTGTAATAATGAAGAGGAAGAGAAAAAGGAACAGATGATGAAATATGAGGGAAAATAAGTCTAAAGAGATGAATTCAAGTGTTAGCAACAATTATAGTATGACCCTTTACTGGTTTGCATCTCCCTGGTAACTGATAGCAACTTTGATATAAAAATAAAGCTTACTTCATTCTCTTCTAGAAAGTCAGCTATGCTACCCTTAGCTTATCCATTTGGTGGTGTGACATTATCAACAAATATTTTTAGTATCTGCTATGAACATGGTGCTTTGTTGATACAAAGTAATATAGAGATATACAAATTAACACAGATACTGGGCTTCAAGCAGAAGAACCAGTAAGTACATATAAGAAGATAAGTAATTGACTGGATTAAGAAAATGTGGCACATATACACTATGGAATACTATGCAGCCATAAGAAAGGATGAGTTCATGTCCTTTGTAGGGACATGGATGAAGCTGGAAACCATCATTCTGAGCAAATATCGCAAGGACAGAAAACCAAACATCGCATGTTCTCACTCATAGGTGGAAATTGAACAATGAGAACACTTGGACACAGGGCTGGGAACATCACACATCAGCGCCTGTCGTGGGGTGGGGGGATGGGGGAGGGATAGCATTAGGAGAAATACCTAATGTAAATGACGAGTTAATGGGTGCAGCAAACCAACATGGCACATGTATACATATGTAATAAACCTGGACATTGTGCACATGTACCCTAGAATTTAAAGTATAATACTACTACTACTATTACTAATAATAGGGAAGATAAGTAATTCAAGGCAACCTGAGGGCCATTGTGTCAACTCAGAAAATGGAATACTTTTTGAAAGTGGGAGTGGAGTATCAGTGGGATGGGGAGGAAGGGATCATAGGACTCTCAACCTGTCCAGGGCAAACAAAAAATAAAAAGATTTCTTCTGGCCTTTAGTCATAAGTACATGCAGCAACTCTTCCTTGGAAAATGGCTAGTTATGGACATAGACATAGGAAAAGTGCTCTAGGTCAGAATCTGCTGGGCAGTGATTAGAAAGCATCCAAAATATTAATAGGAGGGGGTAGGAGATATGAGGAAATAATGGTTAAGGCCAGTACCACTCCTGAAACCACCGTTGCACTAGCCTGGGAGTACAGAAAAGGAAGGATGTTAATGGCTTGTTCAGGCCTTTCAGAGATCCACAGTCCCAGGTCACTTTGATTTTTGAGATTATGGGTTTATCTAAAAAATGAAGAAATGGCAAAACAGAGATACAAAATATGTTTTATATTTTATTTATATTTATCTTTTTTTTTTTTTTGAGATGGAGTCTCACTCTGTCACCCAGACTGGAGTGCAGTGTCACCATCTCAGCTCACTGCAACCTCTGCCTCCTGGGTTCAAGCGATTCTCCTGCCTCAGCCTCCCGAGTAGCTGGGATTACAGGCATGTGCCACCACACCCAGCTAATTTTTGTACTTTTAGTAGAGACAGGGTTTCACCATCTTGGCCAGGCTGGCCTCGAACTCCTGACCCCAGATGATCCACCCGACTCGGCCCTCCAAAGTGCTGGGATTACAGGCGTGAGCTACCATGCCTGGCTGTTGTATATTTTAAGTGTTTCTGTTTAACAAAGTAATGCTTTTAATACACACGCAAATATGGCTGTTTACTTAATGTCATTCAGCAATAACTTAAAAAGTTTAAATTGGAGGTTTTTGTGAATGTACCTTCTTTGCCCTAAGCAACTACCTATCTTAATTTTTGGGCCTATCAAAAAGTATTGGGGTGACATCAACCCTTTAAAAAGGTGGAACAGCCTAGGCGCGGTGGCTCGCGCCTATAATCCCAGCACTTTGGGAGGCCAAGATGGGCAGATCACCTGAGGTCGGGAGTTCGAGACCAGCCTGACCAACATGGTGAAACCTCGTCTCTACTAAAAATACAAAAATTAGCCGAGCATGGTGGTGCATGCCTGTAATCCCAGCTACTTGGGAGGCTGAGGCAAGAGAATTGGTTTGAACCCGGGCGGAGGTTGCGGTGAGCCGAGATCACGCCATTGCACTCCAGCCTGGGCAACAAGAGTGAAACTCCATCTCAAAAAATTAAAATTTAAAAAAAGGTGGAACAGCTTCTAGTCACCTCTAAAACTTGAAAATAAACACAACTTCTTGAAATGTAGTAGTAATATATTAGCCAAGAAGAAGAGACAGATTTTTTTTTTTTTTTTTGAAATGGAGTCTTGCTTTGTCACCCAGGCTAGAGTGCAGTGACACGATCTCAGCTCACCGCAACCTCAGTCTCCTGAGTTCAAGCGATTCTCCTGCCTTAGCCTCCCGAGTAGCTGGGATTACAGGCGCCTGCCACCATGCCCAACTAATTTTTTGTATTTTTAGTAAAGATGGTGTTTCACCATGTTGACCAGGCTGGTCTCAAACTCCTGACTCAAATGATCCACCTGCCTTGGCCTCCCAAAATGCAAGGATTACAGGCATGAGCCACTGCACCCAGCCAAAGAGACAGATTTAAAGTGGTGTGAAGAATATGAAGTTTTGTATGTGTCTTTTTATTATATGTGTATATATATTTATAATGTCCATAAAGAGATATATTAACCACTGATTACATATTAACCAGTGTTAATGATTATCTCTGGGAAGAGAGATTAGGTATTACTTTTATTCTTTATACTTTTGAGTATTTTCTAAAAGCTTTTATAATGAGAATGTACTTTATTTATTTTATTATATATTTTATATATACATATTTTTTGAGACAGAGTCTCGCTGTGTCGCCCAGGCTGGAGTGCAGTGGCACAATCTCGGCTCACTGCAAGCTCCGCCTCCCGGGTTCACGCCATTCTCCTGCCTCAGCCTCCCTAGTAGCTGGGACTACAGATGCCTGCCACCACACCCGGCTAATTTTTTCTTTTTCTTTTTTTTTTTTTTAGTAGAGATAGGGTTTCGCCGTGTTAGCCAGGATGGTCTCGATCTCCTGACCTCGTGATCCGCCTGCCTCGGCCTCCCAAAGTGCTGGGGTTACAGGCGTGAGCCACCGCGCCCGGCCGAGAATGCACTTTAATAATTATAAAAACAAAGTGTGGTAGCTTAATAAGAAAGAACTTGCAATAGAAACAGCAAATAAGGCTAGGCACAGTGGCTCACGCCTGGACTTTTTACCCCAGCACTTTGTGAGGCCGACGCGGGTGGATCACTTGAGGTCAGGAGTTGGAGACCAGCCTGACCAACATTGTGAAACCCCATCTCTACTAAAAATACAAAAATTAGCTGGGTGTGGTGGCGCATGCCTGTAATCCCAGCTACTGGGGAGGCTGAGGCACGAGAATAGTTTGAACCCGGGAAGCAGAGGTTGCAGTGAGCTGAGATTGAACCATTGCACTCCAGCCTGGGCAACAGAGCGAAACTGCATCTCAAAAAAAAAAAAAGAAAAAGAAAAGAAACAGCAAATAATTCCACAGGAATAATTGGCACTTCCACAGAAACAGTGTTTTATCAAGTTTTGTATAACTTGGTCTATAATGGTGACACTAGAAATGGTGCCCAGCTCTGAAGTGATCTGCAGATCCACATCCCAAAGCCCACACAGGAGTTCTCCTTTCTCCTCTGCCATCTCTCCCATCTCTGTTTTTACAGATCTTCACTGGAAGGGAATATAGGACTTGAAGTTATTAATGGATTAGGGAGTCAGAAAATCCTCAGAGGGGTCTATGCTTTGTCAGGGGAAACAAATTGTCCCCAAAGCAAAATAATTTTGATTCTGTCTGTGAATTTCTATAAAGTCAGTACAAATGTTACCCAAATTATACTCTTTTTTTTTTTTTCTTTGAGACAGTCTCGCTCTGTCACCCAGGCTGGAGTGCAATGGTTCAATCTCAGGTTCAAGCAATTCTTGTGCCTCAGCCTCTGGAGTAGCTGAGATTACAGGTGCGCACCAGCATGCCTGCCTAATTTTTGTATTTTTAGTAGAGACGGGTTTCACCATGTTGTCCAGGCTGGTCTCAAACTCCTGGCCTCAAGCCATCTGCCCACCTCGGCCTCCCAAGGTGCTAGGATTACAGGCTTGAGCCACCGTGCCCGGCCTCCAATTATACTCTTGTAGAAGAGTTGATGAGCGCAGATTTTGCCATAGGTTTTATCTCCCGGGACATCTCATGTTTCAGGATTAAGGGACATTCAGTGGTGGGTGAGGCTGGGAAGGGTGAGGATGCATGTAGGCCTTAGTTCTGGACCAAGAGCTTCTAAGTATATAATGCTTTTAATCATCCTCACCAGTGGTCTTGGGAAAGAGCAGGCATTTTTTTTCTTCCTATTTTATTGTCAAACTAAGTCACAGATGGCAAAATAAACTTGAGGCAACATCGTGGATCAGTGGCAGGATGCAAATAATATACTCATTCATCCAAATGCCAACCTCAGTGCTCTTTCCTCTCTACTATATTTTCAAGGTATGCTCTATGGACATTTAGAGGTTCTTTTTTTTTTCTTTTTTTTTTTTTGAGATGGAGTTTTGCTCCTGTCACTCAGGCTAGAGTGCAATGGTGAGATCTCGGGGCTCACTGCAACCTCCACCTCCCGGGTTCAAGCGATTCTCCTGCCTCAGCCTCCCCAGTAGCTGAGATTATAGGTGCCCTCCACCATGCCCGGCTAATTTTTGTATGTTTAGTAGAGACGGGTTTCACCATGTTGGCCAGGCTGGTCTCAAACTCCTTACCTCAGGTGATCCACCCACCTTGGCCTCCCAAAGTGCTGGGATTACAGGCGTGAGCCACCATGCCTGGCCCTAGAGGTTCTTTGGAGCTTCTTTGAAACATATCCTCATTATCCATGCTTTATATGTGTTCTCTTTCAGGCTGGACTTGAATATTAAATCGAGCCTTAGGGTGAGATTTTCCCCTGTTGGTATTGTTTTGATAATCACTTTTTGGACAGCACTTGAAGTGAAAGAAAGAAGGATACAGTTTATGTATTTTTTTTTTTAACCAGAGAACTAAGAAAACAGAATTTCTTAGAAACAGACACATTTCACCAAAATGAAATGGAATGGTTTCAGACTCTTAGGAAAAGAAGCAGGGCCTCACCCTGTCTTATCCCTCCTGACATTTCCTTTTTCACCTCAACATTGATTCAAGATCAGGTGGTTTCACTTTCTCACCAAACTCTTATTTAAGCAGGTTAGATTTGACTCATAGCTATTCTCCTGTGAGAAACAGCATTATCATAATTATTTTGCTCTGGAATCTTTGTCCAAAAGGTATGCAACTCTCTATTAAAGTATGATATAATATCAGAGCCACCTTAGGAATTCTGGATCGTCAGAAGACTTCACTTGGGTACTAATGGTCTGTAGTCCCTGAACCCCTTGGGGATAACTTATGAGGAAGGCTTTTGGAATGCGTAGGGTCAAGTTCCCTTCAGCAGTGTGTGGATAGATACATGTAGTACCAGAAGCTAAATTACAAAACCTTATAAACGTCAACCAGGGAGATCAGGAGTCCCACTCTAAGCTATTGAGGGCCAGTGAGTGTGAAGTCAGCTGTGAAGATAACAGAGGAGCTGGAAGCTATGTCACACTAACAGCTGCCTTGTTTCTTAGAGGCTGTGTTTGAGTCTTCTGTCAAAGAGAGTAGTAAGGTCCATTCATAGTGCTTGCAGGGAATACTTTTTGTTCTCGTTTGAGGGGATGGAAAGGTATCCATTTAGATGGATGTATGAAGTGAATTACAGAAGGTTGTGGCTCAGATAGGGGCATGAGGGTAACTCTGCTAAGCCCACACTCTCCCTTCATTAACCAGGAATTGGTGTTTGATTGTAATGTCCCTGCTGAAGATACAAGTGTGAAATTGGCAAGAATGTGCCCATATTAATAGGGAGAGGACTGTGTAGTATCATTCAGTCTTTGAGATAGAGCAGAACTTTTCAGAAGTATGTCTGGTGGATAACAGTGATCTCTGCAGCTTTCTTTGGGTTTGATGAATTGGCAGCATCTTGTCCAACCTAGAGATTGAAAGGAAATATGAAAGTTAAAAAAGGATGCAAGTGTATAGTTCTTCATGTACCAAGAAAAGGGCTGGCTAAGTACAAAACCCCATGTAATTCCAAGTGCACTTCATTTTGCCTCTTTGTTAATCGATAATTACACTGAGAAAGTATGATCAAGGTGCACATAGGTATGAGAACCAATAATTGCTTGGAACCTATAACCCACTAGCAAAGTAATTAAAAGATCTGGATCATAGTTCTGTTTCTAACAGCTGTGTAACCTTGGGAAGTCACATAACCTCTTCAAGCCTCAACTTAAGTATGAGTAAAATGTAGATACTTGCCCTGGCTACTTTCCAGGATTTCTGTAAGGCTCAAATGAGATAATGTATATAAGATTGCTATCTTAGTACTATTTTTTTTTGAGACAGAGTCTCGCTCTGTCACCGAGGCTGCAGTGCAGTGGTGTGATCTCAGCTCACCGCAGCCTGTGCCTCCCGGGTTCAAGCGATTATCCTGCCTCAGCCTCCTGAGTAGCTGGGATTACTGGCGTGTGCCACCATGCCTGGCTAATTTTTTGTATTTTTAGTTGAGACAGTTTCACCTTGTTGGTCAGGCTGGTCTCAAACTCCTGACCTCATGATCCATCCACCTCGGCCTCCCAAAGTGCTGGGATTACAGGCATGAGCCACCACGCCTGGCCCTATTTTTATTCCTTTATCATTTAGTAGCTTATTGTGTTCATAGAAGTTCAATCACAGTTGCAGCTACCTGGTTATCTCTAATTCTATTCTGGACTAGACTTTGTAGTCCCTTCAGGCCTATTTCTTCCAATGTTCAGGAGAAATGATAATTTTTTTTTTTTTTTGGACACAGGGTCTCACCCTTTTTCCCAGGCTGGAGTGCAGTGGCTCGATCATAGCTCATTGCAGACTTCAATTCCTGAGCCCAAGTGATCCTCCCACCTCAGCCTCCCAAGAAGCTAGGGCTACAGGCACATGCCACCAGCTGGCTTTTTTTTTTTTCTCTCTTTTTGAGACGGAGTCTTGCTCTGTCACCCAGGCTGGAGTATAGTGGCGCAATCTCGGCTCACCACAACCTCTGTCTCCTGGGTTCAAGCAATTCTCCTGCCTCAGCCTCCCGAGTAGCTGGGACTACGGGTGCACACCACCATGCCCCACCAATTTTTGTATTTTTAGTAGAGACAGGGTTTCACCATTTTGGCTAGGATGGTCTCAATCTCTTGACCTCGTGATCCACCTGCCTTGGCCTCCCAACGTGCTAGGATTACAGGCGTGAGCCACCGTGCCCGGCCCAGCTGGCCTTTTATATATATATATATATATATATATATATAATTATGTATAATATATAATTATATATAATATATTATATATAATTATATATAATATATATATAATATATTATATATAATTATATATAATAAATATATAATTATATATATTTATATATAATGTGTGTGTGTATATATATATATATATATATATATATATATATATACTTTTTTTTTTAATAGAGACAGTGTCTCGCTATGTTGCCTAGGCTGGTCTCAAACTCCTGGACTCTAGCAAGTCTCCTGCCTCTGCCTCTGCCTCCCAAAGCACTGGGATTGCAGGCATGATGAATCAGGCCTGGCCTTAAAAATCTTAAAAGTAAGATTCTTGACTCCAATCTAAATGATCTGATTCAGTTTATATGGGGCCCAGAGGTATGTGTATTCAATAAGCACCCTATTGTATCATGTCTGGACTGATGTTAGGAAAACAGTAGGATAAAATCCTACCTATTTCCTGACATAAGAAGGATTGCCCACATTTGCTTCATAACTGAAGCAGCTCCCTGTTCCCAGCACATTAAAAAAAATATTTTTTCACAGTCCTCTTAGGGACGAATCTCCTAGCACTTATATATTAACCCCATTTTCTGTTTTTCTTTTTTTCTTTCTTTTTTTTTTGAGACAGAGTCTTACTCTGTTGCCCAGGCTGGAGTACAATGGCACAATCTCGGCTCACTGCAACCTCCACCTCCCAGGTTCAAGCGATTCTCCTGCCTCAGCCTTCCGAGTAGCTGGGAGTACAGGCATGTGCCACCTGGCTAATTTTTGTATTTTTAGTAGAGACAGGGTTTCGTCATGTTGGTCAGGCTGGTCTCGATCACCTCAGGTGATCCACCTGCCTCAGCCTCTCAAAGTGCTGGGAATAGAGGTGTGAGCCACCACGCCCGGCCCCTACCCCACCTTCTTTAAGCAAATGACATAAACCACACAGAGAACACTTTCCTTCTGGGGCTGAGAGTCAGGCTTGGATTCAGCTGTCCCAGGTGGCTGGCCTCCCTTCTTTTGCCATCTCCACAACCACTGGCATTGGCACAGCTTCCTGGCTCCTAGGCATTGATACTGAAGGGAGAAAATGACTGGTATTAATATGAAGTGGCTGGTAAGCATTTGGTTTTCTTCCAAACCTCTTGTTGGGCAACTTAAAGGAAGCCATCTCTTCTAAATAAAATATTCAGTCCTATTGGACCTATCCTTCCTAGAAAATGTCTAAGTACAGCAGAGGAAAGGAACTGCATTTAGTGAGCACCTGTGTGCCAGGTGCCTTTCACACAGAATCTCAATCTTTATAACTACCATGAGAGGCAAATATCATGAGACTTATTTTACACATGAGGCCACTGAGGTTAGAACAGTCAAGCAACTTTCCCAACACCACTCAGCTAGTGAGTGTGAGTGGCACATCTCCTCAAATTCCAAAGTCTATGCTTTTCTCCTTATGCCAAGCTGCCTCTGGAACAGAAGAAAGTCTTTATGGGTCAAGTTCAAGGATTCAATACAACAGCAAACTTACAGGACATGGGACTTCAAAAATTACAAATACTATAATGGCAACTCCACTGAGCAACAGGGTGACAGCAATCAGAATTTTGACCACAATACTCCATTTCTGTCTCTTCTCTAGGTTCTCATCTGTGTCTAAAGGAGAGAGGGGAGTGGAAGAGGGAGAAAAGAAAATTTGAGAGAGGAAAGAGATTGATCCTTTGACCTGAAGTTCTTCTGGCTCACAAGACTATTAGAGGCCCAGACTAACCCAGAGGCAGAGGCAGAATTTCCAATTCAAACTCAGGGCTGGAGGGGGTGTGAGGGTGAGCTGAGCATCATGGGCTCTGCTCTAACTTCTTTTGCACTCTCTTCCCACTGAGTCACCTTCCCTGGAATTGGGGATTTTCCATAATCACATAGGGCTGATTCTTACACTGCTCGCAGGAAGAAAAATCTCGGGTACACATGGAGCTCTAAACTTCTTTTACTGTCAGCTTTATCAGGGTTCCTACCATTTTGCTCTGACACATTTTATGGGATTAGAAAGTCGCCTTTCCTATGTTTCTCCTGGCTTTCATAGAATATAAGAGGAAGAAATGTAAAAATTAGCACTGCTTCTGGGTCAGAAGCTCAATCTGGCGGCAAATGGCTAATATGCATTTTTTTTCTCACTCTGGCACTCAAGACTGGCATGCAGTGGCACAATCTTGGCTCACTTCAGCCTCAATCTCCCAGGCTCAAACCATCCTCCCACCTTAGCCTCCTGAGTAGCTCAGACCACAGGCGAACGCCACCATGCCCGGCTAATTTTTAAAATTTTTTTATACAGACAGAGTCTCATTATATTTCCCGCTGAGCTTGAACTCCTGGCCTCAAGTGATCCTACAGTCTTGGCCTCCCAAAGTGCTGGAATATTACAGGTGTGAGCCAACTCACCTGGCCCTAATGTGCATCTCATTATTACTAATATCACATTTTTCCCCTGGTAGAAACTAGGATGTAACCCAAATTGGAATCTTACAGAATTTTAGTCCTGGCCAATTTAAGGAGGACTGTTGCTAAAAAAACAGTGAAGAAGGCTGTGTGCGGTGGCTCATGCCTGTAATCCCAGCACTTTGGGAGGCTGAGGTGGGTAGATCACTTGAGGTCAGGAGTTTGAGACCAGCCTGGCCAACATGGTGAAACCCGTCTCTACTAAAAATACAAAAATTAGCCAGGCATGGTGGTGCATGCCTGTTGTCCCAGCTACTCAGGAGGCTGAGGCAGGAGAATTTCTTGGATCCGGGAGGCAGAGGTTGCAGTAAGCTGAGACTACGCTACTGCACTCCAGCCTGGGGGACAGAGTGACACTCCATCTTAAAGAACAAAAACAAAAAAACAGTGAAGATGAAAGTATGCTGTTGGAGGCCCAGCGCAGTGGCTCACACCTGTAATCCCATCACTTTGGGAGGCTGAGGCAGGCGGATCACAAAGTCAGGAGTTCGAGACCAGCCTGGCAAACATAGTGAAACCCTGTCTCTGCTAAAAATACAAAAATTAGCCAGGCGTGGTGGTGCATGCCTGTAATCTCAGCTACTCAGGAGGCTGAGGCAGGAGAATTGCTTGAACCCAGGAGGGGGAGGTTGTGGTGAGCTGAGATCACATCGCTGCACTCCGGCCTGGGTGACAGAGTGAGACTCCATATCAAAACAAATATATGCTCTTGGGGACGGGCGTGGTGGGCAATGCCTGTAATCCCAGCAGTTTGGGAGGCTGAGGCGGTAGGATCGCTTGAGCCCAGGAGTCTGAGACCAGCTTGGACAATGTGGTGAGACCCTGTCTCTACAAAAATTTAAAAATTAGCTGAACATGGTGGCACACACCTGTAGTCCCAGCTACTCAGGAGGCTGAGGTGGGGGGATCACTTGAGCCCCAGAGGTCAAGGCTGCAGTGAGCCATGTTTGCACTACTGCACTCCAGTCTGGGCAACACAAGACCCTGTCTCAAAAAAAAAAAAAGAAAAAGAAAAGCACTTGGTTGGTGTCATCACTCTTATAATTGCTTAGTGTTTAAATATTGTCCATCTATACATACAGTGGTTAGAATTACCTACTACAGAAATACAGTTTTTTCTGTCCCTAATTCTGGCGACAGGGTGAGCTCATTTGCGTGGAGATAAATGATCATTGATGGTGTCAAATTACAAACATTTCTGGGACCTTTATAGAGAAGCTAATTTTGTTGTTGTTGTTGAGACAAAGTCTCACTCTGTCGCCCCTGCTGGAGTGCAGTGGGACAATCTCGGCTCACTGCAGCCTCCACCTCTTGGGTTCAAGCGATTCTTCTTTCTCAGCCTCTCAAGTAGCTGGGGTTACAGGTACCTGCCACCACGTCCGGCTAATTTTTGTATTTTTAGTAGAGGCGGGTTTTCACCGTGTTGGTCAGGCTGGTCTTGAACTCCTGACCACAGGTGATCCGCCCACCTCGGCCTCCCAAAGTGCTAGGATTACAGACATGAGCCACAGCACCCGGCCTAGAGAAGCTAATTTTTTAAAATAAAAAATTGAATGATTTTTCAATGTACATTCAGTAACTTCTCAACCTCAAGAAAAATATCAGTAGATCCAGACTAACGCTGGGGCTAAAAATGTTTCTTTTCTGTTCCCATTTTACTCCTACTTATTCTGTACTTTGTCATTTCAAAGCTAGAAAAATTACCGGTACTTGTAGTTTTCTCTCCTTCTTTATTCCCAGGAGTTATAGAAGGGGCAGTGGTGGGAAAAGTCTCTGATGAAGCCCCCAGGACTTTACATTGTGAGATCCCTGGTAAAAAAGCTATAAAACAAAGTAGAAAAGATGAAACTTTAGGGGAAAACTTTATCCTGCCTTTGGTTTTATCTGATGAAACCCTGCCCAGCTGATAGTAAACTTCCAATTGTGGTCCCATTAACCTGTCTGTCCATAGGTTTAGGGTGTGAGCACAAAATAATGCCAAGAGTAAATGAGGATAGAGACACTAATAAGAGATATGGATTAAATGCCCATGGGACTTTTAACTAACATAGGATCAAAGTGAAGGAGTCATGCCAATGATATCATTGCCTATCATTATTTAGGCCATAATAATAATAAAGATGAAGGCCATAAAAACTGTTGACAGTTTCCTTCTTTAAAAAGAGATGGCTCCAAAGTCCAAGGAAGAACATGAAATATCACAGTTAGCCTTAATGACTGCTGCAAGTGTGTCTAGTAGAATCTAGATCAACTACTCTGAGAGGGGACTGGGGAAAGCAGGAGGAGCTGGAAGAAGGAAAAGCCACCCAGCTTCATGTACTCCTTGATTTCATTCATTCAGCAATTTTTTTTTTTTTAAGACAGGGTCCCCCTCTGTCACCCAGGCTGGAGTGCAATGGTGTGATCTCAGCTCACTGCAACCTCTGCCTCCCAGGTTAAAATGATTCTCGTGCCTCAGCCTCCCAAGTAGCTGAGACTACAGGTGCATGCCATCGCACCCGGCTAATTTTTATATTTTTTGGTAGAGATGGGGTTTCACCATGCTGGCCAGGCTGGTCTTAAACTCCTGACCTCAAGTGATCTGCCCACCTCGGCCTCCCAAAGTGCTGGGGTTACAGACATGAGCCACTGTGCCCAGCCTGGCCTTGCTTTCAAAGGATCTCTGGGCTACTGTGTGGGGAATGGGTTGGGGTGGGCAAGGGTAGAAGGAGGGTAACCTGTTAGGAGGCCATTGCAAAAGTCCAGATGAGAGATGATGTGATTCACACCAGCAGTGGAAGTGATGGGAGATGGATAGAGTCTAGCTGGAGTCTGGAAATAACCTCACTCGTCTCCAGAATTGACCTAATCCAATTCAGACAGTGTGGTTTCTGTTCTATTTTTAGTGGTCTCATATCATTGCTTATTAAATTAAGGTCTATAAATTCTACTTGACTTTTCTAAATTACTCTTCCATGTCTTAAGTCCATGAGAAAATGATAGTTCTTTACCTCAGAGGCCAGTGGCCATAGTACCAGGCACTGTACATGAAATCATAGGGGAAGAGGTGATCCCCGATTCCAGTTTAATCAGGAAGACAGTGTTGGCAGACATTGGCAGAGACAGACATAAAGTCAACAAGTTCAAAAGAAAAAACAAGAACATTTTCATCATAGTGCTAGTCAGTTCTTCGAAGTGATAACTTACATGTTTATAAGTCACATTAGATAAAAATAAACAAATCTCACTTTGGACAAGTCACCACAAGTTATCTGTGTTTTTTTTTTTAATCTGTAAGATGGTAATAGTAAAATAATACTTGCTCTACCTATTTCACAGGGGTGTTGTGAAGATCAGAAACAAATAAAAATGAGAAAGCATGTGTGTAAACACTTTGCAAACTGAATGATATTATGATTGAAAGAGGGGGAAAAAGATGACCTAATGAGTCATCTGTCTCCACCAGAAGGAAATTTTGAAATATTGATAACAGCCGTCTTTTCCTTTTCCAAATTTCTTAAATAATAACAAATAGTCTCCATTTACCTTTTTCTACATTCCATGTTGACCCACATCTTCTGATGAGCATTTGTATTGCAGAACATTCTCACCCTTACAGTTCCAAATTTCTATTTTACTTGAGGACATTTTCATGAACTGTCTTCTGACCATTTCCAGGACATCCTCCTATGCAGACTGTCTGGGACAACAGGCGCACACCACTACACCCGGCTAATTTTTGTATTTTTAGTAGAGACGGGGTTTCACTATGTTGGCCAGGCTGGTCTCGAATTCCTGACCTCATGTTCTGCCCGCCTCGGGCTCCCAAAGTGCTGGGATTACAGGCATGAGACACCGCGCCCGGCTCTAATTTTTATTTCTACCCTGTTTGAGGTTTATCACTTCTGGTATTGAGTGGAGATTTAAATTCAGGATAGGAAGTTTCAAACTTGTAGAAGGGATTATGTTTCAAAAGTTCATACATAAATTGGTTGTTTTGGACCAAGTGAGGTGGCTCACGCCTATAATCGCAGCACTTTGGGAGGCTGAGTTGGGCTCAAGTGATCTCACTTGAGGACAGGAGCTTGAGACCAGCCTGGCCAAAATGGCAAAACCCTATCTCTACTAAAAATACAAAAAATTAGCTGGGCATGGTGGTGCTGTAATCCCAGCTACTCGAGAGGCTGAAGCACGAGAATTGCTTGAACCTGGGAGGCGGAGGTTGCAGTGAGCTGAGGTTGCACCACTGTACCCCATCCTGGGGGACAAAGCGAGACTCTGTCTCAAATAAATAAATAGGTTTTTTGGGATTCATCATTATGGTTTCATAAAAATGTATCATGAGTGATGATTAGGTCCCCAAACTAATCTACAAATATCCATTTAATCTTTTTGCATAGCTCAAATAGTACAGAGTATTAGCTTAAATTCTAGATGTGGGAACCAACTACTATGTTATGAAGGAAAGAGGAAGAGTTTCTTTTTCTCTGGGAGGCTAACCAAGTGCAAATTTTTGAATTAGGTCAGGTTGATCTTTGGCATCTCTCCTCCCCCTTAACCCCTCAGTTTTCCTTGTCCCAATTTCTAAGAGCTAATGTCCTTAATTGCCCCAAGTCTCACAATGCCTAGCACTATATTCACTCCACCCAGAGTGCTCCAAACTCCAAAATGACTTAAGTCCACTTTTCCCCAACACAGCTGCCATGGACAGCAAGGTGTCACATGTTAAGAGGGAAACAATTGGATTTAATTAATTTGCATTAATATTCAAAGTTCAAAACCCTGCCAGAGTCTTTTGAGTTTGTTTATTTTTTCAGATGGAGTCTCGCTCTATTGCCCAGACTGGAATGCAGTGGTGTGATCTTGGCTCACTGCAACCTCCGCCTCCCGGGTTCAAGTCATTCTTCTGTCTCAGCCTCCCGAGTAGCTGGGACTACAAGCGCGTGCCTCCATGCCTGGCTAATTTTTTTATTTTGTTTTGTTTTGTTTTTTGAGACAGAGTCTCGCTCTGTCGCCAGGCTGGAGTGCAGTGGCGTGATCTCAGCTCCCTACAACCTCTGCATCCTGGGTTCAAGCTATTCTTCTGTCTCAGCCTCCTGAGTAGCTAGGACTACAGGCACACGCCACCATGCCCAGCTAATTTTTGTATTTTTAGTAGAGACGAGGTTTTACCATGTTGGCCAGGATGGTCCTGATCTCTTGACCTCATGATCCGCCTGCCTCGGCCTTCCAAAGTGCTGGGATTACAGGCGTGAGCCACCGCACCTGACGCTTTTGAGTTTTTAAGAGTTTTTCTGTAACATCCTGAGAGCCTATCCACTTATTTCCCAGTTTTAGTCTAGAGTTTAAAGTTTTTTCCATTATTCTGCTTGTGGATCCCCAATTTCTCTAAAAATGTCAAGTTTTATTTTATTTTTCCAGTAATGTAGCAATAGCATCTAGGGGACTGCCAGTTTATAAAGAGGAACCGGCTACACTAAAGAAAAAAAAAAACTATATGAAAAAAAGAAAGGGTGAGAAAAGGAAAGGAGGGCAGAAGGAGAGAAACTTCAGGCTGAGGTTAAGAACCACTGTCCAGCAGCTGTGGGGGAATAGGCATTCTCCCCCAGTGTGGATATGCACAATGGAACCAACCTCTAGTGAGGGTAATTTAGCAGTAACTATCAGCCTTTGATGCAACAATCCTGCTTCTTGGAATCTTATTGATAAATTGATAAATCTTATTGATAAATTGCAGGTATACAAGAAGAATATATATAGATACTGAGTAATAGTGAAAGAGGGGAAAAGAATTTATTAAAAGAAAAAAGAGAAAAAAGAAGAATATATACGGTCATTGTTTTCGGAATTGTTTGTATTTGCAAAAGATTGGAAACGACCAAAATATATATCAATAGGGGGCTAGTAGAATATAGAAGAGACATGGCCGGGTGCAGTGGCTCACGCCTGTAATCCCAGCACTTTGGGAGGCCAAGGCGGGCAGATCACAAGGTCAGGCGATCGAGACCATCCTGGCCAACACGGTGAAACCCCATCTCTACCAAAAATACAAAAAATTAACTGGGTGTGGTGGCGAGTGCCTGTAGTCCCAGCTACTCGGGAGGCTGAGGCAGGAGAATGGCGTGAACCCGAGAGGCGGAGCTTGCAGTGAGCTGAGATCGCACCACTGCACTCCAGCCTGGGCAACGGAGCGAGACTCTGTCTCAAAAAAAAAAAAAAAAAAAGACTATGGAAGAGACATACTATGGAATAATGTAAAACTGTTAAAAAGAATGAGGCAAATATAAAAAAGTATGGGGTAAATATATACGTATTGAAATGGAACGACCTATAAGATATATTATTAAATGGAAAAGCAAGGGATTGGCCAGGCGCAGTGGCTAACGCTTGTAATCCTAGCACTTTGGGAGGCTGAGGTGGGTGAAACACTTGAAGTCAGGAGTTCAACACTAGCCTGGCCAACATGGTGAAACCTTGTCTCTACTAAAAATACAGAAATTCACTGGGTGTGGTGGTGGGCACCTGTAATCCCAGCTAATTGGAAAGCTGAGACAGGAGAATCACGTGAACCTGGGAGGAGGAGGTTGCAGTGAGACGAGATCGCGCCACTGCGCTCCAGCCTGGGTGACAGAGTGAGACTCCATCTCCAAAGAAAACAACAACAACAACAACAAAATAACAATAACAACAAAAAACAAAAACAAGCAAAAGCAAGGGGCAGAACAGTGTATATGGTATGTTACCATTTATGTTTTTAAAATATGCACATTCATACATTCTTAGAGTATCTCCGGAAGGAAATATAATAAGTTGATAATAGTGGTTCCATCAGGGATAGAGAACTGGAGAATTGAGAGACAGGAGTAGGAGAGAGACTTACTTTTCACTATAAATCTATACTGTTTGAATATTTTACTGTGTGCATGCAAAATGAAATTAAAAAAAAAAAAAACCTGGCCAGGCACGGTGGCTCACGCCTGTAATCCCAGCAGTTTGGGAGGCCAAGGCGGGCAGATACTTGAGGTCAGAGATCAGAACCTGCCTGGCCAACATGGTGAAATCCTGTCTCTACTAAAAATACAAAAATTAGCCAGCCATGGTGGCAGACACCTGTAATCCTAGCTACTTGGGAGGCTGAGGCAGGAGAATCACTTTAACCTGGGAGGCAGAGGTTGCAGTGGGCCAAGATCGCACCACTGGACTCCAACCTGGGTGACAGAACGAGACACCATCTCAAAAACAAAAACAAAAAAAAAGAAATTTTAAAAAACTGTTGAAAGAAGATCCATCAGAAATGGAGATCACATGAAAATCACAGAGTATCAGGGCTAGAAGGGATCTTAGAGATTATAAAACTGACTCTCAGAGAGCACGTAGATTTGCCCAAGGGGAGGATAATTCATTTTCTTTTTTTTTTCTTTTATTATTATACTTTAAGTTTTAGGGTACATGTGCACATTGTGCAGGTTAGTTACATATGTATACATGTGCCATGCTGGTGCGCTGCACCCACTAACTCGTCATCTAGCATTAGGTATATCTCCCGATGCTATCCCTCCCCCCTCCCCCCACCCCACAACAGTCCCCAGAGTCTGATGTTCCCCTTCCTGTGTCCATGTGATCTCATTGTTCAATTCCCACCTATGAGTGAGAATATGCGGTGTTTGGTTTTTTGTTCTTGTGATAGTTTACTGAGAATGATGATGTCCAATTTCATCCATGTCCCTACAAAGGACATGAACTCATTGTTTTTTATGGCTGCATAGTATTCCATGGTGTATATGTGCCACATTTTCTTAATCCAGTCTATCATTATTGGACATTTGGGTTGGTTCCAAGTCTTTGCTATTGTGAATAGTGCCGCAGTAAACATACGTGTGCATGTGTCTTTATAGCAGCATGATTTATAGTCCTTTGGGTATATACCCAGTAATGGGATGGCTGGGTCAAATGGTATTTCTAGTTCTAGATCCCTGAGGAATCGCCACACTGACTTCCACAATGGTTGAACTAGTTTACAGTCCCACCAACAGTGTAAAAGTGTTCCTATTTCTCCACATCCTCTCCAGCACCTGTTGTTTCCTGACTTTTTAATGATTGCCATTCTAACTGGTGTGAGATGGTATCTCATTGTGGTTTTGATTTGCATTTCTCTGATGGCCAGTGATCATGAGCATTTTTTCATGTGTTTTTTGGCTGCATAAATGTCTTCTTTTGAGAAGTGTCTGTTCATGTCCTTTGCCCACTTTTTGATGGGAGAAAATTTTCGCAACCTACTCATCTGACAAAGGGCTAATATCCAGAATCTACAATGAACTCAAACAAATTTACAAGAAAAAAAACAAACAACCCCATCAAAAAGTGGATAATTCATTTTCTTGTAGCTTTTCCTGCTACGGAGTTCTGGCTGCCTTCAAGGATGTCAACTAAAAGTTAGTGCCTGCCCCCTTCCTCTTTTCCAATCTCACCTTTGCCTTTTAGAAGAGATCCAGTCTGAAACTTGGATGTGGGGATTAGGTGACAGCTTGAGGAGGCAGAGCTGTTTCTGCGGGGAGCAGCAATGATTCTCAGGTTCTTCAAAATATGCTTGACCTTTGGCCTTCTCTCCAAATATACAAGGTTGACTTTTACTTTGCTGTCAGAGCCAAGGCACTGCAGGGTAGCTATAGTCCGGTTTTGAATGAATGTTGTCCTTTTGGTTTCTGTGTGAGTTTCTGGAAGGAGAAGAACCAGATAGAAAAATGGAGCTGGTTTTGTTTTTTGTTTGGTTGGTTTTTTTGAGACGGTGCCTTGCTCTGTCACCCAAGCTGGAGTGCAGTGTCGCAATCATGGCTCACTCCAGCCTCAAACTCCCTCGATCTCCAAGCAATCCTCCCACCTCAGCCTCCTGAGTAGCTGTGACTATGGGACTACAGGTGTATGCCACTTTGCTCGGCTAATTTTTTAATTTTTTAAAAGACAGGGTCTTGCTGTGTTGCCCAAGCTGGTCTCGAACTCCTGGGCTCAAGCAATCCTCCCACCTTGGCCTCCCAAAGTGCTGGGATTACAGACATGAGCCACCGCACCCGACCTTGAAGCGTTTGCTCTTGTGGTCCAGGCTAGAGTGCAATGGCACGATCTCTGAGTTTTGCTCTTGTTGCCCAGAGTTTTGCTCTTGTTGCTCAGGCTGGAGTGCAATGGCGCAATCTCAGCTCACTGCAACCTCCGCCTCTCTGGTTCAAGTGATTCTCCTGCCTCAGCCTCCCAGGTAGCTGGGGTTACAGGCGTGCACCACCACATCCAGCTGATTTTTGTATCTTTAGTAGAGATGGGGTTTCACTATGTTGGTCAGGCTAGTCTCAAACTCGTAAGCTCAAGTGATCCACCTGCCTTGGCCTCCCAAAGTGCTGGGATTACAGGTGTGAGCCACCATGCCTGGCCAAAGCTGGTTTTTAATCTGAACAGTGCCAAGCTAACCCATTTCCATTCATGACCCCTGCTAAACTCCACTGCTGTACTTTCTCTCCTTTTAGTTAACTTCTTCAGTTTGTGTTCATAGTACTAATAGACAAGTCCTGCCTTTCTTCTGCCATGGTTCCCATGAAGGTTGGTGACAGCAGTAAATTTAGCACAGAGAAATGCTCATAGATTTTTCTTTAATGCAGAGAGGGGTAGGTTCTGCCTCCTTCTCTTTTTTCATCTCCATCCATTTGAGTAATATAAGCATGCCTTAGGTAATGACAGTTAATTTAAAGATTGGTTTCCAGAAAGCCCCCTGGGAGGATACATATCCTTAAAATAGGATATTTGAGATATGGGCTAGGAAGTGGGAAGATGAGATATCTTTTAAAGGTAAAAATTTTTTGGAATGGCAATATCATTTTCCAGAAAGGACCCATTCCCTACCTTGCATTTGCAATTCTCTGATGCTTCTCACGTCTTTTGGGAAGATCCCAGGCAGCTGTTCCAGTCGGCAACTGCTATCTCTGAGGTCTGGGGGTGAGCAGAGGGGGAGGAGGGGAACCGGGGAAGGTTTGGGGAAAATCAGAATTTACTGGTACTTACTTTTTAGAATTCTGGGCAATGGAGAAGATATGAAAGATTGCAGTTCCTGCTCATAAAACTTGCAACTTGGGAGATCAAACACTCTCTAAAAAGACTTTACTTTTATTTATTTATTTATTTATTTATTTATTTATTTATTTATTTATTGAGACGGAGTCTCACTCTGTCGCCCAGGATGGAGTGCAGTGACGTGATCTCCGCTCATTGCAACATTCACCTCCTGGGTTCAAGGGATTCTTCTGCCTCAGCCTCCCGAGTAGCTGGGATTACGGGCATGCACCACCATGCCCAGCTAATTTTTGTATTTTTAGTAGAGATGGGGTTTCGCCATTTTGGCTATGCTGGTCTCAAACTCCTTACTTCAGGTGATCCACCTGCCTTGGCCTCCCAAAAGTGCTAGGATGACAGGTGTGAGCCACCACGCCCGGCCCTCAAAAAAGAACACCCAGCCAAATACATACAAAGTAGTAGTTGACCTAGTATAAAGAATACTGTGTACCAATCTATTACCCTTAGGACAAAGAAAGGTCAAATAGAGTTAAGAAAATTTACTAAGTTAATGAAAGTCTAACCAACCCATTTCCTTAAATACTGCTTATTTTCTCTTCTCCCTCCTATTCTGTCTTCTTTCTTGTATTAAATAAAGCTTTTGGAGATTTATATTGTCTGACCTTGGTATCTCTATAGGTTTCCACAGAACCATAGGTCTTAGTTATTTATGCTTTTTGGCACATAATTCAAAGGGTTGTGACATTTTTATAATTTGTCAAATTCGTTACTGCTGCACTTTGTGCCATTTGGTCTTAATTCTGATTAGCTAATTTTATTTTTTTATTTTAATTTTTTATTTTTTGAGACAGAGTCTCATTCTGTTACCTAGGCTGGATTTCAGTGGTACGATCTCAGCTCATTGCAACCTCACCTCCCAGGTTTAAGTGATTCTTATGCCTCAGCCACCCGAGTAGCTGAGATTACAGGTGCATGCCACCATGCCTGGCTAATTTTTGCACTTTTAGTAGAGATGGGGTTTCGCCATGTTGGCCAGGCTGGTCTCGAACTCCTGACCTCAGGTGATCCACCAATCTTGGCCTCCCAAAGTGCTGGGATTACAGTCATGAGCCACCGTGCCCAGCCTTGATTAGCTAATTTTAGAGATGAAATGTTTATGAAACTTTGAAAACTCATATTTTAAATAAGCAGTTACCAAAGAGCAGCAAATGATGCCATTCCACCCAATATCACCCTTTCCCTCAGCTCTCCCCACCCAAGAATATCACCGTCTAGCTATTTACATGTACCAACTTAAAAAAGGCAACATCTTATGAACAGTATGAATTTGGGAACCTTAGGTGATGACAATACTGAAACTCTAAAGAAAGCCATCCAACAGTGAAAGGACTTTTAATGTTAATTACATGAACAAGACATAAGAATGCATCACATTCTCTGAAGACCTCTCATCATGAAACAGACAGCTATCTCTCTGGAATGAATAAGTTGCAGTCCTTCTTAGAGGCGAGTGGATACATGGGATTAACTCTGGAAAGTATTGCTTGCTGGATATCAGCTACATCTCTATCTGGTGGAAGAGACCCCGAAACTCTTTCTAGGCCTCTCTCTGTATTTTCCAGGAGATTAGGCTAGAGAATTACATACCTTTCTTGTTGGCATCATAGGATGCAATGATTAGGCTGAAGACCAAGATGGTATCCATGTTAGCTTGAGCACATGCTCATTGCAGACAGACCACTGCTCATCTGTCACAGCCCTTGATAGCTCTGCCTCTAGTTGCTTTCACCACACGCAGCTGGAACCAAGTTTGACCCTGAGAGACTCTGATTCCACCCTGATTATTTTGCCCCATTTCCTGAAGACCCAGGAATAGATCTAATTGGAGAAAGGGCTAATTCTGCTTATTAATAATTCACTCAGACTTCTTCTGACTTCGCTGCCGGTGCCGACATAGAGAACTAGATTACCTAGAGGTTTCTCGAGCAGGAAGGCCATAAACGCCCATTGATATGCTTTACAAATACTTGCAGATAGACACGTAGACATTTACATGCATGCTCACTGACACAGGCACAGAGATTTATATACTTTCATGAAAAGATGTGGAGATTTCTAGTAAGGAATATAATTTCTAGAGCAGGAATTATAGAAATAGAGCAGGAAACTAGGACTAGGAGTCAGTACAATTGAGTTCTAGTACAGGCCCTTTTATGAGCTATCACCTTGAGAAAATTACTTGACTTCTTGGGATCTAAATGTTCTCTTCTATAAATTGAGAGTCCTGAACCATATGATCTCTTTTTTTTTTGAGGCAGAGTCTCGCTCGGTCGCCCAGGCTGGAGTGTAGTGACACGATCTCGGCTCACTGCAAGCTCTGTCTCCCAGGTTCACGCCATTCTCCTGCCTCAGCCTCCTGAGTAGGTGGGACTACAGGCGCCCACTACCATGCCTGGCTAATGTTTTTGTATTTTTAGTAGAGACAGCGTTTCACCGTGTTAGACAGGATGGTCTTAATCTCCTGATCTCGTGATCCACCTGCCTCGGCCTCCCGAAGTGCTGGGATTACAGGCATGAGCCACCGTGCCTGGCCTTTTTTTTTGTGAAATGGAGTCTCGTTCTGTTGCCCAGGCTGGAGTGCAGTGGCATAATCTTGGCTCACTGCAACCTTCATCTCCTGGGTTCAAGTGATTCTCCTGCCTCAGTCTCCTGAATAGCTGGGATTAAATGTGTGTGCCACCCTGCCGGCTAATTTTTATATTTTTAGTAGAGACAGGTTTCACCATGTTGGCCAGGCTGGTCTCGAACTCCTGACCTCAAGTGATCTGCCCCCATCGGCCTCCCAAAGTGCTGGGATTACAGCCGTGAGCCACCCCAGCCGGCCGTGAACCATATGATCTCTAGAATTAATCCAGTTATATATATAAACTCACATTAGCACAGACATACCTATTGAGTTTTGCACATCTTCACACTCCTGAATAGTGAAGTGAGTATTGGTGGACAACATTCTGATGACCATTGGGCTGAGAGGTTGTGAGGAAGAGCTAAATACGGCAGGTGAGTGGTACTGTCTGTGGCTTGGGAAGGTTTTCCTAGACAGATAACTGTTGTTGAAGATTTTTCCAAATTTGTATTTTTTTAGTGTCTAGTGTAATAATCTGTAGACTTTGTCATGGCATAGATAGATGGAGCATAAAAGAGAATGAAGGGCCGGGCGCGGTGGCTCACGCCTGTAATCCCAGCACTTTGGGTGGCTGAGGCGGGTGGATGACCTGAGGTCGGGAGTTCGAGACCAGCCTGACCAACATGGAGAAACTCCATCTCTACTGAAAGTACAAAAATTAGCTGGGCATGGTGGCGCATGTTTGTAATCCCAGCTACTTGGGAGGCTGAGGTAGGAGAATCGCTTGAACCTGGGAGGTGGAGGTTGCAGTGAGCCGAGATTGCACCATTGCACTCCAGCCTGGGCAACAAGAGCGAAACTCCGTCTCAAAAAAAAAAAAAAGAAAAGAAAAAAAAGAGAATAAAGATCTACCCCATCTTTATCAAACTCTACAGCTTCTTTGGTCTTGTTTTATTTTGGAGATGGGCTATGTTTTGTAGAGACACAGTCTCACTGTGTTGCCCAGGTTGGTCTCAAACTCCTGAGCTCCAGTAATCTGCCCACCTTGGCCTCCCAAATTGCTGGGGTTACAGGTGTGAGCCACTGCACCCAGACTAGAAAACTTTTTAAAAAAGTTTTGCTATGAGAAAGAAAGCAGAGAAATGAGGCCACTGACTAGAGGGAACATAAATGCCTCACATCTTTATTGGTCCAAGGAAATCTTTATTCATCCTCCCCACCCTCTTGCCTCTGGCTGCCTGCTTCTCTTAGCAGAGGAGGTGGTTAGGGCAGAGGGGCTCCATTGCCTTCCTTGGGTTTTGTGATTTTTGCTTACTATTTCCTTAACATGATGACATGATTCTCTGCTCCCCTGAGGTATTATCACCTTCCCTCCTGTTGCTCTATTTGAAACTCTCTGTACATTAGTTCCTAGATGCCACGGTACAATGCTGCCACCTTGGAGCAGGAGTAGGAATTGATCTGAGGGCTTGCTGTTCTCATCCAGTGTCACAAGGTGGCAAAAGAGCTCACTTTTCCCAAAAGAGACCTTGTGCTTGGCGAAAGATGAAGTCTAAGAGTTTTCTTTGATCACCTCGCAGACCCTACCCTTTTCTTTTGTAACTTAAAGACTCTAAAGTCAGCCTGGGCCAGGCACGGTAGTTCACACCTGTAATCCCAGCACGTTGGGAGGCCAAGGCGGGTGGACACTTGAGGTCAGGAGTTCAAGACCAGCTTGACTAACAAGGTTAAACCCTGTCTCTACTAAAAATACAAAATTAGCCAGGAGTGGTAGCGCATGTCTCTAATCCCAGCTACTTGGGAGGCTGAGACAGGAGAATCATTTGAACTCAGGAAGCAGAGGTTGTGGTGAGCCAACAGCACACCACTGCTCTCCATCCTAAGCGACAGAGCAAGACTCCATTTAAAAAAAAAAGTCAGCCTGCATATTGGAGTAGGCCATACTGTCGGGGGCAGAGCGGTGGAAGAGCTGCAGTCAAAATATCCAGGAGTAGGCCGGGCACCGTGGCTCACGCCCATAATCCCAGCACTTTGGGAGGCTGAGTCAGGTGGATCACGAGGTCAGGAGTTCAAGACCAGCCTGGCCAACATGGTGAAACCCCATCTCCACCAAAAATACAAAAATTATCTGGGCGTCGTGGCACATGCCTATAGTCCCAGCTACTTGGGAGGCTGAGGCAAGAGAATCACTTGAACCCGGGAGGCGGAGGTTGCAGTGAGCCGAGATTGCACCACTGCACTCCAGCCTGGGTGACAGTGCGAGACTCCATCCTCCCCCACCAAAAAAAAAAAAAATCCAAGTGTAGACAAATAGATCCATGTTTCTATTATTTCTAATAGACTATTTCTCTACTCCTAGATATTTTGACTGACTTTCTAAGCATTTGGAATATCAGTGGAGCAGAGTATATCTCTTCTGATCTCCTTTTCCCACAACAAAAACATCAAATTTAGCAGGAAAAAAGTTATGAGTTTTATGACATATGCAGTTCAGAGATATGGCGTTGGAAGAGAGTAGGAACTAGGACCAAATGGATGAATCAGGATGGGTCTGCAGAAGGAGCACTTGACAGGAAGCCAGGAGGCCTACCCTAGGCTCTTTAATTGACTAAATCAATTTGAACAGGTCACTTGTCTTCTCTTGGCCTCTATTTCGGTTTCTGTAATGAGGTGGTTAGACAAAATGGCTTACAAGGCCTCTTCTAGCTTTAAAATTATTGTACCTGCACACTATGCTACTCTTTTTTTTTTTTTTTTTCGAGACAGAGTCTCGCTCTGTCGCCCAGGCTGGAGTGCAGTGGCGCGATCTCGGCTCACTGCAAGCTCCGCCTCCTGGGTTCACACCATTCTCCTGCCTCAGCCTCCCAAGTAGCTGGGACTACAGGTGCCCGCCACCACGCTTGGCTAATTTTTTGTATTTTTAGTAGAGATGGGGTTTCACCGTGTTAGCCAGGATGGTCTTGATCTCCTGACCTCGTGATCCACCTGCCTTGGCCTCCCAAAGTGCTGGGATTACAGGCGTGAACTACTGCGTCTGGCTTATGCTACTGCTTTTTAAAGGCTGCATGCCATTTTGTTCATTTGTTTTGGTTTGTTTTTAAATTTAAAAAATTTAATAATGGAGGCAGGGTCTCAGTATGTTGCCGAAGCTGGTCTTGAACTCCTGGCTCAAGCAGCCCTCCCACCCCAGCCTCTCAAAGTGCTGGGATCATAGGGATCAGCCACCAGCATGGCCATTTTATTTCTTTATTTCTTTTCCTTTATTTTTTTTTGAGACGTAGTCTCGCTGTGTCCCCCAGGCTGGAGTACGGTGGCGTGATCTCAGCTCACTGCAACCTCCGCCTCCCAGGTTCAAGCCATTCTCCTGCCTCAGCCTCCCGAATAGGTGGGATTACAAGCGCCCATCACCACGCCTGGCTAATTTTTGTATTTTTAGTAGAGACGGGGTTTCACCATGTTGGTCAGGCTGGTCTCAAACTCCTGACCTCAAGTGGTCCACCCGCCTCAGCCTCCCAAAGTGCTGGGATTACAGGCGTGAGCTACTCGGCCTGGCCGCGGCCGTTTTTTAATTGTGGAATATACCATATATACAGGAGAGTATATAGAACATAAGTATATTTTCAATAATAATAATAATACTGAAAAGGTGAACATATGTTACCATCACCCAAATTAAGAAATTGAACATTGCCAGCATCATGGATGCTCTTTACATGTCTGTGCCTCTGGTCCTCCGGTCTCTTTCCTCCTCCCAATCTTTATTTTTCCATGTTTTGTAAAATCATTGAACTATCAGCCGGGCGTCGTGGCTCATGCGTGTATCCCAGCACTTTGGGAGGCTGAGTTAGGTGGATCACCTGAGGTCAGGAGTTCAAGACACGCCTGACCAACATGGAGAAACCCTGTCTCTACTAAAAATACAAAATTAGCCAGGCATGGTGGCAGATGCCTGTAATCCCAGCTACTCGGGGGGCTGAGGCAGGAGAATCACTTGAACGCGGGAGGTGGAGGTTGCAGTGAGCCGAGATCGTGACATTGCACTCCAGCCTGGGCAACAAGAGTGAAATTCCATCTCAAAAACAAACAAACAAAAAAATTGAACTCTCTATATATGTATCACTAAAAATATTTTGTTTACTTTTGAATGTTATATAAATGGAATCAAACTCTATGTATTTTTTTTTTTTTGAGATGGAGTCTTGCTCTGTTGCCCAAGCTGGAGTGCAGTGGCATAATCTCAGTTCACTACAACCTCTGCCTCCCAGGTTCAGGCGATTCTCCTGCCTCAGCCTTCCAAGCAGCTGGGATTACAGGCATGTGCCACCAAGTCCGGCTAATTTTTGTATTTTTAGTAGAGACGGGGTTTCGCCATGTTGGCCGGCCTGGTCTCGAACTCCTGACCTCAGGGTGATCCGCCCACCTCAGCCTCCCAAAGTGCAGGGATTACAGGGATGAGTCACCGTACCTGGCCTAATTTTTATTTATTTATTTATTTATTTATTTACATTATTTTTGGAGACAGAGTCTAGCTCTGTCACCCAGGCTGGAGTGCAGTGGCACAATCTCGGCTCACTGCAACGTCCACCTCCCGGGTTCAAGCAATTCTTCTGCCTCAGCCTCCCAAGTAGTTGAGACTACAGGCACACACCACCATGCCCGGCTAATTTTTTTTTTTTTTTTTTTTTTTAGTAGAGACTAGTTTTCACCGTGTTGCCCAGGCTGGTCTTGAACTACTGAGCTCAGGCAATCCGCCTGCCTTGGCCTCCCAAAGTGCTAGGATTACAGGCGTGAGCCACCGCGTCTGGGCTGGAAATTTCTTTTATGTGTTCTCCCAGTCACTCCTCACCATCAAAAGTAAATATTATCAGCTGGACACTGTGGCTCACACCTGTATTCCCAGTACTTTGGGAAGCTGAGGCAGGTGGATCACCTGAGCTCAGGAGTTCAAGATCAGCCTGGCCAACATGGTGAAACACCGTCTCTACTAAATATACAAAAATTAGATGGGCATGGTGGCTCATGCCTGTAGTGCAGCTACTCAGGAGTCTGAGGCAGGAGAATCGCTTGAACCCAGGAGGCAGAGGTTGCAGAGCCGAGATTGGGCCACTGCACTCCAGCCTTGGTGACAGAGTGAGACTCTGTCTCAAAAAAAAAAAAAAAAGGAGGGGCCAGGCGCAGTGGCTCACGCCTGTAATCCCAGCACTTTGGGAGGCCAAGGAGGGCAGATCACCTGAGGTCAGGAGTTGGAGACCAGCCTGGCCAACGTGGTGAAACCTCGTCTCTACTAAAAATACAAAAATTAGATGGGTGTGGTGGTACGCACCTGTAATCTCAGCTACTCGGGAAGCTGAGGCAGGAGAATTGCTTGAACCTGGGAGGTGGAGGTTGCAGTGAGCCAAGATTGCACCACTGCCCTCCAGCCTGCAGTTACAGAGCAAGACTCCATCTCAAAAACAAAACAAAAAAAAGAATGTATTATCCAGATTCTTGCCATCACAAATGAGTTTTGCCTATTTTTTTTTTTCTAGAAATGGGGTCTCTCTCTCTCTGTGTGTTGCCCAGGCCAGATTTGAACTCCTAGGCTCAAGTGATCCTACCATCTCAGCTTCCTGACTAGCTGAGACTACAGGGGCATGCACCTGGCTTGTTTTGCCCATTTTTTTGTTGTTGTTTTATTTTGACAGGGTCTTGCTATGTCACCCAGCCTGGAGTGGAATTGTGTGATCAAGACTCACTGAAGCCTCCAACTCCTGGGCTCAAGCAATCCTCCCACCTCAGCCACCCAAGTAGCTGGGACTACAGGCGTGTATCACTTGCCCAGCTAAATTGTTTATAATTTTTGTGAGATAGGGTCTCCCTATGCTGCCCAGGCTGGTCGCGAACTCCTGGCCTCAAGTGATCCTCCTGCTTTAGCCTCTCAAAGTGCTAGAATTATAGGCATGAGCCACTGGTACCTGGCCTGTTTTGCCTGTTTTTGTAGCAGGAAACATACATTTTTTGCTCAACATTATGTTGGTAAAATCCATCCGTATTTCTTCATGTAGCAATCATCTGTTCATTCTCATTGCTTTATAATATTTCATTGTATGAATGTATCACAATTTATATATTCATTCTCCTGTTGAGAGACATTTGTGTTGTTTCCAGTTTGTAGCCATAATGAGCAATGTTTCTGGGGCAGTTTTGAAAGTTTCTCCAGGGTATAAATCCAGAAGTAGACGCTGGTTATAGGGTATGTAGGGTATGTACAACTTTACCAATTAATGCCAAACTGTTTTCTAAGGGATTGTCCTCATTACACTCCTACTTGTAATATATGCAGGTTCCTACTATTACACATGCTTGCCAAAGGGGCCAAAGAATCTTTCCTGTGTGATGCAATAATAAGCCTGAGTGGGGCCAGGCATACTCACACGTGCCAGCCCTTTGGTTGGTACTCAGAAGCTCAGGCCACAGTCATTTGCTCCTTCCAAGTAAGGGTAAAGGATTCATAATATCCCAAGGTCCCTGATCACATGCTCCATTAACCTGGAAATATTGGGGCGGATGGGTTGGTGAACTGAATTTTCATTTTATTATTATTATTTTTTTAGATGGAGTCTTGCTCTTGTCACCCAGGCTGGAGTGCAATGGCGCAATTTTGGCTCACTGCAACCACCACCACCTGGGATCAAGTGATTCTCCTCCTTCAGCTTCCCGAGTAGCTGGGATTACAGGTTCCCGCCACCATGCCCAGCTAATTTTTGTATTTTTAGTAGAGACAGGGTTTCACCATGTTGGCCAGGCTGGTCTTGAACTCCTGACCTCAGGTGATTCACCCACCTTGGCCTCCCAAAGTTCTGGGATTATAGGTGTGAACCACAGTGCCCAGCCACTGAATTTTTTATTTATTTATTTTTTGAGACGGAGTCTCGCTCTGTCACCCAGGCTGGAGTGCAGTGGTGCAAACACGGCTCACTGCAACCTCCGCCCCTCGGGTTCAAGTGATTCTCCTTCCTCAGCCTCCCTCATAGCTAAGACAGGGCCTCCACTCTGTTGCTCATGGTGGGTGCAGGAGGCAGTGAATTTAGTAATGACACAATTTTTTGTTTGTTTGTTTGTTTGAGACGGAGTCTCACTCTGTCTTGCCCAGGCTGGAGTGCAGTGGTGTGATCTCGGCTCACTGCAACCTCCGCCTCCCGGGTTCAAGCAATTCTCCTTTCTCAGCCTCCCAAGTAGCTAGGACTATAGGTGTGTGCCACCACACCCGGCTAATTTTGTATTTTTGGTAGAGACGGGGTTTCATCATGTTGGCCAGGTTCATCTTGAACTCCTGACCTCAGGTGATCCACCCACCTTGGCCTCTCACAGTGTTGGGATTGCAAGCATAAACCACTGTGCCCAGCAATCACAATTTCTGAATTAATTGAGGATCCATAAAGCATTCTGTTCTGTATCGATTACTAATAGGAAATGAAAGGAAAGGAACATGGAGAGAAAGGGGAAAGTAATATTTTCTGTGTGCCTACTATCTAACAAGCTCTGTGCCAGAAGCTTAACATGTTGGTTACATCATTTAATCCAAAACACCACCTTAGAAGGTAGGCTTTATATCCTGAATATAAGATAGATATATATAATATAGATAAGGAAACTGAGGCTCAGAAAGGTGTCAGTTCCTCAAGGCCACAGAGCTAATTAGCGACAGAGTCAGGATTTAAAGCATAGCCTGATTAAAGAGCTCAAGCTGTTTATAATACAGAGCACAGAGAAGGTAGAGTTGCTGCCGCTCTTGAGACTGACACTGCCAATACCAAGAATCGGTTCTTCTCAGTTTTGCTTGCCTGTATTCACCCCCAAAACTATGTTATTCAACTGATTATGACCATCTTGTTCATTGATTGAAGCTACATTTCCTTTTCATGGATTTTTTGTTGTCTTTATTCTTTCTTCTTTTTTTTTTTTTCTTTTTCCAATAAGAAAATTGGGCACATCAGCACAATAGGTCCACTGATAAACAAGACTTGTGTTGGAAAATAACTTTCTACCTGCAGGTCTAGGAGTTAACCAGAGGTGAGATGATATATATATATATATTTTTTTCTGAGACGCAGTCTTGCTCTGTCACTCAGGCTGGAGTGCAATGGCATGATCTTGGCTCACTGCAACCTCCGCCTCCCGGATTCAACGGATTCTCCTGCCTCAGCCTCCTGAGTAGCTGGGATTATAGGTGCCTGCCACAACACCCAGGTAATTTTTGTACTTTTAGTAGAGACAGGGTTTCTCTATGTTGGTCATGCTGGTCACAAACTCCTGACCTCAGGTAACCCTATTGCCTTGGCCTCCCAAAGTGCTGGGATTACAGGCATGAGCCACCACACCTGGCCCAGAGGTGAGATTTTTTTTTTAAAAAGACGTGACATTGTGGCCAGGTGCAGTGGCTCACGTGTGTAATCCCAGCACTTTGGGAGGCTAAGGCGGGTGGATCACAAGGTTAGGAATTCCAGATCAGCCTGGCCAAAATGGTGAAACCCTGTCTCTACTAAATATACAAAAATTAGCCAGGCGTGGTGGCAGGTGCCTGTAATCCCAGCTACTTGGGAGGCTGAGGCAGGAGAATTGCTTGAACCCGGGAGGCAGAGGTTGCAGTGAGCTGATATCGTGCCACTGCACTCCAGCCTGGGTGACAGAGTGAGACTCCGTCTCAAAAAAAAAAAAAAAGACATGACATTGTGAAATCTTCTGCTCTAAGATATCACATACAGGAAAATTTTAAGACAAGGTATTAAAAGGATAAAAAGAAATTGAATGATGGCTCAATTTTTCTTGACGATAAAGGCTCTACAAAATTATTAATGTTATATTTTATTATGTATTGTGTTTCATATATAATAACAACAATAGAGAGTGAAGGTAGAAGACAGGTAGAGGCCTAAATATGTAGCAGGAAAAACCTGAACCTGATATAGGAATGATGGAGACACTAGGGAAGTCTAAAGAGAAGGTAGGGATGGGGCAGGAAATCAACTTACCAGGAGCACCGTCATGGCTTTAGAGGAAAGTGAAGTCAGGGATGGCTAGGCTATAAAGCTGATCAACATAAAATGTCAGAATCCTACGACTGGGCAAAATCCAAACAAGTCATCTTGTCCATTTTCCTGTTTTTAAAGAGCCCTTTAAAATTTCTCCAGGTATTTTAGTTGTGAGGTGTGTAGGACTTAGAAAGGGATCTTAAAAACATATATATTGGAGGTGTCATGGAGGAAGAAGTTAAGATTTGGTAACTGGCTGAAGTATAGAGACTGGAAGTGTTTGCCATTGGATAAGGAAGGAGTGAGAGCAGAAATGCCATGTGAAAACCCTGTGTCCATGTGAAAACATCGTGGGGAGTCTCTACTACTCATGCTGTCCTTCATTGTGCAATTCTACCTTTCATCATTAGGACCAGACTTATGAAGTGGCCTTCCTGAGGAGATTTTCTGACCTTATGGTATGAAGTTCCTTCAGGCTCTTAATTCTGGATAAACTGGAGTGATTAACAAGAGCAAAGAGACATAGTATTCAGATAAGGACTTTGTGTCTTATTTTTCTTTTATATCACAACTGGAGCCACAGTTGTGGGCAAGGCACTGACTTTCTTGATGAATTCTGTCCATCTGTAAAGCAGCTATATATCCCACTGGAGGCTTTGCCTCTCAGAGACAACGTGAAGACGGATAAGCAGGCATCAGGAGCAGAGTGGCCTCTCAGGTACAGAGCTAATCTTTATTTCAGTCAATGAAGCGCTTACTAATAGAAATACCTAGTCCTACTTGAAGAGCTATAAAAGGGGGTAGCAAACTATAAGAGATGGTCTCTGCCTTCAGGATTTAACTGGAGAGCTAAAACCAGTATGCAGACAAAAAAATATATCCTAATTAAATTCTGAACTGTGGGCCAGGCATGGTGGCTCACACCTGTAATCCCAGCATTTTGGGAGGCAGAGGTGGGAGGATCATTTGAGGTCAGGTGTTTGAGACCAGCCTGGCCAATATAGTGAGACTCTGTCTCTGCCGGAAATACAAAAATTGGCTGGGCATGTGATTCCAGCTACTCGGGAGGCTGAGGCAGGAGAATCACTTGAACCCGGGAGGCGGAGGTTGCAGTGATCTGACAGCACGCTACTGAACTACAGCCTGGGAGACAGAGCGAGACTCTGTCTCAGAAAAAAAATTCTGAACTGTGTGGTATGACCATATTGCTACAAGAATTCAAAGGAGAGAGAGATCAGTGAAAGCTGGAGAAGTAAGAGAAATCTTGGAGAAAATGGGACTTCCAAGGACTAGAAAGATTCAGAAAAACAGGAGAAAAGTTGGACAAGTCTGCCACCATAAACAAAGGTATAAGGATAAGAATAAGCATGGCAAGTGCCAGAAGCCAGATTAAAGTATGACTATTGGTGGTCAGCAGGAAATAATATCCCAATAATTCCTCTATTCTCTGTCCTAAAAATTGATCACTGACCTTGTTATCTACGAATTTGGATTCATGGTCAGACAGCCCCAGGACAGGGGGGGCTCTTCATGGTTCTATTTTCTTTTCTTTTTCTTTTTTTTTTTTTTTGAGACGGAGTCTCTCTCTGTCTCCCAGGCTGGAGTGCAGTGGCCTGTTGGCTCACTACAACCTCTGCCTCTCGGGTTCAAGCGATTCTCCTGCCTCAGCCTCGTAAGTAGCTGGGATTATAGGTGCCCGCCACCATGCCAGGCTGATTTTTGTACTTTTACTAGACATGGGATTTTGCCACGTTGGCCAGCCTGGTCTCGAACTCCTGACCTCAGGTGATCCGCCCGTCTTGGCCTCCCAAAGTTTTGGGATTACAGGCATGAGCCACCATGGCTGGACTCTTTTCTTTTTTTTGAGATGGAGTCTTGCTTTGTTGCTCAGGCTGGAGTACAGTGGTGCAATCTCGGCTCACTGCAACCTCTGTCTCCTGGGTTCAAGTGATTCTGCTGCCTCAGTCTCCCAAGTAGCTGAGACTACAGGCACGTGCCACCATACCCAGCAATTTTTTTATTTTTTATTTTTATTTTTTTGACAGAGTCTCACTCTGTCACCCAGGCTAGAGTGCAGTGGCACGATCTCGGCTCACTGCAACCTCTGCCTCCTGGGTTCAAACAATTCTCCTGCCTCACCTCCTGAGTAGCTGGGATTACAGGCGCCTGCCACCATGCCCAGCTAATTTTTTGTATTTTTAGTACAGACAGGGTTTCACCATATTGGCCAGGCTAGTCTTGAACTCCTGATCTCAGGTGATCCACCCGCCTCGTCCTCCCGAAGTGCTGGGTTTACAGGCATGAGCCACCGTGCCCTGCCGCAAATTTTGTATTTTTATTAGAGACAGGGTTTCACTATGTTGGCCAGGCTGGTCTAGAACTCCTGACCTCGGGTGATCCACCCGCCTTGTGTTCCCAAAGTGCTGGGATTACAGGCGTGAGCCACCATACCCAGCCCATGGTTCTATTTTCTATTAAGGCACTTTGTTTCCTCCCTTGATTCAACTCAAACCTGACTTGAGAGACTTTCTTGTCCTAAGAGTGACAGGTATTGAAGGCCTTGTTGTTCAACAGAGACTCTGGCACACAAAGAGGGGAACAATAATGATAAATCTTAAACGACTGTTCTCAAACTTTAGGGTGATTAATTATTAGGGATGCTTTAAAAAAAGAAAAAGTCGGCCAGGTCCAGTGGCTCACGCCTGTAATCCCAGCACTTTGGGAGGCCAAGGCGGGTGGATCACAAGGTCAGGAGTTTAAGACCAGCCTGACCAACATGGTGAAGCCGCGTCTCTCCTAAAAATACAAAAATTAGCTGGGCATGGTGGCACGCGCCAGTAATCCCAGCTACTTGAGAGGCTGAGGCAGAAGAATCGCTTGAACCCGGGAGGTGGAGGTTGCAGTGAGCCGAGATCGTGCCACTGCACTCCAGCCTGGGTGACAGAGCGAGACCGTCTCAAAAAAAAAAAAAAAAAAAAAAAGAAAAAGAGAAAGAGAAAAGAAAAAGTCAACCAGGTGTGGTGGCATGTCCCTGTAGTCCCAGCTACTTGAGAGGCTGAGGTGGCAGGATCGCTTGAGCCCAGGAGTTGAGGCTGCAGTGAGTAGTTGTGATTAAAAAAAAAAAAAAGGGCTGGGAATCTGCATTTTTAACAAGCACCCTGGTGGTTTTGTTTTTTTTTTTTTTTTTGAGACGGAGTCTCGCTCTGTCGCCAGGCTGGAGTGCAGTGGCGCGATCTCAGCTTACTGCAAGCTCCGCCTCCCGGGTTCGCGCCATTTTCCTGCCTCAGCCTCCGGAGTAGCGGGGACTACAGGCGCCCGCCACCACATCTGGCTAATTTTTTGCGTTTTTAGTAGAGACGGGGTTTCACCACATTAGCCAGGATGGTCTCGATATCCTGACCTCGTGATCCACCCGCCTCGCCTCGGCCTCCCAAAGTGCTGGGATTACAGGCGTGAGCCACCGCGCCTGGCGCACCCTAGTGTTTGTTTCATCAGGTGGTTAGTGGGACATGCTTTGAGAAACGATGCCCTAATCTAAATATTTGACCGAAAAATGCCAAATGAAGCTGTCTGGACAGTGGCGCATATAATGTTTATATATATCTGGGTTTATCAATTTTTGAGAATTTATCTTTTCTCATCTATGGCTATTACAAATTCATATGGCTATCATCTAAAGAGTGTGACACAGACACTCTGTTTTAATGTGCTAGTTTTGTCTTCTTAAATAGACTATAATCACCTTGAAGACAGGGACCTCTCATACTTTTCTGACTTTACCCACAGGAAGATAAGAAAGCAACTTTAAGGTTGGAAGGTAGCTGGGATGCTCAGGATGAGTCCCTAATACCTTTACATCACCTTGAAAACCCTGGAAGTCATATATTTGGGATTTTGTATTCGTTTTCTAGGGCTGTTATAGCAAAGTACCACAAACTGGTGGCTTAAACAACAGAAATGCATTTCCTCAGTTCTGAAGGCTAGAAGTCCAAGATTAAGGTGTCAGCAGTTAGTTTTTTTCTGATATTTTCTCCTTGGTTTGTACATGGCCATGCATGCCCTATGTCTTCATATGTGTGTCTGTGTCCTCGTCGCCTCGTCTTATAAGGACGACAGTCATACTGGATTAGGGCCCACCCTTATGACCTCATTTTAATTTAATTACCTCTATAAAGACTTTGTCTCCAAATATACTCACATTCTGAGGTATTAGGGGTTAGGACTTCAACAAATGAATTTTGGGATACAATTCAGCCCATAACAGACCTCTAGTATCAGCTTCTAGAAATGTACCACTCATCCTTCTCTTCCATTTGTTAGTCTCATATAGTAAGTTCTCTCCACCCTTTGGTTCTCCTCCTCCGCCTCTTACAGACGTAATAGCTTGTGTAGCAATAACTCATGGAGCAGCTCTAAAGAACCTACAGTAGGGATGGGCAGGTTGTGGCATGCACCAAACACCGTAACACTCAGGGGTTGCTGAAATTCCAGTTGTACTGTCTTAAAGACACAGCTCTTTGCTCATTCTCTGCCCAGCTGTCTTAGCATTTGGTGATAACAATTAGATTATTAGATCCTCTGTAAGTGACCTTGGTATCGTAACTCATCCTTCCTTAATTACTTTTTTTTTCACTGTAGCTTCTATTAGGACTTTCTTTGGCCAGTTCTTTAGAAAGCTCAATTATTTAAAATAATCAGTGAAGTCAAAAGCAGGACATGCAGGGGCTGGCTGAAATTTCACATAAGGACAGTTTTTGAGGGTAAATCCCTGGTTTTGCAGAGCTTGTAAAGCTGGTAAACAGCAACACCATTAAGAATCCTGGGGAGACTTGGCGTGGTGGCTCACATTTGCGGCCAGCACTTTGGGAGGCTAAGGTGGGCGGATCACGAGGTCAAGAGATCGAGACCATCCTGGCCAACATGGTGAAACCCCGTCTCTACTAAAAATACAAAAATTAGCTGGACTTGGTGGTTTGTGCCTGGAGTCCCAGCTATTCGGGAGGCTGAGGCAGGAGAATGGCTTGAACCTGGGAGGTGGAGGTTGCAGTGAGCTGAGATTGCACCACGGCACTCCAGCCTGGGCGACAGAGCGAGACTCCATCTCAAAAAAAAAAAAAAAAGAATCCTGGGGAAAGAATTCCTATTACTTAAGAGGATCTAGGAAAGGTAAAAGAAAAGTAAGAGGCAACCGCATGGTTTTTAGTTCTTTTGAAGTCACTCCCTTCATGTCAGCTTCAGAGACTGCTGTTATGGAAAGGCAAGGCTTCCCTCTTCCCAGGCCATTTTTTTCGGTGAGTCAAATCAAACATCTTACTAAACCAGGAAGTCTTGCCCAATTATCTTTTTCCTCCCACTACATTTGTCCAACTGATTGATATATTAGTGATATAATTATTGTGAAATATGAATCCCTGTTCTGTAAAGTCCACATCTTTCCTAAGTTCTCTGCTTCCAATCCCTGTTATTTAATTAACTTATTTATTTAGAGATGGGGTCTTTTTACGTTGCCAGTGCTGGGGTGCAGTGGCTATTCACAGGCGCAGGCACAGTACACTACATATAGACTTGAACTCCTCGCCTCAAGCCATCCACCCACCTCAGCCTTCTGAGTAGGTGGGACTACAGTCCAGGTACGTGCCACTGTGCTTGACCCTATTATTTTAAAAATGGGTTGATAAATTCTTAGGGAAGCCCCACTTAGTGGGATTATGAGGGCTCCTAGATAAATATTGTTCCTTGTTGACCAATCTTTCCCTCTTTCTGCCTCAGCTTCCGCCAAGAACTTCTTACCTGGGCATGTATTTCTATCCTATTCACTTTTTACTCTCTGGCGTGGAACTTCTTCCTACCAAACTGTCATCCTCTGCACCTCTCCTGGCCTTCCTCACAAGTTTGTAAGCATTAAGAAGGTGCGCTGCATGCTTCATTAAATTCCTCCTTGGAAGGGCTGAGTTCACCCTGTTCTTCTCAAGTGCAATTTTCTCCAAGTTTCTTCCCTACGCAATGTTTGTATTGTGTTGGGACCCCTTCCAGTTATTATTAATTTTCAACACACAGCTACCATGAAAGTCTTGCTATGAAGTAACTGGCAAAACTAGAGACACCGACTGGCTTCCTCTCAAAGGCTCGGCGTGCCCACAGTGGAGGACGGGAAGCATTCTCCAATCCGAAAAGTCTGGAACGCTGTGGCAACTATTTTGCTCAGGGCAGGCAGAAGACGGTGGTTCTTTGGTACATTCCCCTTCTTACTGAGCTTCGTTTACTGAGGCTTCTCCTCAACACGCCAGGATCCAGCATGTATAACACCTTTGGAGTGGGCTGTCTCGGGGCTGAGGAGCGAAACGGGGGGCTGGTTATGGAGTTCCAGCATGGGGTTACTTAGCTCGCCCAGACTTGGAAACCAGCCAGCGTGATGAGGACAGGTAGTGGACGCGATTGCCCACCCCTTGTTAATGTGTTAGGATTAAACAGACAAACGGGCCCGCACACCGCCTGCCCCATTCTAGCCCGCCTTAATTCTGGGTTCCCTTTCCCCGCCTCTACAGGCCGGCTAGTCCTGGCCCCTCACTTGGGACGCCTCTGTCCCTGATGCGAGGCGCATGCGGGACCGCTTCCCCCACTCCCCTCTCCGCCAGGAGGAGGAGCCGAGGGGTTGGCCCCGTACCCGGCTGTGGCAGAAGGGGCCGCGAAGGCCGGGCCAGGGGCGCCACGACTGCCCAGGGCCCGCCCGCGGCCCGCCCGCGGCCCGCCCGCCCTCTAGCCGCTGGGCCCCGAATGGCAGATCCGCGCTCGGACCATCGGCATCGCCTCACATCGCTCCGCCCCGCGCCGCCCTCCCATTGGCTGCCGCTGAGCCCTCGGGCCCGCGCCTCGCCCCCCGGCGGCCCTGGCAGCGCCGCAGCCCGGAGCGGGGTCGGAGGTGAACGGCCTGGAGTAACCCCGGACGTAGTCACCTCATGGAGCTCGCCGGCTGAGGTGGGAGACAGGGGCGGGGCGGGGGCGGGTCAGGCCCCTGAAGCCCCGCCCCTTCTCCGTGTGCCGGGCCGGCCTGGTGCTGCACGCCTGTCAGCCATCGCCCGAGCCGCCGGCGTCTCCTCCCGCCCAGCAGTTCCTCCACGCAGGGGCTCCGGAATCGCCCGACCGCACACGTTGCCACCCTGAGGTGAGGTGAGGGCCGGCCCAGAACCTGTGACCGGGGACCTGGAGAAACTGGGGCCAAGGGAGGGGCGGCGGCAGGCAGGGGGCCGCCTCCCAGCCTCCGCTCACCCGCACGCGGCCTGGGCTCCACACTATCCAGATCGGGTGCGGGGCAGCCCAGCCCTTCCCGCAGCTCTGAGGCCTTGAGGTCCCCTCCCTAGAGACATGGAGAGGTCTGGGGTCTCGGGAGGTGGGGATTCAGATCCCGGAACTGGGAGGCGTACAGTTCAGGGCTCCTCTAGGAAGGGGGGCTGGAGTTTCTGCCTGGAGCTCGCCCGCCACCCCTCTTGCCCAGCTCCAGCGTGGTCTGATTCCTTCCAGACCCCTCTCCAATCCGATTCTGGGCTCGGGAGAGGGAGAAGACCACGTGGGAAGGGGGCGTTGCGGGTTGGGTCTGATTGCATTGAAAGTCCTTTCTCTCTTGCAGAGTGAGGTGTGGGGTGCAGACCTCACTTGCTCTCTCCGTGCCTTTGTATCGTGGCGAGAGCCAGGGCCAGGCAGGTTGTATCTGCCAGTTCCTGTTCCCAGGATTTTATTATGTTCTCTGCGAGGGACATAGTAAATGTACATGCCTTTTGTTACTCTCCTCGTTTGCCATGCTGATCAAGGGAAGTTACTGGAAATAGGACGTAGGAAGCTGATGTGAAGCTAATGATTTCACAGGAAAATGTGCGTGAAGGTCCTGCCCGGATCGGGGCCAACATTATTTTGGATTTGAGAGTGGGAGAGTGGACACTAATGGACACTTGAAATCACCTCTAAAAATCAGGGACTTCGTGTAGGCCTTGTGGGTTCTATAGAGACATTTAAGAATATAACTGCTCAGGAGAAATAGTTTAATTTCAGATATTTTTGTTTGGAGGTTTAAGACTGGAATAAAAAAAAAGACCCTAGGCCTTCCTGATTCTGTTTCTACTTAAGCGATGTTTCAGTAATTTCCTAATGTGTGGATAAACCTAATAACCACATCTTCAGTCTCAGAAGTTTATTTCCTTGGATTTTCTCTCTCTTTCCATTCATTTTTTCCCTCCCAATTCGGTAGTATAGATTGAGAAGCATGCTTTCTTTGGTTACATGGTCTTTTCTCACTCAGCAGGGAAGAATACTCATATTTGTCCCTTCTTGAGGGGGATGCCCTGGATGTCTGTGATGAGAAGGATTTCTGTGGTGCTTATTTGACAGGCACTTTTCAGAAAAGCATTGTGGCCTAATAGAGCAGGACCACAGTTTACCTGTCCAGATAGATGCCTGCTTGCTACAAATAGCAAGTTTTTTCCCACTTCTCTTGCCTCAGTTTCTTCATTTCTCAGTAAAACTGAATGCATAACAGGAGGACTGATGTGAACCCAAGAATATTAAACATTTTAAAGTGGGCATATGAAAGATGCCAAAGGTAAAGTATTAATTTATGAAGCCATCTGTGTTTACTAGTGTTGTAGAATTTTGTTGTTGTTGTTTTGTTTGTTTGTTTGAGATGGAGTCTTGCTCTGTCACCCAGACTGGAGTGCAATGGTGCGATCTTGGCTCACTGCAACCTTCGTCTCCTGGTTTCAAGAGATTCTCATGCCTCAGCCTCCCGAGTAGCTGGGATTACACGCGTGCGCCACTACGCCTGGCTAATTTTTGTATTTTCGGTAGAGACAGGGTTTCACCATGTTGGCCAGGCTGGTCTCCAACTCCTGACCTCAGGTGATCCACCCTCCTCGGCCTCCCAAAGTGCTGGGATTATAGGCATGAGCCACCACGCCAGGCTTGTTTTGTTTTGATTTACCAGTGCATAATAGAAATACATCAAGCATAAGATTAAATTGCTTTTTAAAAAGGAAGTCTTGGGAAATGGTGGCATTTATCTTAGTGAATTTATAGTTCAAAAACTAGGTAATGCTGAAGACCTGGTATTGTGAAAGCCAGCCTCAGAGAACGCTCTCTCATCTGATGTTGACCTCTCTAAAGTGCTGTGAACAGGTTCAGGTGTAGATCACTATGTAACATTATTTCCTTTGCAGTCAATGACTAGGAAAATTTTTATACCTGTCACGTGGACTGGTTTAACAGGTTTAGGGCTAGTGTTTTTCTTTCTTTAAAATCTTTTTTTCCTTTAATTGGATGGCTAATATCCTAATAGTCTTAGTTGAGGAAAGAAGTAAATTAAAATACAAACTGTGGAATAATGCATTAGAAATTAGTATTTTCAATTGTGGGAGGAGAAGAGAATCCTTTTGTAATTCAGAAAAAAAAGTTATCTCATTATCTAACATGTTCTTAAAGATTAACAATTATAGAAGCTGCCGGGCGCGGTGGCTCACTCCTGTAATCCTAGCACTTTGAGAGGTCGAGGCTGGCGAATCACAAGGTCTGGAGATCGACACCATCCTGGCTAACACAGTGAAACCCCGTCTCTACTAAAAATACAAAAAATTAGCTGGGTGTGGTGGTAGGCACCTGCAGTCCCAGCTACTCGGAAGGCTGAGGCAGGAGAATGGCATGAACCTGGGAGGCAGAGCTTGCAGTGAGCTGAGATTGCGCCACTGTACTCCAGCCTGGGTGACAGAGTGAGACTCCGTCTCAAAAAAATAATAATAATAATAATTATAGGAGCTATGTGTCAAGTATCTTTCCAAACCCGTAAAACAGTAAGATTACAAAAAAGCGAATAAACAGTAGAAACTCATTGGCTAAAAAATTCCTATTAACTATTGAGATAATTACCATTAATCTTCTACTTTAACAGATTATTAACAGATTATTAACTGGTTTTTTGCTTGTTTCAATTTAATTTTATTTTATTATTTTTTGGAGTCGGAGTCTCGCTCTTTTGCCCAGGCTGGAGTGCAGTGGCACGATCTCGGCTCACTGCAACCTCCACCTCTCAGGTTCTAGCAATCCTGCCTCACCCCCCTGAGTAGCTGAGACTACAAGGTGTGCGCCACCATGCCCGGCTAATTTTTTGTATTTTTAGTAGAGATGGGGTTTCGTCATGTCGGCCAGGCTGGTCATAAACTCCTGACCTCAGGTGGTCCGCCCTCCTCATCTTCCCAAAGTGTTGGGATTACAGGCGTGAGCCACCGCATCTGGCCTCCATTTTATTTATTTATTTATTTATTTGAGACAGAGTTTCACTCTTGTTGCCCAGGCTGGAGTGCAATGATACAATCTCGGTTCACCGCAACCTCCGCCTCCCGGGTTCAAGCGATTCTCCTGCCTCAGCCCCTCGAGTAGCTGGGATTACAGGCATGTGCCACCACGCCTGGCTAATTTTTTTGTATTTTTAGTAGAGATGGGGTTTCTCCATGTTGGTCAGGCTGGTCTCGAACTCCCGACCTCGGATAATCTGCCCACCTCAGCCTCCCAAATTGCTGGGATTATGGGCGTGAGCCACCGTGCTTGGCTATTTTATTTTATTTTTTTGAGACAGAGTCTCACTCTGTCACCCAGGCTGGAGTGCAATGGTGTGATCTTGGCTCCCTGTGACCTCCACCTCCCATGTGCAAGCGATTCTCCTGCCTCAGCCTCCCGTGTAGCTCGGATTACAGGCGCCTGCCACCACACCTGGCTGATTTTTGTATTTTTAGTAGAGACGGGGATTCACTGTGTTGGCCAGCCTGGTCTTGAACTCCTGACCTTGTGATCCACCCACTTCGGCCTCCCAAAGTGCTGGGATTACAGGTGTGAGCCACTGCGCCTGGCCACTTTATTTTTTATGTATTTATTTATTTTTTTGGAGATGGAGTCTCACTTTGTCACCCAGGCTGGAGTGCAGTGGTGTGATCTCGGCTCACTGCAACCACCGCCACCCGGGTTCAAGCAATTCTCCTGCCTCAGCCTCCCAAGTAGGTGGGATTACAGGCGCATGCCACCATGCCTGGCTAATTTTTGTATATTAATAGAGATGGGGTTTCACCATATTGGCCAGGTTGTTCTCTAACTGACGTCAGGTAATCTGCCTGCCTTGGCCTCCCAAAGTGCTGGGATTACAGGCATGAGCCACTGTGCCTGGCCTTTATTTTTAAGTGTTTTTGATTTATTATTTTTTTAGAGATTCTCTCGCTGTGTCACCCAGGCCGGATGGAGTGCAGTGACGTGATCATTGCTCATTGCAGCCTCAACCTGGGCTCAAGCAGTCCTCCACCTTACCTTCTGGAGTAGCTGGGACTGCAGGTGTACACCACTGCGCCCAGCTAATTTTAAATTTTTTTTGTGGGGTGGAGTGGGGGTCTCGCTTTACTGCCTAGACTGGTCTCGAACCCCTGGCTTCAAGTGATCCTCCGACTTCAGCCTCCCAAAGTGTTGGGATTATAGGTGTGAGCCATTGCACTCAGCCTGTTTCTTTAATTTTAAAAAACTGTAATGAGTACTGTATTCGCTTGAATCTAATGGACTATTTGAAGGTGATATTAAACAGGTAAGAAACTATGACAAATAGTGTCATAAGGATGTTGCACTTACACTGTATAAATCTGATTGATATGGCATTAATTCTTATGAGTTTAGCTGGCCAATCTCATTTAAGTGTTCTCTAATGATGCAGTTCTCTTACTAATTTGTTACTTTTTCAAGTTACCATTGGGCTGTCTAGTCTTAGGATGTTTAAGGAGGCAAGTGAAAAGTGGCTTCAGCAAGGGCTATTCAGTGCCCTGCCTAAAGGTTGGTGGCCCCAGTTGGTCTTGCCTTTCGATGATGTTGAGACTTAGACTCATTCCATCCTTTTAGCATGCCATACTCATGCTGTTTTATATAAGGAACCACAATAATGTTTACCATTCCATGACATCAGGACTGGAAATTGCATGGCAGTACTATTTATGGAGTGGTTATTTCAGATAGAATAAAATTGTATAAATTATTTTCTTTATTTTGAGACAGGGTCTCTCTCTGTCATCCCGGCTGGAGTGCAGTGGTGCAAACATGGCTCACTACAACCTTGACCTCCTGGAGTCAAGCGATCCTCCCACTTCAGCCTCCTGAGTAGCTGGGATCGCAGGCACATGTCACCATGCCTAGCTAATTTTTTAATTTTCTGTAGAGATGAGGTCTCAGTGTAATGCTCAGGCTGGTTTCGAACTCCTAGGCTCAAGCAATCCTCCTGCCTTGGCCTCCCAGAGTTTTGGGATTACAAGTATGAGCCACCATGCCCAGCAAAGTTGGAAAATTCCGAATGAACTCATGAAGTTTAAAAAAACAGACTCAGTTTTGGGGAGTCTTTCTCAAGAAATATAAGGCCTCATTTATGAATATTTGGTTATCCCCTTTGATAGAAATAGAGTATAATACTCTTAATGAAGTTCCTGTAAAATTATCTTTTTTTTTTTTTTTTTTTTTTTTTTTTAGACGGAGTCTTGCTCTGTCGCCTAGGCTGGAGTACAGTGACGTGATCTCAGCTCACTGCAACCTCCTTCTCCTGGGTTCAAGTGATTCTCCTGCCTCAGCCTCCTGATTAGCTGGGATTATAGGCGCACACCACCATGCTCGGCTAATTTTTGTATTTTTAGTAGACAGGGCTTCACCGTGTTGGTCAGGCTGGTCTTGAACTCCTGACCTCAAGTGATCCGCCAGCCTTGGCCTCCCAAAGTGCTAGGATTACAGTTGTGAGCCACCGTGCCCAGCCTATCTTCTTTTTTTATAAGCATTTTTCAAATCTGTTCTTAGTTGTGTATATATTTTACACACATGCCAAGATTTGGAATAGTAGGTTGATAGGAGCTTGATTAGTTTTTAAGTTTATTAGGAGTAATATCAGTAGATTAGCAGCAAGAAAATGAATTGCTGGGTCCTGTTTTATGCTTTAGCATTTAGTGGTATTCCTGGCCCTGGCAAGGCAAGCTGTTTAATTTTACTTTGATTCTATCTCAAAATTCAATAACTTAATAGAACATTTAGTACTGGAAAGTACCTAAGGGATTTTCTTTTCCAGTTTTCCACTTAATATGAGAGAATATTTTATCTGATGTACGTTTGAAAGTTTCCAACGATAGGCACATCTGGCTTAAGGCATCACGGGGCAACTGATTTTTGGGAGTTCTTCATAATTTTCAACTTAAAACTGCCTCCCTAAAACTGCATAGGATGTTGTAGCTACAAAGGAATTAGGAATTTTTGCTTTAACCTGTAAATGTCTCCAGCATAGATCTCTGTTAGGTAATATAAAGTATAATGCCTTAACACATCCGTAGGACTTGAAGGCAAAAAAAATAAGCAGTATTTCCTTAAGGAAGAAATTTCTTTTCTTTTTTTTTTTTGATAAGGTCTCACTCTGTCACCCTCACTGGAGTGTGCTGGCACAGTCATGGCTCACTGTAGCCTCACTGCAGCCTCAACCTGTCAGGCTCAAGTGATCCACTCACCTCAGCCTCCCAAGTAGCGGGGACTACAGACACACACCACCATACCTGGCTATTTTTTTTTTTCTTAATTTTGGTAGAGATGGGGTTGCGTCATGTTGCCCAGGCTGGTCTCAAACTCCTGGGCTCAAGCGATCTTCCTGCCTCGGGCTCCCAAAGTGTTGAGATTATACAGCCATGAGCCAGTTCTTTTCCTTGAGACTCTGGTTTTCTCTAAATGCAGCTCTATGAAATAAGATTACGAGCGTAAATTAATTCATCCTAGAACTTTCTGAATTCACAAAATGGCATTTTACCTGGAGGCCTTTAAATGTTTCTAGAGGATAATGTTTGAAATAACGACTTAGTTTATGTCTCCTAGTTTTGTAACTCAAATATTCGTTGCAATTCTGATAAAACATGAAGCCTGGCCAGGAACGGTGGCTCACCCCTGTAATCCCAGCACTTTGGGAGGCTGAGGTGGGCAGATCACAAGGTCAGGAGATCGAGACCATCCTGGGTAACATGGTGAAGCCTTGTCTCTACTAAAAAGACGAATGTGGTGGCAGGCGCCTGTAGTCCCAGCTACTCGGGAGGCTGAGGCAGGAGAATGGCATGAACCCGGGAGGCGGAGCTTGCAGTGAGCCGAGATTGCGCCGCTGCACTCCAGCCTGGGTGACAGAGCAAGACTCTGTCTCAAAAAAAAAAAAAAAAAAAAATGCAGCCTGTGAAAGCCTGGTGTTTACACAGCATTGTGAGGCATTGAGGGTGGTGGATCTAAAACAATTAGAAGAGGCTGGGCACGGTGGCTCACATCTGTAATCCTAGCACTTTGGGAGGCCAAGATGGGAGGATTGCTTGAGGCCAGCAGTACAAGACCAGCCTCGTTAACATAGCAAGACCTCCATTTCTCTCCTTTTTGTTGTTTTTGGAAGAGAGGATAACTTTTCCCAGCCTCATCTAGGAGATAACCCAGAGTCAATTACATAGTAACACATATTAAAGAAATAAGTGAATAACATTTCAGTTGTCTGGCTAAATCCTCTGACAGATATGAGATAAGGGATCAGAGTAGCATGGAATTAATTGAGGAAAGCTTTTTATTAAACTTACTTAAAATCTTCAGTTGGCAATACATTCATGTGGTTCAACATTTTATTTTATTTGTTTATTTATTTTTTGAGACAGAGTCTCACTCTTTGTCACCCCAGGCTAGAGTGCAGTGGCAGGATCTTGACTCACTGCAACCTCTGCCTCCTGGGTTCAAGCAATTCTCGTGCCTCAGCCTCCCATGTAGCTGGAATTACAGGCGTGTGCCACCATGCCCAGCTAATTTTTTGTATTTTTAGTAGAGATGGGGTTTTACCATATTGGCCAGGCTGGTCTTGAACCCCTGACATCAGGTGATCCTCCGGTCTTGGCCTCCCAAAGTGCTGGGATTACAGGCGTGAGCCACCGCACCCAGCCTGTTTCAACATTTTATTTTATATTTTATTTTATTTTATTTTTGAGACAATCTTGCTTTGTTGCCCAGGCTGGAGTGCAGCGGTGCGATCTCAGCGCACTGCAATCTCCACCTCCCAGGTTCAAGCAATTCTCCTGCCTCAGGTTCCCGAGTAGCTGGGATTATGGGCATGCGCCACGCTCCACCACGCCCCTCTAATTTTTGTATTTTTAATAGAGACAGGGTTTTACCATGTTGGCCACGCTGGTCCGGAACTCCCGACCTCAGGTGATCTGCCCACCTCGGCCTCCCAGAGTGTTGGGATTACAGGCGTGGGCCACTGCACCTGGCCTGGTTCAACATTTTAAAAGCACAAAAGGGGGCCATGTACGTTGGAGTACAATGGCCTGATCTTGGCTCACCACAACCTCCGCCTCCCAGGTTCAAGCGATTCTCCTGCCTCAGCCTCCCGAGTAGCTGGGATTACAGGCATGCGCCACCATGCCCGGATAATTTTGTATTTTTAGTAGAGACAGGGTTTCTCCATGTTGGTCAGGCTGTTCTCAAACTCCCAATCTCAGGTGATCTACCTGCCTCGGCCTCCCAAAGTGCTAGGATTACAGGTGCGAACCACCACGCCCAGCCCGAAACACATTTTTTTGTTTGTTCATTGTTTTGTTTTCGAGACAGGGTCTCGCTCTTTTGCCCATGCTGGAATGCAGTGATACAGTCACGGCTCACTGCAGCCTCAACCTCCTGGGCTTAGGTGATCTTCCCACCTAAGGGTCCCAAGTAGCTGGGACTACAGGCATGTGCCACCACACCCAGCTAATTTTTTCTGGGTTTTTTTTTTTGGTTTTTTTTTTCTTTTTTTGAGACGGGTTCACTATGTTGCCCAGGCTGGAGTACAGTGGTGCAATTATGGCTCACTGCAGCCTCGACCTCCTGGAATCAAGCAGTCCGCCCATATCAGCCTTCTGTGTAGCTGGGACCATAGGCACGTGCCATTATGCCTAGCAAATTTTTAATTTTTTTATTTTTTATAGAGACGGAGTCTCACTTTGTTGCCCAGCCTGGTCTTGAACTCCTGAGCAGTCGTAATGCCTCAGCCTCCGAAAGTGTTGGGATTACAGGTGTGAGCCACTGTGCCTAGCCTGTTGTATACTTCTATTGCATCACATCCAGTGATGCACACACAGAGTAAACCACACACACATCATACAAGGATGTCAGTTTTTCCTAATATTGGTGATATTTAGTTTGAATACTTAGTTAAGATGGTATCCATCAGATTTCTCCATTGTAAAGATACTTTTCCCTTTTGTAATTAATATGTAAGAATATGGCCAGGTGCAGTGGCTCATGCCTGTAATCCCAGCACTTTGGGAGGCTGAGGCAGGCGGATCACTTGAGGTCAGAAGTTCGAGACCAGCCTGGCCAACGTGGTGCAATCCTGTCTCTATTGAAAATACAAAAAAACTAGCTGGGTGAAGTGGTGGGTACCTGTAATCCCAGCTACTTGGGATGCTGAGGCAGAAGAATTGTTTGAACCTGGGAGGCGGAGGTTGCAGTGAGCTGAGATCTGGCCATTGCACTCCAGCCTGGGCAACAGAGCGAGACTCTGTCTCAAAAAAAAAAAAAGCTATATATATATACACACACACACGCGCGCACACACACACACATATGTAAGATATATATATGTAAGATATATCTTATATACGTATATATGTAAAATATATATGTAAGATATATCTTATCTATATGTAAGATATATGTATATATAATATATATTATATATATGTTTTATATATATATATATATGTAAGAATATGTTGTTTTCACTGAGCATGGTGGCTCATGCCTGTAATCCCAGTGCTCTGGGAGGCTGAGGCAGATGGATTGCTTGAGGACAGGAGTTTGAGACCAGCCTGGCCAATGTGGCAAAACCTCATCTCTACTAAAAATATAAAAATTAGCCATGTGTTGGGGCACACGCCTGTAATCCCAGTTACTTGGGAGGCTGAGGCACGATAATTGCTTGAGTCTGGGAGGTGGAGGTTGCAGTGAGCGGCGATCACGCCACTGCACTCACATCTGGGCAACAGAGCGAGACTCCATCTCAAAAAATAATAATAATAATAAATAATAAAGAATATGTTGTTTTCTGAAAACCCTTTATCCAATAGTTTTAACATATATTTACGATATTTGCCAACATCAGTTATTGCATTGGTGTTTTTTTTTTTTTTTTGAGACGGAGTCTCACTCTGTCGCCCAGGCTGGAGTGCAGTGGCGCGATCTCGGCTCACTGTAAGCTCTGCCTCCTGGGTTCACGCCATTCTCCTGCCTCAGCCTCCTGAGTATCTGGGCCTACAGGCGCCCACCACCACCCCCGGCTAATTTTTTGTATTTTTAGTAGAGACGGGGTTTCACCGTGGTCTCAATCTCCTGATCTCGTGATCCGCCCGTCTCTGCCTCCCAAAGTGCTGGAATTACCGCGCCCGTATAGCATTGGTGTTTGTAAAATGAATTATGTTTTCTAATTGCATCATTATCGGAGGTAATTATTTTGAGATTTTGCTGTCTGAAAATATGTCCTGTCCTCACAATTGATCAGCAACCTATTGTGTCTAAAATTCTAGATTGAAAATAATTTTCCTTCAGAATTTTGAAGGCATTGTTTAATAACCTTCAAGCTTCTGTTGTTATTTCTGATAAGTCTGAAAGGCATTCAAATTCTTGATCATTTGTATGTGAACTTTTTTCTCTCAGGAAGCTTGTAGGATCTTTTCTTGTGTTCAGTTTCTGAAATTTCAGTGATGTGCCTTGGTGTCTCTTTTTATTCATTATGGTAGGCACTTGTTGGGCCTTTTTAATCTGGCAATGACCATGGCAATCTGGCATGATTATCAGATTAAAATTTTTGCCCTTTGTTTTGTTCTTGCTTTTGGGAGCTTCTGTTACTTAGATATGGACCTTCTGAACAGGTTCTCTCATCTTCTTTTTCTCTCCTGTTGTTCATCACTTTAAATTTTTTTTTTTTTTTTGAGAGACAGAGTCTCACTCAGTCACCCAGGTTGGGTACTGCAACCTCTGCCTCCCGGGTTCAAGCAGTTCTGCTGCCTCAGCCTCCCAAGTAGCTGGGATTACAGGCGTGTAGCACCACACCTGGCTAATTTTTGCATTTTTAGTATAGTTGGGGTTTCACCCTGTTGGCCAAGGCTGGTCTTGAACTCCTGACCTCAGGTGATCCTCCCACCTTGCCCTCCCAAAGTGCTAGGATTACAGGCATGAGCCACCGCACCTGGCCCTCTTTGACTTTTTATTCTGATTTGTGAAAGCTTTTCTTTAACCTTATCTTCTGAGTTGTTTCATTGCTGTGATCATATTTTTAGCTTTTAAAAATTCTTTCTTGTTAAAAAATTTTTTTTCTTTCTTTCTTTTTTTTTTTTTTACGTAAGTAGGGATGGCGTTATGCTTTGTTGCTCAGGCTGGTCTGGAACTCCTGGACTCAAGCGACCCTCCTGCCTCAGCCTTCCAAAGTGTTGGGATTACAGGTGCGAGCCGCCGCACCTGGCCTAAAATAGTTATTTTAAAAATATTTCAGACCAGCTGTTGTGACTCACACCTGCAGTCCTAACATTTTGGGAAGTTGAGGCTGGAGGATCGCTTGAGCAGGAGGTTGAGATCAGCCTGGGCAACATAACAAAACCCCGTCTCCACAAAAATCACAAAAAAGCTAGCTGGGTGTGGTAGTGTGTGCGTAGTCCCAGCTACTCAGGAGGCTGAGGTAGGAGGATCACTTGAGCCCTTGTATTAGTCTGTTTTCACACTGCTGATAAAGACATACTCGAGACTGGACAATTTACAAAAGAAAGAGGTTTAATGCACTTACTGTGCTATATGGCCAGGGAGACCTCACAATCATGGCGGAAGGCAAGGAGGAGCACGTCATGTTTTACATGGATGGAAGCAGGCAGAGAGAGAGCTTGTGCAGGGAAACTCCTGTTTTTAAAACCATCAGAACTCGTGAGACTTATTCACTAACACGAGAACAGCATGGGAAAGACCCACCCCCAGGATTCGATTACCTCCCACCAGGTCCCTCCCACAACACGTGGAAATTAAAGAGGAGGTTTGGGTGGGGACACAGCCAGACCATATCATTCAGCCGCTGGCCCTTCCCAGATCTCATGTTCTCACATTTCAAAACCAGTCATGCCTTCCCAACAGTCCCTCAAAGTCTTAACTCATTTCAGCATTAACTCAGAAGTCCACAGTCCAGAGTCTCATCTGAGACAAGGCAAGTCCCTTCTGCCTATGAGCCTGTAAAATCAAAAGCAAGTTATTTACTTCCTAGATACAATGGAAATACAGGCATTGGGTAAATGTAGCCATTCCAAATGGGAGAAATTGTCCAAAACAAAGGGGCTACAGGCTCCATGCAATTCCATAATCTAGCAGGGCAATCAAATCTTTTTTTTTTTTTTTTTTTTTTGAGATGGAGTCTTGCTCTGTCGCCTAGGCTGGAGTGCAGTGGTGTGATCTCGGCTCACTGCAAGCTCCACCTTTCAGGTTCACGCCATTCTCCTGCCTCAGCCTCCTGAGTAGCTGAGACTACAGGCGCCCGCCACCACGCCCGGCTAATTTTTTTGTATTTTTAGTAGAGACTGGGTTTCACCGTGTTAGCCAGGATGGTCTCGATCTCCTGACCTCGTGATTTACCTGCCTTGGCCTCCCAAAGTGCTGGGATTACAGGAGTGAGCCACCACACCTGGTCTCAATAGATATTTTTTCTTATCGTTTCCCTCCTCCCATCTGCTACCCTCAAGTAGGCAATTGTTAATATCTTACATAGCCATAATACTTTTTTTTTTTTTTTTGAGAGAGAGTCTTGCTCTGTTGGTCAGGCTGGAGTGCAGTGGCATGATCTCGGCTCACTGCAACCTCCGCCTCCTGGGTTCAAGTGATTCTCCTGCCTCAGCCTCCCAAGTAGCTGAGATTACAGGTGCATGCCTCCATGCCCGGCTAACCATAATACTTTAGTCAAAACTATGAAATTAACATTGGTACAATAGTAACTAAACTATAAAACTGTATTTCCTGGGTTTTTTTTCCTCTAGAGATAGGGTCCCTCTCTGTCGCCCAGGCCAGAGTGCAGGGGCTCCATTATAGCTCATTGTAATGTGAAACTCCTAACCTCAAGTGATCCTCCTGCCTAAGCTTCCCAAAGTGTTGAGATTACAGGCATGAGCCACCATGCTGGCCTTCTGTAGCTTTTCTTTTTTAGTGATGTGTTTTTCTATTCCAGTATTTAATGTAGGATACCACATTGTATTTAGTGGTCATGTCTCATTAATCTCCCCTGATCTGTGATAGTTTCTTAGTCTTTCCATTTTTGTAATGGCTTGATGATTTTGAATAGTACTCATCAAGTATTTTATAGAATGTCCCTCAATTCAAATTTGTCTGATATTTTCTCATGATTAAACTAGGGTTATGGGTTTTTTGGGAAAATACCGCAGAGGTGAAGTTGCTTTCCCCTCCCCTCGACCCCTGTAGTTTTTAATGGTTTCTTGTTCCCTGTAATCTCTTTTCTTCAAGTTGCATTTTTTTAATCTACAGGTAGTTATTTGTTTTTAGTCTTTCATGTTGAAGTTTTTCTCAGACATCTGGTAATCTTTATTGTCTGTTTATATTTAAGAGGAAGTGTTGAAAGCTGATTAGAGGTGGTTAGCTTACTACAGTGTAATCTGGTTGGGCAACTCAATTAGGGACGTTGATGTTAGTAACTTTAGTTATTTTTCTCTCCTTGAGCTGGTCAGATTCTCCGAAGAAGGATCCTCTAGGCTGGGCACGGTGGCTCACACCTATAATCCCAGCACTTTGGGAGGCCGAGGCAGGTGGATCACGAGGTCAGGAGTTCGAGGCCAGCCTGGCCAATATGGTGAGACCCCGTCTCTGCTAAAAATACAAAAATCAGCCGGGAATGGTGGTGCGGGCCTGTAGTCCCAGCTACTCGGGAGGCTGAGGCAGAAGAATCTCTTGAACCTGGGAGGCAGAGGTTGTGGTGAGCCGAGATCATGCCACTGGACTCCAGCCTGGGCAAGAAGGATCCTCTAATCTCTCTCCGGGAAGGTGACGATTAGGGAAAGAGGACCGGAAAATCTTACTCAATATATTGACTTAATTTATTTATTTTCAGTATTGTACCCTGCCCCTTACTGTTGCTGGTATCCCCCAATCTAGAAACCCTCTGTTTAACCCTCTCTAGAGAATAAACCTAAAGTCTCAGGATGGTAGAGCAGCAGGCACCTGACTTCACTAGTTGGGGAGAAAATGTAATGATCTGAAGCTTCGGAAACAATTTCAACCAATCCTCCTTATTTTCTTTAGCTCTCTTTCACCTCCACTTTCTGAACATTTTGGGGAACGTATGACATAAATTGTGTTGATCGTAAGTTTACCACAGTTGGGCTATGATTCAGTTTTCTTGGGCTTGCCTAGTCATTTATTGCTCTTCTGTCTGCTTTCCAAGAAAATTGTCTTGTTGTCTACCCAGACTTTTTAATTTCTTTTTTGGTCTTTTTGTGGGTTATGCCTTTTTAGTTTATTTATTTATTTATTTTTATTTATTTTTTTGAGAAGGAGTCTCGCTCTGTCACCCAGGCTGGAATGCAATGGCATGATCTCAGCTCATTGCAGCCTCTGCCTCCTGGGTTCAAGCGATTCTCCTGCCTCAGCCTCCCAGGTAGCTGGGATTATAGGTGCACACCACCACGCCCCGCTAATTTTTGTGTTTTTAGTAGAGACTGGGTTTCACCATGTTGGCCAGGCTGGTCTCGAACTCCTGACCTCAAGCAATCAGCCTGTCTCATCCTCCCAAAGTGCTGTGATTACAGGTGTGAGCTGCCATGCCCGGCCCAACCCACTGTCTTCAGACAGTTTTCGCCATGGTGTCCAGGCTGGTCTCAAACTCCTGGGCTCAAGCCATCCTCTTGCCTCAGCCTCCCAGAATGCTGGGATTACAGGTGTGAACCACCACACCTGGCCTAGAGGTTTTTTTTTCTTTTTAAAAAAATTTTTAAATTTCTTTTTTATTTTTTATCTTTTTATTTTTTTGTTTATATTTTTTGTGTTTTCAGAGATTATTATACTACTGTAATTGTATATTTAGGTGTCAATAGCCACTTAGCTAGGGACAAATCTTATTTATCTTTGAATAATCAGCATCTGTTTCACTATTTGGAACACAAGTTCTTGTTATTTTAAAATTTAAAACTTGTGGTAAATTAAAATAGTTTTTAAAATAAAATTTTCTGTAATCCTTTTATGAATCACTGAATTAATAACCAAAATCCATTAAAAAATAAATGACAAAGTGAACAAGGCAAATTCACTTATTGTCTTTGAAAACTTTTTTTTTTTTTTTTTTTGAGACAGAGTCTCACTCTGTCACCCAGGCTGGAGTACAATGGTACAATCTTGGCTCACTGCAACCTCTGCCTTCTAGGTTCAAGCAGTTCTCTGCCTCAGCCTCCCAAGTAGCTGGGATTACAGGCACCCGCCACCAGGCCTGGCTAATTTTTACATTTTTAGTAGAGATGGGGTTTCACCATCTTGACCAGGCTGGTCTTGAACTCCTGACCTCGTGATCCACCTGCCTTGGCCTCCCAAAGTGCTGGGATTACAGGCATGAGCCACTGCACCCGGCCTCTTTGAAAACATTTAAGTGAACTTACTATGACTTGAGAGGCAAGGACATGTTGTAAAAGCTTGGATACTTTTATCAGTGGCTATGAAAACTAATTGCTGCCTCTTTATTAGAATTGCATGGAAAATACAGTGTAATTTGAGTTCAAGGAGAATATGCTAACTAAATTTGGTAAAATCTGTTGTATTTATTTAGAAAAATATCTCTGGGCCGGCCACAGTGGCTCACGCCTGTAATCCCAGCACTTTGGGAGGCTGAGGCAGGTGGATCACCTGATATCAGGAGTTTGAGACCAGCCTGGCCAACATGGTGAAACGCCGTCTCTACTAAAAATACAAAAATCAGCCAGGTGTGGTGGCATGCATCTGTAATCCCAGCTACTCGGAAGGCTGAGGCAGGAGAATAGCTTGAACTCGGGAGGCAGAGGTTGCATTGAGCTGAGATCGTGCCACTGCACTCCAGCCTGGGTGACAGATTGAGACTCCGTCTCAATAAAAAGAAAAAAAAAATTTCTGAATGAAATGCAGGCTGACTTTTTTTGTTTTTGTTTTTGTTTTTGAGACAAAATCTCATTCTGTTGGCCAGGCTGGAGTACAGTGGCACTTCAGCCTCAACCTTCTGGGCTCAAGTGATCCTCCCACTTCAGCCTCCCAAGTAGCTGGGACCATGGGCATGTGCTACCACATCCAGCTTTTTTTTTTTTGGTAGAGATGGGGTTTCGTCATATTGCCCAGGCTGGCCTTGAACTCCTGGACTCAAGGGATTCTCCCGCCTCAGCCTCCCAAATGGCTGAGATTACAGGCATGAGCCACCACTCCTGGCCCAGGCTGACTCTTAAATACATTAGCTGTAATTAGCTTTACCACATTTTCAGGAACATAAGGCACAGTTTGGGAGCCTTCCGCAAAAATTTTCAAGAGTCTCCAAATAAAAGCTGAATAATACATTATATGTATAGTGTATATATAGGATATATATATGTATTTAAAATACATATATATTTAAAAATATATGTGTGTGTGTGTGTATATATATATATATATATATATTTTTTTTTTTTTTTTTTTTTTTTTTTTTTTGAGAGACAGTCTTACTTTGTCCACAGCCTGGAGCGCAGTGGTGCATTCTTGGCTCACTGCAACGTCCGCTTCCTGGGTTCAAGCTATTCTCCTTCCTCAGCCTCCCCAGTAGCTGGGATTACAGGTGTCTGCCACCATGCCTGGCTAATTTTTGTAGTTTTAGTAGAGGCGGGGTTTCACCATGTTGGCCAGCTGTTCTCGAACTCCGAACCTTAAGTGATCTGCCCGTCTTCATCTCCCAAAGTGCTGGGATTACAGGTGTGAGCCACTGCGCCTGGCCACATGATATATTTTTTAAATAAAAGAGAATTTGGCATTGTCAACAATTTTATATAATGAAGAAAATAATTTTTATTTGAGTAGGCAGACTGGATCTGGAAAAAGGCCTTGTTTCAGAACTAAGACAGCAATTATATGAGCCTTCCCCAAAGGTCAGCTTCTTTTTTAGTCCTCTTTCTGGAGAAAGAGGTCTTAACCTAATTCAGGGCAGGAGTTTAGGAATCCCAAACCTGTATGGAATGAAAATTTTGTATGAGGGTACATTTTTGTCAAGAAAAGGTCCATAGCTTTCATCAAATTTCCAACAGTTGAGACACTTTTAAGAATCGTTGGTTTATGTACTTAACTGGCTGTCTTTGCTGTCTAGTGAGGTTATAAAGTGGAGGGGGTGAGGGAGTAAGGATTAGTTGTGGCTTTAAGGCTTTTTTTTTTTTTTTTGAGACAGAGTCTTGCTCTGCTGCCCAGGCTACAGTGCAGTGGGGTGATCTTGGCTCACTGCAACCTCCACCTCTCGGGTTCAAGCGATTCTCCTGCCTCAGCCTCCTGAGTAGCTGGGATTACAGGCACACACCACCACACCTGGCTAATTTTTGTATGTTTAGTAAAGACGAGGTTTCACCATGTTGGCCCAGCTGGTTTTGACTCCTGATCTCAGGTGATCTGCCCATCTTGGCCTCCCAAAGTGCTGGGATTACAGGTGTGAGCCACCACATCTGGCCGCTTTAAGACTTTTTTTGACATACCTCATAATAAAATGTCATTTACATCATGACCTATATATAACTGAAACAAAAATTTACAAAACTATGGATACTGTCATAAACTATGGTATATCTTAACATTTTCTATCTTATTTCATTTTCAAAATATTGGTTATAACTTGCTAAATTGATTTCTTAATGTTTTGCTGGGTGGTAACCCATAATTTGAAAAACACTGGCCTATTGCATTATAGTTTACAAAATCCTTTCATATATTCTTAGTTTTCACAGCAGTCCCATGAGGTACATATGACCTTCTTTAAACTTAATTAAATTCGTTAATTTATTTATTTTTGAGATGGGGGTCTTGCTATGTTGCCCAGGCTGGAGTGCATTGGCTTTTCACAGGTGTGGTCATAGCACATTGCAGCCTCCAGCTCCTGGACTCTAGCACACCTCTGCCTCAGCCTCCCAAGTAGCTGGGACTGTAGGTGCACACTACTGCCCAGAAGACTTTCTTTTTTATTTTTACAGATGAGGAGGCTTGTCTGTATGATATACAGAGACGTTAAGTGACCTTCAAGTCTGCAGTCACTTGCAATATTTGACAGTCAGAGTTTGAGCTTGATTGGTCCTAGGTTTTAACTCCACTTTCACTGCATCTTTGGTTACATGATCCAAACTTTTTCCTTCCTCTTCTCAGTTGTAGGGAATAATACTAGCTCAGACTGCATAACTGGATAAATCCTAATATTCCTAAATGTTGTCCCTTGTCATTTAGGGGTCCTCTCGGAAGTTTTAGATTTCCCTACCAGTGTAATAGGTTCTTTCCTTTTGTTTCTTCTCTGCCCTTAACGAGTGGTTCTCAAGCGTGTATTTCCATCAGTGTCAATTAACTGTGGAACTTAAAGTTGATATCCCTGGGTCTCCAGCTGCAATTCTGATTCAGCAGATCTAGGGTGGAGTTTAGACTTTGTAAAATTTTTAAAAGCTCCGCAGGTGATTCTTAAACATAATCAGAGTTGAGAATTTCTACCCTAGATAGATTTAAATTGTCAGGCTTAAGAAGGAAACCGAGGATTTGGGGAGTTGCTAGAGACTGTTTGATCCCTTACAGTTTAGGGACTTAGTATAATGGGCACTCTGTCTTCCACCTGGCTCCCAATCTTTGTGTGTAGGTGTAACCGCTTGTAAACATAATCAGAGCTTAAGTGAATTGTAGAGAATCTAGTGGTTCTCTTCTCCCCACTGCCTCTTTTTTGATGAAATATTAGAAATGAAAATTTTGAAATGTATTCATCGAGTATACAATTGGAAAAGCCACCTTGTGAAATGGTAAGCTTGTTCTATTGTTTAATATTTTCTTAAACAATAGTCTTTATGTAATGTGTTTGATTTACAGAATTGAACAAATAATAAACTGCTAAACTTTGTGCTTTAAGTTAAATAATAGATTTGACCAGTAAAATAGATACTTCATATATTATTACCTTTGTATTATGCTGAGCAAAACAGGAATTGACAAAAGTTTGTTTCTTAAAAAAAAAAACCTTAAAATCTTTCTCTTTCTCTCTAGGTCTTTTTGGAAGTGGATATCTACTCAGACAGTAAGAATTATAAGAGGTCAGTTACAAATAATACTCCTTGTTTACAATGTGATAAAAATTTTGTTCATGTTGTAAAATATCAAACTGTAGGCTTTTGTGTTAAAAGTTGACTTCCACAAAATAATATAGGCAGATTTAGGGTGGATAACCTGAAGTGAACAAAGAGTCTAACAATGGTACTCAACTGTATTCTCTCTTTAATTCAGGACTAGAATCAGTGGAAATGGGACAGGCTGTGGAGTAGCTTCTAGAGTGTCTGGACAGCTACTCAGTAATTTTCCATACATGACCTCTCTTTTCTGTTGGTTTGTAGGCTCGTGCCTGGGAAATACTATTCAGTACAGTTGCTGGACAGGCTTTTTAGCTGTTCACACTGAGTTGCCTCCAATCTATGTAACCGTTTAGTGAAAGCTGCCTTCATGGTCTTCTTAGCTAGGAACTTGAAGTTGGCCTTATTGAGACTCTCACTTATTAGCCCAGGAACCGTGTTTTATTAACTCTCTTTTTCTTCTCCCATGGAGTCAAAGAATTGTGCCTTGTGGATTTTCTCTTTTGTGTGTGGTCATCTAACTTCAGTCAGACTGCAAGCTAGAATCTGCACCTGAGTGCCTTGCTTTCTTACTTTGTGAAGAAGGCACCCATTATCTTCTGTTAGTTGGGATGGGATTTTATTTTTTGGATCTACTGTTACTTTTAAACTTAACTATTTACTGCTGTAAATGTGAAAGAAATAGGCTTTTTGCTGCTGTAACTTTTGGTGTTCTTCAGTGTGGTCAGTCTGTTGGAACTTTCCCTTCCCTCCCCCTTTCTTTCTTTTTCCCTCCCTTTTACCCCTTTTCCCTCCCTCTCTGCCTTTTTTCTTCCTTTTTTTTTTTCTTTTGAGACGGAGGGAGTCTCTGTCACCCAGGCTAGAGTGCAGTGGCGCAATCTCGGCACACTGCAACCTCTGCCTCCTGGGTTCAAGCAATTCTCATGCCTCAGCCTCCCAAGTAGCTGGGATTACAGGTGCCCACCGCCACGCCTGGCTAATTTTTTGTATTTTTAGTAAAGTTGGGGTTTCACCATGTTGGCCAGGCTGGTCTTGAACTCCTGATCTCAGGTGATCCGCTCACCTTGGCCTCCCAAAGTGCTGGGTATTACAGGCATTAGCGACTGTGCCTGGCCAAAAATAATGGGAGCCCTTTAAAGGTTTTTTGTTTTTTTTTGTTTTTTGAGACAGAGTCTCGCTCTGTCACCTCCCAGGTTCAAGCGATTCTCCTTACCTCAGCCTCCTGAGTAGCTGGGATTACAGGCATGCGCCACGCTCGGCTAATTTTTGTATTTTTAGTAGAGATGGGGTTTCACTGTGTTGGCCAGGCTGGTCTCAAACTCCTGACCTCAGGTGATCTACCTGCCTCGGCCTCCCAAAGTGCTGGGATTACAGGCATGAGCCACTGTGCCTGGCCTGTATTTTTAGTAGAGATGGGGTTTCCCCATGTTGGGCAGGCTGATCTTGAACTTTTTTTAAGACCTAATATTTCAAGGGAGAAATGTATAGTAAATTTAGACAGCAAATTTTTTTTGTTGCATGATACTTTTTTTTTTTTTTTTTTTGAGACGGAGTCTCGCTCTGTCACCAGGCTGGAGTGCAGTGGTGATCTTGGCTCATGTTGCATCATACTTTTATATTTGATTCTAGTTTTGTTTTATTTTATTTTATTTTATTTTATTTTATTTTATTTTTGAGACGGAGTCTCACTCTGTTGCCCAGGCTGGAGTGCAGTGGCGTGATCTCTGCTCACTGCAAGCTCCGCCCCCTGGGTTCACGCCATACTCCTGCCTCAGCCTCTCGAGTAGCTGGGACTACAGGTGCCCGCCACTACGCCCGGCTAATTTTTTGTATATTTATTAGAGATGGGGTTTCACCATGTTAGCCAGGATGGTCTTGATCTCCTGACCTTGTGATCCACCTACCTTGGCCTCCCAAAGTGCTGGGATTACAGGCGTGAGCCACTGCGCCCAGCTGATTCTAGTTTTAAAGATAGAAGTTAGCTAAAGTAATCTCCAGTTCACTTTCAGAAAATGTTAGGCTGGGCTCAGTGGCTCACACTGATAATCCCAACCGTTTGGGAGGCCAAGGTGGGAGGATCACTTGAGCTCAGGAGTTTGAGACTAGGCTGGGCAACATGTGGAGATGCTGTCTGTACAAAAAAACAAAAAGTAGCCAGGCATAGTGATGCATGCCTGTAGTCCCAGCTATTTTGGAGGTTGAGGTTGGAGGATTGCTTGAGCCCAGGAGTTTGAGGCTGCAGTGAACGAGGATCGTGCCACTGCACTCTAGCCTGAGTGACAGAGCAAGACCCTGCCTCTAAAAAAAAGGGAAATGTCTATAGTTTTCTTTACTTTTCTTTTTTTTTTTTTTTTTGAGACAGGGTCCTGCTCTGTCACCAAGGCTGGAGTACAGTGGTGCTATCACAGCATACTGCAGTCTTGAACTCCTGGGCTCAAACGATTCTCCCACCTCAGCCTCCCCAGTAGCTGGGACTACAGGTGCATGCCACCACATGCAGCTAATTAAAAAAAATTTTTTTTTAGGGATGGGATCTCACTATAGTGCCCAGGCTGGTATAGGTTTTCTTTAGTTTTGTTTTAGCAGTCTTGCCAATTTGTTAATTACTGTTTTATTCTTGTACCACAGTGATTCTCAACCTTTAGGGCTTGTGAAAGCATAGATTAATGGATGCTGGCCTGTAGGTTCTGATATGGTTAGTTGGTCTGGGGAAGGGCCCAAGAAATTTGCACTTCTAACAAGTTCCCAGGTGATGCCAATGGTCCAGGGACCACACTTTGAGAACCACACTACTCTAGCATTTATAAATGCTGTTTGTCTCTGTAAGTGAGTAAACTGACTCACAAATTACACCAGAACAATCGTGCATATGTAATTTTCACATGTTGAGTGGTGATTCCCAAACATTTTAAAGTATTGACGGTTTCTCATCTGATGTCAAGGAACACTGTTGTCCACTTACTTTCATACTTTACAGTGAGTTATAGCATACAGAGTTATTAATAATACATTTATTATCTATTAATGTACCATATCTTAGAGCACTTCAAAATCACAATTGGGAATTATTATTTTTCTATTTTTATTTTTGCAGTTGCAAGATTTAATAGAGTGAAGACAGAGCTCCCATACAAAGGGAGGGGACCCAAAGAGGGTAGCTGTAGCTGGCTCGAATGCCTGGGTTTATATCCCGATCATTGTCCCTCCTGCTGTGCTGTCAGGCAACAGATGATTGGCTATTTCTTTATCTCCTGTTTTTGCCTAATTAGCATTTTAGTGAGCTCTCTTTAGTATCTGATTGGTTGGGCGTGAGCTAAGTTGCAAGCCCGGTGTTTAAAGGTGGAAGCGGTCACCTTCCCAGCTAGTCTTAGGGATTCTTAGTTGGTCTAGGAAATCTAGTTATTCCTGTCTCTCAGTCCCCCCTCTCAACAGGAAAACCCAACTGCTGTTGGGGAGGTTGGCCAACAACCACTCTAACTGCTTCCTGCTGAATTGGGGCGTAGTAGAGGTTGTGCAGTTGAGATTTCCTCGGGAGGGGTGCCTTTGATGTCATTAACATCAGAGCATGGGCTAGCAGGCCGGTCCAGGGGTCCGTGGTAGATTTTACTCATGGACTGCATCTGGGGCTCCATTTGAAGAACGATTTGTAGTTTTACTGCTTCGATTCTGGAAAAGACAAACTTAACAAGGAGGTTAAAGATACAGGGTCCAAAGAGGAGTAACAATATTATAGCTGCTAGAGGTCCTAAGAAGGGGAGAATCCAGGGCATCCATTGGCTGAGGAGGCCCCAGGGTCCAGTGTTTTGCAGCTCCTTTGCTCTACGTTATATTCGACCTTGAATTTCTTTAACTTTCTCGGTGATGATTCCGGATTGATTAACATAACAACAGCATTTTTCCTCTAAAAATAAAAAGGTTCCCCCGCTTTCCGCGGTTAGCAAGTCTAAAGCTCTTCGATTTTGAAGGACTACTGCTGCTAGGGAGTTAAGTTGATCTTGCAAGGTGACCAGGGTATCAGCGACCCATTCCATGTCACCATTTAGTTCTTGAGACAGTTTGTAGTAGAACTGAGTAGAGGTTGTGATACCGCCAATGCCAGTAGCTACTCCGCCTAGCACTCCTGCTCCAATAACAAAAGGAAGAATGGGTACTCTTTTGTTGCGGGGCTTAGGTATGACATGATTGTATAAATCTTGTTCAGTGTAGATGGGCATAGGGGCCACTAAGAATGAGAGGAAGCACACAGATTCTGAAGAGCCATTCAAACAATGATAGGCTGAGGTACCACAGACAAAAAATATTCCTGAGGGTAGGCAGACTATTCGTGTGGGAGGAGTTACCCACCTGATGCATTGGGAGTTGGCTGTGTCTATAGTATTGCTAAATTTTACACAGGTGAGGTTTGAGGTATGGGTTATTTCCAGATTGGAAAGAGGACCTACTAAAACAGAAGTGGTGTTTATTTCTGTGCTGAAGTTGTTCCATTGTTCAGGTATAGGGATTGAAATGTATGGCCTAAAGTGCAGGGGGAGGCACATCCAACAGTTAGTAGGGTTTTGGGCCGAGACCTCATGGAGCCCAGTCAGGGTGGTATTAAATAGGCTTACCAGGCCAGTATGGGTATGGAGGGTTTCATGTAGTTTTGAGAGATCTAGTCCTTTGTAGGGGCCAGGGGTGCTATGTACCCAGGTCAGTTGGGAGATTACTTCCTTTATGTGTTTTTCTGTTGCCTGATCTTGAACTCCACCCCCATCAGACATACTGGTATGAGTGAAGTGAGTCCTCCAAGTCCTCCAGGACAACTGGGATTAATCGTTTTTCCTGTCCAATAATGAGTATTTGCATGCATGCAAAGAGTGGCAGAGTTATAGCAGTTGTGGGGCATATGGGTGTGGGCAGTGAAGGTGGGGGTTCCCTTAGATAAACTCCTATACAATGGGGCATCAATATTTCCGGGACGCTGCATTCTCCATAGAAACTCTTGCTAAGGGGAGCTACTGGCATGGACGGGGCATGGACGGGGTGCAGTGGCATGGACGGGGTGCAGTGAGAGTGAAAGGGGGTAAGAGAACAGTAAAGAGAAAAATATGATAAGGGAGGGCCAGGGGATTTACGATTTTAGTTACTTTCCCCCTGGTTGTCATTTGAAGAGCAGGCGCAGATCCTCTAGAGGTTCACAGGAATAGCTAGCATTGTCTCATGGATTTTTGAGTTCCTTTGGCAGTATCCAGGGTTTGACTTGAGTGTGATGTATCCAAGACTCCGCTCCAGCCACTTTAACTGCCGTTAGGGTAGATAAAATGGCTGGGTAGTTTCCTTCCCAGGATGTATCTAGGGATGGGGAATTAGAGGGAAGGGACTTGACTAATACCATGTCACCAGGGTGGAATAGTTCCTTTCCCTCTTCTTGGGGACAGGCTCCCTGTAATGTTTTAAGAACCTGTTGATATTTGGCTAAGGAGATGATGTCTGCAACTAAGTTGGCTGTCTCTCGGTCAAGCCCAAGTTCATTGGTTAGGAAGGGCCGTCCATACAGCATTTTGTATGGACTAAGTCCTGCTTTTTGGGGAGAGTTTCGGATTCTTAGTAAGGCTATAGGCAACAGAGCAGGCCATGCGAGGTGGGTTTCCTGGATTAGCTTTTTTAGATGTCATTTGAGTGTTTTGTTCATTTTCTCCACCTTTCCTGAGGACTGTGGCCTCCAGGCGCAGTGTGAGTGATATTGTATACCTAACACCTGGGATACTCCTTGGGTTACTGTAGCCTTGAAAGCAGGGCCATTGTCACTCTGTAAGCCTTGGGGAAGTCCGAATCTGGGAATTATTTCATGAACGTTTATTACCTCTTGGGCCTTTTCTGTCCTACAGGGGAAGGCCTCTGCCCAACCAGTGAAAGTATCTACCCAAACTAGTAGATACTGAAATCCCTGAGATTTGGGCATATGGGTAAAATCTAGTTGCCAGTCTTCTCTTGGGTAGTGGCCTGTTCTTTGTTCTCCTGAAGGAGCTTGGCGATAAGGCAGGGGATTATTTCTTTGGCACACTTCACAGGCCCTGACTATCTGCTTGATAGTTTTGAAAAGGCCTGGTCCAGTAAATAATGATTTGGCCATCTGATGGGTGCTATCAATACCTAAGTGAAGGGTTTGGTGAAGGGTTTTAAGTAATTTCCATTGGTTAGCTGCAGGCAAAAGTATTTTTCCTTCTTTGGTGGCTAGCCATCCTGAGGGGAGGAAACTATGTCCCCGTGAGGTTCCCCATTCTATTTCTTCTTCTGAGTACTGGGGCTTGGTTTCCTGGAGGGGATTACCCCATACTAGGTGTCCTTCTATAAGCATTTCTAATGGAGGGTCCTGCCTTGCGGCTCTTTTGGCTCCAATATCTGGTTGGCGGTTCCCTTCTATTTCCCTTTCCTTTCCTTTCCTTTCTGATGACACCGGCAGTGTAAGACTGCCACCTCTTTAGGTTTCTGTACAGCCTAGAATAATCTCCTGATGGCTTCCCGATGTTTGATAGGTGTTCCTTGGAAGTTAGGAATTCCCTTTCTCTCCATATTGCTGCATGGGCATGGAGGACTAGGTAAGCATACTTAGAGTCTGTATATATATTTATCCTTTTTCCTGCTCCTAATTCTAGTGCCTGAGTGAGGGCTATGAGTTCTGCCAGCTGAGCAGTAGTTGCTGGAGTGAGGGCATTACTTTCAAGTATTCCATTATCACTGACCACTGCATACCCCACTTTTCAAAGTCCTTTTTCTACAAAGGAACTTCCATCAGTATACAAGTTGAGGTCGGGATCAGTCAAGGGAACCTCTAAAAGGTCCACAATTGGGAATTATTAATCTTTTTTTTTTTTTTTTTTCTAGACAGAGTCTCACTCTGTCACCCAGGCTGGAGTGCAGAGGCATGATCTCAGCTCACTGCAACCTCCGCCTCCCGGGTTCAAGTGATTCTTCTGCCTCAGCCTCCCGAGTAGCTGGGATTATACACTTGTTACCACACCCAGCTAATTTTTGTATTTTTAGTAGAGACGGGGTTTCACCATGTTGGCCAGGTTGGTGTTGAACTGCTGACCTCAGGTGATCTACCCACCTCGGCCTACCAAAGTGCTGGTATTTACAGGCGTGAGCCACCGCGTCCGGCCAATCTTTTTTTTTTTTTTTTTGTACAGATGGGATCTTGTTTTGATGCTCATGCTAGTCTTGAACTCCTGGACTCAAACAATCCTCCTGCCTCTGCCTCCCAAGTTGTTAGGATTATAGGCGTGAGCCACCGCGCCCAGGCTTATTTTCTGAATTAAAATAATTGATCTGGGTACAAGCTATTTAATACTGAGTTGATCTGTAGTTTTGAAATTTTAAAATAGGATTTTTGAGATGACAGAAGAAATATTGTTTCATTTAGTTTGGGTTTTTATTGTTGTGGGCTCTTATTTTGGTTTTTAAAAAATATTTTTAAATTTTTATGGGCAGCACTTCATTCCATAAAAGAGAATGAATGTTGCTGTTTTGGTCTTTATTAATTAGTTTCTTTTTCTTTCTTTTTTTTTTTTAAATTATACTTTTAAGTTCTGGGATACATGTGCAGAACATGCAGGTTTGTTATGTAGGTAAACACGTGTCATGATGGTTTGCTGTTAATTAGTTTCTTAGTTAGCTATTGGCAGTATCTAATCCTAACTGGTAAGGCCCTACATTTAGAAAAATTATACTTACTTGAGGTGATTATAGATTTTAAATTTGGTGATAGATTCATTTTCTTCTCATATCAGTGTCAGCACATTAGAGCCAAAAGTAGTCATTTTGGGGTGACATTTTAAAATGCATAATTTAAGAAAAAACTCATGAGGACAAGTAAAGTTTTTTTTTTTTTAATTAAAAATTACCTATCTGGAGTTTGTTTTAAAAGTATACACATACGTAAAATTCATAGGCCAGGCACAGTGGCTTACACCTGTAATCCCAGCAGTTTGGGAGCCTAAGGTGAGAGGATTGCTTGAGCCCAGGAGTTCAAGACCAGCCTAGGCAACATAGGGAGTCCCCATTTCTACAAAATATTTAAAAATTAGACCGGGCACAGTGGCTCACACCCATAGTCCTAGCACTTTGAGAGGCTGAGGTGGGTGGATCATGAGATCAGGAGTTCAAGACCAGCCTAGCCAAGATAGTGAAACTCCATCTCTACTAAAAATACAAAAGTCAGCCGGGCATGGTGGTGGGTACCTGTAATCCCAGCTACTTGGGAGGCCGAGGCAGAGAATTGCTTGAACCCGGGAGGCGGAGGTTGCAGTGAGCTGAGATCGTGCCATTGCACTCCAGCCTGGGCGACAGAGTGAGACTCCGTCTCAAAAAAGAAAAAAAAAATAGGCCGGGTGCGGTGGCTCACACCTGGAATCCCAGCACTTTGGGAGGCTGAGGCGGAAGGTCAGGAGATCGAGACCATCCTGGCTAACACGGTGAAACCCCATCTCTACTAAAAATACAAAAAATTAGCTGGGTGTTGTGGCGGGTGCCTGTAGTCCCAGGTACTCAGGAGGCTGAGGCAGGAGAATGGCATGAACCCGGGAGGCGGAGCTTGCAGTGAGTGGCAGTCGCACCACTGCACTCCAGCCTGGGCAACAGAGCGAGACTCCGTCTCTAAATAAATAAATAAATAAATAAATAAATAAATAAATAAATGAAAAATAAAAATAGAATTAGCCGGGCATGGTGGCACGTGCCTATAGTCCCAGCTACTGGGGAGGCTGAGGTAGGAGGATCACTTGAGCCCAAAGAGTTTGAGGCTGCAGTGAACCATGATTGTAGTACTGCATGCTGTATGGGTGACAGAGTGAGACCCTGTCTCAAATAAATAAATAATAAAATAAAAGTTATAGCCTCTCAATATATAGTGTTTGAAGCCAGATGAGCATTATGTAGTTTAAATATTATTTCAAACAACCATTACTCTATCCAGACCCTTACCATTTATTCCCCCATTACTAACAACCAAAATATCAATATCACAACAAGCAGCTTTTTCCTACTGCAAAGGTTTCCCCATTGATCATAATTATTTCCTGGACACCACCAAATGAAAATGAGATTAGGAATGCCTTATAGGCTTTTGAGAAAAATTTCTTTGAGGAAAAGGGAACTGGTTTTAATTTATGGGCATAGTTATCATGATCTCAATTTTCCTCCCTTGTAGAAATTAAAGGCCCTGAAATAGAATAGCCAAGGAAGTTAGTTCTCAAATTGCCTTGCTTCCACGTCTCAGCTATGGTTTATTAGATATAACCTCTGGCTGACCTCAGATATAGATTATTATTCATAACCTGCCTTTCTCACTTTTCATTTTCTCCATAGCTGTAAGAGCTCATTTTGGAGGAATAATGGATGAACCATCTCCCTTGGCCCAACCTCTGGAGCTGAACCAGCACTCTCGATTCATAATAGGTTCTGTGTCTGAAGATAACTCAGAGGATGAGATCAGCAACCTGGTGAAGTTGGACCTACTGGAGGAGAAGGAGGGCTCCTTGTCACCTGCTTCTGTTGGCTCAGATACACTCTCTGATTTGGGGATCTCTAGCCTACAGGATGGCTTGGCCTTGCACATAAGGTAAGAGAGAGTTCAATGGTCTACTTATTTAATCTGTCTTGTTAGTTTTGCTGATTATGTTCTGAAAAGAGCAAGGATGATTTCAGCTAAGACTGCTTTGCCTTTTCCTATGTCACTGAACTCAAAGCTTTGTTGAGGAAGTCAGAAATGATGTATTTTTCAGAAATCATGTATGTTCCCATCAAATTTTTCATGTCCTACTAGGTTTTTTTTGTTTTTGTTTTTGTTTTTTGAGACGGAGTCTTGCTCTGTTGCCCAAGCTGGAGTGCAGTGGTGCGGTCTCAGCTCACTGCAACCTCCGCCTCCTGGGTTCAAGCAATTCTTCTGCCTCAGCCTCCCAAGTAGCTGGGATTACAGGCGCCTGCCACCATGCCCAGCTAATTTTTTGTGTTTTTAGTAGAGATGGAGTTTCACCATGTTGGCCAGGCTGGTCTTGAACTCCTGACCTTGTGATCCGCCCACCTCAGCTTTCCAAAATGCTGGGATTAGAGGTGTGAGCTACCCCGCCCAGCCTATTTTTTTTTTTTTTTTTGAGATAGAGTCTCACTCTGTCGCCCAAATGGGAGTGCAGTGGTACAATCTCAGCTCACTGCAACCTCTGCCTCCCAGGTTCAAGAGATTCTCCTGCCTCAGCCTCCTGAATAGCTGGGACTACAAGTGCATGCCCTTGCGCCTAGCTGATTTCTGTTGTTTTTGATAGACACCGGGTTTCGCCATGTTGGCCAGGCTGGTCTCGAATTCCTGACCTCAAGTGATCCGCCTGCCTCAGTCTCTCAAAGTGCTGGGATTAAAGATATGAACCACTACACCTGGCCACTTCTACCTGCTAGGTCTTTCAGTGAGACCTAGTGAGTAAGAGTTAGGTTGAGGAACATCAGTTTTTGTACTACTTTGACTAACATTGTTCTAACTATCTTGATGATTGATAGGACTTCTCCAGGTGTTGTCAACTTCGTAGTAAGTTTTTTTGAACTAATTCATCAGATTGTCAGGAAGTTATATTCTGTTTCTAGCAGGGCCAGTCCCCAATAAAGGGCTGTTAATAGAGCTCTCCTTTTTCTCTAGAAACACAGTTCTCCCTAACTGAGAATGTCAGTACATAGTAACACTAGATTGTTTTTATTTATCGATGTTTGATTATATAACTAGCGTGTGAGATACTAACCTTTGGTCATTTACTTTTCAGTTCTTGGATTAAAAGGTCTGGATCAGTGGTTCTTGGTTCTCACTGTTCATCAGAATCACCTCGGGGAGCCTTGGGAGATAAGCCCCATCCCCAGAGATTTCGATTCATTTGATACTGGCTTGGTGTGGAACTGGGGCTTTTTTTTAAGGTATCCAGGTGATTGTTGTGTACAGCCAGCATTCAGATTATAGGTGTACCCTAGATAACATAAGTTAGGGTGGCTGTTGTTGCTGTTACTATCTTGGCACCTTTATTATTAATGGGTCATAAAATAATTCAGCTCTATTTTATACACTAAATATATCAACTCTATAATAAAATCCTGTATGAGATCTGGCTGGATGTGATTGTTCTGTCTTACTGTTATCCCTGGGGCTTGGGATCGGGGCTTCTGAGAGACTAGGCAGTGTTCGTTAGTGGTCACCCTCATTTAGCTATGTAGAGGTCAAAAGAAAAGTGTAAAGCAAGTTAATTATGTTTTACTTCACAGGTTCCTAGAATTGTAATAAACCAGAGAGATAATTTAGCCTAACACTTTTTATTTTATTTTATTTTAAAAAATTAATTTAAAACATTATTTAAATAGAGACAGAGGTCTTGCTATGTTGCCCAGGCTGGTCTTGAACTCCTGGCCTCAAGCGATCCTCCTATCATGGCCTGCCAAAGTGCTGGGATTACAGGCATGAGCCACCACACCTGGCCACAAAATACTTTTTGATAGTTGGGAAAACTAAGGCCCAATGAGGAGAAATAACTTGCCTAAGTTTGAATAGCCAGAGAACTTGGATTCAAACTCATATCCTGATTTTATTTCACTAACTTTTCTACTCTACTTTCCCGTCCATACAGGTGTCTTAATTATATAACTAGTTCAGACAAAGTTGGTTTTATGGAGTTAGTGAACAAAGCATTATCTCTGGGTTAAAAAGAGGAATAGAGAGCAGTATTTTAGTGGCAGGGAAAAGGGATTAGGTCTTTATGTAAACATTTTTTATTTTATAGTTCACTTAATGATTGGCTCTAAGGTTAATACTAGTGGTGGCATTCTTCTCTCTTGAGGTCATTTGGAAGTGTGTTGGGGGGTTGTGACTGGCAGGACTACTTGCATTTATCGGACAAAGGACAAAGGACCAATGATACTAAACCTTCTGTGGTATAGTAGATAATCCTACACAACCAAGAAATCTGCTACTCAAAATGTCGTAGTGCCCCTGTTGAGAAAGACTGGTTTAACTCTAAATCCATAAAACCACACAGCACCTTGAGAAATCTGTCCAGTTTGAGTCTATGTGAAACATAATATCCATTTGCTGGATTAGGAAACTGAGTTTGGCTATGGTGAGATAAATGTGTTATAAGAAACTCAGCTAGTGATATCACAAGGCAGTTTGTAGTTGCCAAGTCATTCCCAAAGTTGATGGTTCTTATGCAAAGTCTATGTGGTCAGTGGCATGAGTGTCTGGAATTTCTTTGCATGCCTTACTGTTGCAAAAATCATGTCCGTAGCTCGTGGAGGAGCCATGGATTGAAGTGTGATCAGCAGCATGGAAAGGAGACAATGCCAGTTCCAACTCACTCCTCAGCTAGCTAATGTTCTAAAATAGAAAAAACGTTTTCTGTTTATCCATTCCTTAAGTCACTTCTGGATATGGTGACCTTTGGGGTAATTTTAATTGAGTCAAATTCATTTGATAGGTGAAAGACCTCTGTTATGACATCTGCCACTAATTAGGTGTGTGACCATGGACAGTACATATTATCTCCTTGGAGTCATCTATAAAAATGAAGATATTGATTCAGATGCTCCTTTTCACTCCTGGAACTCAAAGTTAAATAGAGACTAAGTTGAGTTTAGGATCAGCTCTTAGAACGAATAGCCTAATCCTTCATGGGTGACATAGATTAAGGGGGCAGGTACATTCCTAGGAGATGTTAACTGGAGGTCATCTGAAACCAAATGAAGTAATTGCCATAATGTAAGATGGGACTGAGTCTCTCTCTCAAGTTTAGGTGCTGAGAAGTCTAGTGGTATGATGGATGAGCCCAAATAGAAAATAGACTTTTCCTGCGATGGAGATGATTTGCCTCATGTATTTTCTAGAGTCCAATGAAAGACTGGGTGAATCACTTTCTTTTTTCTTTCTTTCTTTTTTTTTTTTAGAGGGAGACTCGCTCTGTCGCCCAGGCTGGAGTGCAGTGGTACCATCTCGGCTCACTGCAACCTTCACTTCCCAGGTTCAAGCAATTCTCCTGCCTCAGCCTCCCAAGTAGCTGAGATTACAGGCACCCGCTACCATGCCCGGCTGTTTTGTATTTTTAGTAGAGACAGGGTTTCACCGTGTTGGCCAGACTGGTCTCGAACTCCTGACCTCAGGTGATCTGCCCGCCTCAGCCTCCCAAATTGCTGGGATTACAGGCGTGAGCCAGCATGCCCAGCCTTTTTTTTTTTTCTTTTGAGACGGAGTTTCGCTCTTGTTACCCAGGCTGGAGTGTAATGGTGCAATCTCCACTTACCGCAACCTCTGCCTCCCGGGTTCAAGAGATTCTCCTGCCTCAGCCTCCTGAGTAGCTGGGATTACAGGCATACGCCACCACGCCAGGCTGATTTTGTGTTTTTAGTAGAGACAGGGTTTCTCCATGTTAGGCTAGACTCGAACTCCCAACCTCAGGTGATCCACCTGCCTTGGCCTCCCAAAGTGCTGAGATTACAGGCATGAGCCTGTAATCTGTGCCTGTCAGCCTATGCCTGACCCTGGCCATTTTTTTTTTTTTTTTTTTTTGAGACAGTCTTGCTCTTTCACCCAGGCTGAATTACAGTGGTGCAATCTCAGCCCACTGCAACCTCCGCCTCCCAGGTTCAAGATATTCTTGTGCCTCAGCCTCCTGAGCAGCTAGTACTGGAGGTGTGTGCCACCATGCCCGGCTAATTTTTTTGTATTTTAGTAGAGATGGGGTTTCACCATATTGGCCAGGCTGGTCTTGAACTCCTGATCTCAGGCAATCCACCTGCCTCAGCCTTCCAAAGTGCTAGGATTACAGGTGTGAGCCACCATGCCCAGCTGGATGAATCACTTTCTAAGCTTTATGACCCAAACATTTGAAAATAAGACCCTGGCTGGGCGTGGTGGCTCACGCCTGCAATCCCAGCACTTTAGGAAGCCAAGGTGGGTGGATCACCTGAAGTCAGCAGTTCAAGACCAGCCTGACCAACATGGAGAAACCCCATCTCTACTAAAAATACAAAATTAGCCGAGCACGATGGCACATGCCTGTAGTTCCAGCCAGTCGAGAGGCTGAGGCAGGAGAAGTGCTTGAATCCGGGGGTGCAGAGGTTGCGGTGAGCCGAGATCATGCCATTGCACTCCAGCCTGGGCAACAGAGCAAAAAAAAAAAAAAAAAAAAAAAAAGAAAGAAAAGAAAATAAGACCCTAAGTAAAAAGTAGTTATAGCTTGGTGGGAATATACAGACCTCATTGTAGACAACTGATTTGGCTTTTTATTTTTAGATATGATCAGCTAGAGGTTGATATATCAGCCAGGTTGATATATTTCTGGAACTCACTAGTATTCAATTGAACATTTAAGAAGAAAGGCTGAATGTGGACTTTTTTTTTTTTTTTGAGACTGAGTTTCACTCTTGTTGTACAGGCTGGAGTGCAATGGCGCGATCTTGGCTCACTGCAACCTCTGCTTCCTGGTTTCAAGCAATTCTCCTCCCTTAGCCTCCCAAGTAGCTGCGATTACAGGTGCTCTCCACCATGCCGCACTAATTTTTTTTTTTTTTTTTGAGAGGGAGTCTCGCTCTGTCCCCAGGCTAGAGTGCAGTGGCGCCATCTTGGCTCACTGCAACCTCCGCCTCCTGGGTTCAAGCGATTCTCCTGCCTCAGCCCCCTGAGTAGCTGGGATTAGAGGTGCGCGCCACCATGCCCGGCTAATTTTTGTATTTTTAGCAGAGACAGGGTTTCACCGTGTTCGTCAGGCAGGTCTCGAACTCCTGACCTTGTGATCTGCCTGCCTCAGCCTCCCAAAGTGCTGGGTTACAGGTGTGAGCCACTGTGCCCAGCCCACCATGCCTGGCTAATTTTTTGTATTTTATTTTATTTTACTTATTTATTCATTTATTTTTTTAATTTAATTTTTTTTTTTTTTTTGAGTCGGAGTTTCACTGTTGTTCCCCAGGCTGGAGTGCAATGGTGCGATCTCGGCTCACCACAACCTCCGCCTCCCGGGTTCAAGCAATTCTCCTGCCTCAGCCTCTCGAGTAGCTGGGACTACAGGTATGCGCCACCATGCCTGGCAAATTTTTTTTTTTTTTTGAGATGGAGTTTCACTCTTGTTGCCCAGGCTGGAGTGCAGTGGCATGATCTCAGCTCACTGCAACCTCTGCCTCCCGGGTTCAAGTGATTCTCCTGCCTCAGCCTCCCAAGTAGCTGGGATTACAGGCGTGTGCCACCATGCCTGGCTAATTTTGTATTTTTTAGTAGAGATGGGGTTTCTCCATGTTGGTCAGGCTGGTCTCAAACTCCCGACCTCACGTGATCCGCCCGCCTCAGCCTCCCAAAGTGCTGGGAGTATGGGTGGGCGTGAGCCACCACACCTGGCTTATTTATTAATTTTTTTGAGACAGAGTTTCGCTCTTGTTGCCCAGGCCAGAGTGCAGTGGCGCAATCTCGGCTCACTGCAACTTCCGCCTCCCAGGTTCATGTGATTCTCCTGCCTCAGCCTCCCCAGTAGCTGGGACTACAGGCATGCGCCACCACGTCTGGCTAATTTTGTATTTGTAGTAGAGATGGGGTTTCTCCATGTAGGTCAGGCTGGTCTTGAATTCCCGACCTCAGGTGATCTGCCCACCTCGGCCTCCCAAAGTGCTGAGATTACAGGTGTGAGCCACTGTGCCCAGCTAATTTTTTGCATTTTTAGTAGAGATGGGGTTTCACCATGTTGGCCAGGCTGGTCTTGAACCCCTGACCTCAGGTGATCCACCCGCCTTGGCCTCCCAAAGTGCTGGGATTACAGGCGCCCGGCCAGTGGACATCTTAATTTTGATAACCAGTGTATGATTTGGTGGCATATAACAGAGCCATCTAGTTGTATGGATATTGGCAGTTTCTCTGCTCCTATGGGATGTCACTTGAGGTCAGATCGTTTTGCATACTTAAAATTCACCGCATGCTATCAACCAAATAGAACTGTAAACAGTTTGTCAACTAATAAGCTGAATTTCTGGTTGAAGTACAGTTGGAACAGGTTATCTCCACATTTGGGTCTTTTACCTCTTAGCATAGTGTGATTTCTTTCCTCTTTTTTAAAAATCCACCTCCTTCCTCTCTAGCATAGTGTGATTTCTTTAAATCTTTTTTATCCTATGCTAAATGTATGGGTTTTTTGTTTGTTTGTTTGGTCTCACTCTGTCACCCAGGCTGAAGTGTTCAGTGGCGCAATCATAGCTCACTAACTTCCAACTCCTGGGCTCAAACAATCCTCCTGCTTCAGCCTCCTGAGTAGTGGAGATTATAGGTGTGCACCACCGTGCTGAGCTAATTTTTAAAATTTTTTTAGAGATGGGGTCTTGCTATGTTGCCCTGGTTGGTCTTGAATTCCTGGCCTCAAGTGATTGTCTGGCCTTGGCCTTCCCAAGTGCTGGGATGACAGGTGTGAGCTACCTTGCCCAGTGTATACTTCATGTTATAGTGAAACAGGAGAGTTCCCTCATCTCCCTTGCAGGATGTACCACAGGGATGTGTCTTGCTTGCTCCTTCGGTTGCCCCACTGCTCAAACCCCTAAGGGGAGGATGCAGATGGGCAGGTGCAACAGCCATGGGAAGCACTTTTGGGCTCCAGCCCCACGGCACCATCTTGGGGTGGTGTCTGCGACTCTGAAAGCCCAAGTGAGCATGTGTTACAGTGTGCTCTTTCAGCTTTGCTGTCTGCAGACAGCTTGTGTTAACCAGCTCAATAGACCATCTGCCTTATTGCAAGGGCAGAGGGCCAGTGTGACAGCTTTCTGTATCCTGAGCTCTTGCCCAGTGTACCAGAAAAATTGGATCACATGTGGGCTCGAAGGATGAGTGCAAGGTTTTATTGAGTGGTGGAAGTGGCTCTCAGCGACATGGATGGGGAGCTGGAAGGAGGGGCTGGAGTAGGGAGGTGGTCTTCCCCAGGAATCAGGGCTCCTGGAGGCCGGACTCTTCTCTGACGGCCCCGAGTTGAATTCCCCTCGGTGTCCAGACGTCCCTCCTCTCTTTCTCTGCCTTGTCGTTCCACCATTGCAAGTCTGCTGGCCTGCTGGTGTCTGCTGGTCTGTTCCTCTGCTCCTCTTGATGTTCAATCACTTGTGTCTGTGCCTGCTGTGGTCTCGGGTTTATTTGGGCACAGGATTGGGGGTGTTGCAGGCCAGAGTGGTCTTGGAAAATGAAGCATTTGGATGCAAAAACAGGCATGCCTGTTCTCACTTAGGTCCATAGGTACAGGTCAAAGGTGGAGCCCTTGACAGGGACTCTGCCCTTCTCTACCCAGCACTTCCCTGTCCCCTTCCCATATCAATAGTATTTGAAACTTGATCTCAATTTTCTCTCATGTGTCTTAAAACATATGTTCAAGTCACTGAATGATCTTCATTTTATGGTTAACATAAAATGAAGCATGTTTGGTTAACAACTTTATCTGAGAACAATCTGTATTTGCTGTTATATGTGTATACCTAAAACCAGCGTAAGATGTCTATCACTGGGGTTCAAGACAATAGTTGTTGCTTTGGAAGGAGAAAGTATATTCACTCAGGAAGGGCTCTGAAGTTGAGTTATATTTCTATTTCTTTTCTGATCTAGAAAGAAAAGTACTTTACCAATATTTTTGAAAATTGAGAATTCAGATGAGATTGCCTGTAAAGATGTTGGACTCTTCAGAATAATTTAACTAGAAAATTTTGAGCTCTTTTGTAATTATAAATAATTTGTAAAGTTTCTCCCATGATACTAGTCATAGTATGTTAATGAGTTTGGAATAAGCTCCTAGATACCACATTTCATTTTTTTTTTTTTTTTTGAGATGGAGTCTTGCTCTGTCGCCCAGGCTGGGTGCAGTGGCACGATCTCGGCTTACTGCAACCTCCGCCTCCTGGGTTCAAGTGATTCTCCTGCCTCAGCCTCCTGAGTAGCTGGGATAACAGGTGTGCACCACCATGCCCGGCTAATTTTTGTATTTGTATTTTTTTTTAATTATTTATTTATTTATTTTTTTGAGATGGAGTCTCGCTCTGTCGCCCAGGCTGGAGGGCAGTGGCGCAATCTCGGCTCACTGCAAGCTCCGCCTCCTGGGTTCACGCCATTCTCCTGCCTCACCCTCCCCAGCAGCTGGGACTACAGGCACATGCCGCCACGCCTGGCTAATTTTTGTATTTTTAGTAGAGACGGGGTTTCTCTGTGTTAGCCAGGATGGTATCGATCTCCTGACCTCATGATCCGCCCGCCTCAGCCTCCCAAAGTGCTGAGATTACAGACGTGAGCCACCGCACCCGGCCACGTTTTGTAGTTTTAGTAGAGACACCATGTTGGTCAGGCTGGTCTTGAACTCCTGACCTCGTGATCCACCTGCCTTGGCCTCCCAAAGTGCTGGGATTACAGGTGTGAGCCACCACGCCCAGCCAGATTTCATTTTCATTCACAATTCATATAAAGCTGTGCAGACCTTTATCCTTGGGCAGTAATAGTGTCAAGGTCAGATTCTGGGAGGATCTGGGATTGACTTTCAACTTCTTCCATTGGGTCAAAAGAGAAGTTTAGAGGACAATAGTGAGAGAAGGCCTATCTATTGTTCCTACATTCTATTTTTCACATTAACTTTAGGAAATATTAGTCAAGTTTTCTCAGTGGCTAATTAGAAAAATAATGGTAATAATAGGTTACATTTAATAAGTGCTTTACTGTATGCCGGATACTCTGCTGTGCTTTATGTGGAGTACCACACTGAATTATCAAAACAATCCCATGAGGTAAGTATTGTGCTATTATTTCCCACAATTTTTTTTTTTCTTTTTTTTTTGAGATGGAGTCTCACTCTGTTGCCCAGGCTGGAGTGCGATGGCGTGATCTCGGCTCACTGCAACCTCTGCCTCCCAGGTTCAAGCAATCCTCTAGCCTCAGCCTCCCAAGTAGCTGGGATTACAGGTGCCCGCCATCATGCCTGGCTAATTTTCATATTTTTAGTAGAGACAGGGTTTCACCATATTGCTCAGGCTGGTCTCGAACCCCTGACCTCAGGTGATCCACCTGCCTCGGCTTCCCAAAGTGCTGGGATTACAGGCAGGAGCCACCGTGCCTGGCCTATTGCCCACAATTTATGGATGGGGAATTGAGACATAAATTAAATAACATGCCCAAGGTGGCCAGCTTGGGTATTGAATCTAGTCAGAGCTCGTACTATAAACTACTACACTAAACTAAAACCTTTGGTGTAACAGATATGCTTTTTTTTTTTTGAGATGAAGTCTCGCTCTGTCGCCCAGGCTGGAATACAGTGGTGTGATCTCGGCTCACTGCAACCTCTGCCTCCCAGGTTCAAGCTATTTTCCTGCCTCAGGCTCCCATGTAGCTGGGACAACAGGTGTGCGCCACCATGCCTGGCTAATTTTTGTTTTTTTAGTAGAGACAGGGTTTCGCCATGTTGGCCAGCTGGTCTCGAACTCCTGACCTCAGGTGATCTACCCACCTCAGCCTCCCAAAGTGCTAGGATTACAGGCGTGAGCCACTGCGCCCAGGCCTTATGGTCTGTTGAGCAGTTCTTCTCTAATTAAATGTTAGCCTTGTTAGAAAGGGATAGAAGTTAGAAAATATATATTTATATATACTTGAAAAATTTTTTTTACAGACAGGGTTTCTCTCTGTTGTCCAGGCTGGAGTGCAGTGGTGTGATCATGGCTCACTGTACCTTCAGACTCCTGGGCTCAAGCAATCCTCTTGCTCAGTCCCTGAGTAGTTGGGACTACAGGTATGTGCCACCATTCCCAGCTAAGTTTATTTATTTATTTATTTATTTTTTGAGATGGAGTCTCACTCTGTTGCCAAGGCTGGAGTGCAGTGGCATGATCTTGGCTCACTGCAATCTCTGCCTCCCAAGTTCAAGCAATTCTCTGCCTCAGCCTCCTGAGTAGCTGGGATTACAGGGGCCTGCCACCACCCCCAGCTAATTTTTTGTATTTTTAGTAGAGACAGGGTTTCACCATCTTGGCCAGGCTGGTTTTGAACTCCTGACATCGTGATCCACCCACCTTGGCCTCCCAAAATGCTGGGATTACAGGCGTGAGCCACAGCGCCTGGCCTAAATTTTTTTGTAGAGATGGGGTCTCACCACGTTGCCCAGGGTGGTCTTGAACTCCTGGGCTCAAGTGGTCCTCCCACTTTGACCTGTCAAAGTGCTGGGATTACAGGTGTGAGCTACCGTGCCCAGCCTAGAAAAAATATTTTTTAAATCATGCTTTATTAAAGAAGCAGAATAGAAAATAAAAAACAACACAAGCAAGCAAACATAAACGCTTGTATATTTGCCACCCAAAGGTTACTCCCTACCATCTGTATCCTTTTCTATGCATATATGTATATATTCATATTTTTTTACTAAAATGAGGTCATACTGTACACACTGTTTTATAATCTGCTTTTTTTAGTCAAAAAAATTCACTTTCTATTTCAATAAATTTTAATCTAATTTAATATACACACTCTATTCATTTCTCCAAGGAACCTGAAAATTCTGGTTCCTTCATGCAAGTATCCAATCCACAAATTGTGTATTATGTTCTTTAAATTTCTTAATCTGTCACATTCTATCACATTACCACCCCCCACCTTTTTTTATGACAGTGACTAGTGACTCGTTTAAGAGGAAGTTAGCAAATCATGAAAGTATATGATTGCTAGTGAAAATTTGGTAGCATATAGAGAAACAGAAGGAAAAATAAAGGAAGATTTACCATTCTACACTTTTTATAGTTACAGAGCAACAATTGGTATTAATTGCATTAATGATGATATTTTAATGAATTTTATAATCATTTTATGTACCATTTATGACAGAGCTTTTTAGTTTTAGCTATATATGTTTGTGTTTGACTAGGAAAGACATACAGATTCTCATTTCTTTTTAGTCTCACTTTAAACTCCTTGAGTTTGAAATGACTTTATTTAAATCTAGTGGTAGAGATAGAGTTAAGTAATAGCTATGAAACTTTTGGAATAGTAAAATGTGCCATATTGGTATAATACATTATTTATTATCAAGGAGTCCTTTTATAAGATAAAAATTTTTTACTGGAAAAACCTCTTTAAGTCTTTTGCATGTTAGTGCTTAAAACTTGGAAATTTAGGTCTGAAAGCCTTTTGATGATGGCAAATATATACTATCAATATTATAATTCACACGTTGAGAATAACCACTATTGAAAATGCAGGAGGCCAGGCGCGGTGGCTCACGCCTGTAATCCCAGCACTTTGGGAGGCCAAGGCAGGTGGATCTCCTGAGGTGAGGAGTTCAAAACCAGCCTGGCCAACATGGCGAAACCTTGTCTCTACTAAAAATACAAACATTAGCCAGGTGGTGGCGAGCACCTGTAATCCCAACTACTTGGGAGGCTGAAGCATAAGAATTGCTTGAACCCGGGAGGTGGAGGTTGCAGTGAGCTGACAGCACGCCACTGCACTGCACTCCAGCCTGAGCAACAGAGCAAGACTCCATCTCAAAAACAGAAAAAAAGAAAAGAAAGTGCAGGAAATTTTATTCCTGCTTCCTATCTATTGGTTCATCACTATCAAGCTTTGACATGGGAAATAAGGAAATTGGCTCTGGTTTTGTTTATATTAAGGCTTTGCTTATGGATAGTTTGAGAGTGTTCTTATGTATTGACTTTCTTAGCATTTCTCATTTAGCTTTCCTGAGCTTCTTCCCTTCCCCTAATAGCTCTCCAAACTTTCTACTTTCAGTGCTCCTTCCTTGATATTCTGAGGTTCCCAGTTGCCATGGTGCCTTTGTAGTGAGTAGACAGAGAAGGTCATTATGAGATCTGCAACTTGGTACTCCTTTGCTGAGGGAACTAGTTTCCTCTTTCCATCTCCCATCCTCCCCTTCTTTCCATTCAGAAAACAGGAGCTGTCTGTGGCCATATATGTATTTTAGTCTCTGGAGTGCATTCTATAAACTTAGCTAATTGTGGAAATGAAATTATGAATGTTGTAAGTAAGGCTCGGTACAGCTGCTTGACAGTGTTTATTACTTTTATTATTTCAAGTGTAATGCATGCATTTCCCCCTCTTTTCTTTCTGTTAGCATAAATTTACAAATGAAGTTTGCATTTACTACTTTATATTGTTAAATTATTAGAAGTAATGTAGGTTTATTATTAGAAAAGTAGGAAATCCAAGAAGTTTTTTTTTCCAGATAGAGTCTTGCTGTGTCGCCCAGGCTGGAGTACAGTGGCATGATCTTGGCTCACTGCCTCCGCCTCCCGGGTTCAAGCGATTCTCGTGCCTCAGCCTACTAAGTAGCTGAGATTACAGGTGCCCGCCACTATTCCCAGCTAATTTTTGTATTTTTAGTAGAGACGGGGTTTCGCCCTGTTGCCTAGGCAGGGCCGCCTGCCTTGGCCTCCCAAAGTGCTGGGATTACAGGCGTCAGCCACCGCGCCCAGCCTCAAAAAGTATTTAAAAAAATAGAAACACTGAGGAATACAATCATTCCATAGTAATCACTATTCATATTTTATATATTTCCTTTCTGTATTTTTTACCACTTAAGGATAAATGTCATTAAAAATATACATATAGATGATATTATAATGAATATACAGCTCTGCTTTCTGCTTTTTTTCCCCATATAACAACACTTTCTCATGTCATTGCAAATCTTTTTTTCTTTTTTTTTTTTTTCTGTGACAGGGTCTCTGTCACCCAGGCTGGAGTACAGTGGCATGATCACGGCTCACTGCAGCTTCAACCTCCCTGGGCTCAAGTGATCCTCCCACGTCAGCCTCCCAAGTAGATGGGACTACAGACGTACACCACCACACCCAGCTAATTTTTGTATTTTTTGTAGAGACACGGTTTCGCCATGTTGGCCAGGCTGGTCTCGAACTCTGGACCTTAGGTGATCTACCCTCCTCGGCCTCCCAAAGTGCTGGGATTACAGACATGAGCTACCTCGCCTGGCCTGATTCTAAATTTTGGCTGTTGTGAATAGTGCTGCAGTAAATATGGAGTGCAGATATCTCTTTGATATGTTGATTTCCTTTCTTTTGGATATATACCCAGTAGTGGAATTGCTGGGTTATATGGAAGCTCTATTTTTAGTTTTTTGAAGAGGTTTCATACTGCTTTCCGTAGTGGCAGTACTAATTTATATTCCTACCAACAGTGTACGAGGTTTCCCCTTTCTCCACATCTTCATCTCATGACACTACTTCAGAGGGTTCTTGTTACCCATAGGATATGTTAGTGTCTAGCCAAACATTGTGTCACAGGTGCTTAACATTATTTCTAATACTCACAACAGTACTAATTATTATTATGGTGGGCTCAATGAGTTCTGTTAAGGGTCCAATAAGGTCTTGGAGATGTTTGAACTAGAATTTGAAGGATGAACAGAAAAAAGGCTAGCAAAGTTAGGGGTGTGTGTGTGTGTGTGTGTGTGTGTGTGTGTATGTAAGGGTAGAGCTGGTAGGGTAGACAATGTGCAGAAGTATCAGTGAAACGTCTAGCATTTTCAGGCAATTACAAGTCATTGACTATTACTGCAATGGAAGGTGGGCAGCATGGTTGGTGCAAAAGAAGAGGCCGGTAAGACAGAGGTCAGGTCATTAAGGGTCTTTCATGTCATACTGTGATAATAAATAAGCATTTGGTCTCTATCCTTGGTTCCTGGCACACAGTTCCTAAAGCCCTTGGGATTTCTTGACCGGTAAGTATCTTTTATGATAATGAGATGACTGGGGTCTGAGGGCCCCTGGATAGCTTCAGGCTGGGGTCTGTTAACCAGAAAGACCAAGGAATAATTAGAGAATTGGAACTTTCAAGTCTGCTCTCTAACCTCCAGGGAGGGGCAAGGGGCTGAAAATTGAGCTAATCACAAGTGGCCAGAGATTTAATCAGCCATGCCTACTTAATGAAACCTCCATAAAACCTTGTAAACAACAGAGTTCATAGAGCTTCTGGGATGGTCAACACATAGAGGTTCTGGTAGAGCTGTATGCCTGGAGGAAGGTTTGGAAGTTCTGTGCCCCTTCCCCCATACCTTGCCCTATATGTCTCTTCCTGAGTTCCTGAGTTGTATCCTTTATAAAGCAGTAATAGTAAGTAAACTCTTTTCCTGTGTTCTGTATGTCATTCTAGCAAATTATCAAACACGAGGAAGGGGTCATGGGAATCTCCGATTTATAGCTGGTTGGTCAGGAGTATAGGTGGCTGGGATTTGCAACTGGTATCTGAAGTAGGGGACAGTCTTGTGGGACTGAGCCATTAACCTGTAGGATCTGTGCTAACTCTGGGTAATTAATATAAGAATTCAATTGTGAGACTCCCAGTTGGTAGCTGGACAGAACTGGTTGTTGATATGGAAAAAAACCTGTACATTCGGTGTCAAAGTGTTGTAAGTAAATACAGCTCAGACATAAGACATCTGTAAAATGGAAAACAATGTTTAGGTTCTCCTTAACTGTGCAACAGACTTTATTAAAAATATGGATTCCAGCTGGGTACGGTGGCTCACGCCTGTAATCCCAGCACTTTGGGAGGCAGAGGCGGGTGGATCACCTAAGGTCGGGAGTTCGAGACCAGCCTGACCAACATGGAGAAACCCCATCTCTACTAAAAATACAAAATTAGTTGGGCGTGGTGGCACATTCTTGTAATCCCAGCTACTCGGGAGGCTGAGGCAGGAGAATGGCTTGAACCCGGGAGGTGGAGGTTGTGGTGAGCCGAGATTGTGCCATTGCACTCCAGCCTGGGCAACAAGAGCGAAACTCCATCTCAAAAAAAAAAAAAAAAAAAAAAAAAGCATTCCTGGCCGGGTGCGGTAGCTCATGCCTGTAAATTCCTAGCACTTTGGGAGGCTGAGGCAGACAAATCACTTGAGGTCAGGAGTTTGAGAACAGCCTGGCCAACACAGTGAAACCACGTCTCTACTAAAGATACAAAACTTACCCGGGCATGGGGACATGTACCTGTAGTCCCAGCTACTTGGGAGGCTGAGGCAGGAGAATCACTTGAACCCAGAAGGCGGAGGTTGCTGTGAGCCAAGATTGTGCCACTGTACTTCCAGCCTGGTTGACAGAGTGAGATACCATCTCAAAAAAAAAAAAAAAAAAAAAAAGTGTGGATTCCTGAGTCCTATCCCGGATTTATTAGATTACAGCCTCTGGTCGTGGAGCCCAGGAATCGTTATTCTAATACTTTCCAGGAGAGTCTGGTATGAATCCTGAGCCAAGAAGCACTTTTTCAGAGCTTAGAACAATGCTTGGCACATTTCAGTGCTTAATAAATGTTTGTTACATTGAAATTAAAGTTGTACAAATGGAAATCTACTTGCACAAGAATATATAGTAGAGTGGTCGGGCGCAGTGGCTCATGCCTGTAATCCCAGCACTTTGGGAGGCTGAGGCGGGCGGATCACGAGGTCAGGAGATCGAGACCATCCTGGCTAACACGGTGAAACCTCATCTCTACTAAAAATACAAAAAATTAGCCGTGCATGGTGGCGGGCACCTGTAGTCCCAGCTACTCGGGAGGCTGAGGCAGAATAGTGTGAACCCGTGAGGCAGAGCTTGCAGTGAGCCAAGATTTCGCCACTGCACTCCAGCCTGGGTGACAGAGTGAGACTCCATCTCAAAAAAAAAAAAAAAAGAATATATAGTAGAAAGGAAATATGTCTTAGGGAAATATCTACCTCATTCTTTTTTATGGCTCAATAGTACTCCATTGTGTGTATGGAGTAGATATACTCTCTATTTTATTACATATTTCTTTTTATCCATTCATCTGTTGATGGACCCTTACGTTGATTCCAAATCTTGGCCATTGTGAATAGTGCTGTAATAAACATGGGAGTGTAGATATCTCTTCAATATACTGATTTCCTTTATTTTTTGCATTTACCTAGCTATGGGATTGCTGGGTTGTATGGCAGTTCCATTTTTAGTTTTTTGAGGAACCTCCATACTGTTCTCCATAGTGGTTGTATGGAGATTTACATTCCCATTGTGTTTTAATTTATACAGCCATCAAGGGAACCACCAATACAAGGGTTCCCTTTTCTCCACATCCTCTTAGCATTTGTTACTGCCTCTTTTGGGTAAAAGCCATTTTAACTGGAGTGAGATTATATCTCATTGTAGTTTTGATTTGCTTTTCTCTGATGATCAGTGATGTTAAGCGCCTTTTCATATAGCTGTTTGCTAATTGTATGTCTGCTTTTGAGAAATGTGTATTCAGAACTTTTGCCTATTTTAAAATTGGATTATTAGATATTTTCCTATTGAGTTGTTTGAGCTCCTTATATATTCTGGCTATCAATCCTCTGTCAGATGGAGATACTGTTTGTTGAAATGAAAATGAAGTTGTAATAACCATAGTTTGATATCTCATATTTTTCTGAGTATTCTTTCTCCCAAGATTCATAGTTCTTTAGTTCTTTTTTTTTTTCCCTTCAACTTCTATTTTAAGTTATGGGGTACACCTGCAGGATGTGCAGGAGGTAAATGTATGCAATGGTGGTTTGCTGCACAGATGAACCCATCACCTTGGTATTAAGCCCAGTATCCATTAGCTATTCTTCCTGATGCTCTCCCTCCTGCAACCCCCCAAAATTCTTATCTCAAAATGCTAAATTTAATAATTCTTCATAAGTAAAAATTCTAACCTCCTCCCTAGTAAAATCTAATGATAGTCATGAAACTGGGACTCCATTAGTCAGGAAAATGTCTAGGAGTTCATCAAGGAAAGATTCTTCAGAGTGTTCAGAATATTGAATTTGGGTTCCAGGATATCCTGATCTGCCAAATGTATCATGACCCACTAATTGTGTCATGTCATCTCTATATTTTTTCCCTTTATATATTTTTTTTGTTTCTTTAAAAATTTTTTTTGTAGAGATGGGGTCTTGCTATGTTGTCCAGGCTGGTTTCAAACTCCTGGACTCAAGTGATTCTTCTGCCTTGGCCTTTCGAAATGCTGACATTACAGGTGTGAGCCACCGGGCCCAGCTGCCTTTATTATTTCAGTTCCCACCATCACTGACTTTATGTAGGTGTTCATTATCTCTAGCCTAGTCTATTACAATGGCCTTTAACTATTTTCTCTTACTTTAGTCTCTCCCTGTTTCACATCTGTTCAAAAACATGTAATGTTTTCCCTCTGCTTTCAGAGTAAAGCCCAAGATAACAACCCCAACTTTTACTGCCATTTATTGAGCATTTACTGTGAGTTAAGCACTAAGTGCTTTCAATATTTATCTTATGTAACCAAACAACAGTCAGTCCTGTAAAATAGGCGTTAATTATCTCCATTTTCCAGAAGAGGAGGATACAGGCTCAGAGAGATTATGTAATTTTCCTACCTAATAAGTGGTGGAGGCATTCAGTCATGGTATTCAGATTCTTCCACAATTAGGCCATAGCTGATTTTTCCAGTCTTGTTTCTACCCAGTGTTTTTTCCCTCTTTGCTTATTCCAGTTGCAGTAGACAATTGCCTGTTTCCTAAAATTCCATATACTTTCCATCTTTATGTCCTTTGATCATTCTATTTGTGTCTCAGTCTCTTTTCCTGTGTCTCTCTTTGTCATGTATCCTTACTGAAATGCCATTTCCCTGACTGTTGAAATTCCATTTACCCTTGGAGGTCATCACTCCTTTTTTTCTTTTTAATGAGATGAAGTCTTGCTGTGTTGTCCAGGCTGGTCTCAAACTCCTGGCCTCAAGTGATCTCCTCACCTCAGTTTCCCAAATGCTAGGATTACAAGTGTGAGTCACCATGCCCATCTGAGGTCATCAATCTTTAAAGACCTTCTGAAATGCTGCCTCTGCTATGAAGCTTTTCTTTTTTCTCTTCTCCTTCTTCTTCTTCTTTTTTTTTTTTTTTGAGACAGGGTCTTGCTCTGTCACCCATGCTGGAGTGCAGTGGCATGATCTTGGCTCACTGCAAACTCCACCTCCTGGATTCAAGCAATTCTCCTGCCTCAGCCTCCCGAGTAGCTGGGATTACAGGTGCGCGCCACCATGCCCAACTAATATGAAGCTTTTCTTGTTCTTTCTCCTATATTGTTTTTCTCTTCTGGTAATTTGGCCTTCCATTTTCTGCAACAGTAATTTCATTTCTTCTCCATTGTCCTTAAACCAGCAGTTCCATTTGTGCCATTTCCTGCCTCTTCTAGACACTTTTAATTTATAGCTTTGCCACATTATTTTATTAAGAAAATAGAGACTATCTAGTAATTCTTCTAACACCTCATTTCAAACTTACTTTTATCTGTATTCTCCTTCTCATTTTTTCTTCATGCATATGTATGTATGTGTGTGTGTGTATTTGTGTGTGTGTGTTTTGTAACCCAGAACAATGCTGACAACATTTTTCCTTCTTTCCTGAGAAGTGTTCCAAGTGCTTGGAACAGAGGATGACCAAAGGAGGGAGGGTCCTGAGAAGTGTTCCAAGCACTCTGATTTCTTCCATCTTTATAGAAGGCCTTTTTTTGATAGCCACATTCCCTTTGGATTATTGCCTTATCTCTCTGCCCCATTTTATGGTCAAGATTTTCAGAAGTGCTATCCCTACTTCCTCATCTCCCATTCATTCTTAAAGCTATTCTGTTCTGTCCTCTGCCCAACTATGCTATTGAAACTGCTCTCGTAAAAACCACTAATGACTACTGTATTGCTAAATCAGTGGATGCTTTTCAGTTCTCATCCTTCTAAGTCTCTCAACAGTTCCATACAAGTGACTACTTTTTTCTTGAAACACATGCCTTCTTTTCTGCTAAAGACTACACTTTCATGACTCCTGTGTTACCTCCATTCTACTCTTACCAATCTCCAGTCTCCCTTGCAAGTCCTTCTGCTTTCATGCAACCTTTGAGTGTTGAATACTTTCATTGCTTGGTTCTGGTCCTTCTTATCTTTTTACTTGATATACATTTTCTTTCTTTTTTTTTTTTTTTTTTTTTGAGATGGTGTCTCGCTCTGTTGCCCAGGGTAGAGTGCAATGTTGCAATCTTGGCTCTCTGCAACCTCTGCCTCTGGGTTCAAGTGATTCTCCTGCTTCAGTCTCCCAGGTAGCTGGGATTACAGGCGCCCACCATCATGCCTGGCTAATTTTTTGTATTTTTAGTAGAGACAGGGTTTCACCATGTTGTCCAGGCTGGTCTTGGACTCCTGACCTCAGGTGATCCACCTGCCTCTGCCTCCCAAAGTGCTGGGATTACAGGTGTGAGCCACTGTACCCAGCCACATTTTCTATATATAAAATTCATCCCTTTGCTACTGCTTATATGCTGATGATTCCCAAATTTATAATATCCATCCCAGACCTATCCTCTGAGATCACTTGTTATGTTCACCTATTCATATGACATTTTCATTTGAATGTCTTATAGACATTAAATTCTTGATTTCCCCTATCTTCTTCATAAATTTGATCCTCCCCCAATCTTCCACATCTCACTAAATAGCACCTCCAGCCACTCTGCTCAAACCAAAAAACCTGGGAATTGTACTTCAGTTTGGTTGATTCTATCTCCAGTATTGACCCCAGTACCTTCACTTGCAATCACCTTAGTCCAAGCCTTAGCACGTCAGCTCTTGCTTGGACTATTAGAATGATCACCTAACTAGATTTCCTGTCTGTATTATACTTTTGCCTCCTTATTTCTTGCTGCACATAGCATAAGATACAAAATTCTAGTTTTTCTGTTTTTTTGTTTTGAAACAGGGTCTTGCTCTGTCACCCAGGCTGGAGTAGTGCAAACAGGACTCACTGCAGCCTCAAGCTTCTGGGCTCAAGCCTCAGACTCCCAAGTACCTGGGTCAATAGGTGCATGCCACCCTGCTTGGATAATTTTTAAATTTTTTTGTAGAGATGTGTTCTCACTATGTGGCCCAGGCTGGTCTCAAAGTCTCGGACTCAAGTGATCCTCTCGCCTTCACCTCTCAAAGTGCTGGGATTACAGGTGTAAGCCACCACACCTGGCCTAGATACAAAATTTTTAACTCAGCTCATGAGACCCTGAATGATCTGACTTCTGTCAACTTCCATTTGCTGACAGGGCTTCAATCATACTGGCCTTTCAGTTCCCCTGAAAAGATAGTAGTCCAATATTTTTCCTATCTCAAGGCCACATGCACTGGTCCTTATGCCTAGAATTCACTTTCACTCTCTTTGATCACTTGAGGTCTTTATCCTTTAGGTTTCAGATCAAATATCATTTCCCCAAAGAGGCTCTATTGTTACAGTGTTCCTTTTTTTCCCATTGCAATAGCATTTATCACAATTTGTAATGTTTTTAGTAATATATTTATTTGATTTCTTGTCTCCATTATACTGTAACATGAGCACAGAAGCCATATATTTTGTTTATAGCTGTATACTCATCATTTTCTATAGCATATAATAGTCACTCAATAAATACTTGTTGAAGCCAGGCATCGTGGCTCATGCCTGTAATCCCAGCGCTTTGGGAGACTAAAGCAGGAGGTTTGCTTGAGCCCAGGAATTTGGGACAAGCCTAGGCAACATAGAGAGACCTATACTCTACAAAAAAAAATTTTTTTTAATAGCTGGGCATGGTGTTGCATGCCTGTATTCCTAGCTACTCGGAAGGCTGAGGCGAGAGGACTGTTTGAGCCCCCAAGAGTTTAAGGCCGCAGTGAACTATGATCATGCTACTGTACTCCAGCCTAGGCAACAGAGCAAGACTGTCTCTACAAAGTAAATAAAAACATAAAATAAATACTTGTGAATAAATGGTAGAGGTATAAAGACTGATTGGGAACAGTCACAAAAGATAATAGTAGTAGTTTTTGTTTTTCCATTTTCATTTTTATTTTATTTTATTTGAGGGCAGTAGCGCAATCTTGGCTCACTGCAACCTCCGCCTCTCAGGTTCAAGCAGTTCTTGTGCCTCAGTCTCCCGAGTAGCTAGGATTACAGGCGTGCACCACTAAGCCAGCTAATTTTTGTATTTTTAGTAGAGGCAGTGTTTCACCATATTACCCAGGCTGATCTCAAACTCCTGACCTCAAATGATCCACCTGCCTTGGCCTTCCAACGTGCTGGGATTACAGGCGTGAGTCACCACACCTGGCTAGTAGTTTTTAAATTATACATATTATGTATTTGATTTCTGTAGTAGATTTAGGATTATTCAGATTTTCATGTCTTTCTGGGTGGAATGGAAAGTCGTTAAGAAATTTATCAATTTTTTTCTAACATTTCAAATTTATTGGCATAAAGTTTGTAATAATATGCTTGTTTTTCATGTCTATAGGATTTATAGTGATTCCCTTGTCCTCATTCCTGATATTGGCAATTAGCATTTTTTTCTTTTATTTTTATCAGTCTTAGTAGAAATTTATCAATTCAGTTCCTTTTCAAAGAATTAACTTCTGGCTTTGTTGATATCCATCTCTTCATCTCTGTATTCACTCATAAATTCGTCTTATTATATTCCTCAAGCTTGGATATACATTTTCATTATTATTCAATTAAAATATTTTCTTAATTTCCTTGTGATTTTTTGACTCATAAATTGTTTAGAAATATATCAAGACACTTGTGGATTTTATTACCTTTGTTATTGATTTTTAGTGTAATCCATTGTGTTCAGAGCATATACGCTATGTGATTTCAGACCTTTGAAATTTATTGATACTTTATGGCTTAGTATATGGTCTATTTTGATAAAGTTTCATAAACACTTGCAATGAATGTATATGTTGCAGTTGGTGATTATAGGTTCTATGTATGTTCAGTTTTTCAGTTTGTTGTTCTTCTGTGTCTTTGATTTTTTTTTTTCTACTTGTTATATCAGTTGCTGAAGAAGAATATTAAAATATCCTACTATAAGGATCTTATGACTGGGCACAGTGGCTCACACCTATAATCTTACCACCTTGGGAGGCCAAGGTGGATGGATTGCCTGAGCTCAGGAGTTTGAGGCCAGCTTGGACAACATTATGAAACCCCATCTCTACTAAAAATATAAAAAATTAGCCAGGCATGGTGCCACACGCCTTTAGTATCAGCTGCTTGGGAGGCTGAGGCACGAGAACCACTTGAACCTAGGAGGTGGAGGTTGCAGTGAGCTGAGATTGCACTCCAGCCTGAGGGATAGAGCGAGACTCTGTCTCAAAAACAAAGCAAAACAAAACAAAACAATAAGAAAAAAGACATTCAACACAATAGAAATATGGGGAAAAGACTTCAACAGGCACTTCAAAAGAAGATACCAAATGTCAAGTAAGTATATGAAAAGGTGCTCAATATTACTAGTCATCAGGGATTTGCAAATTAAAATTACAATGAGTTAAACACATAGCCCAACCAAAAAAGGTAAAATTAAAAAACGAGCAATATCAAGTGTTAGCAAGGAAGTGGAACACACTGACTCTTACACATCACTGGTATTAATATGAATTGGTACAGCCACTTTAGAAAACTATTTAGCAGTATCATTTAAAGCTAAACATGCACATACCTCACTAGTGAGCAATTTCATTTTAGTGTATATTCCCAGAGGAAATTAGTTCATTTATCCATCAGAAATAAGCAAATATTGTCAAAATTCATAAACAACCCAAATGTCCGTGAATAGTAGAATAGGTAAGTAAATCATGGTATATCATATGATGGAATACCATACAGAAATGAAAATGAACAAACTACTGCTGTATCACAACATGGGTGAATTTTTTTTTCCATAAATTCGACCAAGTGGTAAGCATAGATAAATTTTATACACATAAGGCCAGGCGTGGTGGCTCACGCCTGTAATCCCAGCACTTTGAGAGGCTGAGGTGGGAGGATCAGTTGAGGCCAGGAGTTCAAGACCAGCCTGGCCAAAATGGTGAAACCTCATCTCTAGTAAAAATACAAAAAAAATTACCTGGGTGTGGTGGTGCTTACCTCTAATCCCAGCTACTTGGAAGGCTGAGGCAGGAGAATCCCTTGATCCCAGGAGGCAGAGGTTGCAGTGAGCCGAGGGTGCACCACTGCACTCCAGCCTGGGTGACAGAGCAAGACTCCATTGCAAAAAAAAAAATAATAATAAATTTATACACATAATATTGATCAAAAGAAGTCAGACATTAAAGTACATACATTATATAACACTATATTTATGAAGTTCAAGAGTAAACAAGACTGATCAATGGTTATAAAAGGTCAGAGTAGTCTTTACCTTTAAGGGAGAATATTGACTAGGAAGGGACACAAGTAAGCCTTCTGGGACTCTGGAAATATTCTGTATCTTAATGAGGTGATTGGTTATATGGCTATATATATATTAATTTTGCATATATATGTTTTATACTTAAGATTTTTCCACTTCATTGTATGAAGTTATATCGGTCATTAAAAAGTAAATAAAACAGGGAGGACTTCCAGGTATAGCTGAATGAGGAGACTGGCAGATCTTCAACACAAAAACCAATTATGAAGATTGACAAACTTGACAAAATTAACCATTTTAACACTCTTGAAATCAACCAAAAGGCATACAATAATTTGAGAGAATTTTATGATTAAAAAACTGCTGGCCGGGTGCAGTGGCTCACGCCTGTAATCCCAGCACTTTGGGAGGCCGAGGTGGGCGGATCACAAGGTCAGGAGATTGAGACCATCCTGGCTAACACGGTGAAACCCCTTCTCTACTAAAAATACAAAAAATTAGCCGGGCATGGTGGCGGGCACCTGTAGTCCCGGCTGCTCGGGAGGCTGAGGCAGGAGAATGGTGTGAACCCAGGAGGCGGAGCTTGCAGTGAGCCGAGATAGTGCCACTGCACTCCAGCCCGGGCGACAGAACAAGACTCCGTCTCAAAAAAAAAAAAAAAAAAAAAACAAAAAAAAAAACTGCTAAAATTCCGTAAAACAGTAGGAGTTTGTGGTATTCTTGTCTGGGATTGTTCCTATTCCCCTTTCCCCAGCTGATTTGTCATGAAAGTTTTACCAGTGTGGGTAGACCATGAAGACCAGCTGCTTTGATGCTGTGGTTCAAGGGAGTTTACTCAGTTTGGGTGGTGGATGATGTCCATGCTCAATGGCATTGTTGGGAGAAGTGACCACTTGGCAGTGGGTGAGTGGCACAGGCCAGTGACTTTGCCTGTTTGTGGTTGGGGCAAGCATATTGCAGGCTGAGGCATGTACATGCACAGAAGAGACATGATAAGGCCCAACGGAAAGTAACAGCTAGGGCAGACTTGAAAAACCTGAACTTTGAATGCACTACTCTATATCCCCCATACTCCAGACCCATAAACAGAGGATAAAAGCCTTTCTAGCTTTAAGTATATGAGCATAAACTCTATCTAATCATTGGCTACACAGACATAGGGGTGACTCCTCAAAAGCCACATTTAAACATAAAACCAAGAAATAAAAAGAAAATGAGCTGAGACATCAGTGGCTGCACACTGTTAGGGAAACAGAATTCACAGATTTAGCTCAGGCAAATGATTAAGCCAAGAAAGAAAAAAACAAACTAGTAACAACAATTTTCATGGGTGAAAGAAATCAGAATCCAAATTGTTCATATGTTCAATTTGTAAATTGTTCATATGCATAATTTGTTTTCTAATCCCATGACAGGTTATATTCAATTTTTAATTAAAAAGCCGTGAGACATGTAAAGATACAGGAAAATGTGACCCATGTTTAGGAAAAAAGTCAACAGAAATTATCTACAAGTGTCCCTAGATACTGGATTTAACAAAGATTTCAAAGTAGCGACTGTAAATGTGTTCAAAGACCTAAAGGAAAACATGTTTAAATAATTTTTAAAAACATATTTATTTATTTTTATTTTTATATTTTATAGGGACAGAGTCTTACCATGTTGCCCAGGCTGGTTTCGAACTCCTGGCCTCAAGTGACCTTCTTGCCTTGGCCTCCCAAATCTCTGGAATTACAGGTGTGAGCCACTGTGCCCCATCTTAAATACTATTTTTTTTTTTTTTGAGACAGAGTTTCGCTCTTGTTGCCCAGGCTGGAGTGCAATGGCACGATCTTGGTCACCGCAACCTCTGCCTCCCGGGTTCAAGCAATTCTCCTGCCTCAGCCTCCCGAGTAGCTGGTACAGGCGTGCACCACCACGCCCAGCTAATTTTGTATTTTTAGTAGAGATGGGGTTTCTCCACGTTGGTCAGGCTGGTCTCGAACTCCTGACCTCAGGTTATTGCCCGCCTCTACCTTCCAAAGTGCTGGGATTATAGGCATGAGCCACCGCGCCTGGCCCCTTAAATACTGTTTTTTTAAGCATGACAACAATGAATCAATAAATAGAACTTCTCAGCTGAGTGCAGTGGCTCATGCTTGTAATCCCAGTGCTTTTGGGAGGCAAGCGGGGTGGATTTCCTGAGCCCAGGAATTTGAGACTCCATCTACAAAAATTTTAAAATTATTTGAGCATGGCAGCATATGTCTGTGGTCCCAGCTACTTGGGAGGCTGAGGCAGGAGGATCGCTTGAGCATATTGAGTGTTTGCACCACTGCATTCCAGCCTGGGCAAAAGAGCAAGACTCTGTCTCAAAAAATTAAAAATAAAATAAATAGAAATTCTCAATAAGAAAAGAGAAATGATTTTTAAAAAGAAGCAAATGAAACCAAAGAGGATATACCTATGGCAAATAAACACATGAAAAGATGTTTTATAATTATCTAATAGTTATTAGGTATTAGGAAAATGCAAATATTAATTAGTATTAGGAAAATGCAAATTAAAATAGCAATGAGATATCATTACACACTTATCAGAATGCCTAAAATAAGAAATAGACACAATACCAAAGGTTTGTGAGAATGCAGAAAAATTGGATTTCTTGTACATTGCTGGTGGGAATGTAAAATGATACAGCCACTCTGGAAAATAATTTGACACTTTCTTTTTTTTGAGACGGAGTCTCGCTCTGTTGCCCAGGCTGGAATGCAATGGCGCGATCTTGGCTCACTGCAACCTCCGCCTCCTGGGTTCATGCGATTCTCCTGCCTCAGCCTCCTGAGTAGCTGGTATTACAGGTGCCTGCCACCATGCCCAGGTAATTTTTGTATTTTTAGTAGAGATGGGGTTTCACCATGTGGGCCAGGCCGGTCTTGAACTCCTGATCTCAAGTGATCCACTTGCCTCGGCCTCCCAAAGTGCTAGGATTATAGGCGTGAGCCACTGTGCCCGGCTAATTTGACACTTTCTTATAAAACTAAACTCTCACCATATGAACCATATGATCTGGCAGCTTCACTCCTTATTGTATACCCAAGAGAAAGGAAAGCATATGTCCACATAAAAGTTTATACATGAATGTTCATAACATTATTAATAAGAGCCACAAAATGGAAACAACCCAATATCCATTAACTGATGATGTATAAACAAAATATGGTGTGTCCACACATTGAAATATTGTTCAACCATAAAAAGAAATGAAGTACTGATATATGCTACAGCATTGAAAACATTATGCTAAATGAAAGAAGCCAGTCACAAAAGGCCACATATTATATTATTCCATTTATATGAAATGTCTGTAATAGGCAAATCTATAAAGACAGAAAGTAGATTAGTGGTTGGCTAGGATTGGGGAGCATATTGGAGAAATGAGGAGTGGCTGCTACTGGGCATGGGGTTTCTTTTGGAGGTAATAAAAATGTTCTAAAATTGCCATGCGTGGTGCACGTTCCTGTAGTCCCAGCTACTTGGGAGGCTGAGGCAGGAGGATTGCTTGAGCCTAGGAGTTTAAGTCCAGCCTGTGCAACATAGCAAGACCTCGTCTCTTTAAAAAAATGACACATATAATGAAATGAAAATGTCCTTAAATTTATTGTGATGATAGTTCATAACTATGTGAATATACTAAAAACTATTGAATTGTACCCTTTAAGTGGGTGAAATGTATGGTGTGTGAATTGTATCTCAGTAAAATTGTTAACAAAAAATTTTTAAATGAGTTTATCAAGATCACAGGGTGTAAGATCTATATAGAAAAGTTAAGTATATTTCTATATGCTAGCTAGAAATGAACAATCCAAAAATGAAATTAAGAAAATATTCTGTTCATGATAGCATTAAAAAGAATAAAATAGGAATAAATTGAGCAAAAAAGGTATAAGACTTATACACTAAAACTTGTGGAACATTGCTGACAGAAATTAAATAAAATCAGCCAGGGGTGGTGGCTCACGCCTGTAATCCCAAACCCAGAGGCTGAGGCGGATGGATCACCTGAGGTCAAGAGTTCCAGACCGGCCGGGTGTGGTGGCTCACGCCTGTAATCCCAGCACTTTGGGAGGCTGAGGTGGGTGGATCACCTGAGGTCAGGAGTTCGAGACCAGTCTGGCCAACATGGTTAAACCCCATCTCTACTAAAAATACAAATATTAGCCTGGCATGGTGGCAGTCACCTGTAATCCCAGCTACTCGGGAGGCTGAGGCGGGAGAATCGCTTGAACCCGGGAGGTGGAGGTTGCAGATTGCAGTGAGCCGAGATCGCGCCATTGCACTCCAGCCTGGGTCACAAGAGCGAAACCCTGTCTCAAAAAAAAAAAAAAAAAGAGTTCCAGACCAGCCTGTCCAACATGGTGAAACCCTGTCTCTAATAAAAATACAAAAAATTAGCTGGGCGTGGTGGTGTTCTTTTAGTTCCAGCTACTTGGGAGGCTGAGGCAGGAGAATCGCTTGAACCCAGATGGCAGAGGTTGTAAGTGGAGATCGTGCCACTGCACTCCAGCCTGGGAGACAGAGCGAGACTCCATCTCAAAAAAGAAAAAAAAAAGAAATTAAATAAAATCTAAATAAATGGAGAGGCAGTCCATGTTCATGGATTAGAGGACTCAATATTGTCAAGACAGCAGTTCTCCTTAAATTGATCATAAATTCACAGTCCATATCAAATTTCCAGCAGCCTTTCTTTTTCTTTCTAGAATTTGACAAGCCGATCCTAAAATTTACATGGAAACAAAGGACCTAGAATAGCCAAAACACTTTTGAAAAGGGAATGTGAAGTTGGAGGTCTTCATACTACCTGATTTCAAAACCTACTATAAAGTCACAGTTATCAAGACCATGTGGCATTGCTTCAAGGCTAGGCATATAGGTCAATGGATCAGAATTTAGAGTCCACAAAGAAACCTTTAAATATATGGTCACTTGATTTTTTGACAGAGACACATCCTTGATCCAAGATTTCTCTGCTTGTAAAAACCCAATGTAAAACAGTCTCTCACAGTGTGTGTGCTGCAGTATAACTCAGACTGTGTTGCAGTCAAGCTAGCGAATGCATCACTGTCTGCCGGGTAAACTGCTACGTCATCCTTGGTGTTTGGCATGTTACAATGCTGGGATCAGTGTGGGCTTCTAGTTGGATTTTGTGCCAGGTATGTGTCTACGTTGGACACTGTTCATGGTAGATTAAAAGGGGGATGCTTTAAATTTGGAGAAATGAATGTGGCTTTTTATTTCTTGTATTCTAATATTAGAGAAAGATTGTGAGCAGCAGTGTCTATAAAAGATCTATATAGATCTCTAGCTTTGCTTTTGGACCTGGGTATGCTGTGTTAGTGTTTGGTTGTCGTAGAAAGATCCGTTTGGTGAAAGGAAGCATAAACTCGATTATTGAGTGTGCCTCTTTAGTATATTTTTCTGATATAGTTGAGTGCAAAATAGTCTGCCTTATTTTTACACTTAGTGCTTTATTTGCATTTTTGAATGGTGAACTTGTATAACAAGTTTGTTTTGTAGACACTTAAGTGTGTGTAAAATTGAGCAGCTTCTCATCTGTGGCTACTGAACTTTCCTGAACAAAGGCTGCAGTGCTCTATTTTTGAGACAGGTTATTCTGAAGAGACGTAAAGATAGAAGGGCTCCTCTGTGTCAGCTTGGTTCTTTAAAGGGAAAGTAAACTTGACTAACTTAATGGGCATTGGCACATTGTGGAAGGGATGATGTGAAGTACAGACCAGAGAACAACCAGGACTTCCATTTTTTATTATAGCTGGTTGTCATGTTGGGTGGCCTGATTGAGTTGCTTTCAAATTTGGGCAACTTGAGTCTTTACAACTTAAGTTGCCCGAATGTCCTTCAGATCAATGTTTGTTTGTTGTAATCATTTATCTTTTATCTGATTATTTAACTTCTATCTATGCTCCAGGTCATTTGTGTACTTCTGTTTTTGAAGGTTTTTCTGGAAGCTTAATATATTCTCAGCGTGGTTGGCATCAGATTGTTAACTATTTCTATCCAGCATTTTGATGGGAATAAATTTTTTATGGTTCATGATTCAGGTTAGATTTGGTGTACAGTCCTGAGGACTTGCCTCAGGAAGTTGTCTTTCTATAGATTCTAAGCCTTTAGGGTCTTTTGCCATTGATTTTTCTCCTAATACACAGAATATCATGAGCATCTACTTAAGTAAAAGCTAAAAACAGGAAGATATTACAAGATAACATTCAGCTAGTGTTTATTTCTTTAAGAGATCTGTCTGTGGCAAATTTGCTTTCATAGTAATATATGTGTCTCAGTAAGTAGTCTTTCTAGGCAGGATTTTTCTTCCCTGCTTAAGGGGGTTAGACCTCCAAAATATTTGTCAGGGTCTCTTTTCCTTTTAAGGGTTTAACCCACAATCTTTTCTGTATCCGTTTTGTACCAGCTCCATTCCTATTCTCAAGCTTTGGTGCATAAAACCTTAGTTTAGGTGTCTATATATACCACTACTTTGGCCTGAAAATTAGAATCGTGGCTCACACTTGATTCTAAGTTCCCTAGTAGTGGCGTGTTTCCTTTCTACGTGCTTACTTTCCCACCTGACCTGCTTTTCCCCACCGTGCAGTCTGATAATTGGTATTATTTGTTTTGATTGGATCTCAGAAATTACCTCTTTAGACCGAGCTGTGCTCCTCCCTCTGGATTTCATGAGCCCATTATTTTCTTGGCTTAATTGTCCTTGTAAATTTGGTCTTTTTGTCCTGGGCTTTCCCTGTCATGTGCTCCTGGCAGCCAGGAGAGGCAGTGGAGCTTTTCTCCGTTGACTGTCAGAAGAAAGTGACTGTTGTTGAAAATGTTTGCTGCAACTAAAGGAGAGCTGCTAAGATCTACTTTCTAGTTAAACAAGCTTTTATATTTCTCCCCGGCTCCTCTCAGTTCCCTTGGGAAATCAACTAATTGTGTGTGTAAGCTAAGTGTGTGGAGGAGAGAAGATGCAAAAAGGAAGAGAAAGGTGGGGAAAGAAGGAAATTGGGAACAATTAGACAAAAAGACTATAGTTTGAGGCCATCAGGAGTATTCTAGTCTGACTGAAGCCAGGCAGAAGGCACAGTATCTCTTGTCCTCCTGGGTTTTAAGCAGCTGCAACAGGAGGAGGAACTGCGGCTTGTGTTTACAAGGCCGAAATCTGAAGAAAAAGCTTCCATTCTTTTCCCATCTTGATATGGAGGGTTCTCCAGAGGAAAATAAGGAAATGAGATATTACATGCTTCAAAGGTAAGTGTTAGGCTACCACATTTGGGTAATATATATATCTTTAAAAAAACAGTAAGGTACTGACAGCTAAGCCCTGAGATTTATTTGATCATTTTTTTTCTATCTTTAAAAAATGAAGGCTATTTTTTTTAAGAAAATGAATAAAAATGGGCATATTGGCTCCTGAATGTCTAAACCTTTATTTTATATTGGGAATTTGAATAAAAGATCCCTGAGCCCATGTGTGATATTTTAGCTACGTTGAAAACAAGCACCCCATGCAGACCCTGCTGTGCTATTATTTCCTGAAGGGAACCTCAGATGTATCAGATTTACTCCCTGGATTTGGCTAGTATTTCCAGTGAAGTCTCTTCAACTGCTGTAAAGGAAAGATATTGTATAGTTTTGCAGAAAACTTTTTTAGAATGTGTGTCTGGGGCTAGGAAAGGTGCCTGCTGTAATTGTGGTATGTAGTCAGACAGAGTTGTTCAGGATGCCGAACTCCTTCACTTTGGGACCTTTCTTATTGCCATTAGAACTCAGGCTGAGGAGGAAATGAGTCAGGCCTTCTTGGGCCTTCTTCAGGCCTCTTGCAGGTCTGCACCTCCCTGCAGAGAATTGACATAAAAGACTTGAATGATTTGCTTGTGCAGTGGCGCGGTCATAGCTCACAGTAGCCTTGAACTCTTGGGCTCAAGTGATCCTCCCACCTCAGCCTCCTGGGTAGCTGGGACTACAGGCATGCACCATCATGCCTGGCTAATTTTTTTTTCAAGTTTTTTGTAGAGATGGGGTCTCACTGTGTTGCCCAGGCTAGTCTCAAACTCCTATACTCAAGCAATTCTGCCACTTTGGCCTCCAGAAGTGTTGGTATTACAGGCCACTGTGCCTGGCATCCCTCCATTATCTTTTTTGTTTGCTTGTTTTTATAATGTAGAGTTTTTATTTTGAAGAAAATTACTGAAAGTTAAACTAAACTTAGGCAAAGACAGAAAATAAACAAAAAACACTGAGTTGGCAAAATCTGTCTTTAGATCATCCTTTTCCATTCCTTTTTTTCCCCCAACTGCCTCTGTAATTGCCCCTTTTTCTTTTTTACCACTTCTTCCACCCTTTGAGGGGATAACCAAGCAAAACTTCCACTGAGAGGCAAAGAGGTATAAAAGTAACTACAATATAGCTGAGTGCAGTGGCATGAGCCTGTAGTACCAGCTACTCTGTAGGCTGAGGCCAGAGGATTGCTTGAGCCCAGCAGTTTGAGGTTGCAGGGAGATATATTCCTGCCACTGCACTGCAGCCTGGTCAACAGTGAGAACCCATCTCTAAAAATTTTTTTTCCAAAGTAACTGAGATATATATAATCTATGTTTGTGTATATATATAATATAGTATCAAAATTTTTTATGTATATACATGTATAAATATATATTTCAAAAATGTATATATAGGCTGGGCACGGTGGTGGCTTATGCCTGTAATCCCAGTACTTTGCGAGGCCAAGGCGGGTGGATCACCTGAGGTCACGAGTACGAGACCAGCCTGGCCAACATGGTGAAACCCCGTCTCTACTAAAAATACAAAAATTAGCTGGGCGTGGTGGCAGGCACCTGTAGTCTCATCTACTTGGGAGGCCAAGGCAGGAGAATTGCTTGATCGAGCAAACCCAGGAGGCAGAATTTGCAGTGAGCAGAGATCACGCCATCACACTCCAGTCTGGGTGACAAGAGCGAAACTCCATCTCAAAAAAAAAGTGTATATATATATATATACACACACATATACATACACAAACACACGCACATATATACATATATATGTACACACACGCATGTGTGTGTGGTTTTTTTTTTTTTTCTTTCGAGACAGAGTTTCACTTTTGTCGCCCATGCTAGAGTGTGATGGCGCGATCTTGGCTCACCACAACCTCTGCCTCCCGGGTTCAAGCGATTCCCCTGCCTCAGCCTCCCGAGTAGCTGGGATTACAGGCATGCACCACTATGCCCCGCTAATTTTGTATTTTTAGTAGAGATGGGGTTTCTCCATGTTGGTCAGACTGGTCTCGAACTCTCGACCTCAGGTGATATGCCCGCCTTGGCCTCTCAAAGTGCTGGGATTACAGGCGTGAGCCACCGCGCCCGGCCTTAAATGTGTTTTATATATAACATAGTTTTTATATAAAAACCTCATGGCTATACATATAGAAATAAAACGTGCATATATATCTCTATAAGTATATATTGATATATAGTGTCTGAATGTGTCTTTGCCAAAATTTATATGTTGAGGCTGGGCACGGTGGCTCATGTCTGTAACCTCAGCACTTTGGGAGGCCGAGGCGGGCAGATCACCTGAGGCCAGGAGTTCGAGACCAGCCTGGGCAACATGGCGAAACTCCATCTCTACTAAAAATACAAAAATTAGCCGGGTGTGGTGGTAGGATCCTGTAATCCCAGCTACTCAGGTGGTTGAGGCACGAGAATTGCTTGAACCTGGGAGATGGAGGTTGCAGTGACCTGACATTGTGCTACTGTACTCCAGCCTGGGCTACAGAGCGAGACTCTGCCTCACACACACACAAAATGTATATGTTGAAATCTAATTACCACTATGTCAAGAAGTGGGGCCTTTGGGAGTTGAGTAGATCATGGGGCAGAGCCCTCATGAATGGGATTAGTGCCCTTATAAAATAGGCTCCAGGCGAGGCATGGTGGCTCATGCCTGTAATCCCAGCACTTTGGGAGGCCGAGGCAGGCGGATCATGAGGTCAGGAGATCGAGACCATCCTGGCTAACATGGTGAAACCCCATCTCTACTAAAAATACAAAAAATTAGCCGGGCGTGGTGGCGGGCGCCTCTAGTCCCAGCTACTCTGGAGGCTGAGGGAGGAGAATGGTGTGAACCCAGGAGGCAGAGCTTGCAGTGAGCCGAGATCTCACCACTGCACTCCAGACTGGGAGAGAGAGCGAGACTCTGTCTCAAAAAAAAAAAAAAAAAAAAAAGGCTCCAAAGATCTGCCTTTCCCCTTCCACTCTGTGAGGACACAATGAGAATCATGCAAGCGAGTAGGACCTGGAGGCAGGGAACCCAAGAACTTTCTAGAACTAAATCAAATGGAAACAAGCACTTCAGTTATGACAGGAAGCATCCTCTTCCTTTACATAGGATATACACTGAATAAATGACTTTGTAACTTCATCATCTTTATTTACACAGGGTGTATACCAAGTAACAATGGAAATCTCTAGAGGGTATTTAAACCCCAGAAAATTCTGTAACCAGACCCTTGAGTGGCTGGCTTGCTTGGGCCAGCTCCCAACCTGTAGAGTGTGCTTTCATTTTCTTTTTTTTATTTTTTATTTTAATTTTTTGATTTTTTGAAATGGAGTCTCGCCCTTTAGCCCAGGCTGGAGTGCAGTGGTGCGATCTTGGCTCATTGAAACCTTTGCCTCCCGGGTTCAAGCAATTCTCATGCCTCAGCCTCCCGAGTAGCTGGGACTATAGGTGCCCACCACCACGCCCAGCTAATTTTTTGTATTTTTTAGTAGAGATGGGGTTTCACTGTGTTAGCCAGGATGGTCTTGATCTCCTGACCTCGTGATCCACCCGCCTCAGCCTCCCAATGTGTTGGGATTACAGGTGTGAGCCACCGTGCCTGGCCTAATTTTTGTATTTTTAGTAGAGACAACGTTTCAACATGTTGGCTAGGCTGGTCTCGAACTCCTGACCTCATGTTATCCCCCCACATTTACCTCCCAAAGTGCTGGAATTACAGACATGAGCCACTGTGCCTGGCCGTGTGCTTTCATTTTCAGTTAAGTCTCTGCTTTTGTTGCTTTATTCTTTCCCTGCTTTGTTTGTGTGTTTTGTTCAATTCTTTGTTCAAAACACCAAGAACTTGTACAGCCTCCACTGGTAACATATTTTGGCAAGCCAGCCAGGAGGTAATCCCAAAGTTTGGGGTTTATTTTTCTTGTTTGTTTTTCCTGCTCCATACAGGGGAATCTCAGTCTCTCTCTCTCTTTTCCTTTCCAACTTGGGACGGTTGGTGGGCAGCACCTAAACACAGAGGCAACTGCAGGTTTCTGGCCGGGGCCACTCTGAAGGACTCCTTTCTATCTTTTCCAGTTGTGGTCCCTGATCCCTACGTGTGGCACAGCTTGGGGCGAGCTGGCATTTGTTTCAGTGACTTAAACCTTGTTTTCTCATGCTAAATTCTTCCCTTCCCCTACTCTACTGGCTAAGGACAAAAGAAACCCACCCAGCCTCCAGTTCCTATCATTACAGTTCATGGCTATCACTCTAGTGGAACAGGAAGCATGGGAAAGTGTGGCCTTATCAAATTATAAGGATGCCAGAAGTCCAGGCCTTCATCCAGGGACAAAAGGAAACCTCATAGTAGGCCATTGCCTCTGAAGGGAAAACATGCTAAGCAGCACCAGTGCCCACCTAAGGTCAGAGACGTCTGACACTCTGAGACTGGACCCCAAAGGGGGACGGCCCAGGGATCCTCCAGACCTCAACTTCTCCAAAGGGGACACCCTAGGCAGAGTTCTGAGGTCTAGTATTAAGCCCTCCTTAGAATTTTCTCTCGCAGTTGCAATACTGTTTGGCCCAATATTGTTTGGAATCTGGAGCTTGCTGTTGAATGGGAAAGTGGGATGGAGTTGCATGTGTCAAACTGCTGTGGAAACTGCTATATCTGAAATTTTGGTTCACAGCCTTCATTGGATTATCTGTTGGGGCAAACAAAGGAAAACCCCCCAAGCTTGTATTGCTATCTCATGCCTTAAGATTCCCAGTTAAAAGCGATTGAATCTTCGTTTGTGTGCGTCTATACATGTCTAGATGTGTTTATTTGTATGCACACTTATTGTTACATGTTGTGTCTACCAAATTGGCTTATAAATAAAAGAGCACTTAAAAATTAAGTAAATAAGTCTAAGCAATTTTCAAGTTCACGTGACTTAAGTATAACTTTACTAAACAAGCTGGCTTTAAAATTATTAGTAAAATAAAACTAGAAATGCCTTCAGAATTGTCAGAATACATTCTTTGTCTGGATTTTATATTTGTCTCTGCTAAATATTTTGAGATGTCAATGTTTGGCATAGAAGGTTATAAAACTACTAACTTAGCCCATACAAAATGATCTTGGTTTGTGTGCCTTTTTTTTTTTCAACGAATGAGAGTAACTTAATGTTGTTAACTAAGTCTTCTGAGTTATTGGCAAAAAAAAATACCAGTGTATTTACCTTTAAGGCTGTTACTTAGGTTTAGGTGAGCACCTTATGTTCGCTGGCTATTAAAAACATGGTTAGCAAGGAAATAACTAACTTTAAATGATAGTGTCTGATATCTCTGTTTATAGAAGTTATCTAAATAAACCGTTAAACATGAAAGAATTGAGTACAGTGAATGGGATAAATGTTTTAGGTAATCTTTTTGTGTAAATTAAAATCTTGGCCAGGCGTGGTGGCTCATGCCTATAATCCCAGCACTTTGGAAGGCCAAGGAGGGTGGATCACCCGAGGTCAGGAGTTCGAGACCAGCCTGGCCAGTGGCGAAACCCCATCTCTACTGAAAATATAAAAACTAGCTGGGCATGGTGGTGTGTGCCTGTAATCCCAGCTACTGGGGGGCTGAGGCTGGAGAATTGCTTGAACCTGGGAAGAGGAGGTTACAGTGAGTTGAGATTACACCACTACACTCCAGCCTGGGGGACAGAGCAAGACTCTGTCACAAAAAAAAAAAAAAAAAAAAAGTCCTAAAATTATTTTTGATGCTCATTGAATATCTGGGTCAGTTCCAATTAAGAAAAGGTTGTGACATGGGGAAATATGTTTCTACAAATTGTGGAATTGTTCTTATCTATAATGCTTTTATCTCTGATGGTTCAGGATTTCTTGCTTTTTCGGGTTTCATTGAAGTTTTAGGTTACTAAGGATAAGAATTCTAGTTAACACATAATTCTATATACAAAATGTGCCAGAAAGTGTTGTGTGATTAGTGAGAAAAAATAATAATTTTGTCTAATTCGGAAGTTTTCTAAAAGTTAGTTCAAATTACAGATTTGAAAAGGTTATTTATGAAACAATGTAGTAAGGAACCGGTAAGGAGGGGAGAAAGACGTGGAAAAGTTTAGATAATAAAATATTGCTTAAAACCTGATAGAGAACTGGAGAAATTTGGCTAATTAACATTTTCATAGTTAAAGTTCTTAGTCTTGATTAAAGTAAAAATAAGTATTGTAAAAAAAAATGTGTCGGCAGTTTGCCAGTTTTTTTAATATATAGTTAAGCATGAAGCCGGATTTAGTGTGGAGCCAAATTTCACATATGTGCTTGCATTGCTTCACACTTTGTTTCCTGTTTTGCACGGGTAGTGCCGGCACTGAAGTACTTATTGGTCATTTGCCTAGAGTCAATTTCTTTTTTTTTGAGACTAAGTCTTGCTCTGTTGCCTAGGCTGGAGTGCAGTGGTGCGCTCTCAGCTCACTGCAACCTCTGCCTCCCAGATTCAAGCGATTCTCCTGTCTCAGCTTCCCAGGTAGCTGGGACTACAGGCACACACCACCACGCCCAGCTAATTTTTGTTTTTGTTTTTTTTAAGTAGAGATGTGGTTTTGCCATGTTGGCAAGGCTGGCCTTGAATTCCTGGCCTCAAGCCATCCTCTCACCTTGGCCTCCCGAAGTGCTGGGATTACAGATGTGAGCCACCGCACCTGGCCTTTCTTAAACTCTTTATCCTTTTTTATTCTCTTCTTTTCATTTTGAAATCTTTCAGGATGATGCACAGAAAAATGCTTATGTTTAAAGTCTGATCTTTCTTTTAACTTGCTTATAGAATGCCTTTTTTTTGTTAACTTCTGGCTTTCCCTTGAGAGGACTTTATATACTTTGCCCTGTTTAGAAAGTTCCAAGGGGAATCAAAGCTTGTTTTTCTCAAGATGCTTTGAGAATTTCATAGCAGCATAATGGCAGCAAGGGTAAACCTTGAAAGACTATCATTACAAAGTCTAACTGTTTAATGCTTTTTAACTGGTAAGTTTAGTGTTTGCCCCTTACTGCTTTACTTAGCAAGTTGAAACTATATTCACAAAACAAAATCATACAAATTTACATGATGTTATACAGTTATATAGAGCTCTACAAATGCTCGTATCACCCTCTTTAAAATTACCTATTATCCCTTAGGCCATTGAACAGGTAACACATTTCCGCAAGGGTAGTTCAGCTTTGCTTACTAGATGCATAAGCACATTTTTAATTGAATATATGACATTCATACTATGTTTTGTGCAAAGTTAAAAAATTACTTCTTAGAGCAGTCAAATTAACATTCTAGTATCTTCACATTTTTACAGTTTCAATGAAAAAAAAAATTCTCCTAAAAGGCACTGCCTTTTACTCTTGCCCTTTCCTTCATGTTTAATTTTATCTTAATTTTTTGATAACTATAAGACTACATTTATTTAGTATATGTCATCTCAGATTAGTATAATCGTATCAGTCATTTATTTAATAACATCATCAGGTGTTCTTTCAGTTCTTGAGAGAATTGAGATTTGTAATGGTTAGTATGACTGGCATGTATTTGGGGCTTATATGTAAACATTGGAAGACATGGGCAGCAAAGATCTAAGAAATTTGTTCTCCAAAAACTGTTTTAAAGAAACATCACCTGGTATTTGCTCTAAAGTAAGCTCGTCCAAATCACTGCCCATGGACTGCATGTAGCCCAGGACAGCTTTGGATGAGGCCCAACACAGCTTTGGATGAGGCCCAACACAAATTCATAAACTTGCTTAAAATATTATGAGATTTTTGACCAGGTGCGGTGGCTCACACCTGTAATTCCAGCACTTTGGGAGGCTGAGGCGGGTGGATCACCTGAGGTTGGGAGCTCGAGACCAGCCTGACCAACATAGAGAAACCCCATCTCTACTAAAAACACAAAATTAGCCGGGCATGGTGGCGCATGCCTGTAATCCCAGCTACTCGGGAAGGCTGAGGCAGGAGAATCGCTTGAACCCAGGAGGTGGAGGTTGCGGTGAGCTGAGATTGCACCATTGTACTCCAGCCTGGGCAACAAGAGCGAAACTCCATCTCAAAACAAAAACAAATATTATGAGATGTGTGTGTGTGTGTGTGTGTGTGTATGTGTTTTTCATCAGCTATCATTAGTGTTAGTGTGTTTCTTTTTCTTTTTTTTTTTTTTTTTGAGACAGAGTCTTGCTCTGTTGCCAGGCTGGAGTGTAGTGGCGTGATCTCGGCTCACTGCAACCTCTACCTCCCAGGTTCAAGTGATTCTCCTGCCTCAGCTTCCCAAGTAGCTGGGACTACAGGCACACGCCACCACGCCCGACTAATTTTTTGTATTTTTATTAGAGATGGGGTTTCACCTTGTTGGCCAGGATGGCCTTGATATCTTGACCTCGTGGTCCACCTACCTCAGCCTCCCAAAGTGCTGGAATTCAGGCAAGAGCCACTGTGCCCGCCAGTGTTAGCGTATTTTATACGTGGCCCAAGACAATTCTTCTTCTTCCAGTGTGGCCCAGGGAAGCAAAAAGATTGGATACCCCTGCTCTAAAAACATAATTATTTACATGGATATACAGTGAATAATTAACTGTGACTATATTCAGTGCAGGTTAACTTGAGGCAGTATTGTAGGGTATCAAGTTCAAGGACTTAGAGTCAGAAAGGTTGAATTCAGATCTGTTTTGTTACTTCTGGCTGTGTGAATGATCATGGGCAAGTTACCTAATCCCTCTGAGCCTCACTTGTAAAATGGTGCTCAAACATCATAGCATTATTGCGAGGATTAATATGCCAGTGCATGTGAAGAGCTTAGCATAGTGTCTGTCCCATAGCGAGTACTCAGAAATAGTGTTATTTTGTGTAGTTGTCAATAATTAATAAATAATAATCACCATTCAAAAATGTTTGAGCAGGCTAGGTATGGTGGCTCACACTTGTAATCCCAGCATTTTGGAAGGCTGAGGCAGGCAGATCACTTGAGACCAGGAAGTTGAGACCAGCCTGGCCAACATGGTGAAACCCCGTCTGTGCTAAAAATAGAAAAAATTAGTCGAGCGTGGTGGCACATGCCTGTAATTCCAGCTACTTGGGAGGCTGAGGCACAAGAATCGCTTGAACCTGGGAGGCGGAGGTTGCAATAAGCCGAGATTGGACCACTGCACTCCAGCCTGGGTGACAGAGTGAGACTCTGTCTAAAAAAAAAACCCAAAGATGTTTGAACAGCTTCTATCTGTGCCAGGTACCCTTTGGTGCTGGAGATACAGCAATAAATAAGAATCTCTGACCTCAAGGGATGAATAAGAGTATCTGACCTCAAGGAACACACACTATTTATCAGGGAAAACAGATGTGTTAAGCTCATGTAACAGTCCAGTGTGATTGGGAGGAAAGATGTAAGTGCATGTTCTGGTGTGGCACAGAGGAAGCTCAGTTACCTACCTCCTTAAGGGGTGAAGTTGGAAGGATCCCCATCAGCAAAGGCTCACTGGGAGCACTGACAGTTTAGTTGCATTTTGAAGAATGAATTGGAGTAGTACTGACAAAAATACTATAATGCAGTGGTGGATTCCTGTTGTTGAGAAAGCCAAGCTGTAATAGAGTAGATTATATTACTGCCGGAGAGCACATGGTATTGGTTAGGTATCTAAATGTATATGGGGTAATGGAAAAATGGAAGTTCCTAAGAAGATCAGTCCTAGTTTGCATTTTGATTGACATTTTTGTATCCTCAGACTTTGAAATACTCGTGGGATATGAAGTGGAGGTGCCTAGAGGGTTGAAGATAATGAGGACAGATGAAGAAATGTTTGATTGTGCCATACTTACAGTTGCTGATTTTCAAGGTGTGGGTACTTCCTTAGCCTTATTCTCTGTGTTACCTTTCAATACCATTAGTAACAGTTCTTTAAAAGCCAACTTTACTGAGGAATAATTTACAGCCAGATATACCTGTTTTATGTGGACAGTTAAATGATTTTTTTGTTTTTTGTTTTTTTTTTGAGATGGAGTCTAACTCTGTCACCCAGGCTAGAGTGCAGTGGCGTGATCTTGGCTCACTGCAACCTCTGTCTCCTGGGTTCAAGCGATTCTCCTGCTCAGCCTCCCAAGTAGCTGGGACTACAGGCGCCTGCCACCACGTCTGGCTAATTTTTGTAATTTTAGTAGAGACGGGGTTTCACCATATTGGTTAGGCTGGTCTCGAACTCCTGACCTCAAGTGATCCATCCGCCTCAGCCTCCCAAAGTGCTGGGATTACAGGCGGGAGCCACCATGCCTGGCAGGTAAATGAGTATTTTCAAAAGTCAGGTTTGTTGAGGTATAATTTAAGTACAGTAAAGTTTACCCTTTTTTTTTGGTGGAGCGGGGGCAGGATCTCACTCTGTCACCTAGGCTGGAGTGCAGTGGTGTGATCATAGCTTACTGCAGCCTAGTCTTCCTGGCTCAAGTGATTCTCCCACCTCAGCCTCCTAAGTAGCTGGGACTATAGGCGTGTGCCACCAAGGCCGGCTAATTTTTTGATTTTTTTGTATAGATGAGCTCTTTCTATGTTGCCCAGGCTGGTCTTGAACTCCTGGGCTCAAGCAATCCTTCTGCCTTGCCCTCCCAGAGTGCTGGGTTTACACGTGTGAACCAATGTACCAGGCCAAGTTCACCTTTTAAAATTATGTAGTTTGATGGTTTTAACACATATATCTACCCATGTAACCATTACTATGAGATCAAGATATAGAACGTTTCCATCATTCCCATACTCCCTTGCAGTCGGTTCCCACAGCCCCAGCCCACTGATTCGTGTTCTGCACTGTAGATTAGTTATCCTTGTCATATAAATGGAGTCATATGGTATATACTTTTTTGTGTCTGGTTTCCTTCTCTGAACATGAGGTTTTTGAGATTCATTCATGTTATTGCTCAGTCTGATACACTGATAATGATCCATGGACTTGGGGCCCAAAAGAAATAGGTTCATGACAAAGTTAAGGACAGGAAGGTAATTTTTATTTATTTAAAAATACATGCAATAATAAAAAAATTAAAAAGAATGTATGAAAGAAAAATGAAGTGATTAAAAAAATGAAACAAAACATGTACACTGGCACTGTTTTTAGACCTCTGGTGTTTATTATCATTAGATATGTTGCATAGTGTAATTGGAAGAACATTGAAATGACCATGAAACCTGGTTTTCTGGTCTATATATGCTACAGACTTCCTTTGTGACCTTAGACAAATCATTCTCCTTGTGGGCCTCTTTTTCTATAAGGTGCCTCTTAACTTTAAAGTTCCAGTCCAGATGCAGTATAACTAAATACCTGGATAGAAAAGGATGAAGAAAATTTTAATAGATTGACCAGCTTGAAATGTCAGTCTCTAAGAAGGGTACAGAGCATTTTATATTGAGTGCCAACAGCAGAGTGCATAGCCTTTGTTATGTCTGTCCTTAAGTCTAGTAGGCAAAGTAGCTGCTAGACTCTGAACTGTCCCTTCTTGTTTTTTTTTTTTTGTCTTTTTGTTTTTGAGACAGAGTCTCGCTCTGTCGCCCAGGCTGGAGGGCAGTGGCTTGATCTCTGCTCACTGCAACCTCCGCCCCCTGGGTTCAAGTGATTCTCCCACCTCAGCCTCCTGAGTAGCTGGGATTACAGACGTGCACCACCATGCCTGGATATTTGTTTTTTTTTTTTTTTTTTTTTAGTAGAGACGTGGTTTCGCCATGTTGGCCAAGCTGGTCTAGAACTCCTGGCCTCAAGTGATCCGCCTGCCTTGGCCTCCCAAAGTGCTGGGATTACAGGTGTGAGCCACCATGCCTGGCCTTGTCCCTTCTTGTTATACTCCCGTAGGTGGTGGTTTTGCAAGTTAAGAGCCACACTAAGTCATGTGAAGTATAGGGAAAATGCCCACTCATTGAGTTTTATGCATAGAGACACTCAGAGAAGAAAGAAAGACTGGTCTTATTTATGTATGTATATGTAAAACTATATGTGCACAGAAAGCTAGATATTGTGCTGCATGTGGGAAGATTTTAATCATACCTTCTTATTTTGAAAAGACACCTTACTGCCCCATCAAGTTTAAATTGTAGGGGAAAGGAAGAAAAGGTGGGAATAGGAAAAGAAAACAGCTGTCTATCAAACGGTGTACAAAGGAGCTTATGTCCACTATCTTATTTAATCCTCTGAACACTCTTTTGGAGGGTCTATCAGTCAAGGTGCAGTCACAAGGAAAATAAATTGTAGTAGGTGTTATAAACAGAGAACATTCAATAGCGAGAATTGCATAATTGGGTGTTAGAAGAATAAAAGAACAACAACAAAAAAGGCATGCTGAGGTACCCCAGAGTTAATAACTAGAGGAAGTAGCTATCACCTCTAAGTCTGGGAGAACAAAAGGGGAGGTAGTGTTACCAGAACTAGGAGCTTGGTGGAGGTCTCCTGGAGGGCTGGTGCCTGGACCTCTGGGCATAAGCTTTGGGTAGCTGGTACTCAGATCCTTGGCCTGACAGGTGATTGATAGGCCCAGGCAGTGAGGTCCAGAGGATGAGTGAGCATGGCAAGGTTGATATTCTGACTGCCAAAGAGCCACAACCCACTGCTGCTGGTACCTCTATGGCTTTTCACCAGACTGTTGAAAGAAGCTAGAGACTGGAATTAAGTCTCTGTTACAGCTGGAGCAATACTGATAACAGCTGGGAAATAGGAAGGAAGGCCCTTTTCTTACCTTTCTGCCTTCCGGTTTGGTGAACAGAACAGGAAGGAGCTAGCAAAGGAGTCTTGGAAATGAAGTTTGCAGAATCTTGGCCCCATTGTCACAGAGCACAGCATAAAAGGGTAGGTTTGGAGCTGAGAGACAATAGGTAAATAACCAGGACAGTAAATATCATGCATATTTTACAAAGAGAACACTGAAGCTGAAAAGGTTAAATTATTTGCAAAAGATCATTTAAGTGGACAGATCTGGAATGTAAACCCAGGCCTGTGCTGTTTCCACTATCATATTTTGTCTAATCCAAGGTGCCATTGATTGTTAGAAACACTGTTATTTTATGTACCACTAAGAAAAAATACAGTACTGCCAGCCAGGCGCGGTGGCTCATGCCTGTAATCACAACACTTTGGAAGGCCGAGGTGGGCGGATCACCTGAGGTCAGGAGTTCGAGACCAGCCTGGTCAACATGGCGAAACCTTGTCTCTACTAAAAATACAAAAATTAGCCAGGTGTGGTGGCGCGCCTACAGTCTCAGCTACTCTGCAGGCTGAGGCAGGAGCATCGCTTGAACCTGGGAGTCGAAGGTTGTAGTGAGTTGAGATCTGGCCAGTGCATTCCAACCTGGGCGACAGAGTGAGACTCTGGCTCAAAACAACAACAAAAACAGTACTGCCAATTTAATAAGGCATCAATTGTAAAATACATACCAATTTCAGATTTTTTTTTTGAGACACCCATCTCATTCTGTTACCCAGGCTAGAGTGCAGTAGCATGACTATGACTTACTGCAGCCTCAACCACACGTGCCCAAGCAATTTATCTGCCTCAGCTGCGCCCCCCACCCCCCACCCCAAGTAACTGGGGCTGCAGGAACACACGACTGTGCCAGCTAATTTTTGTATTTTTTTTATAGACAGGGTTTTGCCATGTTGCCTAGGCTGGTCTCGAATTCCTGGTCTCAAGCCATCCTCTCATCTCAGCCTCCCAAAGTGCTGGGATTACAGGCATGAGCCACTGCACCCGGCCTAGGAGATTTTTTTAAAGTAAAAAGAAAAGAAGTAGAACCTTAAAACTGATTAAATATGGCATATTATGCTGCCTTGTAAAGAATTTTGTTTTGGAGTTGTTGATTTTGAAATACCTAGGAGATACCCAGGTAAAACATTTAGTAGGCAGTTTTAAAATGTGGAGTTATAGCTCAGAAGAAAGATAGAAGTCAGAGATACAGAGGTGAAGGTCATCTGCACACCAGAGTCGTGATCCAGAAACAACCCTGGTAACTTGTTTTTTGGCTTTAACGGTCTCTGAGTCTATTATTTCTACCATTTATCCTTTGCCTATCTCTTTGTGATGGCATCTGCTGGTAAACCTTGATATTATCTTTTATTATTCAGAAACGCTTTTTTTTCCTTAAATTTCCACAAGCAAGATCATTTTCTTTTCTCTCTTTTATTTGAAAAGTACGTGACCTGCCAGCATGCAGTCTTCACAGGATGCAGTTGTGAAAGTACTGTTATGGGTATGGTAGTGAAAAGCAGGTCTCCAGAAAATATAGGTGGTGTTTTTATGGCTTCTGTATTTTTATAGGTCCAGCATGTCTGGCTTGCACCTAGTAAAGCAGGGCCGAGACAGAAAGAAAATAGATTCTCAACGAGATTTCACTGTGGCTTCTCCAGCAGAATTTGTTACTCGCTTTGGGGGAAATAAAGTGATTGAGAAGGTAAGTTGTAACTTGCTGAATTATTTTGTCAAAAGCACTTAGGATTTAATGCTTGCCTAGATTTGTTGTCTAGATTTGCTCCCAATTGATATTTAGTTTCTCAGAGGCTTTGCCTCTTTATGTGAATTTTAGCCTTTCTGCCTCCCTAGCATCCTATTAATATAATTTCACTGTTTTCCTATAATATGTATTTACCACAGATAATTTAATCATAGCTAATTAAGGAGTTAAAATAGTGCTCATAAAGTTATTTTTGAGTCCCAGCAACTTGGGGGGCTAAAATGGAAGGATCACTTGAGCCCAGGAGTTCAAGGTTGCAGTGAGCTATGGATTGTGCCACTGCACTCCAACGTGGGCGACAGAGGGACCCTGTCTCAAACAAAACATGTTTTTGAAAGATCTTGTGGTTTTACAGGGTGGGGCTGCACTGATCTGACAGGGTATGAAGAATTGATTAGCTTGTGGGTGCTGGTGGGGAGATAATATGCCACAGCACTGGTTTGAAAGCTAAGGGAGTAGAGAGAGTTTCAGAAGAGAAGGCTTAAAGAGTTTGATACACTGTGACTTACTGGCTTCCACCAAGTATTTGAGATGTTTCAAGGGAATATACCACATGATATACTTAGAGATTCCAGGTATTTTGAAATGTAATTCCGTGTCACTTTTGTCTAAACCATGTCAGAGCTGAGAGGATGACTTGGCTGAAATAGCTTCCAGTGATTAAAAGATTAAAGGATGGGGACCTGTATTTCCACTCCTAAAAGTATTACTTCATCAGCATCCTTTTATTAGTCTTCCAATAAAGACAGATTATGTGTCTATTAGTCTGTGTTATCCTTAGAGGCATGACTGCAAGATAGGTAAGGAGACGAAAGGTTTGTTTACAGAAAGTCTCAGGATTATTCTATTTTTCTACAACAGTGACCATTCTTTCTGAGGCATTCTCTACAATTCTAAGGTATTGGAGTTCAGTATTTTGGAGAAAAGTAACTAATACCAGGGTTTTTAAACATGTTCAGTGCTCTGTACCTCATTTTATTGCAACAGAGAAGAGTGCATGGCACTGCACTGGTTGGCCTTCCCCCATTCCTGATTTCATAATATACCATACCCACAATATGGTAGTATGGTAGAATAATTCACAAAGTCACAGATTTAAGTAATTGTGACTTTTCCCTTCAAATAAATGAAGTTAGAAAGGAGTATGTTTTAGCTGGCACATACTCAAGTATTTGCTTAGTTAACATTTAAAGATACTGCTTGGCCTTGGGGAAGCCAGTTTCTAACAGTCTGGACCAGTAACAAGAATTCTTGGTTGAAAGTATGACTTTTACACAGAAAGATAGATATGTAAAAATTCTCTCATCTCTTTTCCTCCATTGTTGCTTTTTTCTGCCTTTTCTTCCCATTCCCATCTCCTTCCCCCTCCCAGGTTCTTATTGCTAACAATGGCATTGCAGCAGTGAAATGCATGCGGTCTATCCGTAGGTGGTCTTATGAAATGTTTCGAAATGAACGTGCAATTAGATTCGTTGTCATGGTCACACCTGAAGACCTTAAAGCCAATGCAGGTGAGTTATTAGCATTATGAAAGCATCACTCTCAAAACTAAAACATGGAACAGCACAGCCTTTAAGTAGGAGAATGTTAACTTAGGGGGATTCCCAAACATAGGACTTCCAAGTAAAATCCTTTTAAAATAATTTCTGTTTAAAATGTGTCAGTAATAGACATATAAAAATGATTGCACTATAGTCAACCTCAATACAGATTCCTGTGTCCTAGGGATAAGTAGGAAGAAATTTAACAAAAGTGTTGATTTGGGCTTTCAAGTGTATGCCTTTTTCAGTGTTAAATATTTGCTATGCCACATTCTTTGGAATGCGTAAGTGGAAAGATTTAGAAGGAAATGCTGTTTTTTCCTTATGCGTTATATTGAATTATAGAAAAACTTTGGGTTAAGATTTTTTTTTTCTCTTCCTGAGGGAGAGACCTTTTGGGACCGAAGTGTGTTTCACTCTGTAAATTCGGCTACATATTCTTTTTACTCAGATGGTTCTCTGTCTGATAGTTGTAGATAAAGACTGTTGGTATAGCTGAAAGATATGACTAGTCTTTCTTCTCCATACCTTCTATCACTAAGGTATAATCTCTTAAGGTAGAGTACCCACAGATAATGTGAAGAGCTATGTTTTTTTACTTTTTTTTATCTTTTACTCCTAGGAAGCTGCGAAAAAGAGCTATCCTTTTATACTTATTTTAGTCTGCATATGTTTTTTCTTTGTTGAGACAATGGTATTATGATTATTCCTAAGAAAGAAAGGTTATTATATCATCTTATTTAGAAATTGAGAAGACACCAATTTATTAGAAAGCAAATGTTATATATTAGATCATTCTTGCATTGCTATAAAGAAATACCTGAGGCTGCGTAATTTGTAAAGAAAAGAGGTTTAATTGGCTCACAATTCTACAGGCTTTACAGGAAGCATGGTGCTGGCATCTGCTCTGCTTCTGGGGAGGCCTCAGGACACTTACTGGGGGAAGATGAAGGGGGAGTAGGCACATCACATAGCCAGAGCAGGAACAACACAGAGAATTGTGGGGAGGGTGCCACACACTTTTAAACAACCAGATCTCATGTGAACTTAGAGTGAGAACTCACGTATCATCAAGGAGATGGCCCAAGCCATTCATGAGGGAGCTGCCCTCATGATCCAAACACCTCCTACCAGGCCCCATTTCCGAGACTGGGGATTACAATTCAATATGATATTTGGTGAGGGACATACATTCAAACTATATCATGTTATTATATGAAATCATTTAGATGCACACTTTCACATCTCTGAGCCACAAGTTTCATACTTATAAAAGGAAGATCCTAATGTCTAATTCACTGGATAATTGTAAAGATGAGATCATCTATAATAAATACAGATTAACTTGCGTGGTTTTTTTCTTTTTTCTTTTGAGAGGGAGTCTTGCTGTGTCACCAGGCTGCAGTGCAGTGGTGCAAACTCAGCTCACTGCAACCTCCGCCTCCTGGGTTCATGCAATTCTTCTGTCTCAGCCTCCCAAGTAGCTGGGACTACAGGTGTGTGCCACCATGCCCAGCTAATTTTTGTATTTTTAGTAGAGACAGGGTTTCACCATGTTGGCCAGGATGGTCTCGGTATCTTGACCTTGTGATCCACCTGCCTTGGCCTCCCAAAGTACTAGGATTACAGGTGTAAGCCACTGCGCCCGGTCCGGTTTCTTTTTCCTCATTCATTTCTACCTGGTACTCCAATTAATTCATTTATTCATTCACTTAACATGGAGATTGACAGTTGAATAAGATGTGATCTTGTTCTAGGAAACAAATGATTTCAATACAATGAGGTAAGTGCTATAAAAGAAACATGCACAGGGTCCGGTGAGAACACAGAGATGAGACATCTAATTCTTGGGGGCAGGCTTAAGAGAAAGCTTTCTTAGGCTGAGTGTGGTGGCTCATGCCTGTAATCCCAGCACTTTGGGATGCTCAAGCGGGTGGATCACTTGAGGTCAGGAGTTTGGGACCAGCCTGGTCAACATGATGAAACCCCATCTCTACTAAAAATACAAAAATTAGCTGGGCATGGTGCTGGTGCCCGTAAATCCAGCTACTCGGAAGCTGAGGCAGGAGAATCGCATGAACCCAGGAGGAGGAGGTTGTGGTGAGCTGAGATCGTGCCACTGCATTCCAGCCTGGGCCACAAAGCGAGACTCAGTCTCAATGAAAAAAAAAAAAAAAAGAGAGAAAGACAGCTTTCTGAAAGAGATTATGTCTAACCAAGAATGAGTAAGAGTTAGTGAAGCAATTGGGGGGAGAGAAAGGTGTACCAGACAGAAAGAACAGCATTGCAAATGCATAAAGGTATGACACAAGTGGTTTTCTAGAAATTACGGATGGCTACAAGATGTGATATAGTATTTGCCAAGGGGGACCTTGTTTTCCATCCTCAAAAGCACAGACTTTGTCTTTTAAGGAGAGTATGTGTGTGTGTTGGACATCTAAGGATTTGCATTTTAAATGAATGTGTTTTTTGGGGTGTGTGTGTGTGTGTGTGTGTGTGTGTGTGTTAACTATGTAAAAGTTGAAGAGTATAATGAATCCCTTCCCATCTACCTGTCATGCAATATCAATAATTATCAACTTATGGCGAATCTAGTTTCATCTATATTCTTAACCCCGTGCACAATTATTTTGATGCAAATCCTTGATACCATATTATTCTTCATGTTATCTGTGAAGATACTCTACCTTAAGATTAAGAGATTATACCTTATTGATAAAAAGCATGGAGGGCCAGGCATGGTGGTTTACGCCTGTAATCTCAGCACTTTGGGAGGCCAAGGCAGGCGGATCACTTGAACCCAGGAGTTCAAGGTCAGCCTGGACCATGTGGTGAAATTGTCTCTACAAAAAATGCAAAAATTAGCTGGGCATAGAGGCGCATGCCGGTAGTCTCAGCTACTCCGGAGGCTGAGGTGGGAGAATCACTTTAGCCCGGGAGGTCGAGGTCGCAGTGAGCCATGACCATGCCACTGCATTCCAGTCTGGGTGTCAGAGTGAGATCTGGTCTCAAAAACAAACAAACAAACAAAAAAGAAATCTAAACCAAAACAATACTAAAGATTTTTTTTTAACTTACAAAACTCACAAAATTGAAGACATTGATAATACCTAACATAGGTGAGAGTATTTGGTACCCATGTTGCTAGTGAGAGTCTGAAAATGTGAATACCTTTTGACCCAATAGTTTTATTGCTAGTAACATATCTGTGGATATAATTGGACAGCCGTACAGAGACACACATTATTTTATTATTTTTCAAATTATACATAATCTGTACTTCCATTGATAAGTTAGTAGTCAAATGAATTATATAGGCTATTGAAATATTAGGTATCCATAAAAAATATTAAACATATATATACCAAAAATATATATATTTATGTACAGTAAAGCATAAACTGGTTGTCTTTGAGGTGGGACAATAGGTGAGAGTCTCACTCTGTCCCCCAGGCTGGAGTGCAGTGGCGCAATCTCGGCTCACTGCAACCTCTGCCTCCTGGGTTCAAGCGACTCTCATGCCTCAGCCTCCCGAGTGGCTGGGATTACAGGTGCCCACCACCAGGCCCAGCTAATTTTTTTTTTTTTTTTTAGACGGAGTCTTGCTCTGTCACCCAGGTTGGTGCAGTGGCGTGATCTCAGCTTACTGCAACCTCTGCCTCCCAGGTTCAAGCGATTCTCCTGCCTCAGCCTCCCTCAGCCTCACTCTGTCTGTGGTGGGACTACAGGCTTGTGCCACCATCCCCGGCTAATTTTTTGTATTTTTAGTAGAGATGGGGTTTCACCATGTTAGCCAGGATGGTCTCCATCTCCTGACCTCGTGATCCGCCCACCTCAGCCTCCCAAAATGCTAGGATTACAGGCGTGAGCCACTGCGCCTGGCCAATTTTCACTTTTAAAATATAGTATTGTTATATTCTGTTGTATTATCTAACATTGTTTAATAATTTGCATGCTTTCCTTCCTATAATCAAAGAGAACAATAAGCCTATTTTAATTTTGAAGAAATTCTAGCGGAATTTTTTTTAGTAGAATTTTTTTTAGAAGGGACTTAAAATCTTTTAGAAATAAGAACAAGATAATCACCATTCTGACTGGCATGAGATGATATCTCATTATGGTTTTGATTTGCATTTCTCTAATGATCACTGATGTTGAGGTTTTTTTTAAAATATGTTTGTTGGCCGCATAAATGTCTTCTTTTGAGAAGTGTCTGTCTGTTCCTGTCCTTTACCAGTGCATGTGGGGCTTAATACCTAGGTGATGGGTTGATAGGTACAGCAAACCACCATGGCACACGTTTACCTATGTAACAAACCTGGATGTCCTGCACATGTATCCTGGAACTTACATTTTTAAAAAAGAACAAGATAAAATAAATTTATTATTAGTAAATAATGGTGGATGCTTGAGTTGAAATTTGAAAGCTAAAATAAATTTATAAATGGTGGAAATGAACTTTGAGGAAGTTACTTAACTCCTCCAAGCCATCATTTTCTGTCACATATTGGGTTGATGAGAGAATTAAATGAGATAATATATATACAAAGTGCTAGTTACAGTCCCTACACGTGGTAGCTCTTCTGTTACAGTTGTCATTGCCAGAATAGGAAAATAGAGATGTTAGGTGACAAATTTGAAAGGGAATACTGTACAACAAATATATATGAGAAAGTGGTTATCTTTCTAAAGTTTCTTACAAATACCTGTTACCCTCAGTATTCCAGATAAACTCTTTCCAGACACTCCTGTAACTAACCTTTCTTGTTTAGCCAGTTTGCAAGCCATTCAGGCTCTCCTATCTTTCTCCATTCTGTCAAGCTCTGTACCAGGAAAAGGGCTTTCTCTAGGTCCAGTGCCAGTTAAAGACAAAGGATGTCAGGACTAGAACTTTTTCTCGGAATAGAGTAATTGCACTTGGGCCCCTAACTGACAGACACATCAGCCTTGATATAGAAGTCATAAAGATTCCTCAGAAAGATTACATAGTGAAATGTTGGAGAATTGCTATTTTACTATAAGAGCTTCTAAATATGGGATTAACTCGTATTAGTGCTTGTGACTTAACAAACTAAGAGCCTCGAACTAAATGGTCCTGGAAATTATCCTACTAATGCTGTTTGTCCTGTGGTTACTTATGATAGTCCCTGACCTTTACGTAGTTTTGCTGTGCAATTATATTTCTGGAAAAAAAAATCATGTGTTCTCTATTAATTCGCTTGCATTTTCAGAATACATTAAGATGGCAGATCACTATGTGCCAGTGCCTGGAGGACCAAACAACAACAACTATGCAAATGTGGAATTAATTCTTGATATTGCTAAAAGGATCCCAGTACAAGTAAGAGATGCCAATGTGTCCTTTAAAACCAAATTCAGCCATTTTATAGTTAGGCACAAGGGGATATCTAGAGAAGAACATTTTTGTAAAGCATCATTTTCGAAAATTATTAAATGCCTGTGTATGGGATAACTAAACCAAATAAGGAAAAGAAAGATGGAAATAATGGAATGGCTAAAAATAAAGTAAACGTAATACAAACAGAAGGTTTGGAAGCATCTTTCAGAGATTATTTATTCTAGGTATCTCACCTTTGAGCCAGTAAAAATTACCTGTTTGTTGTGGAATATTAGCCTAAAGGATGGTGGTATATTAAAGAAGTAGGCTGTTTCTTCCCTGTCACATTGTGTTAGTAAGTTTAGGGTAGGTACCTTAAAGCCCAAAGAGGAAAAAACTCTAAACTTAGATGGCAGTGTAATCAATAATGATGTAATGGAGTGGCCATAGTAATTGAATATGTGAAACATAGCCAGTTTTTCTAGAAAACGCCCTTTACAGCCTAGGCTATGAATTGAGTTTCCTAAAGAGCAACAAGTATAACTGGATCTTAATATCAATTTCAACTTGGTTTTGACCCCTTCAGAAATCTTGCCACAATGGACTACTTATTGTTACTCTGTAAAGAGTTTGCCAACAATCAAGCATAGAAGCTGAATTAAGCATTAGGCTGCTGTGGAACTACTGTACCTCAAGAAACAGGGCCAGCCTGGATAGAGACTCTTGCAGTTTGTGGGGGTTTTGTATGAATTTTAAGAATGAATTATATTGTATTCCCTTGCAGGCAGTGTGGGCTGGCTGGGGTCATGCTTCTGAGAATCCCAAACTACCGGAACTTCTCTTGAAAAATGGCATTGCCTTCATGGGTAAGCTGTTCTGACATATTGTCCGTCTTTCTGTTTCTTTCTGTCAATTTTGCCCACATTTTACTCTATAGTCTGATTTTCTGTTTAACATGTGCTGGGCTCTCTCTCTCTTTTTTTTTCCCTCAATCTATTACTAACTCTCAGAGTAACCCTCTTCATTTCTTTCTTTTTTTTCATTTTTTGCTTATCTCACTTCATCTTGATTTTGTTTTCTGTCCCTGGGTCAGATATGGAGATATGGAGAAGGCTTTGGTTTCTAAAACTCTGACCTTTTAAAACTTTGCAGCTAACCTTAAGAAAGCATGTGGGAAAATGACCTGTTTTTAGATAGTGAAGATAATTGAATACTCAGGATGCCTTGGCAGTGTGCCCTTAAATATGAATCAGCACCTGTGCATTTAAGCATATAGGTGATACTCCTACAAGTGAGAGATACTTCTTCTGACTTTTCTGCTGTCATTATACCAGAGAGAAAAACAGAGGTTATATAGCTCAAAGTATTTTTCTCTCGGTCTCAGAGACCTTAAACAATGAAGATTATGTTTTGTAAACCTTTTTAAAGATGTCTCCTTTTTGGGTTCCCCTAAGACCAAAGAGCGTATACTATTTCAGACTTGAATCCTAAAACTTTAAAGTCCTTATTTCAGGATATTGACTTAAAAAAGAAGACTTTATTGATCTGGTGAAGTTGGATCATGAAGAATGATAACATTATAGCTAGATTTGTCAAAAATTTAATTCAGCATACATTTATATATATTGAGCTCTCACTCTGCACAAAAAGCTTACTACATTAGGTTTTACAGATGGTACAAAGATAAGTCAAAGCATAATAGTCCCCATAATTTATGATCTCCTTGATATGTGAGGGGTGGGGGGAGGACAAGACAAATACATAAATAGCTATAATACAAGGCAACTACATGTGCCAGAAATGAGGCCAAGGTGTTACAGTCAGGATTCTTTTCCTGTTTCGTTTTTAGGTCCTCCAAGCCAGGCCATGTGGGCTTTAGGGGATAAGATTGCATCTTCCATAGTGGCTCAAACTGCAGGTATCCCAACTCTTCCCTGGAGCGGCAGTGGTAAGAACTGAATTCTTGTTTGTATCTTGAAGTACAGAATAGCTCAGTAGGATATTTGGGACTTACCTCTTTTGAAAAAGTATTGGTATACTTGACAAGAAATGGAATACTGGTTGATTAATGGTACCTTGTAGCTCCTAGCTTAATTAATACACCTGTGATTCTTTTAGTAATATAAATTTAGTTCCAGGTACACAGATGCTAAATTGTGATCTGGAGTGATCTTGTGAGTTAACTTAGAAAAACTCTGGGAAAACATGTATATGGTTTTGTGGGTTTAGATGTACTCTGGGTAGGCTAGAATCTTCCTCAGAGGTGGGCTTCCCAGGGGGAATTGGGTCTTCAGACCTGCCTGGGAGTAGCCTGGATCACTAGGAAAAACCTAAAACCCACTTACTCAAATGTTTCCTTGCCAATGTTTTTTTTCTTTTTTTTTCTTTTTTTTTTTTTTTTTTGAGTTGGAGTCTCACTCTGTTGCCCAGGCTGGAGTGCAGTGGCATGATCTTGGCTTACTGCATCCTCCACCTTCCGGGTTCAAGCAATTCTCTGCCTCAGCCTCCCGAGTAGCTGGGATTACAGGCACCCGCCACCACACCCGGCTAATTTTTGTATTTTTTTGTAGAGACAGGCTTTCACCATCTTGGCCAGGCTGGTGTTGAACTCCTGACCTTGTGATCTACCTGCCTTGGCCTCCCAAAGTGCTGGGATTACAGGCATGAGCCACCGCGCCTGGCGCCAATGTTTTCTTGATATCAACCCACAATCTATTGATGATTTGATTTGACTGTTTAAAAACCATTCAACCTCAGTTGCCCTTGATGCAGAAAATGAGGTCAGTAATTAACCTTTCTTCCAGGCATGCCAGAGGGGCAAGAATTTTCAAAAAGTGATTTATTCTCAACACATCCCTTAAACAGTTCCATGTGAATTATTATAGCTGATAACAATATGAACCTTTTTTTTTTTTTCTTAAGTACTCAAGCACTGGGAACAGACATACACTAAAACCTCTTTTAAATGGGAATGACCACTGTCTTGAGGCTGAACAGATTTGAACCCTTGTTACTCTGGCTCTCCAGGGAGATTGCAATATCCTCTCCAGATCTGCTGGGTCAAATAGTTTAAAATAAAAGGTTGAATTTGTTCTTGTTTGAATGGAGAGGCTATAGTGTTCCCCTTATGGCTGAGTACAGGGACGTTCAGAGAGCATGGAATCATGACTCTGCTGAGGCCAATAAAACCGCCATTTCTATTTCCAAGGGCTCATAAAGATTGAATTATTTCCCAGACCTCTTGGCCCTGGAGCAGGCCTGAACACACAGTTTGAAGGTATTTTGCCTGCTGAGTTGCTGTGAGAAGTATGCTATGTTCTTTTTTTGTTTGTTTTGATCTTGTACGTCTTTGCATTTTTATAAGTTGCTCCCTGTTAGTTCGGCTGGCTTTTGCCAGCGTTAAGAACCCAAGTTGCCGGGTCATGCTGTGGCTAAATCCTGTTAACCCCAAGGACTGATCAGGGTTTTATGGCATCCTTCTTTCTCCCATCCACTCTCAGTTTTGGGTAAATATGATAGCATTTCAAAGAATGCAGAGCAGAAAATTGACAAGAGCAGAAGATCTTGTAATTGCCCTAAGTTGCTATTGTCTGTTGCAGGTCTTCGTGTGGACTGGCAGGAAAATGATTTTTCAAAACGTATCTTAAATGTTCCCCAGGAGCTATATGAAAAAGGTTATGTGAAAGATGTGGATGATGGGCTACAGGTAGGTTACTAACTCCAGGGAGTGATACCTTTCAGCTGACCAGTTATAGTCACAAATGTGGAGATTGGGAGCCTGGCTCGTGATATATACCCAAGGTGGTGTTAGGGATGTAAGACCAGGAGGTGTAGTTTGAAAGTATAGAATACGCTGGTTTCTCTTTAGATTGCATAAGTCTTTTGCCTTTAAAAAGTACAGATTGAGGAAGTGACTTTAAATGTAAACAATCTAAATTCATTTTGAAGCAGGCTGCTCATCTGGACAGAACATTTCTTAGGTGATTAAGTCAGAGTTTTAAGGAGGTGCTGATTCTCTCTCTCTCTACCACCTGTTAGTGTGTGAGGGCGGGGACAACAAACAACATACTTTTTCTACTGGTTGAATTCAGAACCAAGAAGCCAGGAAGCAGAGATCAAACAGTCAGCTTTATTATGAACAGAGATGTTGATGAAAATGGCTTAAGTGTGTAGCAACATTCAGATTTGTAAACTAAACACCAGAGTTAAGCAGGCTCACTCACCCACTGGTTACTGGCAGTGCTGAATGACCACAGATTTCCCTCGACAGAGAGAGAGAGCTTAATTCAGCTTAGTGTATGGCTGAGAGCTGACAAAGAGCATATGTCCTGTGCAGTGGGCTGATCCCAAAGGGGAAAAGGCTGAGCTATGCATATTCAGTCCCTCCTTCCAAGTTGACCAATCACATAATTTATTATTTTTCCCTTGGGGAGGAGCAAGGGAGTGAACCAAGAAAGACTGAAAGTGTTACTCTTAATTATTGTCTATCCATGTAGAAATGTGAACCTAGGCAAAAGGAGATCCTTTCCCCAACATTACCTTTTCTTTCCTTACAGTTCCCTCCAATTTGTTCCCCTTTCACTTTTATAAATAGTTTAAAGTGTTGGTTATGCTTCCAGGTATAATGAAAGATAATGAAAGAGGCTATTGTAGAAAAATACACTGCTTGAGTTTGACTTGTGTCATGTAAATTCAAGAGGGATGCTGAATGTTCAAATAATTTTGTTGTATTGTTTGCATTTTAAGTTAAACATCCTGTAATCTCCTTAATAAGAAGAATTAATATTTCTAATTGAATTTCAAATGCTTTATTTTGTTTGTTATAATTTGCAAAAGAGTAGAAGCTCTTTGTAAGGAACTAGCTATTCTAGCTATTTTGCTTATCGACTAACATTCTTTTTTATTTTTTCTGGTTATAATTATAAACAGCATTTTCTGGTAGAAAATTTGAAAAGCCAAAGATGATGATAAAGCCACATGCAAACACACCATCCAAAGATAATGCCCATTAACCTATTCATTTTTTTATCCCTTTTCAACTCATAGATTTATATCATATACAAATCTTTATTAATAGATTCCTATACTTATAATTATGATAATTATAAGTTTTGGGTCTTACTATTTGTATTGTGTTGGTAATCATAATACTTTTTTCTACTTAATATTTTTTTGTCCTTCTACCTCCCCGCTCCTTACTTAACATTATATTAAAGTGTTAAAATTCTTCCAAAATATTTTTAATGGGTGACCTGTGACTAAAGCTTTCATATATTTTTAAAAGGCCTACCTTCTTACTTACTGACCTCCTATGGGATACCCCCTTTTTTTTTTAAGTCTTTCTCTTTTTTTTAAGCTATCTCTTTGATCATCTATCACTCAGCAATTGAGTTCATCATACTAATTCTGTTTATATGAGCATAGAAAAGAATAAAGAAACATTAGAAAAGGTGAGACTGTGCATAAAAGATTTTCATTCATTAAGTAATCGATTGACATAGATTAAAAATTGAAATGTTCTTTTTCTGGGTGATACTTATTTTATTTTATTTTTTTGGGTTGGAGTCTCACTCTGTTGCCCAGGCTGGAGTACAGTGATGCCATCTTGGCTCACCGCAACCTCCACTTCCCAGATTCAAGTGATTCTCCTGCCTCAGCCTCCAAGTGGCTGTGATTACAGGTTACCGCCACCATGCCCAGCTAATTTTTGTATTTTTAGTGCAGACAGGGTTTCACCAAGTTGGGCTGGCTGGTCTCCAACTCCTGACCTCAAGTGATCCACCCACTTTGGCCTCCCAAAGTGCTGGGATTACAGGTGTGAAGCACTGGGCCAGGCCTGGTGATACATTTTAAAGATATTCTTATAATGTAGCAAAACCTTAAAAGACTGGAATATTTTGACAAAGGAATGACTTGGTTATTTTATTGAAACAGGGTCTCACTTTGTTGCCCAAGCTGGAATGCATTGGCACGATCTTGGCTCATTGCAACCTTTGCCTCTCAGGTTCAAGCAATTCTCGTGCCGCAGCCTCCCGAGTAGCTGGGATTATAGGCATGCAGTACCACGCCCAGCTAATTTTTTGTATTTTTAATAGGGCCAGGGGTTTCACCATGTTGGCCAGGCTGGTCTCGAACTCCTGACCTCAGGTGATCCACCTGCCTCAGCCTCTCAAAGTGTTGGGATTACAGGCACGAGCCACTACGCCCAACCCCACTTCAGCTTATTTTAAGTGAACTCCTTATGTCTTTTTTTTTTTTAATTGTAATACATGGATGCCTGCATACTATAAGCAAGAAATTCCAATAATGCAGAAATACATACAGTGAAAAAGGAAAGTTTTATATCCACGCATCTTTCTTTGTTTTTTGTTTTTGTTTTTTTTGAGATGGAGTTTCGCTCTTGTTGCCCAGGCTGGAGTGCAATGGCGTGATCTTGGCTCACTGCAACCTCCACCTCCCAGGTTCAAGCGATTCTCCTGCCTCAGCCTCCCAAGTAGCTGGGATTACAGGCATGCGCCATCACACCCAGCTAATTTTGTATTTTTAGTAGAGACGGGGTTTCTCCATGTTGGTCAGGCTGGTCTTGAACTCCCGACCTCAGGTGATCCGCCCGCCTTGGCCTCCCAAAGTGCTGTGATTACAGGCGTTAGCCACTGTGCCCGGACCCATTCTTTTCTAAATCATTGCTGGTATGTACTCTGGACTTCACTTCTTTGCACTTACATGTGTGGGTGTATGAATGCATATATAATTTTGTTTTTGACCCATGTGACATTACTTTAGATTGAACCATAAGAAATTGCCTATATTCAGTCATTTTTTTAAATCTATGAAAAAGGCAATTTCTTTTGGTTCAACCTAATACTACAAATATTGTTCTACTATTTATTTTTTCATAGTGTATCTTGAAGATCTTTCTATTTTATTGTATTTAGAATTACTAAATGACTGCATTCTTAAAGGGAGAAAAATGCCAGTTTTCTCCTTCCCTGGTAATAACACTGTTTCTTCTATTTTTTTTTTCTTTCTTTTTGAAGGCAGCTGAGGAAGTTGGATATCCAGTAATGATCAAGGCCTCAGAGGGAGGAGGAGGGAAGGGAATTAGAAAAGTCAACAATGCAGATGACTTCCCTAATCTCTTCAGACAGGTAGAGTATAAGCTGTTTTTGTTTGTTTGAACTAACATGTATATCAGAGATATATGATTTAACTCATACTATAATTTGGATGCCCAGAAAATATTTAATTTTTAATTTTGTCTATAGCTAACTGTCTTTCTCTCTAGTTTCTACCTGCATATTAGCAGAGAAAAAAGGTTAATGAAATGTCCAACTCAATTTTAAGTTTTATTTAATTAGGTAATTCAAACAGTAGAGTTATTCTGTCTTATATAAACGTGCTCAGTTTGTCAGATAGCTCTTTCCTACCTGGTGCGTATGGCTTATAGGACCTCATAATGGCAAAGAAAAATCAATACCTTTCTGTATTTTTGTGCCCCTGTTCTGCTGACTTTGTAGGTCATATGTGATATGGTGGTATGATACTGATATGGTTGCTCTTGGCTTGGCCAGGCCCAGGCTCTCTGATTGACTTTTTCTCACTTTAGTTCACATTGCCTAGAGACCTCTGAGTTTCTATCATATGTCTCATCTACCCTGCTGTCCCAGCACTCTATACCCTAGCCCGTGTTGCATGGCCACCACACCCTGGCACAGGAACCCTATGGCAGGCCTACAGTATATAGGAACTGAGAGTGACTCAGGAAAGCTCGATGTAGGATCTCTCTTTGCCTTACCCTCTGCTTTGCAGCCAAGTTGATGTGGCCATACTATACATTGGTTGCGGAGACGACCAAAGAAGTGATGTCTTTTTAGAATCTTAAACAGAAAGAGAAAAGGGAGACAGGGGTCTCTTTTTGTTCTGTCCTCAGAGTTACCCTCACATATTTAACTCACTTTTTTTCCTCCTACCAATACATAGTAAAAGATTTGTCAAAAAATGGAAAATTGGGACAGAAGTCTGCTCTTTTCACTCTCCTAGCTTCCCTCTTTTTCATAGTTTCCTCATCATCTTCTACTTTGCACTTCTTTTACTAGTGTGCCATGCTACCTTTTATTTCGCTTTTTTTTTTTTTTCCCTTAAAACACTTAGCAGCAAACTCCTTGCTTCACTGTTAAGAGTTAAAAGGAAAGTCTTATGAGCTGGGTCTTCCATGATTTCATATACAGGTGGTCCCCAACTTAAAATTTCAACTTACAATCAACAAACAAACAACTTTACAATACTGTGCAAGTGATAATGCATTCAGTATAAATCTTACTTTGAGTGCCCATACAGCTATTGTTTTTCACTTTCAGTACAACATTCAGTAAACTACATGAGATAGTCAACACTTTATTATAATATAGGCTTTGTGTTAGAAGATTTTGCCCAACTGTAGGCTAATGTGTTTTAAGCACATTTGAGGTAGGCTAGACTAATCTATGGTGTTCATTAGGTTAGGTATATTAAATGCAATTTTGACTTAGAACATTTTCAACTTATGTTGGGTTTATTGGGACATAACCTTATTGTAAGTCAAAGAGCATCTGTACTAGATAAAGGAAGTGATAAAGGTGTTGTCTTGGCCAGGATTGGTGGCTTATGCCTATAATCCTAGCACTTTGGGAGTCTAAAGCGGGAGCATTGCCTGAAGCCAGAAATTTGAGATCAGTCTGGAAGATAAAGTGAGACTCTATCTCTACAAAAAATTGTAAAATAAATAAATCAATAAATAAGGTATTGTTTTGCTACATTATCCTATTTTAAGTGTCAGAAATTGAATATTACCTTGGGTTTTTTTTTTTTTTTTTACATTTTTTTCATTGAATTCTAATTTCATAGGTAGATCAGTGACTCAGAGAGTCTAGAGAAAAAAGACTGCTCTTAGAAGCAAAAAGAAAAAAAAGGCATGTTAATTAATGTTAACTCTTACAGACATTTCAAAACTACTCATTACTTATGGAATCAAATAGTGGAAAAGTCTTAAAACACTAAGGGAAGGTTTTCTGTGAAAGTCCTTAAGTTTCAATACTAGTTGGCTGAATAAACTAATCCTCCCATTGGGAACAAACTAGAAAAGCTGAACCAGATATATATATATATATATATATATATAGATAGATAGATAGATAGATAGATAGATATAGATATAGATATATTACATTTTACGGCATTAGAGACCATTCAAGACAGTGAAGAATTATGGGGCTAACATACAAGAGAAAAAGGAAACCCAGAGATGTGAGCCTGACATATGAGGCTACTTTTCCCCTAGATATATCTTCTAGTTCAAGATAGTAGAAAGGCTGATAAGTTTTCAACAGTCTTAAAAGACTAAGAGGGCTTCCTGGGGAGGGGTGCCCTGGAAAACCTCCCACATTTTAGGTTAGGATCTTTAAGGACTGACTACATCATGGGAGAAAGGGTGAACTGGAAATAGACTAGCCCTCACAGGGACTAAATCTTGGCTTCAAAACATTCAACCTCTGATTTAAGCAAGATGTTTTAGGATTGCTAGTGCTTCTAGACACCTGCAGGAAGCAAATGTAAATCCTTTCCAGAGAAAGATAACATCCAGAACTTAAAATTATTTCTATTAATTTTTCTTACAGCTTATCAACCACTCAATTGAAAATAGGCATACAAAATTAGATGATTGAAAACCAAGAAGAACAAAACAGTAGAAACAGACCCACAGAGGGTTTATATAATGAGATTATCAGACAAGGACTTTAAAGTAATTCTGCGTAATATATTCAAGGAAAGTAAAGGCAAGATTGAGAATTTTGGTAGAGAACTGGAAATCATAAAGAAGAAACAAAAGTTCTAGAACTGAAAATGCAATAACTAAAATTAAGAAGTCAATATCAGGGGTTCAAGACCAGCCTGGCCAACATGATGAAACCCCATCTCTACTAAAAATACAAAAATTAGCTGGGCCTGGTGGCACATGCCTGTAATCCCAGCTACTTGGGTGGCTGAGGTGGGAGAATCACTTGAACCCAGGAGACAGAGGCTGCAGTGAGCTGAGATTGTGCCACTGCACTCCAGTCTGGGTGACAGAGCAAGACATTGTCTTAAAAAAAAAAAAAAGAAGAAGAAGAAGAAGTCAATATAGGAGTTTAAAATTATAGCATATTAGATGCAGTTGAAGAGAATCAGTAACTGGCACTGGAGACTGAGATGGGAGAATCCCTTGAGCCCAGGAGTTTGAGGCTGCCTTGAGCTATGGTCATGCCACTGCATTCCAGCCTGGGTGACAAAACAAAAAAATCTAGAAAAAGATAAATAATTAACGACTGGTGAGTAGATCAGAAGGAAATTCAGACTGAAGCATGAAGAAAGACAAAAGGATGAAAAACATAGAGCAATGTGAGAAATTATTTGCAATGGTTTTGTAGTTGTTGCTCTTGCTGTCTTGGAGCAAGCCCTCAGACTACCATGTGAAGAGCCCATTCTAGCCTACTAGAGAAGGAGAGGTCACATGAGCAGAGATGAGTTGTCCCAGCTAAGGCCTCCTAGTCCTACTAGGACAGTCAGCAGCACCACATTTGAGACATGTAAATGAGACCATATTTGACCATCTAACCCCAGTTGAGCTGCCAGATGACTATAGCTGCATGAATTACTCCAGGCAAGATCAGAACTGCCAGTTGTGCCCAGTTCAAAATGCTGATCCACACACTCATGAGCAAATAAAATAAAATGGTTGCTATACCAAGTCACTAAGATTTTGGTAGTTTGTTAGGTATCAATGGATAATTGACACAGAAATTGATACCTAACGGTATGATGTTGCCATAACAGAAAAGTAAAACGTAAGACATTGACTTTAAAACTGGCTCATAGGTGTAGGCTGAACATTGGTGAGGAGGATGTTAATGAAGACTGGAAGAATGATGAATTGTTAAGGGAGGCTGGAAAAGCAGTGTAGTAATTGTTACTGGAGTCTGGAAAAAAGATCCATGTTCTGTAATAATGGAACAATTGGCAAAAAAATGTTATCTGAGGTAACTTGGAAGACAAATAATATATTTAATGAAGTCATGGATCTGGTTAAGGAGCTCTCTACAAGTGTTTAAAGTATCTGTGGAGTGCTTCTAGTTGCTTATGCTAAAAAACTGTAAAAGAGAGGTAAGCTAAAGAAGATGTTTTGCTTACAAGCAGAATTTACAGAAATGTAAAGGACCCAGAACTTGTTGAAAATAGAATTGTTTCTCATCCCGAGTCTCTCCAGCTGGCAAAAGATTTGCAAAGTAAAAAATGCCTCAGAGTAAAGACCAAGTCAAGAGTGCCTGTGACTTTAAGGCCTCAGAAATCTTTAAGGTAGTAGCTAATAAATTACCCTTTCAGCTAGAAAGATGCTTCTAAGTATCTTTTTTTTTTTTTTAATGCTTTCAGCTGGAAACATGCTTCTAACTATCTTTTTTTTTTTTGTTTTCTTGAGAGGGAGTCTCACTCTGTCGCCCAGGCTGGAGTGCAGTGGCGCGATCTCGGCTCACTGCAACCTCCACCTCCCAGGTTCAAGTGATTCTCCTGTCTCAGCCTCCCGAGTAGTTGGGATTACAGGTGCCCACCACAATGCCTGGCTAGTTTTTGTGTTTTGACTAGAGATGAGGTTTCACCATGTTGCTCAGGCTGGTCTCGAACTCCTGACATCAGATGATCCTCCCACCTTGGCCTCCCAAAGTGCTGGGATCACAGACATAAGCCACCATGCCTGGCCCTAAGTATCTTAAGGGTACTGTCTCACAGCATCCTGACGTGCCCAAAGTATAGAGAGGTCTATGCAGACATGAGTTGTGGATGTGTCTCTTTGGGTGAGCGGTGAACCCCAATATGATTCATAGGAAACCCACAAAGTTGTCAAGAGACTTGTGTTGATGAATGCACCAAGGGACTGAAAGGGCCAGAAACAGTTCAAAATGAAAAGTGACCTCTGAGCCTTAAACTTTTTAATGAGCAGGAAGCAGACAGAAAGCTATTCAGCTGTAAATAGCTGTCATTTCAAATAAAAAGAGGGATTTCTCAGAGAGTGGAGTCAGGAGCCCAGAGGGCAGAGCTAGGAGCAGGGGATGCCATGGATTAAGGACCTACTCCCAGGGAACCAAACTAGATCCTGAAAAACAAAACAAAACAAAACAAAATGAAAAGCATTCCTGACCCTGGAGTAAGGGAATCTGACAGCATGTACCTATCTGGATTTCAGAATTGCTATGGACCAATGACTACTATGTACCTCCTATTTCCTCCTCTTTGAACAGCAGTCTCATTTGCAGTTATCCCCTCCCAATATCATCATAAATATTGGGAGTGTTGGGCCAGATAACTTGTCTTCTTAGTTCCCAGGTCTTTGGATCAAGAGAAACTGTACCTGAGGAGTTGCACCCAAGGAACCTCATTTTCTTCTGGACATGACTCATGAGAAAATGGACGTCAAGCCCAATGCCATGATTGGATGAGACTTTGGGGGTCTTGGGAGGGGGTGAGTCTATTTTGCATGTGGGAGGTATGTGAATTATTGTGGCCATAGGGTAGAGCATAGTAAGTTGTTTGCAAGAGATGGCGACAATAACTCCTCCCATTCCTGTATGTACACCCTTTGCAATGTGACTTTGCTGTTCCTCCCTTCCAGGGGTGGCATCTATTTTCCCTACCCCTTGAATCTTAGCTGGCTTTGTGGCTTGCTTAGACCATTAGAATGTGGCCAAAGTGATGTATAAATTCGAGAGCCTAGACCTCAAGAGGCCTTACAGCTTCTTCCCCTCTTGGAACACATCACTGAAGAAGCCTAGTCTAGCCTGCTGCAGGATGAGAAGCCACCTGCATTGGAGATGAACGATTCCAGCTGAGGCTCCCTAGACCTACCAGCCAGCAGTCAGCACAAATCACCAGACATCTGAGTGAGACCATTCTACCCCACTCAAGCTACCAGATGATGATATGTATGTAAGTGCAAGACCAGAAGAAGAACTGCCCAGATGAGAACAACATCATAAAAGGTTGATGTTCTAAGCAAGCCACTGAGTTTTGAGATGACTTGCTACATGGCAAAACAGAGCAAAAAAGATACAGAGCATAAAAGACATATGGTTATGTGAAATGGTCTAACATCATGTACTTTAAGTCTCAGAGGAGAAGAGAAAGAGAATGGAGCAGAAACAATAATTGAAGAAATGATGAAGCAGAAGCCATATTTGAAGAGAGAAAAGCTAAGAATTTCTTTGAACAGATAAAAGATACCAAGGACAGATTCAAAAAGCACTATGAGCCTCAAGCAAGACAAATACAAAGAACCACATCTATGCTTATCAGAGTAAATCTACCACCCTCCCCCCTATAAAAGACAGAAAGAGAGAAAATCTTAAACCAGCTGAGGAATAAAGATTACTTTCAAAATAGTAACAATAAGATTGACAGTTGGCATCTCAGTAGAAACAGTGAAAGCTGAAAATCATTGGGATTATTTAAAGTGCTGAGAAAAAAAATAGTTACCATTTTAGAATTCTGTCCCCAACAGTAATATTCTTCAAAACTAAAGATGAAAGTCCTTTGGCTGCAACAATACCATATATGATGTAATGTGAACCAGGAAAGTATCTTGTCTGGAACAAGTTGTACATTTGGTTGTACAGAGTACAGGATGGCAGTATTTTGCCCTGTTGTTGGATTTGTGTATGTGCCTATGTTTTCAAATATTTTGTTGTTTACCTTTGTGATGCACCAGATGTTCGTATGTTTTCATATTTATCAATTAATATTGGTTATGTAAGAATGCAGCATCTTAAAGATATTAAAGATGACAGCATGGACTGTATTTTATTCAGTTTTGTATTTCTGCTGATTAACATGGTTCCTGACACTTCTGGACATCTGCTTGTTGAAATCAAAGTAGCTTATCAAGATAGATAAAAAGTTTAAAATTTAAGAATTGGTTTTTTTTTTCCCCCTTTTCTAATACAGGTTCAAGCTGAAGTTCCTGGATCTCCCATATTTGTGATGAGACTAGCCAAACAATCTCGTCATCTGGAGGTGCAGATCTTAGCGGACCAATATGGCAATGCTATCTCTTTGTTTGGTCGTGATTGCTCTGTACAACGCAGGCATCAGAAGATTATTGAAGAAGCACCTGCTACTATTGCTACTCCAGCAGTATTTGAACACATGGAACAGGTACATATATTAAAAGGCTTACTTTATGTTTTCTTACATAGAACATTTTTCATTCAGTTCATGTACCAATCTGAGAACAATGGCATTTTAAGCAACGATTCTGAATAATTAATAAAATTATATCCTTTTCTTAGAGAAAAAAAATTCTACTGTTCTCCCACTAAGAGAATTGTCAAGGAACATGTCAAGCTTCTAAAAGTAGTTAACGCTTTCTAAAAAAAATCAGCGTACCATTTCAGGATACAGGGATAAAGAAGAGAAATGTTTTGGAATTTTTAATCTTATGATTGATTTTTTTAAGAGGCTCATAATCAGGTAGTTTTATTTGCTGGGTTGAGTATCATCAAGTCTTCAGCTGAATTTAATCAACTCTATTATCGTTTTTGGAAAGTCCTCTAAATATCTTCAGAGTTCACACATTCTATCTTTTTGTATAGAAAGTAGTTTCTCAAAGTCATGAGCGATGCCTTCGGAATAACTATAGTTTAGAGGCCTGAACATAGTCTTTTCTGGAGTCCTAACCCAGTCTCTACATCAAAATAGATTCTTCAAAATATATTTCATGTGTGTTAGAGGTCTATTTCCTATGTTGTGTATATATTAGGATGTACTCTTGAACTGCTGTAATAAAGATGCCTTCAAAATACAGTGGCTTGGCCGGGCATGGTGGCTCTTGCCTGTAATCCTAGCACTTTGGGAGGCTAAGGCGGACAGATCACTTGAGCCCTGGAATTCGAGACCGGCCTGGGCAATATGGTGAAACCCTATCTCTACTAAAAATACAAAAATTAGCTGAGTGTCATGGCACACGTCTGTACTCTCAGCTGCTTGGGAGGCTGAGGTGGGAGGATCACTTGACACTGGGAGGTCAAAGCTGCAGTGAGCCTTGATCATGCTACTGCACTCCAACCTGGGTGACAGAGCAAGACCCCATCTCAAAACAAATAAATAAATAAGCAAAATACGGTGGCTTAAACAAGGTGTAAGTTTCTATTTCTCTTTCATCATAGTTCAGAGATGAGCTGTTACCAGAAACAGGTTTATTGCTCACCTGTTGCCTGTTTTTGTAAATAAAATTTTGTTGGAACACAATGATGCTTATTTATTTATGTGTTATTTATGGCTGCTTTATCACTACAATGGTAGAATTGAATAGTTGTGACAGAGGCTATATGGCCCACAAAATTGAAAATAATTACTATCTGGCTCTTTACCAAAAAAGTTTGCCAAACTTTGCTCTTGGACATTGTCATCTTCATGATTAAGCTAACTCACACAAGATTATGTTCACATTGTGGCCTGTGGGAGGAAGAGACAGGGGATGTGGAGGGCAAGCATATGGAAGCATGATCTTGAAGTCACATACATCACTTCTGCTCACATTCCACTGGACAAAATTCAGTTACACAATTATACCTAGCACAAAGGATGTTAGGAATTGTGATCACTAACTGGGTGACCATGTGCTCAGCAAAAATTTCGATTTTATTCCTAAAATGATGAAGTAGAGAAAAGTCACTGGAGGGCATTTCATAATCTGTGCCTCAGTCTGTTCCTCTGGCTACCTATTATCCCTTTATCCTTTTTCCTACTTTCAGAGCACACATAGCCTTTGTCCAAGGAAGACAACCTGAAGCCCCATCCAGTTACTAGTAACTGGATGGGTTATTACTGGAGGTGATTCCGGATCTCTATATGATGTATATTCTTCTCCATTAGATATGTATTGTGGCTTTTCATGGGCCAGTGACTCAAAATACAAGTTATTTACCCAGTATTATATCCCCTGCCTTCACCATACACCCATATACAATGATGGAATAGGAACAGGATAACTCTCATTTGGAAAAATGAAAAATACATAGCAATCGTTGGTCCATAGCAGTTATCAAATCCTCCTTTTTAGGTAGGAATTGCAATGATTCCCTGCTATATAATAGAATACTACCTCAGTTAGACCTGGCTGTCCCTGGTTCTGCTACTGCACACTCCAGAGAAGTGCAATAAGGGAGTAAATCCCTTGTTCATTGTCCTTCAAGACACCTGACATTGTTTTCTGGGAAGTTCTTCCTCATTCAGTTTTCTCTGTGAGTTGGGCTTTGGAGACTATGCCTTCTTTGGCAGAACTTTCACAACCCACTTCCTGCTGGTGCAGGATTGAGGGCACAAATATCCCAATCATCAGTCGCAGGCTTTTGAAGGCCAGGTTTGTGGTTTGTTTAGAAATACAATTCCTTCAAATACTTAACTAAGCTTCTGGGCTATTTGCTTGCAATCAGCTTTGGGTTGGATTAATCATACTCATAGATTTCTTCTAGATATAGAAACTTTTCTTCTATTATTTACTGGCTTCTGTGCTTAGCCTATCTCTCTTGCCTTGATTTAATATTGGCTATCTTGGGGCCAGCTGAAACTAAAGCAGCACGTTTGATCTTTGACACTGAGTTGCTTCAGGGTGATAATCTCATTTTCTGTTTGGGGGGATACAAAAGAAGTTGGCTTTTTCGACACTCTGACCCTTTCAGACCATCTTTTTTAAGGTTTAGTTGGTGTGTGGTCAGTATCCCAAGTTATTGTAGGAAACAGTTTACCAAATGTTGTGTTATCCCAACAAGGAGATTATCACCTTTCCAGCCTGCAGTATCTGTTTCTCTGCTACCCACTACCCTTTTGCTAAGCTAGCATCTCATATTTTAATATTTTTAAACAGCAACATTCTACCTGCACTTAATAATTCCTGTATCGATTAGGATACAGGTTAAACTGCTATAACAAAAAGGTCCAAAAAACACAGCGGACCCCCCCAAAAATAGAAGTTTATTTTTCTCTCCCATCCTAGTCTGAGGTGAGCTTTTCAGGGCTGGTGGAAGTGTTTTATTCCACGAGACCATCTTGGGATTCAGGTTCATTCTTTCTTTTCTTTTTCTTTCTTTTCTTTTCCTTTCTTTTCTTGGTGTTCTTAGTGTGTTCTCATTTGCATGATTGAAGTTGGCTTATACTATCATGACTATGTTCCAATGAATAAGAAGGAAAAAGCCAGGAATAGAGAATGAGACATTTCCTTTTCAAAATATGACTTAGGGCTGGGTGCTGTGGCTCACGCCTATAATCCCAGCACTTTAGGAGGCTGAGGTGGGCGGATCACCTGAGATCAAGAGTTCGAGACCAGCCTGGCCAACATGATGAAAACCCATCTCTACTAAAGATATAAAAATTAGCCTGACATGGTGGCATGTGCCTGTGATCCCAGCTACTCAGGAGGCTGAGGTAGGAGAATCACTTGAATCCGAGAGGCGGAGGTTACAGTGAGCCGAGATTGCGCCACTGTGCTCCATCCTGGGTGGGTGACAAAGCGAGACTCCATCTCCAAAAAAAAAAAAAAAAAAAATATATATATATATATATATATATATATATATATATATATATATATATGACTTGGGAGTTATGCATATCACTTACCAATGCTGGTGTCCTGTTTGTCAAAACTTAGCCACTAACCAGGCCAGGCATGGTGGCTCACGCCTGTAATCCCAGCACTTTGGTAGGCCAAGGCGAGTAGATCACTTGAGGTCAGGAGTTTGAGACCAGGCTGGCCAACATGGGGAAACCCCATCTCTACCAAAAATACAAAAATTAGCCAGGCATGGTGGCGCATGCCTGTAATCTCAGCTACTTGGGGGGCTGAGGCAGGAGAATCACTTGAACCCGGGAGGCAGAGTTTGCAGTGAGCCACGAGATTGTGCCACTGGACTCCAGCCCAGGAGACAGAGTGAGACTCTGTCTCAAAAAAAAAAAAAAAAATCTAGTCTCTAACTAGTTAGCTATGTTTCTAGGAAGAAGAGGAGCATATTGGAAATACTGGAAACTGGACAAGAGTCTGTCCCCATGTTTTTTTGTCTGCATGCATTTATGTCTGGTGGGGTGAGGTTGCTTTTGATGCAAAGTGAAAAATGCTCTTTTCTCCCGATTTTTCATTGAGTTTTTCATCCTTGTCCAGGGATATTGTATAATAATCAGAAATGTGCTCTCATGTGGCTAAAAGCTTTTGATGGCTCTTATACACACTGAACAGTTGAGTCAGTGAGAGGCTGTAGTGGTCTAGCAGTTGGATAAGGTGAGATACTTATGTTTGCTTATCTCTCTTCTTTGAGTGTGCGGTGAAACTTGCCAAAATGGTGGGTTATGTGAGTGCTGGGACTGTGGAATACCTGTACAGCCAGGATGGCAGCTTCTACTTTCTGGAATTGAATCCTCGGCTGCAGGTAGAGCACCCTTGTACAGAGATGGTGGCTGATGTCAATCTCCCTGCAGCACAGCTCCAGGTGAGTCTCCCTGATCTGGGTTGCAGAGCCTAGAAAAGTCAGAGAGGCCTGAAAAATGGGTTTAACCAGTGTGTGATAAGAGAAAAGCACCTCCTATCTGAGTCACACCTAATGGTCATTTCTCTTTCACCCTGTATGTGTTATGCATGTGTGGTTTGGTTTTCCTGATGTAGTACAGACATAGGAATGTTATTTTTTCTAGCCAGACACATCTGATATAATGTGTCATGTTTTAGAAATAAATGTTAATAATGTATGCTTTATTCAATTATTTAGCTATAGTAAACTTCACAACTTTGTATTATAATTATTCCCTACTCATTTTTGTTTTTTTACTAGTGTTCTTTATTGAAATAATTCTGCATCAGAGATTAGTGGTTGAAGTTTTTCCTTACAAGAGTGTGGTAGCACACATATATTTTTATAATTTGTAAAGTGCTTGCTGTCAATATTATTGTCTTCTCTCAGCCCAGGAAACAAATATTATGGAAAGCAGTAATAGTTAATGATAAGGCTTGATATTATTTTTATCTAACATTTGCCCACATCGAGAACACCTTCTGGGTTCCTATTAAAGACTAAAGATTTACTTACTTCCTCCAGTGGTTTGCAGGGATGGAAGAGATAATTATGACACAATTAAGACTTTCTAGCTGTCTGTTTTTGGATGGCTATTAACATTTACTCCTCTGTTGGATATTTTCATTCTTATTACGTGATGGAGAAATGACAACAGGGGAACTGGTGTCTGTTGCATTAGGAATGTGGGGACTTCTTTAGAAGTGGAGAATATTCTAACTACTTATCTGTAGTGATATATTGTATTTCAAGCAACTTAGAGTTGATGATTGTAGAATACAGGTTATAAAAATAGAATGTTTTAGGGAGTGGCTCCAAAAATAAAAATATTTTAGGTTATCTGATAGCCTCTACACTTTAAGGGAAGTAACTGAAAAATTAAAGATGTGTGTTTTATTACCTTTCAGATTGCCATGGGGATTCCTCTATATAGAATCAAGGATATCCGTATGATGTATGGGGTATCTCCCTGGGGTGATTCTCCCATTGATTTTGAAGATTCTGCACACGTTCCTTGTCCAAGGGGCCATGTTATTGCTGCTCGGATCACTAGTGAAAATCCAGATGAGGTAACCCATCACTTAAAAGGTTTATACCTCCTTTTAATGAACTTTAATGTTAAGATAGTATCTGAAAGTATACTTCTGAAATATCTTGGGACTTCCTCTGGAGTGGGAAACATAGAGGTTTCTCAGAGCAGATAAGTAAATGGTTGTTGCTTCATTGGTTACTTAATCCCACTTAAGTCACTGTAGAGTCTTCAGTGGGTCTGTGGCACTGGGTCTTGGCCTTTATCATTTTTGTGTGTCTTCTCTGCTTCTGTGTGTGATTAACAGAGAACTTAAACAATGAATATATAAATCTTCTCTTCCTTCGAAACATAATATGGTCTCTCATTCTTTATTCTCTAACAGGGTTTTAAGCCCAGCTCAGGAACAGTTCAGGAGCTAAATTTCCGCAGCAATAAGAATGTTTGGGGATATTTCAGTGTTGCTGCTGCAGGGGGACTTCATGAATTTGCTGATTCTCAGTTTGGTCACTGCTTTTCTTGGGGAGAAAACAGAGAAGAGGCAATTTCGTGAGTATAATAGCATTTGATTGCATTTTACAAAATAAATTTGTGCTAATCTTAAGTGAAGGTGTGAGCATGGGAATAGGAATCATCTGCTGTCAAAGTAATAATATGAACAACCTTTTTGAAGAAATTTTGAATATCTTTAATTACACTTGCATTCATGTTGTATTAAATTATGCAGTGCTTGGCAGATGTTTTTCTGTTTGTTGTTCTGAGCCTTTTGAAGTATTTTTCCTTTCAAATATTTTTGATAAATGTATAAAATTGATTGCTTTAAAGGTATCTTATTTTTCCACAGGAACAGTATTGTTATTGAGGGGAGGTAGATTCTTGGCCAAGAACTAGGTATCAAATAAATCATAGACTTTTATTTTATTTTTTTCTTGTGAGAAGACTTAAAATCTATTAGCAATTTTCAAGTACACAATCTATTGTTATGAGCCATAGTCACCATGATGTACTCTTATAGTTATTTAAAATAATAAAATTATACTGCTCATATTATGAAAAGGACATAAAGAAACTGTCTACATTGCTAATACAAGAGACCTTAGCATGCTGTATATAACAGCTTATGCAAATATAACTGCTATATCATAAATGTTAGATAATATTCTGTTAATCATAAACAATGAATATTAAATTAACAGCACTTTTGCTTGCCTAAAACATAGGGCTGAAGGAGGTAATTTTAACAGCTTAGATCTTTTGGAATATCTATCTAAAATTGAAACTTGAACTAGTTCTTTTCTGTTTTTTAATGGTTTATTGCCTTGTATCAAACATTTAATACCATTCCCTTTACCTTTGTACTGTACATGGAGTAGGTAATTAATAAGTGTTTATTAGTATTAATTACTAATAAATAGCATTTGTTTATTAGTAATTAATCCTAATATATGGTTGTTTGTATTAATAAACACTTATTGATTAGTTTTATATTTTTATCAATTTCCTGAATTAATTAATTTTAAGAGGCAGAGTCTTGCTCTGTCACCCAGGCTGGAATGCAGTGGTGCCATCATAGCTCACTGAAACCTCGACCTCCTGGGCTCAAGCAATCCTTTTGCCTCAGCCTCTTGAATTGCTGGGACTGCAGGTGTGCACCATCATGTCCAGCAAATTTTAAATTTTTTGTAGAGATGGGGTCTCCCTTTGTTGCCCAGGCTAGTCTTAAACTCCTGGGCTCTAATGGCCCCACAAAGTGCTGGTATTATAGGCATGAGCCGCTGCACCCAGCCTTGATTAATTAGTTTTTAATATTATTTTTAGAAGTAGGGAAATCTCATTATTTCTCTATTTTGTCCTTTACATTTCTTCTCATTCTTCAAAACTATAAGTGGAATTTTTCAAAATTAAAACACTGCTACCAGAAAAAAACATTGGTATGAAGTTGCCTTTTAAGCATATTCGCTGCCATATTATGCTCTGCAAAGTGAAAAAGGTTTACACTAGAGCTTGCAAATTGTTGGCTTTCTGGTGAGTCTCAACATACAGATGTGTTTTGATGGGCTCACAAAGTGTTAATTTTTTTTAATTTGACAATATTAAAAAATCAGGAGATTGAAATCAAAATATGGATTTCTGCTAGCTCTTAAAAGTAGGACTATAATGACAACATTGGTTGTACATTCTAGTTGTTAAAAGTTAGCTAATTTTGCCTGGGCACGGTGGCTCACACCTGTAATCACAGCACTTTGGGAGACCGAGGCTGGCAGATCACTTAAGGTCAGGAGTTTGAGACCAACTTCGCCAACATGGTAAAACCCCGTCTCTGCTAAAAATACAAAAATTAGCCAGGTGTGGTGGCAACTGCCTGTAATCCCAGCTACTCGGGAAGCTGAGGCAGGAGAATCACTGGAACCCAGGAGGCTGAGGTTGCAGTGAGCCAAGATCACGCCATTGCACTCCAGCCTGGGCAACAAGAGCAAAACTCCGTCTCAAAAAAACAAAAAACAAACAAACAAACAAAAAACAGCTAGTTTTGTGTGACTGCTTCTTTTCGACGGGACATAAACTTTGTAGTTAACACAGCTCCTATTCAGTCTGCCTCACTCATTTATGTTCCCAGACTGGCCTCTGTTGGCATTTAGGTTTAAGTCCTGATTTGGCAGACCACTGTGTATTTTCTTCAGGGAATGTCCTATAACCCAATCCAGAAGCCTTGTTCCTTATTTCTGACCAGCTCTGTACATTTGTCTACAGTACAAAGCTAACTAGCTTAATTTTTAGCATGTTAAAAATACGTTATCTACAATAAGTCTCCTTCTTGACACTATGCCAAAAGTTCATTCTTCAGCTTAGAGCTTTCTTTGTTTCTTATTTCTTCATTTCATTAGGTCTATATCTCAGCTTGGGGTTTGGACTCTTGTTTGCCAGAATGCCCCAACTCATATATTCCAGTATATTCCAGTATAATTTCCCATGGGTCATAATCTAAATACCATGAGAACAGGACTGTGTCTTGTTACTGCTATATCCCCTGAACATAGTAAGCATTCAGTAAACGTTGGTTGAATGGATTAGCCACTCATTCCTATCCTTATACCTCTGCTTCAATCATACCATTCCCTGAACTCAAGCTGTATTTTCCTTTTTTTTTTTTGAGACAGAGTCTTGCTCTGTCGCCCAAGCTGGAGTGCAGTGGCACGATCTCAGCTCACTGCAACCTCTTCCTCCTGGGTTCAAGTGATTCTCCTGCCTCAGCTTCCTGAGTAACTGGGATTACAGGCACGTGCCACCATGCCTGGCTAATTTTGTCAACCTGTATTTTCTTCCCTCTGCTTCTTTGTTCTTGCTATTTCCTCTGTTCATTCATTTATTCTTTTTTTTTTTTTTCTGACATGGAGTGCCCGCCACCACACCCAGCTAGTTTTTGTATTTGTAGTAGAGACGGGTTTCACCATGTCGGCCAGGCTGGTCTCGAATTCCTGACCTCGAGTGATCTGCCCAACTCGGCCTCCCAAAGTGCTGGGATAACAGGTGTGAGCCACTGTGCCAGGCCCATTCATTCATTGTATTCAACAAATATTTACTGAGTATCTGCTATCTACTGGTTCTGGCAATACAGTGAGGTCCAAGATAGAATCTCTCTCCTCACAAAACTTTACAATCCAGAGGGTGTAAGACAATTGGCAGTTAAAATACAATGTATTAAGTATGATGATAGTCAGATTATTTAAGGGCATTATAGGATCATACAGATGAGTCAACTAACTCAGTCTAGAGGGGTTCTGGGAAGGTATCCCAGAAGACAGTGACATCTAGATTGATAATTGAAGTTTGTAGAAGTAAGTCAGGTCAAAGGAGGACACAGAAAGGAGGACAGAGGTGGGCAACAGAATAATATTTTAGGCTGAGGGAATGCCTGGACTACCTGGAATATGATTCCTCTCACAGTTATAATTATCAGCTATACTTTAGCCCATGTCAGTTTCCACATTTTTCATGAAACTGTAGGGAGATGAATTTCTCCCTTCTTACAACCTCTCCAGAACTTTGTGTAAGTATTCTGTCTGGCATTGATGATATTCTGCCATATATTTTGAAAGTGATTATTGTATTTATGTTCTTTCTTCCTTACAATCATAGTATGTGTCTTATTAGTATGAGGTACATAATTAGTATTTGTGGAAGTAAGTACCTGTCCCGTGCAGGATAGACACTGGGCATAAATATACAGAAAAGCCCCATAGTATTTGAAATTCTGCTAAAATTGGATCACTTTGCACTTAACTGGGAAGTAATAAAAGTAATGAGCAAATCATTGCATAGATATCCAAAATGCAGTTTTAAAAAAAACACTGTCACATGCAGTGTCAGGCTGATATATGACTGCACCCAGAGAGTTGCTTTACTGTATGGAAATCTTTAAATTAAGCACTTGGGAAAATTCATTGAACTGTATACTTAAAATAAGTATATTTTATTGTATGTAAATTATACATAAAATAAATAAGGTACAAGGATAGGGAGAATTAATGCCCTAATTCTTGTTAGCCAACAACAAATGAATGGAATAATGGAAACTTAGTAAGTAAAAGCTGAGGGTGACTTGCATATAATTTGTTATAATTTGTTCTGTACTCATTATAATGAAATGTTTCTGATTTGCTGATGCTCTTATGGTAATATCAGTTAGAATTCATACGTTTTCTGACTTTTTGCAAATTTCCCTCTCTTGAATGCACATGAATGAGCACACTTGACATGTGCACCCTTATTTGTTTTTGGAACTGCCTCTCTCCCTTCCCTCTCAAGATTCCAAAGGAATGAAACAGTTCTTTCTTTTATTTTTATTTTTATTTTTTTGGGGGGACAGAGTCTCGCTCTGTCGCCCAGGCTAGAGTGCAGTGGCGTGATCTCTGCTCACTGCAAGCTCCGCCTCCCGGGTTCACGCCATTCTCCTGCCTCAGCCTCCCGAGTAGCTGGGACTACAGGCGCCCGCCACCACGCCTGGCTAATTTTTTGTATTTTTAGTAGAGACAGGGTCTCACCGTGTTAGCCAGGATGGTCTCAATCTCCTGACTTCGTGATCCGCCTTGTCTTGGCCTCCCAAAGTGTTAGGATTACAGGCGTGAGCCACCATGCCTGGCCAAACAGATCTTTAAAATTATTGAAAAACATTAAAGTGTTTGTTGCTGAAACAGATTGGCTTCTGTTCTCCCAGAAACATGGTGGTGGCTTTGAAGGAGCTGTCTATTCGGGGTGACTTTCGAACTACAGTTGAATACCTGATCAAATTGTTAGAGACTGAAAGCTTTCAGATGAACAGAATTGATACTGGCTGGCTGGACAGACTGATAGCAGAAAAAGTACAGGTGTGTATTTCTCCACAAACAGATGCTGGGATTGGGTTTTTATAGACTTGTGTACTCAATCCCTGTCACTACATGAAATTTATTTGATTCTAATGTAAATGGTTCTTGATCTACCTGGAAAAATCTAGGAGTCAGTGTAATTTTAGCACTCTGATGGTTCCTGTGCTTGTGTCACACAGTCATTTTATGTTCTAGCATTACTTCCTGAGGTATATTTGAAGTGAGGCATGCAGGGATTTAATTACTTTCTTTTTCTTCATTTAATGTTAAACCTGGTCCATAGTTGCCAACTTCTGTATCTACCAGATGCTGAAGAGAGAGGCCTCATTTAGATCAAGAGTTATCACTTATTCCTTAATTCCTGGGGCTATGCTAAATTATCCAAGATTTTGTATAAAATCGTTAGATTCATATAATTTGGAGGTCCAAATTTTGGCTATACACCGTTTTTCTTTGAGATTATCAGTAGCCAAATCGTTGTGTCTTTTTAAATTTATTTCTGTCAGAAGCCTATTTTTGAGCTATTCAATGATTGGCTAAGTGGAAGTCTTAGGGAGAAAAGAAGAAAGTTGTTTTTCATTTCTCTTCAAGTGGTGCCTCTAATCAAATTCTAAAAGTGAATGTGTTCATTTTTATCTAAAAAATCAGTTGGGCAGTGAGAATGGAGATTTTCATTGCTAGCTGTTTCATCACAACAAATTTGAGCCTGATTTCATTTGAGAGGCTGTGGTGCCAAGTGACCATGCATTTGATCTGCCCTCTTTTTCCTCCTTTCAGGCTGAGCGACCTGACACCATGTTGGGGGTTGTGTGTGGTGCCCTCCACGTGGCAGATGTGAGCCTGCGGAATAGCGTCTCTAACTTCCTTCACTCCTTAGAAAGGTAGGCTTTGTTTCTTGTAGGCTACACAAACTAATCAATGGTCCTGAGTACAGGGACTGAAGCTCAAAGACCCATTTATTCTTCTGTCCATTCCTGGCAGCTTATGAGTGCTACTTGTTATTCATGGACCATGGTGGCAAGAAAGAGGGGATGTTGACATTTATGGCAAATTATTTGGGGAGTCAAACTGCAGATTCTAGACATTAACTTATACCACAGTTAGAACAGGTTGCTTCTTTAAAAACTGGAATCCATCTGCAGTAGTTATTCTGTCCTGTATAAGTATCAAATCTCTCCAAACCCTGGTGATAAAAATCTGGTATTTCTCCCTAGCACTGAACCCTAAATATTTCATGTATTACTTGTACCACCTTTCAGAAGTAAATAATTAAGGCTGATATTCAGGATGACCTCATGAGTCTTTCAAGTAGAGGGTCAGACATCTATGGGGCTAAACTAATTTCTATTGCTGATTGAGGAGACTAAGCTCTGCCTTTGAGTCCCCAGAGGAATGTTCCAAGTGGCTAATCATTTTAAAGCACTTTAATCACAGGCACTTTTATTTCCTTCTGTGTTGTTAGACTTATATCAACTCCCTTTTGAGGTATCTGAAAGAAAGAAAAGAAACAAAATTTAAAAATTGAACTGAGATTTCAGAGTTATTCAAGTCCTATGATAAGTATCTTTCACTATGTTACTCTCATGTAGTAAAACCTTCAGCAGCTTGGCATTTCTCTTCTGTATCAAATCTAAATCCCTTGGCGTGACTTTCAACTCCCTGTATACATGGGCCGCTTTTTACCAATCCAGTCTTATTTATTTCTGTTCTGCAACATATAATCTGTAACCTAGTTAAATAGTTTTCTTATTGGTGTACAAATATGTCAAATGCATTTTCCTCTACAAGCCCCCCACCCACCTCCTTTTAAAATGCTTTTGTTTTTTACTTATTTTATTATTTTTATTTTTTTTATCTTTGAGACAGAGTCTCGCACTGATGCCCAGGCTGGAGTGCAGTGGCGCAATCTCGGCTCGCTGCAAGGTCCGCCTCTCGGGTTCACGCCATTCTCCTGCCTCAGCCTCTCGAGTAGCTGGGACTACAGGCACCTGCCACCAGGCCCGGCTAATTTTTTTTGTATTTTTATTAGAGACAGGGTTTCACCGTGTTAGCCAGGATGGTCTCAATCTCCTGACCTTGTGATCCACCCGCCTTGGCCTCCCAAAGTGCTGGGATTACAGGCGTGAGCCACCGTGCCCGGCTGCCCGGCCTTTTTAAAGACTCTCAAATAAAGTTTCAGTTGCTAGGAGCAGATATGCTTACACTGAAGTTTTATAATTTTTTCGCGTTTAATCTTAATCTTTTTTTTTGAGATGGAGCCTTGCTCTGTCACCAGGCTGGAGTGCAGTGGCGTGATCTCTGCTCACTGTAACCTTCGCCTCCTGGGTTCAAGGGATTCTCCTGCCTCAGCCACATGAGTAGCTGGGACTACAGGCACGCACCACCACGCCCAGCTCATTTTTGTATTTTTAGTAGAGACGGAGTTTCAACATGTTGGCCAGGATGGTCTCGATCTCTTGACCTCGTGATCTGCCTGCTTTGGCCTCCCAAATAGCTGGAATTAGAGGCGTGAGCCACTGCGCCCAACCTTAATCTTTATCTTTAAGAACAGTTAACACATTCATGTGGTTCAAAATTCAAAAGGCACAAAAAAGATAAGCAGTGAGAAGTCTCTCTCTTACCTCTGTTCCTTGGCCATCCAGTTTCCGTCCCCTATAGTAAATTCATATTACCAATTTCTTTTCTAACCTTCCAAAGATACCCTAAACTTACATGAACATATATATGTGTATTAGTCTGTTCTCACACTGCTAATAAAGACATTCCCAAGACTGGCTAATTTATAAAGGAAAGAAGTTTAATTGAGTCACAGTTCCAGATGGCTGGGGAGGCCTCACAATCATGGCGGAAGGCAAAGGAAGAGCAAAGACACATCTTTCGTGGTGGCAGCCAAGAGAGAAAATGAGAGCCAAGTGAAAGGGGTTTCCCCTTATAAAATGATCAGCTCTCGTGAGACTTATTCACTACCATGAGAACAGTATGGGGGAACCGCCCCCATGATTCAAGTATCTCCCACTGGGTCCGTCCCACACCACAAGAGAATTATGGGAGCTACAGTTCAAGATGAGATTTGAGTGGGAACACAGCCGAACCATATCAACATGCAATATTTGTTTCTTCCCACCTCCTGGTTTTTTAAAACTCAAATGGTAGCATGCTGTGAAGCTGTTATTTACCTTGCTTTTTTAACTCAACAGTATATTTTTTAAAGTGTTTTTTAGTTCACATCTTTTTAATGTCTGTATGTTTTGTTCCACATGTGAAAACATGCGCAACATCACTAATCATTAAGTAAATAAAATCAAAACCATGATGAGATACCACCTCACACCCATTAGGATGCCCACTGTCAAAAAACAGAAAATAGCAAGTATTGGCAAGTACGTAGAGAAATTGGGACACTTGTGCACTCTTGATGGGAATGTAAAATGATGCAGCCACTATTGAAAAATGGTATTGCAATTACTGAAAAAATTAAAAATAGAATTACCCTATGATCTGGTAATACCACTTCTGGGTATTCTGAAAGAATTGAAAGCAGGGTCTGAAAGATACTTGCACAGCCACATTCATAGGAGGATTATTCACAGTAGCTAAAAGATGGGAGCAACTCAGATGTTGGTTGATGGATGACTGGATAAACAAAATGTGGCATATACATACAATACAGTATTATTCAGCCTTAAAGAAGAAGGAAATTCTGACACATGCTAAAACATAGGTGGATCTTAAGGACATTAGGGCAAGTGAATTAAGCCTGTCACAAAAAGACAAATACTATATGGTTTTACTTATATGAAGTATGAAGAGTAGTCAGACTCATAGAACTAGAAAGTAGAATGACGGTTACCAGGAACTGGGGGGAGGGCGAAATTGGGAGTTGTTAATGGGTGTAGAGTTTCACTTTTGCCAGTTGAAAAAGTCCTGCAGATTGGTTGCAGAATAGTGTTAATATCCCCAACACTATAGAACTGTGCATTTTGTAATGGTTAAGATGGCAAATTTAATGTAATGTGTATTTTACCCTAATTTAAAAAAATCCATTGTAAGATTCATAATTGATGTGATCAATTCCTTACAAACGATCATTTAGGTATTTAGGTTGTTTCTAGTCTTTTGTTATTCTAGGAAATGCTACAATCAATAATGTTTTAGATTCTCTTATAACTGTTAGAACTTTGTAGTAAGTTCCTCTCTCATCGTTCTTTCAGGGGTCAAGTCCTTCCTGCTCATACACTTCTGAATACAGTAGATGTTGAACTTATCTATGAGGGAGTCAAGTATGTACTTAAGGTATGCAGAACCCCATTGGAGCTTGCACCTTACTTTTTTAGCTATCTTTCTTTAGGTTGAGAGGCAGGAGAAAAAGTTTGATTTAATGCAGGGATGGGGGTATTAGTGAAATTACCGTCATTATTTTTGTCAGTGTCCTGAAGCAGCGTTTGTTGTTCTATGAAAATCTTTTTTGTTGTTCTTCAACTTCACATACACTGCCAAGAGATAAAGGAGAGACAGAGAACAACCACAGTTGGGGAAAATCAACTAAGGTTGCCCTCTTTGCTTACAGCAGGACTGAGCCATGTCCACAGACACTGATGCAAATAGCATCAGTGCCATGAATTTTCTTCCTCCTGACAGATCTTTCTTATCTGTATTTTTGAAGCATTCAAATTTCATTTGGAGCTGTACCTGGAAGGGACACACTGATCCTCATTCTCATTCCCTACAGGTGACTCGACAGTCCCCCAACTCCTATGTGGTGATCATGAATGGCTCATGTGTAGAAGTAGATGTACATCGGCTGAGTGACGGTGGACTGCTCTTGTCCTATGATGGCAGCAGTTATACTACGTATATGAAAGAGGAAGTGGATAGGTAAGTGGCTGTTTGAGGTCCATTTGCTGGTCATCCTGTTAGCCTTTTCTCTTATTAGCTACTAGCTCTTGGGATTTTCCCAGGCTTTTCTTGGTACTCATTTGTAGTTAAAAAAAAAAAAAATAGTACATGCACTTAACAAAAATATCAAGAGTATTAAAGTGTTTATAATTAAAAACATGTCTCCCTACCACTCCAGTGTATGTGGACAATGAAAAATAAGTTCCCCTTTTTATAAGTAACCATTGTTAAAAGTTTCTTACATATTTGAGTAGAAATTTTATATGCATATACAAGTTACACTCATGTACATACTGTTTTTCTTTAAATACATTCACAAATGTGGCTGGGCGCGGTGGCTCACGCCTGTAATCCCAGCACTTTGGGAGGCCGAGGCAGGTGGATCACCTGAGGCTGGGAGTTCAAGACCGGTGTGGCCAATGTGGTGAAACCCTGTCTCTACTAAAAATACAAAATTAACCAGATGTGGTGGCTTATGCCTGTAGTCCCAGCTACTTGGGAGGCAGAGGCAGGAGAATCACGTGAACCTGGGAGGTGGAGGTTGCGGTGAGCCGAGATCACGCCATTGCACTCCAGTCTGGGCAACAAGAGCAAAACTCCGTATCAAAAAAAAAAGAAATTCACAAATGTTCAACACCAGTTATGGTGTTATGAGAATGAAATAAATTAACATGTTGAAAATGTGTAGAACATTGCCACAACATAGCTAGGCTTCAAGAAATGTTAGCTATTACGTCATCAATATCTTTGTGTGTGTTTTTTTAAATGGTGGTACCTGTTATTTTTAATAGTCATGTGGTATTCCATTATATGATTATACTATATTTAATCTGATCCTTATTGAAGGAAATTTATGTTAATTGACATTGTAAACAAATATGCAGTGAATATGTCTGTGTGTGTGTATAATAAAGTTTTCAGGATTTTTTTTCTTTGAAGGTTGACATTCTCTACCATTCTCCTTTACATCCTGAGGTGCTTTCTTAGCTTACATACTTCCACTTGTCTCCTAGATATCGCATCACAATTGGCAATAAAACCTGTGTGTTTGAGAAGGAAAATGACCCATCGGTGATGCGCTCACCTTCTGCTGGGAAGTTAATCCAGTACATTGTAGAAGATGGAGGTCATGTGTTTGCCGGCCAGTGCTATGCTGAGATTGAGGTCAGGGTGGTGAAAGGACTGTGGGATCATGGGAGGGGAAGGTAGGAAAAGGGTCGGCTGGGATGGACTAGGACTGAAAAGTTACAGAAAGGAGGCTGGGCACAGTGGCTTGTGCCTGTAATCCTACCACTTTGGGAGGCTGAGGCAGGAAGATCGCTTGAGCCCAGGAGTTCGAGACTAGCCTGGGCAAGATGGTGAGACCCCATCTCTATGAAAAATTAAAAAATTAGCGGCGTACAGTGGCACATGCCTGTAGACCCAGCCACTCTGGTGTCTAAGGCGGGAGGATCCCTTGAGCCCAGGAATTCAAGGCAGCAGTGAATGGAGATTGTACCACTGTACTGGAGTGGTACAATTTGTGGCCTGCGTCACAAATCAAGACCCTATTTCTAAAAAATTAAAAAAAAAGGTAACAGATTGGAAATAAGAATGAAAAAGAAACATCAGTTGGCTTAATTAGAAGTGCGAACCTTAAGATTTTTAAAACACATAGGCAAATGAGGAATCTCTAGTTCTAAAAATAGATACTAGGCAATAGCACTTGTTGAATGTTAGGTGTCCTAACTGCTGGCTATCCAGAGAAAATACATGGAGGTGGGGCACAAAACAGACAAGAAATGTCATGTGATTAATTTTAAGAGAGCTAAGCATAGAGTGCAGAGGGTCACCTAACCCAAATCAAGCTAAGCTTGTATGGGAAGATATTCTGAAAGAAGAGACATTTGATCTTAGTTTTGAAAGACAGATAGTGATAGAGCAGGTGAAGAAGGGCAGGGAAGAGTGCTTAAAGTTGAAGGAATAGCATGTACAAAGACAGAAGCAAGACAGCACAGTGTATTTAGGGAACTGCAAGTATGTGTTGGTGTGGCTTGAGAATAGACTAAGGTTTAATGGGGAGGGACAAGCAAAGGTGCTAAAGAAGTAATGTGAGATCTTGAATGTGAGGTTATGAAGGATCTTATAAACCATACTAGTAAGTTTTCACTATCCTGGAGGCAGCAGGTAATCTCTGAAAGATTTAAGTGGAAAAGTAGTATGATGAGATTTGGGGTCTAGGAAGATTGCTTTTCGTGACCTTGAGGGAGGTATGTAGCAAGTAGGGAGATCTCTTAGGGGGTCTTTGAAGTACTTTGGGCCAGAAATGAAGAAGGCGTAAACCGAAGAGTTGGCAAGAGAGGAAGATTTTTGAGAAAGGTTTAGAAGATATGTCTGGCTGGGTTGGTAATTGGTAGGTAAGGGAGAAAGAGGAGTGAAGAATGATCCTTAGGTTTTGGCCTGGTTGTCTTAGATTGGATTCACTGGTATGAGGATATTAAATTGTTCCTTACTTTCTAAGTACAAAACAAATATAATCACAAATTATGCCAAAATGGTTGTAAAAGTTAGAAAGGAGAAATGTCAATAACTGTTATTAATTCCTAAAGTGAGGTACTGAGAGATTTTCTAATTGCTTGCCTTGATAGTCCCTAGGAGATGATGGTAAATTCCCATTTTTTCTTGGTCAAATTAGGTGTGGTCCAACTTAGATGCTAAGGGAAAAATTTTAGTTCTTTTAAGCACTCATCTGTGTAAAGAGAGATAAATCTGAGTCTAGTTTATTTTTCACTATAGGTAATGAAGATGGTAATGACCTTAACAGCTGTGGAGTCTGGCTGTATCCATTACGTCAAGCGACCTGGAGCAGCTCTTGACCCTGGCTGTGTACTAGCCAAAATGCAACTGGACAACCCCAGCAAGGTTCAGCAGGTGAGTAGGAAGGTGCTCCGAATATTGCTCTCTAAGAGCTAAAGAACTTGGTGGTTTGGAGAGGCAAGTGATTTCAATGCTTGGTTTGCCAGTGTTTTCTTTAGCTTTGTCCCCTATTAATCTTATGCCTTGTATTTGTGCCTGTAGTATTATGGAACTAGAGTTTGCAAGAGTTACTGTAGTACTAAGATTCTGTAATTTCCTTATGATGTTTCCTCTATTGACTTCCCTCCTGGTAGCTGGGTATGATGTCTCGATTTTGAATGATAACTCTTAAGTGCAGTGGTGTGTTTGTACCTTAGATCAAAAGTAGTAGATGACTTGATCTCTTGTTGGGGTTGACAGGCTGAACTTCACACAGGTAGTCTGCCACGGATCCAGAGCACGGCACTCAGAGGCGAGAAACTCCATCGAGTGTTCCATTATGTCCTGGATAATCTGGTCAATGTAATGAATGGATACTGCCTTCCAGATCCTTTCTTTAGCAGCAAGGTATGTATCACGTCTCCTGGGGAAGGGATGTACAAATGGGATACCTATTCTCCAAAATAGTTCCAAGTCTCATAATGATTGTTTAAGAGGGAGGAAAAGAAAGCTGTTTGGCCTAGAACTCTTTCACCTTCAGTTGTGGGACTTGAGGTCTTTAAATCCATGTTTCTTATCCTTGTCATGGACTTCACATTTAATTGTGATTACTCCTTTTTTTTTTTCCTCGAGACGGAGTCTTGCTCTGTTGCCCAGGCTGGAGTGCAATGGCACAAACTCAGCTGACTGCAACCTCCACCTCCTGGGTTCAAGTGATTCTCCTGCCTCAACCTCCTGAGTAGTGGGGATTGTAGGCACGTGCCACCAGGCGCGGCTAATTTTTTTTTTTTTTTTTTAGTAGAGGTGGGGTTTCACCACGTTGGCCAGACTGGTCTTGAACTCCTGACTTTGTGATCTGCCCGCCTCGGCCTCCCAAAGTGCTGGGATTATAGGCGTGAGCCACTGTGCCCGCCCGTGATTAGTCCTTTTTAAACTGGAGAATAGGGGCAATGTTAGATGCTTACGTTGCAATTTCAAAGTACTCTATGATAGTTGGCTCACGCCTGTAATCTCACCACTTTGGGAAGCTGAGATGGAAAGATCGCTTGAGGCCAGGAGTTTGAGACCAGCCTGATCAACATAGCAAGACCCCATATCTATTGAAAATTATATAAATTTTTATTGAAAAGAAGTAGTATATGATAGTGAATTCAGATATAGTTGACTCTTGAACAATACAGGTTTGAACTGTGTGGGTCCACTTATATGTGGATTTTTTCAGCCAAACATGGATCAAAATTACAGTATTGATGAGATATGGAACCCACAACTATTTCTATACATGGGTTCCGTAGGGCTCAAGTATGTGCAGATTTTCATATATGAGTGGTGGTTCTGGAACCAATTTCCCACGTATACAGAATGACAACTATATATCTTTTTATTTGGGGGATTGTGTTAACTTGGGTCCTATTTTACCAATGCTTTCTTTCTAGGTAAAAGACTGGGTAGAGCGATTGATGAAAACCCTCAGAGATCCCTCCCTGCCTCTCCTAGAATTGCAAGATATTATGACCAGTGTGTCTGGCCGCATTCCCCCCAATGTGGAGAAGTCTATCAAGAAGGAAATGGCTCAGTATGCTAGCAACATCACATCAGTCCTCTGTCAGTTTCCCAGCCAGCAGGTATTTATAGGATAACACTATATTTTTTTCTGGCTACCAATGCCAGAGTTTATGTTGTAGGATTCCTTCCTATTTGGATCCTCCTTACTTTTTGGATGTTGTGCTTGTATACTTTTAAGCATTGTATTCCTCACAAAACTGCCTCAGGGTACAAACCCAACAGTGAAAGTACTGTATGTGAAGGATAAGTATCTGTAGTTATGAGAAAAGCACACTTGGATCATGTATACCTTATAGCTTTGTTCCTGGGGCTATTCCCTAATTAGAGGTATTTTCATGAATTGAAAATAGAGTGATATTAGTTGATTGATTGATTCATTCATTCACTCATTGATTTAGAGATGGAGTCTAGCTCTGTCACCAGGCTGGAGTGCAGTGGCTGATCTCGGCTCACTGCAACCCCTGCCTCCCGAGTTCAAGCAATTCTCCTGCCTCAGCCTCCTGAGTAGCTGGGATTACATTCACACGCTGCCATGCCAGCTAATTTTTGCATTTTTAGTAGTCACGGGTTTCACCATGTTGGCCAGGATGGTCTCGATCTCCTGACCTCGTGATCCGCCCACCTCGGCCTCCCAAAGTGCTGGGATTACAGGCGTGAGCCACCGTGCCCAGCTGTTTATTTATTTATTTATTTATTTTTGAGACAGGGTCTTGCTCTGTCGCCAAGGCTGGAGTGCAGTGGTGCGGTCATGGCTCGCTGTAGCCTTGACCCCATAGGCCCAATGGCTCATCCCACCTCAGTCTCCCAGGTAGCTGGGACTACAGATGTGCACCACTATGCCCAGCTAATTTTTAAAAAATTTTTATAGAGATGGGGGTCTCGTTATGTTGCCCAGGTTGGTATTGAACTCATGGGCTCAAGCTATCCTCCCTCCTTGGCCTCCCAAAGTGCTGAGGTTACAGGTGTGAGCCACCACACATGGCCTATTGGTAGTTTTATTTTCAGAGACATTCTTACTACCTTGGCAGCATCTTTACTCTTTACCCATAAAGCAGATGTATGTGTAGGGAATATAGGTAGATAAGTGGGGAGTGATGTTTGGATCTTGACCTTGAACAGATATTGGTAAGATGATAGTTTTTGTAATGTAGTCATTAATTCATCTGGGAAAGGGTGACAAGGGATGAAATCTGCTTGCTTATGTAGCGTGATTCTCTATATAGACTACGCCTGGTAACTTCCAGCTGCTGCCAACATGTGAGATAGGAACTGCCATGTTATAAGAAGAAGATTCCTACTGGTCGTGCTATAGAGGCTGATGCTTTGGGGCATTTTGTTGGGTTGGGCCTCATTTTTTTCCCTTTTTTATACCTTAGATTGCAAACATCCTAGATAGCCATGCAGCTACATTGAACCGGAAATCTGAACGGGAAGTCTTCTTTATGAATACTCAGAGCATTGTTCAGCTGGTACAGAGGTAGTAACTTGTAACTCCAGATTCCCAGACCTGTCCATACTCATGTCTTCCTTTCTTTCAAGTGGTCACAAAAAAATTTACCTCAGATTTGACTTCAAGAAATTGGAAAGCATCTTATATCTTAGAAAGTACCTTGTCTTTTCTAAATATCTTAGAATTGTGAGCTAACTCTCATGCTCAATATTTCTGACTTCTTAATATTCTACATTTTTTTCTGTCAATTATTTATTATTATTATTATTTTTTGAGACAGGATCTCACTCTGTTGCCCCGACTGGAGTGCAGTGGCTCAATCATGGCTCATTGCAGCCTCAACCTCCTGAGGCTCAGGTGATCCTCCTGTTTCAACCCCTCTGAATAGCTGGGACTATAGCTGTGCACCACCACATCCAGCTAATTTTTGTATTTTTAGAAGAGCTGGGGTTTTGCCATGTTGCCCAGGCTCATCTCAAACTCTTGGGCTCAAATGACCCACCCGCCTCGGCCTCCCAAACTGTTGGGATTACAGGCATGAGCCACTGCGTCCAGCCTGTCAATTAATAAGGCACAGAAATTTTGTTGTTTTCTTTTTCCTTGCCATTTTGATGAAGCTCCTAATTTTTCTTCTGTCACAGGGCCCAGTATGACATTTTTTCTTCTTAGCTTATGGAGCCTATTATATTAGGTTGGTGCAAAAGTAATTGTGGTTGTTGCTATTAATACTAAAGGGATATTCACAGAGCATATTTATTTATTTATTTATTTATTTATTTTTTTTGGAGACAGGGTCTCACACTGTCATCCAGGTTGTAGTACAGTAGCACAATCTCAGCTCACTGCAACCTCTGCCTCCCAGGCTCAAGCAATCCTCCCACCTCAGCCTCTTGAGTAGCTGGGACTACAGTCACATGCTACCATGCTTGGCTAATTTTTTTGTATTTTTTGTAGATAAGAGGTTTTGCCATATTGCCTAGGCTGGTCTGGAGCTCCTAGACTCAAGTGATCCTCCTGCCTTGGCCTCCCAAAGTTCTGGGATTGCAGATGTGAGCTAAGGCAACCGGCCTCACAGAACACTTTTAACTTTAAGATACTTATAAATTTTTCAGATATCTCAGCCATTTCAAGAGTATGGTAATAATTTCTACTTAGCAGTAGGAACTGAATCAAGGTGTTGGTAGGTGGGGCTATGCAGGATTTTGTTGTCTTCTTTATTAAAAAAGGTCTTGTCTATAGTGAGATTTCTTTTAGGCTTAGAATTTAAGTTAATTTTGTAGTTCATTTTAGGCTGTTCTTTATTCAGAGGGAAAGCAGTTCAGTGGAATGTCGTGGAGGTAAATTTGGCCTTTGGGTTTATTGCTTAATAGTGTTGGATTGTCAGGTTTTTCAGTGGAGACTTTCTATTTGCCTAGGTACCGAAGTGGCATCCGAGGCCACATGAAGGCTGTGGTGATGGATCTGCTCCGGCAGTACCTGCGAGTAGAGACACAATTCCAGAATGGTAAGCCTCTTCCTGAGGACTCTCTAGCTAAGAAAGCCTTGATTCTGATAACCAACCCAAACTATCCCTATAGGACTGTGTAAGAGCTAAGCCCCCTCCTGTCAACAACACTTCCCATTAATAAACAGTCTCCTATCACTACTCCCTTAAAAACTAAACCTCTATATCCACTAGCTCTAAAGAAAGAACAACGAAACACAGCTTGATGAAATTAGGAATCCAGTGTGCTTCTGAGAAAGGGCTGAAGTAATTTTTCTAATAGAGATTACCATTCCTGTTGATATCTTTTTGACCTTGTGTAGTGTAAGTTGGTTGAGTCATCACAGGCTGAAATTGAGAAACCCATATCTGAAGAGCTTGATTCTTGGCAGCTAATCCATGAATTGAACCAGAGGCATCTAGGAAGAGCAAGTTCAGGTTTTCCAATACTTTTTAGTATATCATTTAGGTAGACTTTATCCCTGGCTTTCTCTGAAGAGCTTCACTAAATGATAAATTGTCTCTTAAGTGTGAAATAACCTTGGCTAAAATTTTAAAGCTGTTTACTGCTGACATTGCTTCCTGCCACAAGATGGCAGTGAAACATCACAGAATTTGAAACATTATCTGAAATTTGAAACATTTTCCTTTATCTGCTCCTTTTCACTTCCTTTAAAAGCAGCCTATGCCACTCATGACCAGCAAAAATCCTCATGTAGATATCAGCAAACCGCATCCAATAACATACAAAATAATACATAACAACCAAGTTGGCTTTATCCCACGCATTCAAGGTTGATCAGTTTGGAGAAAGTCAATTAATATAATTTATCATGAAATAGATGAAAGGAGGAAAAACATGCTCATTATCTCAAGATAACAGGGTGTGGAGAGGGAGCATTTGACAGAATTTAACATCCATTCATGACAAACTCTTGGAAACTAGGAGTGAAATGGAACTTTTAAAATCTTGTAAAAGGGACCCACAAAAAAATCTGCAGGATACATCATGCATTATGGTAAAACGTTGAAAACATTATCTTTAAGATTAGGAATAAGACAAGGATGCCTGCTGTCACTACTTCTATTCAGCTTTATAGTGGATGTCCTAGCCAGTGCAGTAAGACAAGGAAAAGAATTAAAGGGTATAAGAGCTAGAAAGTAATAAAGCAATATATCTGCCATTATTAAATATGATAGGGTGTCTCTTTAGAAAGCCTCAAAGGATTCACAGATTGATTATTAAATTATTTAAAATCTAACATGATTGCTAAATACAAAAGTCAACATACAAAATTCAACAGTATTTGTTTACAGTAGAGCAATTGTTTAGAAAAGCAGTTCAGGAAAAAAAAAATTAAAATAGCAGGCTAGATGTAGTGGCTCATGCTTGTCATCTTAGCACTTTGGGAGGCCAGGACAGGAGGATTGCTTGAGGCCAGGAGTTTGAGACCAGCCTTGGCAATATAGTGAGACCCCATCTCTACAAAAAATTAAAAACAATTAGCCAGGCATGATGGCACATGCCTATAGTCCTACCTACTCAAGAGGCTGAAACAAGAGGATTGCCTGAGCCCAGGGATTCAAGGGTGCAGTGAGCTATGATTGTACCACTGCACTCAGCCCAGGCAACAGAGCAAGACCCTGTCTCTAAATAATTAATTAATTAGTTGATAAAATAGCAACCCAAAACATGAAATACTAAGGAGTAAATCTAACAAAAAATGTGCAAGCCTCTTTTGAGGAAAATTATAATCAAGAATATTATAATAGTAAAGAAGATTTAAATAAATTATCAAGGTCTTAAATTGGAATGTACACTATTAGGTGCCGATTCTTCCTAAATTCATCTGTAGATTGACATTTCAATAAAAATTCTGTTAGTGTATTTGTAATGCTAATTATAAAATTTCCATAAAAGACAAGTCTCACAATAACCAAGATACTTCCAAAGAAATACAAGGTGAAAAGATTTGCCTAATCAGATATCAAGATTTAATATAAAGCCATATTAATTAAGAAATTGTGAGATAGGTGTAGAGATAGATTTATAGATCAGTGGAACTTAATGACCCAGAAACAGATCCAGCCATATATGAAAACTTATTTTATGATAGAGGAGGCATTGTAGATCATGGGGAAAGGATAGATTTTTTTTTTTTCAATAAATGATACCAGCACAATGGGTTATTCATTTAAAAAAAAAAAAAGAGGAAAGAAAGAAATGGAATCCCTATCTTATGCCTATACACAAAAATCAATTCCCGATAAAGACTTAAATATGTACTAAAGAGGTGAAGCTGTTAAATGGTTAGGAGAATATCGTTATAACCTCAGGATAGGAAGATTTTGTTGTATAAGACACAGCAAGTACAAACTACAAAAGAAAAGATTGATTACTTAAACTCCACTCAAGAACTTCTGTTCATCAAAATACGTCATAAGGAGTCTGAAAAGCCTGTAATCCTAGCACTTTCGGAGGCCAAGGCCGGCAGATTGCTTGAGCCCAGGAGTTCGAGACCAGCCTGGGCAACATAGCAAGACCCCGTCTCTAAAAAAATACAAAAATTAGCCAGGTGTAGTGTTATGTGCCTGTAGTCCTAGCTTCTTGGGAGGCTCAGGTTGGAGGATTGCCTGAGCCTGGGGAGGTCGAGGCTGTAGTGAGCTGTGATTGCATCACTGCACTCCAGCCCCGTTGACAGAGCAGGACACAGTCTCCAAAAAAAGAGACTGAAAATATAAGCTACAAAGTGTGAGAAGATATTTACAAAATATATACCTAAAAAATAATTAGAAGTATCTAGAGAATTGGTATGAATCATCAAGTTAAAGACATCCTAATAGAGAAATGGGCAAAAGATATAGAAAGATATTTTACAGAAGAAGAAGTACAAATAATTTATAAACTTACACAAAGATGCTCAATCCCATTTGTAATTAGAGGCATATAAACCAAAACCACAATGAGAGTGGCAAAAATTTAAAAGTCACATCATCATCTTCATTGCTTCTGTACATGGAAGTACAAATTGGTATATACCACTTTGGTAACAGTTGGTCAGTACCTAATAAAGTTGAACTTATTTGTATTCTTTAACCTAGTAATTTTACTCCTAGAAAATATACTTTAGAGAAACTATTACACATGTTTACTAGGATACATATACAGGAGTATTTGTGACAGCACTGTTCATAATCTTAAAAAAGACAAGAAACAATCTAAATATACATAGGTAGAGTGGATCATTGAAGTCTGGTATATTCCTACCATGGATTACTATGCAGCAGTGAAAATGGATGCACCAAGGCATACACTGAACAAAAGGATGAATCTCAAAAATACAATGTTAAGGAAAAGAAATGGTACAGTGATTCCATTTTTTTCAGGTTCAAAAACCAGGAAAATTAAGCTATACATACATTGGTGATAAAAGTTAAGAAAAACAAAAGAATAATTAACATAAAATTCAGCTTAGTAGTTGTTTCTGAGGAGGGGTACGCAGGGGTCTTCAAAGATACTAGAGATGTTCTATTAAAATGTAATGGCTTTAAAATAACACATGGGTGTTTATTTCAACTGATACCATATATTCTATATATTCTTCTGTATATATATTTCATAATTAAACTGTTTTGTTTTGTTTTTTGTTTGGTGTGTGTTCTTTTTTTGTTGAGATGAAGTCTCACTCTGACACCCAAGCTGGAGTGCAGTGGTGCAATCTCTGCTCACTGCAACTTCTGCCTCCTGGGTTCAAGCAATTCTTCTGCCTCAGCCTGCTGTGTAGCTGGGATTATAGGTGTGTACCACCATGCCTGGCTAATTTTTGTATTTTTAGTAGAGATGGGGTTTCACCCTGTTGGCCAGCCTGGTCTCAAATGTCTGACCTCAAGTGATCCACCCGCCTTGGCTGCCCAAAGTGCTGGGATTACAAGGGTGAGCCACCGCACCCAGCCAATTAAGTGTTTTTAAAAAAGAGTGTCTTGGTATGCAGGATCTTCAAAGTAAAAAAAAAAAAAACAAGAAAGTATCATTGCTTTCTTTCTGTTAATGTCTCCCCTCACCCCGGGTAAATGTGTTCTTTTTATTTCCCCTGGTCCTATTGCCAAAGTTTATTTGTGTTGTCACTTCAAAGCTAAGTCTTGGTAGAGAAAAATATTAATGCAGAACAGCTAATTTTTAAACAGCTTCCCTTTTGGTCTAAATGTGTCTTTTATGAAATTGGCAGCTCTCTCGATATTGTAGTCCATTGTTTTTCAAATATAATTTTATTTGGAAAAAAATTGCTTATGTCAATCTCTAATATTTAGAATAATTAAAAGCCTGGTTACACTGGTCCAGTGTACTCAGTGTTCTAGGAAACCATGATAATGCAGTTTGAACGTCACTGTTCTGGTTTGTAACTTAACGTGGAATCTGAACTGAGGTGATAATCCTTTACTGTTTTCATGATTTCATAAAATTCTGACCCTTGAGAATATTCAAACACTAATTCCTCTTTACTTGGAAATTTAATTCTGAGGTAAGCTGTTTTCTAAAGAACTGAATATTACTTATATCCCATGGCAGATATCACTACAGTGTACCAGAGGCTTATGCTTCTGTTGTAAAACATAGCTTTCCTACTCAGAACTAACCTGCCCCTGGTGGCCTTAGGGAAGGCAAGTGAAAATATGCATAACTTTAGTCTCCCTACAGACCTTTTGACTTAATGCAAGGTTCTCCTTGATCTATACCTTGGGTTGGATTTGGCGTTCCTAGGCATTGCTTAGCTGTTTCAAGGACTAACAGAAGAAAATGTTGATTCCAGGGGTAGCAGTCACACTTCTCATGGATATTGCTAAGTTTGGTGTGGTTTTATTTTTTGAGCTAAAACTGTTCCTACTGATTAGGGTCAACTATTTTCTGCAAGTCAAACATGGAATCAGAATCTCAAGCTCTGGGGGAGACCTTAAAGATCATCAAGTTTAATGATATTTACATTTCTTTTTAAACAGAAATTTCTCGTCTAAAGAAATCATGAGAGAGTTTAGAGTAAGACTGGGGTTTGAGTTATTCCCAATCTTTCAGTCTTTAAGGTACACCCACCTCCCCAATTTTTAAAAAATTTAATGAAATTGAGGCCCAGAGAGGTAAAATGATTTTCCCAGGAGCACACAGTAAATTGCTAATAGAACTAGGCCTTGAACCCAGATCTTATATCCAAATTGCCTGACTCCTAGTCCAGTGTTCCTTTTACTAAATCACATTGCCAGTTTCTGTACAAATCCATCCAAGAAAATCCTTATGATGTTTCTTCTCACTGCTCGTCTCATAAATTATAGACAGTACAAAACAAATAGCATGTAAATGTGAACATTTATACATGGGTGAGAACCAGTTCTTTTCATGGTGTGCAGGTCACTATGACAAATGTGTATTCGCCCTCCGAGAAGAGAATAAAAGTGACATGAACACTGTACTGAACTACATCTTCTCTCACGCTCAAGTCACCAAGAAGAATCTTCTGGTCACAATGCTTATTGTGAGTACCATTTTTCAGAACTTGTAAAGACCGTCAATGATATGCAAAAAGTATTTTTTTCCTTTTGATGGCTATGGCCAGAGAAAAAAAACTACTGCCTTTTATAATTATGGGATGAATGGGGCTTGAGCTGTGGATTAACAGTTTCTCACATCTACCTTTGTCCTTGGTCTGAAGGAACCTGCTTTAGTGAGAAAATGACTCTTCTGGCCATTATGCATATACTCATTCACAGGAACTTATACCTCCTAACTCTGTTTAGAAATGCCTCGTGCTTCACCATTCCTGTGGTCATCATGACAGCAGCTTTAAAATTTCATCTTATTTAGCCAATATATTCTAATTTTAACTCTTGTTCCATAGATACAAGCAATGGCTCTCATGTCAAACTTGAAAAAAAATAAATAGAAATCCAGCACTCCCCCTCTCTGACCAGAGAAATTTAAATGTATTCTGCATCTTCATTGGTCCCTTTTTATTTATATTGAAAATCTAAGCTCGGATTATTGTATTGGTAGTAAATGTATGATTTTTTTCCCTATAACTTAGTAAAATAAGAATTAGTAGGAAGTAGGAATAGGGAGTGAGCCTGGTAAGTTTGATGAGAGCTAATGTGCATTCAGCCAGTGGGTGGAATTTTTGTGGGCTGAAGGATTTTTAAAGATGACTTGCAAGTCCTTCACTCCTAGCTCATTCTGGTTGAGTTAGTTGTAGGAATTAGTACAGTAGGACTACTCCTAGAGTCCCTCACCCCATGGTCCTGAGCATTTGCCTTGCTGCTGCATGCCTGTCTTTTTGGGGACTGTAGTGCCTTTTCACTCCTAGAGTTTTCTTTTTGTCTCTTTGTGGAATTGGGATTCTTGGTAAGTTAATTACATCATTTTTTCATGGAGGAAAAAAACATACATCTTCATGCTATTTTTTATTTCTTCAGAATGAAGGGAAACTATCTACCATACACCTCTGATTAACAAGAGTGCCACTCATTCAGTTATATGCCTAGCTGGTTAACTCTAAAGCGTATCACATTTTTTAGAATAGCCACTTTAAAAAATATGTAATTATAGGGAGAGTTCATTGCCTTTGCTACCCTAGAATAGCTAGATGGTAGGGAAACGAGAAAGATGCAGTTGAGAGGGAAAAATATATATGTTAGTACAATGTAATACTTCAACTTCCCCCAAGTGACAGGTTTCAGCTAAGAAATGATACAATCTATGGCAGCTTGCTAATTTTTTTTGTCAGTCAAAAGAAGGAAGAAAGACTATTTAGATGTTTTTTTTAATTTAATGAAAGGATTGTTAAATCTCATTTGGATAAAGCCAAGACTTTCTGTCAGAAAAGGGTAATGATGAGGAGGGTAGGAGAATCTGTCAGTTTGGACCTAGAATGGGGTGGAATTTGCCTTTATAGGAAGCTAATTATGGTGAGTTTTTCTTTTTATTGTGATTACGTTTTTAAGAACTTAACAGTTTTCTGCACTAAAAATAGACCAAAGCCTAGAATCCTTGGAGCAGCGGAAGAGTAATGATTGTCCAAGACTGTCGCTGGGTTTCTTAAATTCTAATTTGTAAGATATAGGGGCTCAGCTCGCTCCTTTTGCGGAGTGATTGTAAGTAACGCTTGCCTTAAGAATCTCATTATTGGAACACGGAGCCATATTTCCTCTGAGAATTCTGGAGTAGCTTTGAGCCAGGGCTGTTCATTTCTCAAGTAATCACGCTGGTGTGATGGAGAGAGAAAATGGCAGCTGTTCGGAGCTCAGGCCTTCAATTTTCTTCAGAGTCCAGTCACTCAAGTGTGTAATTACGCGGGGGGTGCTGCAGAGGCGTTGGGCCCTGTCAGAGAACTGGTTTGAGGCTTTGCTTTCTGCTTTTGCCAGTCAGGACAGGCAGAAGCCAATGGGACTCTGACTTTCCACGCTGTTCTTTTTTTCTCCCACCTTGTCATCCTGATTACTTCTTACCTGCATGGATAGTACCCAGACTTTCTTTCCAACAGGCTGAGCTCTTTAGGGAAAAGAGCTGTTTCAGAGTTTGAGTTTGGGTGAATAGGATGGAGGAGGAGGAGGACAAGGGGGATGGGAAGAGGAGGAGGAGGAGGAGGAGGATAAGGACGGTTGAACATGTGAACCAGGAAGCCAGATTTGTCCCTTTCTTTATTTTGGTGTCATTACATTTTTCTTTAAAAAAAAAACAAAAACAAAATGAGACCCAGTAAACGTAAGAGGATCTCTAAGCTTTCATGTCATTAATTTCTTTTCAAATATCAGTTGTTTTCATTTCATCTTAGAGATTTGGAAATCAAGAAGTTAATGATATGATCAAGCTCAGGGCCAGCTAGCAGTGACTTATGGAACATGGGTAAAAGCTCAAGACGGTGCTCTTTTCTGATCTGATGTTACTGAATGCCAGACATGTCTTCCTCTTTTCCTCTTTGACAACGCTTAGCTGTTCCCCCTTCCTTCTTCCTCTCCCTCCTCCTCTCCCACATCTGCATTAATGGTAGTAGCTGGTAAGAGCCATTTTGGTTGTTTGGATTATTCTTTCCTCGGATCTTAGTATCTTTTACAGATGTCACCTGCACATGGTAGCACTTTGACTCCCCCAGCTTGTGTTCTCTGCTGGTTCCCCTTTCTTTGCATATCTTGGCTTCCTGATTGATGGTTATGTGCCCAGTATTCCATTCTCTGCTTTCTAGAAGTAGGAATGTTGATAGTATGCTTTGCTGAGCTAGATGATGATTTCTGGGGCTTTTGAACCTACAGGGAGGGAGGTATCAAGAAACTCAGGCTTCCGTGAGTCAATGTCATGGGATATGCGTTGCTCTAGTAAAGAGGTACCTTCATCCTCTCCAGGTGTTAGCATAACCTGCCCAGTGGTAACTTGCCTCATGGACTCTCAAGCAGATTTCTGGTAATCTTTCACTCTGTCTGGAAAGCAAAGTATCAGGTAAAAGGCTAAAGTCCTATCAGGTTTCCTCCATTTAAAGGGACATTGTAACACAATTTAACACAAAGTCTGGAAGACCAATAGTACATTTATTTTTTGAAAGCTCTTCTTATTTCTTAAATTTAACTTTATAGGAAAAAGCTTAGAACTCAGAACATTGTTTATGTTTGCTTAGAGATATTTAAGGAACTCTTTAATCTTTAGCCAGATTAAGCTAATTGGTACAAATACAAAGTATCAACATCTTCATAGCTGTCTAGATGGCAATGTACATATCTTCTAGCCACCTTGATGGTAAGTAGTCTTCCCCTCACTACTTGTAACTTATTTTTGATACGGTCCACATGAACATGCTATAAACCATGCTTCTGTATGAGTAATGCCATGCCTATGAACCCCTGATTTGGTTTAGATGGGGAGAATTTATGATGCTGATCAGCACCTTTCCTTCCTCCACTTAACCTGACTGCAAATAATTTTGTCCAATATGTAAATAAAGAAGAAAAGTCTTTCTCAGTGATTCCACATTCACTGAATAAGGGTGATATTAACAATTGTTAAACTTACCCTATGACATTTTTTGGGATATCAAAAAGTGCAGATATGACTAGAAGAAGCTACCAGTTCATTGCTGATCCTGGGTTTAGTGCCTACCCGGCTAAATAATAGTTAATGTCTTGAGGGCATTACACATAAGGTCACATTCTTTTCGTTTTGAATTGCCTTCTAAGATCAAGTTGGACTATGTTGGTTTCTTCTGTCAGTCAACTGTGTAACTTTGGCTATGCTTTTTTTTTTTTTTTTTAAATTAAAGATGTGGTCTCACTGTGTTGCCTGGGCTGCTGTCAAACTTCTGTGCTCAAACGGTCTCGGCCTCCCATCTTGGCCTCCCAAAATGCTGGGACTACAGGCATGAGCCACTGTGCCCAGCCTTGGCTATGGGTTTAACGTTTTATCATGTTTGTTGTATTTCTGCAAATTCGAACTATTTCCTATAGTTAGCTACCATCTAGGTCAAAAGTAAAAGCAAGAAATAACTGTTTTGTACCAGTATGGCTGAATAATAATTTTCACTTCGTTTTATGACTCTGGACAGTTGGAACAGACCTTTGGTTGGTGGATTGGGATGCCAGATTTTTGCAAGTGACCTGTAATCCCAAAATCAGCAGGTTGGCTCTTTAAACAAACCTTTTTATGTTGACTAAACACATCTGCTGACCTAGACACCATCTAAAGGTATCCTTACAAAATGTTCACCAGGATTAGATGGTGATGTTTGTTTGTCCAGTTGCCCAAAAGAAGCCTGTCTCTAGGACAGAGGGTAATAAACTTCCTGTTGGATGTTAGTTGGCATCTTAAGATGGGTGGTTCTGAAAAACCCTGATGTTTTCTTGCAGAACCTGAATGCTGTGTCTAGGTCAGGGACAAGACAGGGTTGAGGAAGTTATTCTATACATAATTTTCTGTTGCCAATTTTTTTCTAAGTATTAATGATGACAGTGGAGAAAATATTTGAATGGAAAACTTCCAAGTCAGAATAGACTAACGAAAATAGTGGTTAATTCATACTGTTTGATAATTACTTCACATTTATTTATTTATTTATTTATTTATTTATTTATTTATTTATTTATTTTTTGAGATGGAGTTTCGCTCTTATTGCCCAGGCTGGAGTGCAACGGCGCGATCTTGGCTCACCACAACCTCTGCCTCCTGGGTTCAAGCGATTCTCCTGCCTCAGCCTCCTGAGTAGCTGGGATAACAGGCATGCACCACTGCACCCAGTTAATTTTGTATTTTTAGTAGAGACGGGGTTTCTCCATGTTGGTCAGGCTGGTCTCGAACGCCTGACCTCAGGTGATCCACCTACCTTGGCCTCCCAAAATGCTGGGATTACAGGTGTGAGCCACCGCACCCGGCCTTATTTATTTATTTTAATTTTATTTTATTTTATTTTATTTTGAGACGGAATTTCACTCTTGTTGCCCAGGCTGTAGTGCAATGACGCAATCTCAGCTCACTGCAACCTCCACCTCCTGGGCAATTCTCTGGCCTCAGCCTCCCAAGTAGCTGGGATTACAGGCATGCGCCACCACGCCCAGCTAATTTTTTTGTATTTAGTAGAGATGGGGTTTCATCATGTTGGTCAGGCTGGTCTCGAACTGACCTCAGGTAATCCGCCCACCTCGGCCTCCCAAAGTGCTGGGATTACAGGCGTGAGCCACCACGCCTGGCCCACATTTATTTTTTCTAATCTCCATAGTTCGCTTTTCTTACACATACTGTTGTTTTTTCCTGAAGCCCTTTTTTACTGCCTTTCTCTCATAGTGGAAAGATAAAATAAAAAAGTGGTTTTTAAAAAAAAGTGCTTTTACGTGTTTTGCTTTGTTTTGTCTTTTAAGTTAGAGCATGATCTGTAACTGCCAGGCGCAGTGGCTCACACCTGTAATCCCAGCACTTTGGGAGGCCGAGGCGGGTGGATCACAAGGTCAGGAGATCGATACCATCCTGGTTAACACGGTGAAACCCCATCTCTACTAAAAATACAAAAAATTAGCCGGGCATGGTGGCGGGCGCCTGTAGTCCCAGGTACTCGGGAGGCTGAGGCAGGAGAATGGCGTGAACCCCGGAGGCGGAGCTTGCAGTGAGCCAAGATTGCGCCACTGCACTCCAGCCTGCGGAACAGAGAGAGACTCCGTCTTAAAAACAAAACAAAACAGAACAAAACATGATCTGTAACTATGCAAGAGGATAACTCCATTTTTAAAAATTTTAGTTTCATCTGTAAAGGTAAACCTATATTTCTTTTAAAGGGAATGCATTCTATATCAAATCTGATACAGGTTGCGGAGGTGATTAGTGTGCTTTTTTTTTTTTTTTGAGACGGAGTCTCGCTCTGTTGCCCAGGCTGGAGTGCAGTGGCCGGATCTCGGCTCACTGCAAGCTCTGCCTCCCGGGTTCACACCATTCTCCTGCCTCAGCCTCCCGAGTAGTTGGGACTACAGGCACCCGCCACCACGCCCGGCTAATTTTTTTGTATTTTTAGTAGAGACGGGTTTCAACCGTGTTCTCCAGGATGGTCTCGATCTCCTGACCTCGTGATCCGCCCTCCTCGGCCTCCCAAAGTGCTGGGATTACAGGCGTGAGCCACCGCGCCTGGCCCTAGTGCTCTTATTTTGTCATGTTGGCTTTTGTTTTTAATGTTGAGACTTTAGTCTGGCTTTGTACAGAGGAGTCGAGTTGTGGCATTACCCAGTAGACTTCTTATGTTTTTAGGCATTTTGGTGGGTCATTCCAATGCTTTTAGTAAGTACTTCGGAAAGGAGTATGTTTGCTCTATTAAGAACATTAGGAAAGGGACTTAGGTAGGAAAAAATTATGTTGGTTTCCCTACCTACTGTTATCTGTCAATTCTTTCCTTCTGTCTTTCTATGGTCCTGTTTCTGGTAGTTTTACATATTCCTTTGAAATTCTGTTTTGCTCATTAGTTCTCAGCAAAAGGTGAGACTTACTTGCATTTCCTTTCTCCTGTTTGCTTTTATGCCTAGGATAGGTAGAACAGATTCTCTAATCTGTGCTACCTGTTCAATAGAACCTCTGGGTTTATCTTCACTTTAATAGCAGCTTTTATTTTTCTCACTCAGATGAGTGAATTATCTGGGTGAAATGGGTGAAAACAGTACTTGCACTTCCTTAATTATAACTCCCATCATATGTTTTATGACTCTGGACAGTCAGAGCAGACCTCTGATTGGTGGATTAGGGAACCAGAATCTCATTATATCATTTTCTCAAAAAAAAAAAAAAAAAAAAAAAAGGGTTTGAGAAACCTTCCCAGCATAATGGCATTGAGTATTTCAAAAGTATTTACCTTGTGATGTGGAAGGTAGGGGTTTTGGAAAAAGCATGTCTTTTATTTATACTGCATTTATTTATACTTCTGTGATAAAGGTCTATAAAGAGTATCCCTGAGATGGGGAAGGTTAAGTATGAAATAGAAATTCTTCAAGAAAAGGGCTGATAATCAAAGTGGGGAGATTAACATGCAGCAACAAGCAGGCCCTTTGGGTCTTCTTTCATGTCCCATTGGTAGTAGGGGGAGAATAAATATTTATTAAAATACAAAGGCAATTCTTTAAAAAAAATTTTTTTTTTTTTTTTTTTGAGACAGAGTCTCGCTCTGTTGCCCAGGCTGGAGTGCAGTGGCACGATCTCGGCTCACTGCAAGGTCCACCTCCCGGGTTCACGCCATTCTCCTGCCTCAGCCTCCTGAGTAGCTGGGACTACAGGCGCCCGCCACCACGCCCGGCTAATTTTTTGTATTTTTAGTAGAGACGGGGTTTCACCGTGTTAGCCAGGATGGTCTCGACCTCGTGATCCGCACGCCTCGGCCTCCCAAAGTGCTGAGATTACAGGCGTGAGCCACAGCGCCCGGCCTAAAAATTTTTTGTTTTATTTATTTTTATTTTTTATTTTTAGAGATGGGGTCTCACCATGTTGCCTAGGCTGGTCTTGAACTCCTGGGCTCAAGCAGTCCTCCTGTCTTGACCTCCCAAAATGCTGGGGTTACAGGTGTGAGCCACCCTGCCCAGCCAAGGCAATTATTTAAAACTCCAAGTAGAGGTAGTGATATCTAAATGGATATATTTTATATGGTGTGGTGTTAATAATTACTACTACCAGTAGGTCTGTAAAGTTCAAAAAGGACAGACATTTATAAAAACTGCATTTACATTTTTTTCAGCTTAGATGGAAATTGCATGGATAATGGATGAATTTAGGGAATAAACTGATATTCCACTGGACTCCAGTAAGGATATTTCTCTCAGAATATGATTGAGATTATTTTCTTAACATTTTTTACTTCTTAGAAGAGGAAGGACCCAATACTGAATAAACCATGGATTCTATAGTAGGAGCCTGTTTTTTTCCTCTAATTCAGCTAAGGATTCACATGTTTAAGTATCATGGAATGATTCTTGGTACAGGAAGAAGAGAAATGATTTGGGATGCAGAATTGCCAGCATATGAGATGGTGTTTTAGTTAGTGTGTGTTTATAAATAAATAATTTATTCTTGTGTTTCTGTTTTGCATCCTCCTGGGTTGCTGAAAATTTGGTTTATGAGATGAAAACCACTGGGGTGGTTCTTTTTGCCTTATATCTACCTTCTTTCCAAAAGTGGGAGGGGAAACAGGAAGGCCTTTAGTCCCTGTTATTTAAAACTTTCTCTTAAAACTTTGAGACATATCTATTATTTCTTACTCAGAATCCCCTTGGCCCCTTTTAGTGGTCTCTAATGATTCCTTCTGCGTGTTAAAAGTATAGTGTTGATTTATAAGGAAATACATTAGGAATTTTGAATGAGGGATTTGGGCTGCCTCTCCTTAGCCAAACTTCCTCTGGGATCTTCTTTACCACATTGTTTAGGGTAAAAATAATAGGAAGTTTGCATTTTCTTATTAATCCAGCTGGGTTTACTTTGTTTTCATTCCTTTTCTCTATTTTAAAATCCTATCCACCTGTTCTTTTTAATATGACTATCTATGTTCTTTTTTACATTAACAATTAGGATCAGTTGTGTGGCCGGGACCCTACTCTCACTGATGAGCTGCTGAATATTCTCACAGAGCTAACTCAACTCAGTAAGACCACCAATGCCAAAGTAGCACTTCGAGCACGCCAGGTAAGGACATTTGTTGGTTTTCTTAAAGGAGGGATGGCTTTCATAGATCAGGCAGTCCTAGACACAATGAACTTTTGCTTAATCACTTTACAAAGAACATGTTATTTTCTATATATGTGTCACGTTTTCCTCAGAACAAATGTTTTCATGTGGTATGTTTTTTTAAAGAGAAAGGAAAAGATTAGTGCTGCGTCTCTTTAAAATAGAAGCCCTTTCCCCATTAAAAAATCCTGGTATCATTCCCTTCCCTCCCTAGTAGCCCTGTGATAGTAAACCAGGGTCAGGTGGAGGAAAGGACACTCAGGGAAGAAAATAGACTCAGTATTTCTTACTTCCCAAAGGGAGCTTAGAAGCAGATGAAAACTTCCAAGTGTACAGGAAATAATCAAGTGTGGAAAGCAGAAAGATAATGAAATGAATCTTAGGCGGCAGCAATCAGAACAACCCCAGAGAAGTCCAGTTAGTTTCACCCTGCAGTCTTCATTTCCATTCCAAAAGGTTTCAGCAGGGAAGCCAAGAGTTGGCACTCCCTTTGTGTTTCAGTGCATGGGCATTGACAAGGAAGCAGCATTTGAAGCTGTTCAGTGACCTTCTGCTTTCTCTACAATTGTATCCATGTCACTGAACTACTCAAAGCTATTGAACCTCTCAGTGACCTGCTGAGGGTATTCAGATCCTACCGTGTCACTGTTTGTTTGTTTGTGACACTGCTTTCACTCTCTCTGCCCCTCACACACACTGGTGTTACTTCCTGACGCGTTCTCCTTGGTGCCGAGTACCTGGGGCTGTCAAAGCAGCTTTCCCTAGTCTTTCTTTCTACTTCAGAGTTGTAAAAGGCTAGCTCTGCTGCATCTACCTTTCCCACAGCTGCTCCCTGCCAGACCTGATTCCCAATTAACAGCTAGTCATGCAGTCCCTAGGACCAGCAGCTTTGCAATGGTAAATCACATACACTGATGGAACTTGATCGAAGCTGTTTTCTCTCCCTTCCCCCTACCCACCATGGGAAATTGGCCACAATGCAAATCATGGTGAGAGTCAACTGAGATTCAGTATTTGGTGGCACTGGCTTTATGTTACAGGACCTAGAAGTTGTTTTACTTGGTCTCTGTTTTATCTGTGATGCCTGCACTTACAGATTTATATTTATTGCTTTTGTATCAGAGCTGCCTAATAGGAGTCTAGAATAATCACTCCGAGGAATGTGTGCCTCCTATTTTGTTCTCACTCTAGGTTCTTATTGCCTCCCATTTGCCATCATATGAGCTTCGCCATAACCAAGTAGAGTCTATCTTCCTATCAGCTATTGACATGTATGGACATCAATTTTGCATTGAGAACCTGCAGGTATATATATATATATATATATATAACCCTTTCCTGCCTATCTGGACTCTTACCTCCTTTATTCTCAAGCATAGTTTAAGTAATTAGTCACTTAATTAATTAATTTTGATTTTCCATATAATGGAGTTTCATATCTTGACTTTCTAAAATGATTTATACTTATGAATATTTTTTTCATACAAATGCTGTTAGAATTGTGGTTTAGCTTAAAAATCAAATAGGCCTGCCTTGATAGAAGTGTCCTATTGAAGTCTTTATCTTTGTACTTTACCTAGAAAGTATTCTAGGCCAGAATTAAATGACAAGGCTGGTTGATTTCTGATATATATATATATATACACACACACATTTCTCTGATGATTTATGATATTTGAATCAGATGTATACATAGGTAGTTGTTACTCTTCTGGAGACAAAGCTATTTAAGTATCATTTAATTTTAATTTTATGTTAATGCTTATTATTAAGCTTTATAAGAAGCCCGTTTTTAAGAGATTATTGTCTAATTTTACTACTAATCAGAAGGACCACCGCAATTATTTTTTAAATGTTATCTTCTCAGGAATGACTTTATATTTTTCTACCTGGAAACAAGGATACCATTGTTATATCTGGCCCAGGGGAATCTTTAGACTTTCTGTAACATTTCTTCCTGGGGAATCTAGAGGGGAAAAAAGGATGTTTTTTCTTATTTGGTTAATAGCTGAAATCTAGGGTTTCAACTGGAGTTCAAATCTAGGGTTTACCATAGTGGAGTATTGAGACAATATTTATTTTATTTAATTTTTCTGAGACAGAGTCTCACTCTGTTGCCCAGGCTGGAGTGCAGTGGCATAATCTCGGCTCACTGCAACCTCCACCTCCTGAGTTCAAGCGATTCTTGTGCCTTGGCCTCCAGAGTAGCTGGGATTACAGGCACTCACTACCACGCCTGGCTAATTTTTGTATTTTTAACAGAGACAGGGTTTCGCCATGTTGGCCAGGCTGGTCTCGAACTCCTGACCTCAAGTGATCTGCCCGCCTTGGCCTCCTAAAGTGCTGGGATTATAGGTGTGAGCCACCATGCCTGGTGAAGACAATATTTAGAGAGTTCAGATAAATGTCAGAAAAGAATAACAGTCATAAACACTTATATTAGCATACAAATAATGCATTGTTAATTCAGTATTCCAAGAATTTTACATGTATTTACTCATATAATACAACAGCCCTATGAGGATAGGTATTTTATTTTCTCCATTTTGTAGCTCAGGAAGCTGAGGCACAGAGAGATTATGGCATTCAGAGACAAAATTCTTAGGTTTCACTAAATGCTTCAAATGCCAAATAGTGTCCATTGAAATTGTTCTCCTTTTGATGTAAGGCTTAAGCCTGTCTTTGTATCTTCTAGAAACTCATCCTATCAGAAACATCTATTTTTGATGTCCTACCAAACTTCTTCTATCACAGCAACCAAGTAGTGAGGATGGCAGCTCTGGAGGTAAGTATTTATGGTAATGGGACATGACCTTTTCCTTTGTTTCTAGCTGGTTTCTTCTGTCTATTTGGCTGCCATGTCAGTTCTAGTTCTCTGGCCTTAAGGTTGGTTCTTAAGGGTAGTTAGTCTCTTTTCCTCTGAAACAGTATGTGCTTACTCAGATACTTTACTCAAGTGTTTCATCTGAACTCATCACCAGCTTCTAGGTTCCAATCACAGGAAAATAGCTGCCAGCATTTTTCAGTAGTTTCTATTTTCCAGGTATTTGAATTCTCCCATTTCATAATGAATTAGGATTCCTTGTAACACAAAAAGCGAAAATATATGGCTGATCAGAGCATGTGTCATCTTACCATTGTGTGATTTGGGCCAAATTAAAATTGATTTTAGTTATGTTTGGATTGTCAAGCAGCTCTTATGAAATACTTCCTCAAAGGAAAGAAAGTAATAGCATTTAATGAACTGTGTTTTAGGTATTTTATCTTTCTCATTTAATCCTACAGTTACTTTAGGAAGTAAGAAGAAAGTGAGACTCTGAGAGGTTAAGTGATTTGTCCAAAATCACATAGATAATAAGTGGAAGAGTTTGCATTTGAACTCAGGCTAATCTGACTCCAAAGACTTCTGTTTCCGCTACAGCACACTACCTCATTAAGCACAAAAATTGCAGGCCCTGAATACCACTGTAAAGTTGCCAAATAGTTGTTTTTTGAAGATGGGGAAAAAGAGTGTTTTAGATGATTTTATGTAATGTAACATCACGGTAGTCTGTTGCCAGCTCTTTTGTGTTACTTTTTATTTGTACTCTGTGGTAGAGTGTAAATTATCCTACTCAGTAAATGCCAAAAGTTTTAAAACATTTAAGTGTTTTGTAGTGTTTTTATGTCATTTAATGAGAAGCTTCCTTATATACTTCCCGTGCCATAGAATCTCAGGTAGCATTTTATGTGCATGGCAAATTTGCTGTGAAATGTGTGAGGTTGGACTGACAGTTTTTGCAGAGATGTAGCCTATTGCTGTTTCTTTTTTTAATTTATATTTATTTTTATTTTATTTCATTGCTGTTCCTTTAACTCTTGAGTCAAGTTCAAGTATTTGAGATATTATATGTCAAATTATGTCTTACTGCTTATGCCTTACTGCTTTTGATCAGAGTTTGCTGAAAACTGATTTTGAGCGGGTGGGGAAGTCGGGGAGGACGCAAGACAAAGACATGAGATAGTAAAAGAGTTGAACTGTACTGTGATTGCTTGTGTCTTCTATTTTCACTCTGTAAGTGGCTCAAAATCAGCACCTCTCATTTTTCTCACTGCTTAATCTTCTGTTGAAATGATCATGCTTAATAGATTAATAGTTGTAGTTCTATATGCTGTCTTTTGCTAAAGATTAAACCTTCTCCAGGGTTTAGGTTAGTGTGGAAGAAGGTTTACAGTGCACATAGGTGTCCAGCAGAGGCAGCCTAGTTTTGTTTTCATTAGTAGTCATGGTTATAGTATTAAGACTCCAGCTTTATTAATTAAAGCAATATATGTACGTATACATAGGGCCTTGGGACTTCTCTCCCCACAGAGCACCTTCTGCCTCAGATACCTCGTTTCAAGACTCTTTTTCTGGGCTATTTTCTTAATTTCTGTTTTTGAAATTTATTTACTGAGGGTTTCTTTTGAACCAGGTGTATGTTCGAAGGGCTTATATTGCCTATGAACTTAACAGCGTACAACACCGCCAGCTTAAGGACAACACCTGTGTGGTGGAATTCCAGTTCATGCTGCCCACATCTCATCCAAACAGGTGAGTTTGAGGTGGTATGTGCACCCGAGCCAGCCAGAGGTATACCATGAGAATCAAGGGGAGTAATGTGTATGACAATTCCATGTTTTTTTAGTTAGAAATGTAGGGCAAAAAATGAACAATATGAACCAAAAGAGAAGAGCCTTTTGGTGCCCACTTCTTTGATCTAAAGAGAAAAATTATGGTCTAAGTAAGATGAAAGTTTAGGATTACTCCATTCATTCTTGCTTGTATTATGTCACTGAGGAAATAGTTTCTTTTTTAAAAAATTAGAAAGAATTTACTAGCATTTTACTTGCTAGAACTTTGCCAGAAAAATCACTCTTTTTAACAATTTAAATCAGCAATTAGACCAAAAAAATACTTTGGGTGGAATGCTTTTCTTTTCTATATGTTTGCTATGGGTTGAGGTTATATCTGAGCCAGTTTCATTATCTCCCTAAAACAGACCACCTGAATTTAGCAGTTGAAATTCAATCAGTTTTTAAAAATTACATTGCAGAACCAAACTTCTTAATCTCAAATAAATTACTGAATTAAGCCATGATAATTACATTATTTGTCCCTTCCTGTCTTTTAAAAAATAAAATGTACATATGGACGTTTTTGTTTCAGAATTGCTTTTGTTTTAAAATGAAAATACTTTATCTTATAGACTATCTTTTAAAAAGTATTCTAAGGCAATGAAAATCTAGGAATTCCACCCACACATAGGTTCATCCCCTCCTGTACTTTCATTCTTTTTAGTAATACCACAGGAAATATAAATACCACAGCCAATCTTAACCTGCCCCTCTCCATTTCTTCTTTATGGCCTTTGGTTCTTCACTTGGTATTACAAAGTACTGTGTCTTTTGGGAACCTTAGTTATAGACACCAGAAATGGTTTTGTTCTAAATTGCCACTTCACCCAAAGCAATAGAAACCCTTTCTGGAGACAAAGAAGTCTGTGCTGAGACTTTTGGCCACTGGATGCCACTGTTGATCCAGCAGAGGTCGGCAGATGAGCAGAGGCATCTTCAGAAAAAGTACCTCTCTTCTTTGTCTCAGAATATCCTTTCACTTCTCTACCTCAAAAATACCTTATGGCTGGCAGAGAAAAGCATATATCCTTGATTTAGCAAGCATCTCTCGGTACATTTTTGCCTCCATGGATTTCAGAATCTCATTTTCTAGAAACGAATGGTTGTCCTTCAGTGAGCGGCGAAGTACTCATGGCACACATAGGCACAGCACTCAGTCTTCTTTCTTTTCCTGCATTCCTTGAATAATTGTAGAGAACTACACGCTATACTTAATGCTCTTTGTAATTCTCAGGGCAGTTCTCCTTTTCTTCCTGCTTTTTCCTGCTTCCCTTTGGGCAGTGATTTGTAGTCAGGCTGCAGGGCTGCTTCTGATTTCCTTCCCTCCTCATCACTCTCCTTGTCTCTCTTAATTGTTCTCCCTGTCCTACTTTTTTTTATTTGAGGATATGTCCAGTTTGGTGAGGGAATGTTGGCTGAAAAATGAGAGAAATTCTTCTTGACTGCTTTGTTAAGAAATCTTATTCACCTTTCTATGTCAAGAGTATGAATCTTGGTTAGTTCAATGTGGTTACAAAACTTATATGCCAGTCCCTCCCAACATCTGGACATGCCTGTAGATAAAGATCAGACTTGAACATAACAGTAATCCTGTAATCTCCCTGAAGTCTCCCTTGGTTGTCAGTGTAATTCTAAACCTGCTGGATTATTATTGTTATTGTCATCATTATTATTGGTATAACTGTGAAGGTGAAGATAATTGCAAAATAAAAAGGAAAAATAAAATCATCTTTGTGAAAACCAGAAAAATGTTAAAATTTCTTTAATTTTTTTTTTGATCTAAAGTTCTGTTTAGGATCAAATGATCAGGTTTGATCATAAAATGATGTATTCAGTTTCAGAGTATAGCTTGTTCAGTTATTGCAGATTTACTACTTGAATTTAGTTTTATAAGATTATATACATAATATATTATAATATATGAAAAATGTGTTTTTTATATATATAATATATATGAAAAATATGTTTTTTATATATATAAAATATATTTTTCCCCCAAATGTTTTTGTTAAAATTTGGATTTATAACCTTATTATGACACCAGCTGGTGTACTGCAATTGAATTCTGACACTAGCCATCTGAAGTTAGATCAGATGCCACAGGCTAAGGGCTCAGTCCACCACCAAATTGTCCCTACTTCAGATGGGGCCATAAGTGGGGTCCCCTGGCCACTTGCACTTCTGACCAACTGGCTACAAATTTGAGGGTCCCCTCAATTTTCTCAGTTTGATAATTCCCTCAGAACAACTCACAGAGTTCAAGCACTACAGTTTTATTGTCAGGATCAGCCAAAAGCACGAGACGCTTAGGGTGAAGTGTGGGATGGTCTCAAACACAGAGCTTCCCAGTTTGTTCCCTGTGGAATCAGAGTTTATCAACCCTCTCAGCACATCCATGTGTTCACCAACCAAGAAGCTCCATTGACCTTCAGTGTCCAGAGTATTTTAAAATCAGGGCTTCATTACGTAGGCATGCTTGATTAAATCATAGCCTACGTGATTAAACTCAATCTCCCCTCCCAGAGGTCTGGCTGGCTGAAAGCCCTCAACCTTCTAATCACACAGTTGGTCTTTCTAGTGACCAGCTCCCCTCCTGAGTCATCTCATCTCTTAGCATAAACTCAGGTGTGATCCAAGGGACTTAAAATAACAATGACACTCCTATTACTTGGGAAATTATAAGGATTTAGTCTCTCTTCCAGGAACCAGAGACAATGGCCAAAGTCTTTATTATACAATAGGCCTGCTCATCTTAAACAGAAATCTAAGCTCTTTTAGATTTAGCTAGTTTTGAGCCAAGTACTTTTCTTCTTTTTCTAACTCCAGTACTTTTTTTGTATGTTATTGTTTTGATCAAGCAGGCGAAAAGCATATTGTTTCTCATTCTACAGAAAGAAGTTACAGAGGGCTACCAATATTTGTTCCACTCTGTCCTGTAAGGCTCAGTTATGTCCACTAACCTCTAGATTAATGATTCTCAAAATTATCTGAGGGGTAATTTGAAAATACACATATTGGAGTCCTGACTTTCAAGACCCGATTCATTTTGGATTAGAGTCCAGGTGACCACTTTGAAAAGCTCCTCTGAACTCTGATGAACAGCTATAATTGACAGTTACTACTTCTAAACCAGTACTGTCAAATAGAAATATAATACAAGCTACATGCTATTTAAAATTTTCTATTGGCCACATTTAAAAGTAAAAAGAAACAGATAAAATTAATTCAAATAACATCTTATTTAACCCATTATATCCAAAATACCATTTCAATATGTAATAACAATTGTTAATATTTTTTCTTTTATTCATACTGTATCTTTGAAATTTAGCACGTATTCTATACTTACAGCATATCTCAATATAAACTAGCCGTATTTCAAGTACTACCCTAGCTGCATGTGGCTAATGGCTGCTATATTAGACAGTTCAACTTAGACCAAAAATTAATTAGGACAGTCACACTGAGCCCTCTTTTTTTTTTTTTTTTTTTTGTTACTGGTAGTGCCCGTGGAGAGAGGAAAAATTATTATTCTTATGTTGCTTATTCTTAGTAGTTACAGGAATTATTCACAGTTGATATTATAGATGTTACACTACAATATTTTATGCATGCTTTAAAAATCAGTGAGAATAAAGAAAAGGTATATGAATCATACATATTTTACTTATCAATATAAAACAGAATTTTATATTTTTCCCAATTGAGGTTAACAAACCAATTTTTTTTTCCCCTCCCATAGAGATGGGGTCTTGTCATGTTCCCAGGCTGGTCTCAAATAATTCTCCTGCTTCAGCCTCTCAAGTAGCTGGGACTACAGGCATGTGCCACCATACCTAGTACAGACCAAAAATTATTGGGGGAGAAAACAGGTTGTTTTTTTTTTTTTTTTTTTTTTTTTTTTTTGAGATGGAGTCTCACTCTGTCGCCCAGGCTGGAGTGCAGTGGCGCGATCTGGGCTCACTGCAAGCTCTGCCTCCTGGGTTCAAGCGATTATCCTGCCTCAGCCTCCCGAGTAGCTGGGACTACAGGTGCCTGCCATGATGCCCGGCTAATTTTTTGTATTTTTAATAGAGACGGGGTTTCACCGTGTTAGCCAGGATGGTCTCGATCTCATTACCTTGTGATCCATCCACCTCGGCCTCCCAAAGTGCTGGGATTACAGGCATGAGCCACAGTATTTTGTTTAACCAATTTTTTGTGTTTTCTTTCCTTGCACTTGGTCTTCACATTCCTAGCTAGGTGTTTTTGAAGTAGACAAAATTTGTCCAGCACATCGTTAGAAGTGTCTTAGTAAGCTGTAATATCAAAGCAAGACTGCAATCTCATTGTGTATGGAATTCCATTCCTGCAGCTTTTTTTTTTTTTTTTTTTTTTTTTGAGATAGAGTTTGCTCTTGTTGCCCAGGCTGGAGTGCAGTGGTGCTATCTTGGCTCAACACAACCTCTGCCTTCCAGGTTCAAGCGATTCTCCTGCCTCAGCCTCCCGATTAGCTGGGATTACAGGCGTACACCACCACACCCCACTAATTTTGATTTTTTAGTAAAGACGGGGTTTCTCCGTGTTGGTCAGGCTGTCTCCAACACCCTAACTCAGGTGATCTACCTGCCTCGGCCTCCCAAAGTGCTGGGATTACGAGCGTGAGCCACTGCACCTGCCCTTGTTTTTAACTCCTCTTACTATAATTCCCAGTCACGCAGTTTGTTTTTGACTGTGATTTAGCCTCCATAGGTTGGGGTGAAACACGGCACTCTGTCTGCAAACTGGCAGCAGAGTTTTTTTTGTTTTTGTTTTTGTTTTTTTTTTTATTCAGGAAAATCCCTTAGTTGCTGTTGGGATTGAAGACCTGTATCTTACTTATTAGGACCTATTTTGATTTTTAGAGAAGTAGGCAAAATATATTGCAAATGACTAGGGGAGCCTCTGAAAAGGGAGAAGACACCTGTTTTTAGCACACTTGAACAGTTGCTTTGTAGTAACATATTTGGTACATTTTTGTTTTTCTTTTAATTCATCATAGGACTTTGCATTGTTTGACATGTTGCGGTTACTCTGTTTTTTGGTATAATTCGACTATTTTTAGAAAAAAAAACTCCAATAATTTTTTTAAAAAGCAGATTACTAAATAGTTTATTCCTAATCTGTGTGACTTCCTATTTCATTTCTTGCTAGGTGTGCATCAGTCGAGGTATATTATCTCCTTTTTGATCTTCTACCCAAGACTTCTAAATTTTTTTTCTGGGGACTGTAGTTCCAACTTATTTGGCATCTGTAGGTCTTATTCAGCAGAGGATCCAGTTATTAGAACTTCACTCAGGCAAGCTTCTGGTCTGGATTTACCCTTTACTTCTAAAATTTCCTTCACTTGAACAGCAGCTAAAGAGATTTTTCTGATTTAAGCATAGTTAGAAACATATATATATATATATATACACACACACACACACACACGTGTGTGTATGTATATGTAACATGTGTATGTTGTGTGTGTGTGTGTGTGTGTGTGTGTGTGTGTTTCCTTTTTTACCTTCTTAGCATTAAAGGCTGTGTGATTCTTTTTGAGGGGAGGGGATTTTTTTTTTTTAATGTGTCATTTTTTAACTGACTTGTGTTCTTGAAGGAGAAGTGACTATCTCAAGTTGTTTTCATGGTGCAGGAATATTCAGGGCAACTAGTCTATACTAAGGGAGCATTTTATTATTGTGCAGACTTCTAGAACCTAATTCTCTCATTGAAGATTCTGTGAGCCCAGCCCTTTAGTGAGTTTTACATGAATTAACCCTGGAGTTCAAACTATATCATTGAATATTCCTTTTTCTCCTTCTTTCCCTAGTGAGTCTTAGGGTTTAGAGCCCAAGTTTTGTATATGTCTGTCTTTTTTCCTATTCAGAAACTTAAGTATCACTCACTGGTGCTGGTGATGGGAAAGCTTGTTACACTGAAGCATCATCCTGAATGTCTGTATTTTGCACAATTCATTGACTCATTTGACCTTCAGGATTTCACTAAGCTTTGGGCATATTAAGTGCCTCAGGATAATCTGGAAACAAATTCTTCAGTCAACTAGTATTTGATCTTTTAAAATATAGTTATATTTATACAAACATATGTAAAGTATATTATCCCATAAATTGTGCCTATGCATATGACTCTGTATAATATAATATGACAGTCTGGGAGTACACAATTTAAAACTCCAAATGATTTTTATAATTAATATACGCTAGTGAACATGAGTAATCTTTTTAACCTTTACTCTGTGATTCAAATAAGAAGCATCACATTTGATGCAGGAGATGGAGGTGTACTTTGTTGTACGTTTCTGTACATATATAATGGGTGAGGACCTATTGGTGTTTATTTCCACCTATTTCATAGATGGAAATCCATGCTTTAGTTAAGTCGGATTCCACTGTACCTTCTCTGCTGTTTGCTACTTGTGAATTTGGCCTTCTGTGTTATAATGTTTTAATTCAAATACTTCCCTTTTCTCAAGTCTTACCTCCAGAAGAGGTCGGCTGTGTTTTCCCCTGATAGCATGTGTTTTGGTCATGGCTGAGTTTAGGCTGCTTGGCATCCATCCTCAATGTTCAGCTGTCAGTGGGCGGCCTCTGGACTTTTTATTCATAAGGAAGGTTAGAAATCAGGAGCCTTCCATGTGACTAATTGGTAGCCAACTGCCATTCTCAAGAATTCTGATAATCTTTAACACCCAGAGATTAGACCTTTCTTTGGATAGTACTGAGATACTCAGAAGTCATCCAACTTGTAGCATTGTTTCTGCAGTGGGAGCACTTGTTGTAGTTAGCAAGCCAGAATGAGCTATAAATAAATGAAATCTTACAGTGCTTGCTTCCTTCATTCAGGGTAGTCTGCTGATAAGATGCAAGTATCTGGCAGAAGAGAAGATTCTCAGCAGGTTTAAGTGCTTACCAAAGTGCTTTCCTGTATCCGTGGCTCAGCTTCTAGTCTCTGCTGTGTTATTTTGGCACTCTAGACTTGTAAGATTGGAGAGTTGAGTTTAAAACTCTCAATATATCATTAGGGTAGCCCAAGGTCCCTTCTTGTCAAGGAAGACTAGCTGAGTCCTGGGGGAAGGAAAAGCAGAATCCAGGACACCTGTAAATCCCCGTAGTTTTGTGCTGTGGGTTCGTAGCTAATTATATAGCAGGCAACAGTAATATGCTGTAGCTCTGTTGATGTACTTGTTTCAGAAAGAGCAAAACCTTCCAGCAGAGCAAAGAAGGGGCTTTGGAGGGGCTGCAAATGAATGAAGTAATGATCATTTTATTGTAAACTAAAGCTCTGCAGTAGACTCAGGGCATCTGAACTGCAAGGAGGTGGTGGGGGAGATGCCAGTAGAAATACGTGGTTCAGATGTGTTTTACAGTTCTTGATTTGGATTTTCCTGCAGAAATATAGTCATGCAAAGAGACCACCACTGGTCACAGCCAGTCAAATTGCTCTTTCTCCTATGGTACTGCTGTTAGTGGCTGCTAGTAGGTTATTCAGCCGACCTCTTCTGATTCTGCTTTGCTGCCTGATTTCAAAAGAGTTGCCCTATACTGGCTTTCAGTCACAGCTTGATGTAACCACTGCTTGTTTGCATGCATCCCCATCATTTTCATATGGGCTCTTTTTTTTTTCTTCTTCAAGTTAGGAAGCAAAAGAATCAGGAGCATTTTTATATGATAAAAGATTTATATAAGGCCAGCTAGAATCAAGCCAAATGAAATTCAGCTGGAAGGGATGGTAAAAAGGCTCACAGAACTTGTGGCTGCCAGAGAAGTCAGTGTTCTTTAAATTAAAGAGGGTTCAGCTAGCAGCGGCAACTCTGACTTTGCATTCATATTGAAGCAAGCTCTCCAGCCATTCTGGGCAGGCAGAGCAATAAAATCAGAGGTGACTTAGTGCCGGGAACCTCAGAATTCACAGGATTTCTCTTGTCTTTCTCTAAAATCTATACTGATGTGGAATGCTAACTTGGAGAGCGGAGATAAGAAAATGCCAAGTCTAGATTGTGGTTTATGACACCATATTGAACAATGTCATTGGAAAGCATCCTCTTTGGTTTTTTGGTTATCACATCTGTAAAATGGAGCTAATCTACTAGAAAGAAAGTGGTTCTAATATTCATCAAATGTTGTAAATGAAGATTCATTATAATAAGTGTTTTGAATAGCCCAAACAGCAGATAGGAAGTGAATTTATGTCCCATTTATGTATTTGAAAATATACTTGATTGCCTTATCAAAGATTGAGCAATTTTACTTTTTTTTTTTTTTTTTTTTTGAGACTTACTTTGTCACCCAGGCTGGAGTACAGTGGCATGATCTTGGCTCACTGCAACCTCAGCCTCCTGGCTCAAGCGATCCTTCCACCTCAACCTTCGGAGTAGCTAGGATTACAGGTGTACTGTGTGCCACCACACCTGGCTAACTTTTATATTTGTGTGCGTGTGTGTGTGTATGTGTGTGTGTGTGTGTGTAAAGATGGATTTTGGAGATGTTGCCTGGGCTGGTCTTAAACTCCTGGGCTCAAGTGATCCACCCACCTCAGTCTCCCAAAGCGCTGGAATTATAGGCATGAGCCACTGCGCCCGGCCTAATTTGACTATTTTTGCGTGATGAGTATGCAGTGGAATGTGGCAAATTTTATTTTCAGCTACATAAATGGAATATTTGACTCGTATACAATCTCTTCCCTTAGTTGTGTGTGTGGCTTTTTTTTTTTTTTGGTACAGAGTGTTAATCTAGCTTTCTGGTGTATCACAGTAGTGTGCGATATGCCACATTTGTCATATTCTTAAATTGACCATATAGCCCTTGTATAGGATGAAAAATTTGTAGTGGCCAGGTTTGCTGGCTCATGCCTATAATCCTAGCACTTTGGGAGGCTGAGATAGGAGGATCACTTGAGCTCAGGAGTTCAAGACTAGCCTGGGCAACATAGTGGGACCTTGTCTCTATTTCTTAAAAAAAGAAAAAGAAAAAAAAAAAGAAAACATGTAAATGATCATTATGGACATGACCAAATATTTATCTGTTAATAGACAGTTTATCCTTCCTTCCTTCCTTGCTTATCTCCCTTACATCCCCACAGATTCTTATTCTACCTAAGTGGATAAGCTGGCTCTAAACCTACTTACATGATTGATTTGGGACCATTCCTTTAAAAATTAGAGATGTTGGGAGTTTTTGCTTTTTGACCCATACTGTGTAGATGGTGCATAATTCTTATAACAAAGCAGCAGGGGGCTCTCTATAGGAGCTTGAGAGTTGCTGATGGAGAAAGCCTGGCTTTTTGTTGTTATTGGTGTTCTTTTCAGTTCGGGCCTTTTTCTACTGAAAACATGGCCGTCATCCTGTGAAGACTCCCAAAGGGATTAGAATGTAGCTACAGAAGCAGTTAGATTATTTTATTAGATTAGGAAATTTGTTAACAGTTGAGAGAGATTATACTGGTTTCTAAACTCTAGAAACCTGGATGAATGGAACCTGAGGTTTCTTTGGTTGTAGAGTTCTCTCTGAACTGAGATTCATGCTAAGAAACTGTGCAGGCGGCCCCTTTCTTTAGCATCCTTTATATCGTAAAAGGAAAACTATTCTCATTAGCATCTGCAGTTAGTTTTCTGTTCAGCTGTACCTCCCTCTGTTCTAGAACCTGTGCCTATTTTTTCTGTATTGTTGAGGCCCAAGTGCATTATAACTAAGGATCTCTTGTAAAAATAAAACCCACTCTCCTGAGTGAGAGGCTTAAGGAATCCAAACAGCAAAGGTTCAGGTTTCTGCACTCAGAGGTTGCTCTTGCTGTCTTATGAATTCACTCTGTGATACAGGTTTGATGCAAAGAGCATTTCTACTCACAAATCACATGAGGTATACAGTTTGTGTGCAGTGATATGTCACAGCTTTTTATTTATATGGCCTGCTCAGTCTATTCTGCTCCTTCTACTGCCATGGAAAGTGCATCGTTTTCCTCCCTCTATCTTCCTTTCCACATATCATCAGCACCACCCACTATGTTCTGCCCATTAAGTCCTCTGTGTGCTAGAAAACCCCAACAGTGATTAAATGCTGATAAAAGAATGTTAGAAGGTTAAGATATCAACCGATCAGCCCCCTTACAATGCCCCTAAATTGTAGGTGGTAAGTATAACTTTGCCCATTTAACATTGAAAATAAAGGTTTTTATTTGTTTGATTATTTTTCAGTTGGGGAAATCTTTTAAAAGGAGTTAGTGGCAAAGGCCAAAGAGAATGTGGGAGATGTGCCTTGTAGTTTCCTATTCTTATCGTGGTCTTTCTTTCATGATTTGGCACATTCTTTATAAGGAAGTTCTGTGGTAGTCAAATTTAGATAAGGTTTTATTTATGAGAGGCCTAGAGTTTTTAAGCTAACAGCAATTTTTAAAATCATTATGACCCTAAACTCATTTAATTACAAAGTATTAATTAATTTTAACAACTTATCATAGAATCATTTATCATTACTTTCCTGCATGATTTTCAGTTCTTTTAAGCTCCTAGAATACAGTACCTTCCCCCCTGCTCTCCTTCATGGGAGGAAGAGTATGGTTAAAAAGACTTAGAACAGGTAGCTGGGAACCCAGATTCCTGGATACTTTTCTTTGGTGGAGAATTTGTAGGTCTGTCACATATCCTGGATAAGCGATTAAAGTAGGAGGAGCTGTGGAATCAACTTCCCTGGACCTCCTTATTACACCTTCAGTAATAGGAACAAGAAAGAAGAGTCTCTAAGAATCCTGTGAAGAATTATATTTCTTATTGAAGCTTGAGTTAATATACCATATCATATAGCTTAAATTAATTTTCATCAGCCTGTGTTTTACCACTACTCTAAATTTTTTTTTTTTTTTTTTTTTTTTTTGGTAATAGAGCTATTTTTAAAATCCATGGTAAATACATTTTGACCCTTTCCATCAACAGCTGGTGTGGTGAGGTAGGTTAGGAGCATGCCTCTTTGGAGGTATCCTGGGGGTTGAAGGGTAATGAGCACTTAATTATGTCTGCTGAATGCCAGAGCTGCCAAACTGGAGCTCCTCATGACTGGTCTATATCTGCTCTGACAATTCTTTTATTATGGCTTTCACTAACTTATCAGTAACTAACTGTGGTTGTTTAATTACAGAGGGAACATCCCTACGCTAAACAGGTACCGTATGTTTAGTTTCTTTTCCAATTAAAAGCACCTTTATGTAACTTAGAATAGTGAAACCAGGAAAAAAAAAACCACAACACTTGACAAGATAATGTGTTATCTGCTAGGGAGTCCTGAGCTCCCCTTTGGACATACTAAATTATTCTTTCTGTTTGGAAAACATGGCTTCAGCTTTTCTTCAGCTGTTCAAAAAGCACTACTTGAAAAGCCTCAGTATGGAGAAGCTCCCATCTAGCTGTGTATGATAGGGGGTTTATCTGCCTTATGTCCGGCCTTGCTAGCAACATCTTCTTTTGCTAAGTTCTCTGTGTAGTTTGGGGCTTTCAGAGGAGAAACCCTTAAGGTTACTCCTATCCTGGCAAATTATTCACAGTTTTTACAATTTTTAGTTTCTCTAATTTGCTTCTCCTTTTAGAGGAGTGCAGATCCAGAAATAGCTGATCTCATGTTTTATCAGTTTGTTAGTTAATTTTCTAAAGTGTTAAAATGTTATGATAGTCAGTTTTTATTTCAGACCTATAATAAGATTAACATTGGAAAAGTATATTTAAGTTTTGATGTGTTTAACCCTGTGTGGAGGTTTCCAGGCTAATATAACATAAGTGATATTTTAGTATTTTGGGTTTCTCCTGTCTCTTGAACCAAGCAAGGCAACACAATGCAAGTTTGAGAGGATAACAATTCTGATTGGAATTGAATCCACAAAATGCAAAAGCAATAGTAAGTTGATGGCAAGGTCTTTGCAGATAATCAGCTACACGTGGAACTATTTATAGATTTACATTTATTTTGTCCCTCTCCCTTTAAAATATTAAGTAATCAAGACTAATCATAGCTTTTAGATCCCAATTTGGATGTGGAGAGGAAAGGGAATGCTTTTAATTGGTCTTGTAGTCTTCCCTTGGTGAGTGGGCTTGGCTCATTCCTGCCTGCCTTTAGCCACCCTGGTTCACAAGCATAGCAGTGAGGGGAAACTGAATAGTCGATATTTCCCATGGGGTTCAGTTGAGTGAAAAAGCTACTTAACCCCATGGTTGCCACAAACATAGTTTGTTAACTTCTTCAGAGGGAGTTCCCTTTAAATGTGGTCTGGAACCCTTTTATCTTTCCTGTCTAATGCCAAGCAAGTAGAAAAGATACAATGCCTCACAAACTTGCTTTTTTAGTAAATATATTTGGTGATCCTAGAAAAGAGGAGGATGATAGCACTTCTGTGGTAATACAACTCTGAATCCCAGTTTCTAGTGAGCACCATGTGTAAGACTTGCTTGATGTGTGTTTCATTTGTTTGTTTCATTCATTGTATCAATGGTTTCCTCTCCCACTTTGCCTTCTACTCCCAAGTACTGTCAAAAGATGATGTACCTTTTCCATAGTCATCACTCGCCAAAGGAATAAAAACCTGGAGTGTCAGTCTCTATAGTCTGTGTGAGCAGCACTCCCATCCTACAAAGAATTCCATTGCCTTGTAATTATGATTTGCGATAGGGTACAATATGTACCCAGATATCAAGTCCACGTTGTCGTCTCTCTTCCCCCTGCAACACCGCAGGTGGTGTACTTCAAGGAGATTTTTGGGGCAGTTCCCCAAATTCAAGTGCCATTGCCTTGCCCTGAACTTGCTTCAGATCAGTATGCTGGTAACATGTCAGGCAAGTCCTGGAGGCATCCTTTAGCTTGGTCCTTCCTAACAGGCTGTCCTGATTGAGCATTCAGAAACACTTTACAGTATTATTTATCAGTACATACTGTTAAGGTACATCAAGAAATATAGAGATTCATTGTTTTTAGATTGAGCAAATCAGTTCAGTTCTCTTCAGGCATCTCCGTTTAGCAGCTGCTTGTCATGCTTACACATACTTTGAGACCCATGCTCTGCCCTTTTGTATCTTGCTGGAAATTATTAAGGGCTTTCAATGGAGATTTTTTTGTTTTGGTATAGAAGTGCTTAACTATGAAAAGAAAAACGTGCAATTTGGGGTTGAAAAATAGCTCTCTTTCAAAAAGGGAGAACTGTAACCCCAATAACTATGCCTACCAACCCATTAAAGGAGAAAGTAAATTCCTCAGTAAAGTTCCTTTTATAGACTGTGACCTGTTTCTGTACCCTAATGTTTTATATAATTATTTACTAAACCATTCCAGGTGACTTAATTACAATTGTTGTTTTACATACATATATATACCTATCTCTTTATGTATCTGTGAATACTTACTCTATTACAGTTCCTAGAAAACAAAATGCCTTAAGCATTGCATAGTTACAACTCACTTGGCTTGCTTACTTCCTTTTAAAGGAGGGAATGCTTTAGGGAGGGGGAAGATGCAGGATGGTTTTTAACCCCTATGTGCTATTCATTCATTGGACATCTTATAATGTAATTGTGTTAAAACTGCCTGGAAATTCCTAACAGTTCTTAGCTTTTTATTTGAAGAAATTTTGGAGTGATGAAAATATAGTTTATTTAGGGAAATTCAAAAGAAAGGGTTAACATGAATCCAGCAAAACAACCTTATCCATAGTGGGTAAAAAAACCAAATCTGCTCTGCAACCTGACCCTACTTCAGAGTTTTCTCCTAGTTCCTTTTCCCTACTGTTACTTTCCCAGTCCTTGCTCCTACCCTCCTTGTCTAATGAACGTGATTGAATTACCATTTAGAATGTCCTTCTCCTCCAACCTCAACCACTATGGCATGACCCATGTAGCTAGTGTCAGCGATGTACTGTTGGACAACTCATTCACTCCACCTTGTCAGCGGATGGGCGGAATGGTCTCTTTTCGGACTTTTGAAGATTTTGTCAGGTAAGACATTGTGGAACTATGTCTGTACAAGGGGAGCCATGGACATCTGTGTTTTGGGGTCTCATCTTTCTGCAAAATGAATAAAGGTCTCCCGAATAGCCATGAGCCAGCTAAAAAGATGTAACCCTTGCTGTATATGCCGTTGGAGAGGTATATATCCTTGCATTTCTACCTCTCATTCAGATTCTACAAGCCTCTACTTGTAGTATGGGCCTGGTCAGAAAAAAAGAAACAAACAAAAACCATCTTTTCCTGTGGAGCTAACAGAAGAAGCTGTCTGCTCTGTGATGAGTGAAATGTCAGGAGAAATTAAACATAACACTAGAGTGAGCCCCACAAGAGACAATACATCTTTTGATTAAATGCATTCAGCATCTATCTCTTGATGTATACTGATGCATTACCCTAGGGGGAGGGGTAATTACATTGGTCTGTCACTACTCCAGTTCCAGACACTTTCTGTTACTTTAAGACCGATGATGACAGAAGTGCTCATATCTTACATATGAGGAAAACAAAACAAACAAAAAAGCTTTAGATCATTCTTTCTAAAAAAGAAAAAATATATATGGTTTATTAAAGTTTAAACAATCCATCCTCCTAATTTCTGCCACTTGGTGAAATTTTGCATGTCACCTCTAGCCACTGGTGATTCTATTCAATTAACTATTGAGCCCAGGCTAAGATAGATTATTCTTTTAGACTCAGCTGCCAATGGCAGTGTTAGTTTCATGCCACTTGAGTTTTCATGGTGGGTGTTTCTCTTGTATTTTTTAGGATCTTTGATGAAGTGATGGGCTGCTTCTCTGACTCCCCACCCCAGAGTCCCACATTCCCTGAGGCAGGTCACACGTCTCTTTATGATGAGGATAAGGTATAATGTCCCTTTTGGGAGACTGCTTTGTTCCCCTCAGACATGGGACTTCTACTGTATACTATCTTTCTGACTTTGAACTATTATAGGAAAGAATTCATCCTTTTACCCCACTTTATAGTATTTAATTTTGTATGCCTCACCAAAGTATTTTCTGGAAACAAGTGGAATATAAATCCTAACTTAAAAAAACTATATTAATTTTGGAGTCCATAGTATAGAGTGGGCTCAGCTATGTCCATTGCAGCTGCCTCTGAATCTCTGAATGTTGTTTTAAGGATTTGGGCTTTGGTTGCTGGAATTCTTACTCAGCCATGGCTTATATTTTTGCATAGTGGTGCAATCATAGTCCTCAGAGAATGGAGGACTTTAGATTACAGAAAAAAAGTAGGCATTTTGTTGAAAACTTTGTCTTTTTATTAAATCATTTCTTTTTATTTATCAGTAAATAAATTATTCTTTCTCTATGATGTTATTTTTTCATGATTTGATACTTCCATTGTTTGATAAATTGTAAGGAAATATATTATGTGGGAACATGTCCAGATGGCTTATATCACTCATTTTCCTTCACATTCTGTGAAGAGATGTGGCAAATAGTTTCACCCCCATTTTATTGGTAAAAAAGGTGAGACATAGTGATCTTCAGCTTCATGCCAAGTAAAGATTGGGCCACCTGTTACTAATGCCTCTGCTGCCTTATCTTTTAAAATTTATATGCTTTACCTGATTTAATCTCTCTGTGGCTATTGGGCAGTGGTTTCAATTTGCTCATTCCTACTGCTGGGCAAACCAAAATATCCTGTGGGGTGTATCTCTTTTTCAGGTATTCTACCAAATATTATAACTTCTATCTGCATCTGTATTGGCCAGCCTCATAATTTCTTTGACTTGTGTTCTTGAGTTACAGGTTCCCAGGGATGAACCAATTCACATTCTCAATGTGGCTATCAAGACTGACTGTGATATTGAGGATGACAGGCTGGCAGCTATGTTCAGAGAATTTACCCAGCAAAATGTAAGTTCTTGATTGGGTGGAAGCTCGTGATGTCCCCTTTCTACTGGCTGTGTATCATAGCTATCCTTTTATCAGTTGCTAGTTTATGGCTATGTCTTTTATCATAACTCTCAGAACTATGGCTAGTTCTGCATTTAGGGATAAAATCCCAAAGTGACTTAATAATATATAATGAATATCTTTGTGTGTCAACAGATAATAGACCTCAAATATTTAAAATGTTTTTAAGGGAAGTTATCTTCCTAAATCTCTCCCAGAGCTCCAGTCTTGAACTTCGAATCACCTACCAAGTATTTTCCTTTGGTGACTTTCCACATGTCTAAGCCTAAACTCCCCTTAGGTCCCTTCTGTGTCTTCCCCTCCCCTCCTTTGAAACTATCAGTTATACATCTATCCTCCTTTCAATTTTACGTCACTTGGATATCTCCTGTTGACATCAAACGCCATCGTCTAAATGGACATTTTCCATCATTTTGCTTCACCTCTTCTCGTCCCTCTCCAATCCCCTCATAAAACAAAACAAAAAACCTCACAACTCACTATACCTTTTACTCCCAATCATTCAAAAGTCATTGACTTTTTCCTTGACATTCCTTCATTCTACCCCTCTACCCACAATCTGTACATATTTATTTGTATCTGGTCAGTCACCAAGGTCTGTTAGTTTTTCTTTGCAGTCTTTTTTACCCTTTCTCTTTTTCTTCTTTCCAGTTTTAAAATTCCCACTGCCATCTCTAATTCAAACCCTTACTATCTTATACCTGAGACACTGCAGCAGGCTTACTTGTGATCTACTTATCTTCCTTCACTTTCTCCCTCCAAAGAGTTTCCATTCTGCTCATCACCACAAAATTAAATGTCCCAAATGTGCTCTTACCATGTTATTTTCCCACTTAACAGTGATTCTCTCTGACCTTCAGAATACCTCCTTAACTTTAGCTTCAACATCATCAGCCTATTGAGAGACTAACATGTAGCCTTTGCTATTTTGTGAAAAGACCTGTGTTCATTGTCTAATGTGCCTCATTTATTATACTTCTTTGACTTCCTCTTTCCTAGAAAGTTTTCTTTCACCTTTCTTTCTAAATCTTGTTTGTCTTAAGAACTGTCTCAAATTTCATCTCTTCAGTGAGGACTTCTGAGTAGCCCTAACTAAAATGTATGTTCCTCCTTTGAATTCCTAATTGGTCAGCATACATTTATTAGCAATAATAATGCCTTTTATTTATAAAAAAATTCTACCTAAATTTTTTATTTGCATCTTACCACGATTCCATGGGGTTAGATAAGTCAGGAATTGTTCCAGTTGTACACATGGGCAAAAGCTGGAGCTCAGAGAAATTAAGACCCCTAGGTCACCAGCTAGAAGATGATAGAGCAAATACTAGAACTTAAGGATTTGATGCCAGGTATAGGGGGCACAGATCTAGGTACTTTAGTAAATAATACATTCTTAGCCCTGAAGATGCTTATAGTCTAGTTGAGGGGACAGGATAGGCATGCTTAAAACAATAATCTACAGTTATATTTCATTATGATATGTGATAGATAGCAAAGTGTCCTCTTAAACTGCCCTTGATGGCAAGACCCATGTGTTCTCTTGGAGTGGACAGCACTTAGCCCATGGACTTCTTGCAGAGAAAGAACTCAGTAGATGTTTTCAAAATTTAATTCAGTGGTGTAGACAGTTCGTACCATTGGCATTCACATCATGTAATGCCAATGGTAGATATCTAGGGGAAAAAATGGTAAATTTGTGATGACTATGAGTCTTAGTACTTATTCCATGACGGTGTTGTAGCACTTAAACTAACTATGAGATTGCAGTGGTCAGTATGAGGAAAAGGTGCTTCCAGAGAAGTGAAAGTAGGGGATATGCCTAGGGCTTTTTCTGTAGACAGAAATTTACCTTCCTTCTTGCCCTTGGCCAGTGACCACATAAAATTAACCTAAAGCCAGTGATCAAGGTAATCTTTGCTGGAAGAGTTTTTTTGTTTTGTTTTGTTTTGTTTTGTTTTTTTGAGATGGAGTTTCACTCTTGTTGCCCAGGCTGGAGTGCAATGGTGCGATCTCAGCTCACAGCAACCCCCGCCTCCTGGGTTCAAGTGATTCTCCTGCCTCAGACTCCTGAGTAGCTGGGATTACAGACATGCGCCACCACACCCGGCTAATTTTTGTATTTTAGTAGAGATGGGGTTTCTGCATGTTGGTCAGGCTGGTCTTAAACTCCCAACCTCAGGTGATCTGCCTGCCTCGGCCTCCCAAAGTGCTGGGATTACAAGCGTGAGCCACTGCGCCCGGCCTGGAAGAGTCTTAATATTATATGTGGCTGCTGCTGCTGCTGCTTCATGAAATAATCTGTGAAAGTTTCTTCCTAGGTTTTGAGGCACTAATTGCCCATGTTTGAGTATTTTTCCATAATTTGACCACAACTTGACACTTCTTGTTGCCCTCAAATCTAAGTGTCATACTTATCAACGCATGTTGATCTACAAAGACATTTTCAGCCAGGCGCAGTGGCTCACGCCTGTAATCCCAACACTTTGGGAGGCCAAGGCGGGCAGATCACAAGGTCAGGAGTTCAAGACCAGCCTGGCCAATATGGTGAAACCCCGTCTCTACTGAAAATACAAAAATTAGCCAGGTGTGGTGGCGGGCGCCTGTAGCGCCAGCTACTCGGGTGGCTAAGGCAAGAGAATCGCTTGAACCTGGGGGCGGAGGTTGCTGTGAGCCGAGATTGCACCACTGCACTCCAGCCTGGCGACAGAACAAGACTCCATCTCAATTAAAAAAAAAAAAAAAGCATTTTCTTCATATTCGCTACATATGTTTGTAACATTAATGAGAAATAAGAAATTACCCTTTTCCTTGACTAGGTGTGGAAACTAAGGCACAGAGAAATCCAATATCTTTGCCTAAGGCTATTTAGAAAGGTAAGGGTAGACTGTGCTGACACTCTAAGCATAGAGAAGCTATTTACTGCATCAGGTACTGTGCTTATCCAGGGACATTTGGCATTTTCATCTCCTTGTTAAAATATATGTGTGTGTGTATATATATATATATATATATATATATATATATATATATATATATGAAAGAAAAGGAAAGAAAAGCAATTTAAGAAAAAAACAAAAGATAAAGTGGCAACTAGTTTTGTTTTTCACTTCATGATCATGCTCCTAGCAGTTTAGAAAAAGTTTTTTTTTTTAAGGCACACATTAAACTATCAAATAGGTTGATCCAAATTGTCCAAATAATCTTCTAGTCCCAGCATGTCTTTTTTTCTCTCATAGAAATTAGGATCATATATTTGTAAATGACTTGTGGAGGAGATTGAAGCAGTCAGTGTAAATGGAGTTTCTCCAGGTGCTGATGCCTAATCGCTGGGTAATAGCTGTGGACTTGCTGTGAGACCTGCATTATTACAATGTAATCAGAATCCTGTTGCTCTGCTGTTATTGTCAGCCACTTGTGGAATTTTAAAAGCAATAACAATTTTGATTTTAAATCATGGCATTATTAAAGTTATTTTCTTCCCTTGCCAGAACATAGCTACTGATGCTTGTCTTTGAAGGACTTGACTGTAGTGGAATCTTTGTTGATGTCAGAAGAAGTATTTCTGTTCCTGGCCACACTGAGAAACCCCTCCTTTCCTTCGACACATTTTTTTCATATTGTTGTGTCAATACTTGGTTATTTACAGCAAGGTGTGTGATGGCAGTACAAATAATTTTTTAATGCAGTTAAACCAAAATTTATTTATATTTGGCCTGATAATTTATTATTTTATTATTTGCTTATAGAAAATTAATTTTTCCAGTTATCTTTTGTTTATGCTGTTAATAAAATTAATTTTATTACTCAGCAATGCCATCGCAGAATTGAAGAAATTGGAAGAAATAACCCAAGAATGTGCTTCCTTATAAGGGGAAGACAATTTAAATTTTAAAAAATATATAATATCATGAATGTTAAGAACTGGCCTATAAACATATCTCTTGGTTGGAGTTATAGCAAGAAATGTGGTCAAACTAAAGTCTGGATGTAGGCTGTGAAAGTCCACATTACTTTTCTATTTGTACTATTCATATGTTTTCTCAGGTCATTCAACTGGTGGGGTTGCTTTTCTGCTTGCTGTTATAATCCTTCTTTGTTGGGGACCTCTAAACACATGTCTTTTACTTAATTCATTAATTTGTTTCTTTGTCCCTGCCTTTTGAAGCAAGTGAACAGTATAGGGAAGAGGAAGGCTTTAGGTCCAGATGCCCAAGACTCGTATAAGTGGCTGTCTTGAAACTACTGGTGTCTGTTGACTTCTTTTTTTTTTTTTGAGACAGTCTCATTCTGTCACCCAGGCTGGAGTACAGTGATGCAATCTCGGCAACCTCTGCCTCCTTGGTTCAAACGATTTTCATGCCTCATTCTCTCAAGTAGCTGGGATTACAGGAATGTGCCACCACACTTGGCTCATTTTTTTCTATTTTTAGTAGAGACAGGGTTTTGCCATGTTGGCCAGGCTGGTCTCAAACTCCCGGCCTCAAGTGATCTGCCCATCTTGGCCCCACAAAGTGTTGGGATTACAGGCGTGAGCCACCACTCCCAGCCTTCTGTTGACTTCTAATATACTAGTCGCCTATGCCTAGTGGAGATATGAATAGTTCCTAAATTTAAAGGCCTATTAAATATTGCTTTTAACAATTTTAAAAGAGAGAGTTTTTAAAAAATGCCTTCATGTAAGGTAAGGGGGGACTGTTGTATCAAAACTGAAAGGTTACAATTTGTTAGACTGAATTCTAGGGATGCTGTATCTGATGGTAGGTAACATCTACAATCTAAACAGTTTAGGACCTGTGTTTTATGTTTTATGGAAAGTCCTTCTTTTCTCTCTACCTAATTTCATTTAGCATCTTTATCAATATTAATGTTTACATTTGAATACATGCCCAACAGTATGATTTCTATAAGCAGAAATTGTGTCATGGCCTACCTTTATGTAAATCAGTTCTGAGGTAATTTAGTTGACTTCATATCACCCTTTCTCCTCCACAAAGTTCTCTTTCAGTTTTGTCCAAATCAATATAAAATTTATTTCGTAAGACTTAGTCCTAGGAGCCAGATTGAAATTTGTTCACTTGCAAGTTTGAAGGTACTAAGCTAAGATAAGGATATCCAAAAAGGATGTTTAACTCCACCAAAGCCTTACAAGGGCCGAATGGGATAAAATTTAGAATGAATGGAAATCTCATCTATCTTCTGTTTTACATGTTTTTGCTCCTAGAAAGCTACCCTGGTTGACCATGGGATCCGGCGCCTTACTTTCCTGGTTGCACAAAAGGTACTGACATGTGAATTGTACCTCTTTAATATTTCTTATGCTGCTGCTACAACTTAATAAAAATGGGATTGTAATCTTATACTTACTAATAGGATTTATGCAGAGAAATAACCACTTTTCTGTAAGTTTCATTTTTAAAAAACATTAGTTTAACTCATCATCTTTTACTCAATTTCTTTTTGATTTTGTTACTAATTGCCAACTTCTGCTGTCTTTCCTTCCTTTCTCTCTTTTATTTGAAAGGATTTCAGAAAGCAGGTCAACTATGAGGTGGATCGGAGATTTCATGTAAGTAAAATGAACAATAATGAAAGATTACTTACTGTTTTATTTGTCTGCCACTGATTATTTAACCAGAATATATGTTAGAAGGGCTGGACTGATATTTGATCCTTCTTCTTTTAGAAATTATTATAATAAATATTCAGTTCTCTGTAATCCCAGCACTTTGGGAGGCTGAGTCAGGAAAATTGCTTGAGCCCACAAGTTTGAGATGAGCCTGGGCAACATAATGAGACCCAGTCCTCTATTAATTAAAAAAAAATTTTTTTTAATTCTTATATCAAGTGTTCCAGCTAAAGGTTTTCTTCTTTTTTTTTTTAACCCTATAATGAATTCTCAATATATCTCTGAGAAATAGTTAAGAATGAACATAAGCATTTATCCAGATAAATAAGGTAGAAACAAGCTAACTAGTAATTTCTTCTGTGCTTATAGTGAATCAATAATCAAGGACAGCCAGTTGCATTTTGTGGTCTTGGATTCTTTATTGAGAAGTCTCAATTCTAAAGAACAATGATTTATTATTTAAAATGCCTTGATAGAGCCAAGTTGCTATTTTTTGTCTTATGTTAATCGTAGGAACAGGAAATAAGTAAAAATTAAACACTCTGTTGCTTATTCTCCCATTTAACTGAATTAACTGTTAATATTTATGAGATTAAAATTTTTATTGAAAAGAGAATTAAGTTAATAGCCTGGCATCCAAACTATGGTATACCCGTATGATCATACCCAGTACAGTGACAACAGTAAGGCCAGAAATCCAGTTTGGAATCAATATGTTGTTTTCAAAATGACTGATTATAATCAAAATATTTCATAAAAATTGATTCTAATGTAGCTAACTAAGATTCTAGAGGATGTTAAGAAGTCTTTTTTTTCTTTTCTTTCTTTTTTTTTTTTTTGAGAGAGTGTCTTGCTTAGTCGCCCAGGCTGGAGTGCAGTGGCGCAATCTCAGCTCACTGCAACCTCCGCCTCCTGGGTTGCAGCAATTCTCCTGCCTCAGCCTCCCAAGTAGCTGGGATTGCAGGCATGTGCCACCACACCCAGCTGATTTTTGTATTTTTAGTAGAGACAGGGGTTCACCATGTTAGCCAGGCTGGTCTCGAACTCCTGACCTCAGGTGATCTGCCCGCCTCAGCCTCCCAAAGTGCTGAGATTACAGGCATGAGCCACTGTGCCCAGCCTGTTTGGTTTGGTTTTAGCAATTAAGATAATTTGGTTGTTAAGCCTTGCTTGTTTGCAACAATGAAGATGGCACTTGAGATTCTGGAAAGGACTTTCTAAACTCAAGGACCTATGTGTGATTGCTTTTATTACCTTTTTGTTTATTAGGTTTTCAAGACTTGACATTTTGTTTTCCTTCATACAGTTCACCTTGTTGGTCTAGTCTATAGAGAAACAAGAGAGCTAAGATTTTCTGAAATGCTTTAGGAAATGTTGTGGACTGCATGACTCCCCTGTGTTATTGATGTCAGGAAATCAAGCAGAGTGTAGATATATGTCAATCAATAACTTTAGATAGGAAACGGAGTCAGTGGAGAAGTATGAGGAGCTTAAAAAGAACCCTAGGGCTTTAGGAAGAAAAATCAGGAGCTTAGAGAATAAAATTGATACTTTGGGATAGAATATGAAAGCCCATGGATAAACACTGTGGCTGGTAGATGCTGATCAGAACTAAGGTAGACATGCCAGAGCCAGGCCCTGGATTTTAGAAGAGTATTGTGCTAGGTTCTTAAATGTTACTGTGCTTTTTATCACCGACTTTAGAATAACAGCATATTCTAGGGAATAACACTAAATTTGTAAAATTGTTTTCCTTTTTGCTAATGGATTAGATGGAATCTTCACATCTATAGCACACTAACTGGTTTCTATAATAAATACACTGATCAACTAAAACTGTTCACTAAAATTTTTAGCAAACCAAAGTGATTAGTTCTCACTGACATTTTCTCATATATGTAACACATAAAAAAACCCTTTCTTATCTCTGAATCTATAGTGTATAGTTATAAATATGCCCTAGTATTAAGAGTATACTTAACAGCTTTAAAACATTTTTTTCTCTCTGCTGTCCTGATATTTCTGGATCTAGGTTTAATAGGGACATGTATAGGCAAAATCGGCTAGAAAATGAGGCCAGCAGGGGGTCTTCCGTGACAATCATTGTCTGATTCCTATTTATAGTGGCATCAAGTGGGAAATCACTTAAATTATCAAGTGACTTGATTTGTCATGAGTGTAGGAAAAGCTGCTTTAGAGCATAGAGAACATTAAGGTTTAAGTGAGGACTGCATTTGCTCTGAAGAATTGAATGGCAGAGGAGTTGGGGTGTTTTTATGTTAGTCCCTTTAAAAATGATAAGTGATTTTGCAAGGTGCAAGGGCAACTATTAAACCGAACTCCATCCAGAATCTATTATACAATCCAGGATCTACACTAGCCAGGAAGCGTTGGCAGAAACTGTACAAATCTGGGGGTCACTGTCGTGGTGCTGCTGTGAGTTCTTTTGCTGATGGTAGCTTGACATTCATGAAGGATGCTTATTTAGCCTCTGTCATGTCATCTGATTGTGCTTGCCCCATAGTTAGTGTACTGTGAAAAAGAGGAAGCTTTCTGGGAGTGTCAGAGATGAATCCCTTGATCTCTCTGGCTTCTTGATAATCCACTGTGATGTATGCAGCCTCCCCTGTCCAATGCTGTGGAATCCCTATATTATTGAATGGAAGAGAGAATTTGCACTTGAGGGAGCAAGGAGAGGAGGAAGTTTACCAAGTTTGATTCAAGCACATTGGTTAGTGGAATAAAGCAAGCTGTGCTGTTATATAGTTGTTGGTCTTTCAAATTGCCTCAGAACCAGAATAAGACAAATGAGGGCCAGAGTAGAGGTTGCTAGAGAGCTGTGTATATTGTTAGGTACTGATTTGGATGACAGTGATTGCTATAAGCATTTACAATACTTCGTAGTTTAGCCACAGTTGTCCCAGATAGCTGCCCACAGCTTTAAAACATTTTTAGGGTGTCTGTTGCCACCCTAGTCCGTTGACACTGCATGGAGATTATTTCTGTGACAGCAGTCTTCACCAGTGTTAAGGAGGCTGGGAGTTGACTCTGTTTCCATAACCATCTAATTAAATCAAGTGCCCATAATGGAATTTGAATAACTGCCTAACTTTGATATTTAAACAGAAACTTTGAGGAAAAACAAGTCTCTTTTTGTAAATATATTCTACTTGTTAAGAAAAAATAAAGTAGATCATGATGTTCATCTGAAAATAAAAAATAAAAGAAAAAAATGGACAAGATGTTAAAAAAAAGAAAAAAGATCAAAGTCTTGAATGGAAAAGAGGCTTCTTGAATTTCTGCAGCTATCTAAACTGCAACTCCACAGTTTTCTGTTAGTTAAAACTTATTGACTCACTCTGTCTTAGTTTCACTCACATTTTAGGTCTGGAATTCCAAAATATTTAGCAGAAAGTGCTGTCTAATTGGGATATAATATTATGCTTTTTTTTTTTTAAGCTTTCCATATTTTTTTCAGCAAAGTTTGGCTAAGGACATCGGAATACAAATTTTCAGGACTTCTTCTTATCCCCCATTAAGTCCTAAAACCATGATAAGATTCTAAATCAAACAGTTTTACATCTGTTAATAAAATGTTACCTTTTGTTCTTGTAAAATTTCATGAGATTTAAAAAAAAGGTCTACATATCTCCCGAGAGAGAGTTGTTGTTTTATGACTATTGTGTGATTCCCACTTTAAAATGAAATGTTTTGGATTATTTGGACCTTGAAGGAAGAGCTCACTATATGAGCAGTTATCATAATTAGTAGTTCTTTTTTTCTTTTTTTTTTTAAGATAGTTCTGTTTGGTAGTGGACCAACTATTAGTTTTCAGAAGGGTTGGTTTGGATTTTTGTTTTAATTACAGTCTATATAATTAGTTCTCAGCATGTTGAGGTAAAAGAGAATTGTACCAGCAAGCTCCCAATTTCTTCATCTCATTAGGTTTTTAACACGATTATTAGTATCATAATCAGCTATGATGTTTTTTGTTGCAGGTTTTCACATTCTCTGATTTGCGGGGTGTCTTGATTGGCTAATTTGGGCAAATTATTTTGATTGTCTTGATGATGGTTGGCTGATTAGAACACAGCAAGGGCATAATTTCTTCCTGTGAAACGTTGCATTCTTTTGTTTTTTGGTACCAGAATACTAAGAGGGTTTTTCTTTGTGTACATTCAATTATGATATTTGCCCATGACACTAGTAGAATACTTGGAAAGCAAATACATTGATGATGGAATAAGCATGAATGCTTTCAGTGGAAAAACTGGCAGTATGAGGATGAGATAGGATAAAAGAATTTACTAAAACTGTAGGATCAGACTTTTAGATTTCTTCTTTTCTGTGTTTTCTGTGATTCTGTGGTTTTTGAGTGCCAAAAGAGATTACTTTTTGTAAGAGTCTTCAGACTTCCATGTCACTGAAGAATTGCTTAGTAGTTCCACTTTTCCATTGCACAGAGGTTCTTGCCATCTCTTGTTCTGAATGTTTAATACTTAAATTGAGGATTTTACCGGGGAGTTACAAATTTACTCAGAAGTTTAAAAAAAAAAAGTTGTTTATATGATCTCATGACAACTTTTCTTAGCTAACCTTAATGAAAGTGGTTTTTCTAATTGGTAGTCATTGCCCACCTCTGCCAAGAATTAGTCAGTTTCTTCATTATTTGTATTAAAGGCATTTCCATTCAAACTGCTTTATATGCCTTTCAGTTACTACAAATTTTCTTAATTGGTTTAGTGGAAAAGAAAGCATTTTTTATTACTGTTTTGTTTTTGAAAGGAAATGGTTTTGATCCTATAAATGTACATAATTAAATAAATGGCATCCTAAACAAACATTTTAATTAATTAGCTAATAATAGTTAAGGCGGAATAGAAAAGTGTGTGCGTAAAATATCATATTATCACTTTCCTTGACTTTTCTTTCAGAGAGTTCCATGGAAAGATTTTGTCATTCTTCCTTTTTTGACATTTGTTACTTTTTAGGTAATGCTCTGAAAGCTGTACCTCACTAGAATAAAACCAAAACTAGGTTATATAAAACCATGAGCATGATATTTATCGACACCTCAGCTGAATGCATCTTACTTAACCTTGAAGTCAGTCCTATGTGCTTCACTCTCATAACGGGTGGGGGGGGTGTCAGAGAATTATTTAGAACAAAACTTGAGGAGAAGTTCAGTCCTGTGTAAAATCCACTTTAAAAAGGCTTTTAAAAAAGGATTTCCCTGAGGTTGGTAAATGAGCTCCTAGGAACCTTTTAAATGCAGTCTTACAGTTAAAATACCAAGGAAAAGATAAAAAGATTTATTAACTGTGCAAGCTTTAGTTAAGGTGAGAGTGAGGTGTAACACTTATGGAACGTATTCAAGAAATTTTCAGGAAATTCAAGAACCACAGGTTTACAGCATGAGTTTTGCTTTGTTTGCTTTCTGCTTTTTAAATTTAAAGTCTTAATTTCTGTGTTTTTGTCTCATCAAAGAGAAATCCTCTAAATGAGGAATTTAGATTATAATAAAAAGAGAAAGGTAATACTCTGCCCTTGAGAGATCAGAGGGCATGGGCTCTGGCACTAGAGAGACCCAAGTTTATCTTCCAGCTCTGTGATTCTGAGCATATACTTGAGCCAAGGCTTCTGCAAGATGAGGGTCACAATATCTACCCCTAGAGGTTGTTGAGAGCATCAGATAGGACAACACATGAGAGTACCTGCCACCAGAAGATTTTCAGTCCATGTTTCCTTCACATTTCCTAAAGCTCATTGAGGATGTGTAGGCAGCTAGTCCCGGTCTCTCTGCCTTGTACTGATAAGTGTTTGATTATATTGCACTCATAATGAAGAAGATGCCTAATGAAACCTCCTATAGAGGCAAATAGTAATGATTTGATTCCAGCACTGCCAGTAGAGCTTCCCATCCGAGAAACAGGGGTATTTGGCATTGGTAAGTTAAATTTCAGAAACTAATGAACTCTGCTAATTGAATTCATCTTTGTTAATTAATAAGGTTCTAGTAAATTGGGTTTTTTTTTGTATAATGCCCTACAAAAAAGCAGGAAGACCTAATGATTACAAGTTCACTAGTTCTAACCTTATTCTTTCCTATACATATAGTGGTAGTGACCAAGGTAGAATCTTATATTTTTCTTCATCTTCAAATGTTATCATTTAAACCCTTGACATTATTGACTTGAGAATAAATGTGAAAATCATGGACTGAGCACTCTATACTGTCTGAGTAGTTTATATTTTAAGAGTTTCTTAAAGAGTAACTTGGGAAATCAGTCCATTAACTACTATTGCAGTGACTGTGGCACAAGGGTATATTGGTTTTATTTGCTGGGTTGTGCCAAGAGCAATACCTAGCAAAAAAATTTTTTTCACTTGGGAGATTTAAAAAATTCATACATTTTTTTTCCCCTGGGAGAGGGTAGATACTAAAATTAGGTTTATAATGTGGTGATTCTCAAATTTGGAAATGGGGTCAAAGTGATGGTTATGCGGAGGATCATTCATATATATTTCCTGGACTAAGCTTAGGTAAGAAGCATGTTTTTCTAGAAAACTGTCTTCTAAATGCTTAACTGTTTCTATACTGTTTGTTCTCAAAGAGCCATGTCTATGAACTACTGACACATTTTTCCCCCTTCTTTAATACAGAGAGAATTCCCTAAATTTTTTACATTCCGAGCAAGGGATAAGGTAAGGATTGATTTCTTTCCTATTTAAAAAAAAAAATTACTTTTTCTTAAAAGCCCAAGAGCGGCTTATCTTTGCCATACGTTCTTCTTGCCATTCTTTTTTCTCTTATTGAACTTGTGCTTCCTGTTGCCTTACATGTGTCTTAGAACTAAAGCCAATTCCTTTCTGAAAGGGTTTGGTTTGGGAAACAACCAAATGTATTGAGCTACTCAACGAAGGTGATACCTTTCCAAATCATCCTTGTCCTGTAGAATGATCCTAATGATGTGATATTAAAGGACCATTCTTGTTATCTACAAATAGTTCACTGATACTCAACTCTACTTTATGTGAATTTGTTTTTCAATTTTAAAATACAAAACTTCAGACCATGTTGCTTTCTTCCTGTTACCGGCTTATATATTTGACTCTCTCTCTCCATTCACTCAATTGACATGTATTCCAGAAAAATACTTTAGTTTCACTGAAACATACAGTACATATACAGTAAATACAGTAAAGTTATATACTAATACAACTTTTAAAAAACATATATAAGTAATTATATATCTATGGATATAGTGTTCCAAAGCCAAATATCTCTTTAATTAAAAAATTGTATGATGTTTCTTTGTTGAGTATTTATTATGTCCTTTGTACTTATCATAAGTGAGAAAATTTTTAGATTAGTTGGGTAAGCTCAAAACATTGGCATGTGAAGTAGATATTAATGTGAAGCAGCCTGTAATTAATATAAAAATGAATTATATAAAGACATTAAATGTTGTAGGAGTTCTAAGGAAATTGAGGATTTTTTGTTTGTTTTTCATGTATATCATCACCACTTGTAAAATCATAAATGATGAAAGTTTAGGAATATCATCCTATAAAGTACCTATATAATAGGTACTTTAGTGCCTAATCTTATGTAAGCTGTAGCATTAGCCTTGAATGTAGCTCATTTTTGTTGCTCATTAGCACATCATAGCTTATGTTTCTATTTTCAGGCATCTCTTTTACATTCACATTCATAGTATAATTTTGTAACTGCCTCTTGTGAGCTGTTTTTTCTCTGATTCTTGTACTCAGTTTGAGGAGGATCGTATCTATCGTCATCTGGAGCCTGCTCTGGCTTTCCAGTTAGAGCTGAACCGGATGAGAAATTTTGACCTCACTGCCATTCCATGTGCTAATCACAAGATGCACCTGTATCTCGGGGCAGCCAAGGTGGAAGTGGGCACAGAAGTGACAGACTACAGGTTCTTTGTTCGTGCAATCATCAGGCATTCTGATCTGGTCACCAAGGTGGGTGCTGTACTTTAATGGGATGTTATCCCTGAGGGAAGGGACAGAATAATAGATATGATTCAAAATTAGGTATTATGCTTCTGCTGAGAGAGAACATAAAAAAAAGATCAGGTTTTCATTTTTTGAATCAAGGTTCTTGTTCTATTTCAATGTTTACAAAAGTAAATATTTCATATAATAAAGGCTTTTTTTTTTTTACAAAGCAGAAAGTGCATCTGAAAAAAAATAAAAAATGAAGGCTCTTTTTCCACTTTAATTTGATTTTTCTTGGTAGCAGAAGCATAATAACACTCAAGAAAAGAAAAAGCATACAAACAGAAAAATCACAGGAAGAATTGGGTGATGGTAGAGCATAAGGAGATAAGTTAGGAAAGAGGTGATCCCATTGTACACCTGTCTAGAAGTATGGGTAGTGTCTGTATATAGCAAGGCACTTCCTGATGTGTTCATTATTATTATATCCCATAGCCGTACCCTTTCTTCAGCTTTTCCTTTCTAAATAGCTCTGTTTGGCATATGTGAAATATCATCCTATTGAACTTACAGCTATGGGGATGCCCAGTATTTCTACCTCTTGGAAGGGAATGATGCACTAAAAGTAAGGAGGAAGGGCTGACATGGACTCTTTATCTGGCCCTTTCCTGCCCCTGCTCCCTGTGGTTACTGGACTGACTCTAGGGAGAAAGATAAACAATCTCTTCACCAAGTGCCTTATGATTCATGATATACTGCTGCTTAAGTGATTATAATAGCCATTTCTTTATTGCCTCTTTTAAACTACATTAATGTTGATTATTTTCTTCCTGTATAGGAAGCTTCTTTTGAATATCTGCAAAATGAAGGGGAGCGGCTACTCCTGGAAGCCATGGATGAGTTGGAAGTTGCTTTTAACAATACAAATGTCCGCACTGACTGTAACCACATCTTCCTCAACTTTGTGCCCACGGTTATCATGGACCCATCAAAGGTACATTTCTCCTTAGCTTCTCTCCCAGCACTAGCAAGCATAAGCACAGAAGTTCATTCATATTTATCTCACTTGGACTTGGAAACAGGTACTCCTTGTTCAGGCTGTTGAGCCCTTAATCTGTAAAGTTTATAGAATGTTTATAAGATTGAGTTTCTGGGACAGTGTCAAAAATTTGATATAGCCATTGAAAAAACAGTTCTCAAAACTGAAGGTTTTGGTGTTAGCTTGCTGGTCACTTATAAGCAGTACAAAAACATGAAAACATTTTCTTTTGTTGGTACCTATTTTATATTTGCCATAATAGTGGTCCTGTTTTGTATTATTCCCTACTATTTCTCATCTGGAATTATTAATTTTACTGTTACTAAGCATTTTGGCTAAATTACTGCTTCTGTGCACTAAATGTTAATCACCTGGTGGCCTTAGTGAGATAATGCACCTTCTCAAAGTGTCTAACCTATCTCTCTTTAGTGTTTTTCCACAGGGAGAGAATTTGGCTGATAAGGAATTTCTCATGTATTATGTATATTTTCTTCCCTGAGGGTCTATTCTGAAATGCATTCTATATAATTTAAGGAAGAAAAACAAGGTGATTTTGTACTTGACCTTTTATCCCAAGTGTAATAAAGACAGGCTGCTCTCTGTTTCTGCTCCCTCTAACGCTTTCTTTCTTTCTTTTTTTTTTTGTTGAGACAGAGTCTCGCTCTGTTGCCCAGGCTGAAGCAGTGGCACCATCTCAGCTCATTGCAACCTCCACCTCCCAGGTTCAAGAGACTGTCATGCTTCAGCCTCCCCGAGTAGCAGGGACTATAGGCATGTGCCACCACGCCCGGCTAATTTTTGTATTTTTAGTAGAAACGGGGTTTCACCATGTTAGTCAGGCTGGTCTCCAACTCCTGACCTCAAGTAATCTGCCTGCCTCAGCCTCCCAAAGTGCTGGGATTACAGGTGTGAGCCACCGTGCCTGGCCCCTTCTAACTCTTTCTATCATGATACTGTGGAATTTGGATAGGAGAACCAGTATCTCCCTTTTTCAAGATCAGCTGTAGGCATGAATTTTTGCTGCTGCTGCTGCTTTTTTTTTTTTCTTTTTCTTTTTTTTCTTACAGAAACAGGGTCTTGCTATGTTGCCCAGGCTAGTCTTGAACTCCTGGCCTCAAGCGATCCTCCTGCCTCAGACTCCCAAAGTGCTGGGATTACAGGCATGAGTCATCATGCCTGGTAGACTTTTGCTTCTTGAACTTAGTATCTGAGATCTGAGAAGTAGTTTTCTACCTTTTTCCCTTAAAAATTCCAAGCTAATGATGGGTTGCTTTAGTTTGTAAGGAACGCCAAGGACAGGGCTACTCATTTGACTCAAATCTCATCATCTAGTTTAAGCAAAACTTCTCCTAAGCATTCTGGGACTAATAAGCTGGGAAACTTAAAACATGGCATGGACACTGTACAGCTGTATTTTTTTTTAGATTTGGCTTACCTTTTCTCTGAGTTTTTCAGATCAGCCTCTGCTTTCATTCTAACCACCCATATACACTGGCTCTGCTTTTCTAATGATAGATAGCTGCCAATTTTCTGTACATAAAGATTGTTGGCTTTTGTTCCCTCAAGAAAAGAATGGGTAAATATCTCTTGGTTAACAAGCAAGTATGATAATAGAGAGGTTAACTCCCTGAAATTCATTCTAACTTAAAATTTTGTGGTGCAGAAACAAACTGCAAGGGTGGCACATGCTACTAAAGAACCACAAGAGAAAGGGAATGTAAGATATTCTTGAGATTTTCTAAGAAGTTGAGGAAGCATTTTAGAAAGATACTTCATTTAAGGATACATTAAGTTCGAATAGCATGTTCTAGCTGCATTATGTTCTGTGCAGCCATGTTGGGGAAAAAAAGTTTTGCTTTAGCATGTAAATAACAAGAAATCATGTCTAAGGCCATTTAGTTAAAATAACTGTCCTACCCCTAAAAACTAAGAGCATTAAGCTGCCTTGGTATAAACTTAGAGAAATGTGGGAACATCTGCCCCATCTTATTAAATCCTAGGTGGACTTAGCAGTGGCCAAGCTTCAGAGCTCTGTTTAGAGAGAATGTTCTAGCACCACCTACAAATTGCCTTTCTTTAATTTGTGCAATTTACCAAGAGACATATATTATAAAGTTTAATAAAACTGTATGAAAAAAAGCTCATGGTGGTAATTGCTGTGTTGATTTAAAGTCCTGTAAGTGCAGTGAAACATAGTTACCATGCATATAAATGCTACTTAATAGCTATTTAACTAGAGATTTTATTCTTATTTGGGGCTTCCTCTTAAATCCCATGGCTTGTAATTTTAGATACTGCAGATCTTTGATATAGAATATGAATATAATTGGGAAAGGGGAAGGAGTTGCAGAGATTTGGGTGTTATTATCGAGAGAAAACCACTCAAATGCCAGGCCAGCATGAAATTGTCCCTGACTTGTTCCAAGAAAGAATAGTTTGGGGAGAAACTATCTGACCACTTTTTGTAAGGTGTGCATCTCCACAAACCAACCTCTTTTTTTTTTTACCCCTTCTTTCTCAAATATGAGCAGACCTGAAACAGGTCTTAGTTAGAAGATATTTAAGTTTTGTGCTTGGTGATGTGTCTGTGTCAGATTGAGGAATCCGTGCGGAGCATGGTAATGCGGTATGGAAGTCGCCTGTGGAAATTGCGCGTCCTCCAGGCAGAACTGAAAATCAACATTCGCCTGACGCCAACTGGAAAAGCAATTCCCATCCGCCTCTTCCTGACAAACGAGTCTGGCTATTACTTGGATATCAGCCTATACAAGGAAGTGACTGACTCCAGGACAGCACAGGTACAATACTCAAACAGGCTCCTCAGAGTTTTGATTTGGTCCTACAGATAAGACACTCGTCCTTGTTATAGAAGACCCACACTCACAAATCCCATTGGTTCACCTGGTGGGATTATCCTCTATAAGATTAAATGATTGTATGAATTTGAAAAACTTCATCTGCCTTATAAGATTTGCCTATGTTCTCTATCATGGATGTTATAAAACCCTTAACCATTTGTCATGTATTGGTAAGCACTAACAGATGCCAAGTGAACCTGACTCCAGAGGTTATTCTGCAATTTAGGCTCTTTTTTTAGAGGGCTCGTGGGTTATTTCAGCAATCTAATCTCTGGTCTGATGCGTCCTTTCCGTTTTCACCATAATTAAACTACTCATTGGCAAGTGAGGAAAAGAGAATTGTTGGATTTATGTCACCAACTTCTATGTTAAAGAAGGAAAATTTCAACATAGTATAGTGGCATGAGCACTACCATCATCAGTGTCTATCATATTTATCTATTGTGTTCTGTTTCTGTTTTTATCATATTTATTGTGTTATCTATTATGTTGTTCCCTTTCCTTCAAAGATTTCAGGGTGTCATATATTATACAAGAGCAAAGTGGCAAATTTAAACCCGTTTTCAGGTAGGAAAACTGAGAATGTAAAAATAGAAAGTGAGTCAGTACACTAATTCTGTGAAACAGAGAATTCCCTTTTAATCTTTTTTACTACGTTGGTTTCTAAATATTTGGGCTCTTTACTATGATACTGAAATTAGGTTGGTTCACCATTGTTCACATTTTTGAAGAACTAGGATATTTTATGGCTTTGGCCTGAATTCAAGAATTGCATTTCTTCTGATTAAAGGATGAACCTGCTCCAGTATACATAAACAAGGGTTTCAGTCTATTCCGTGCTTTGGGTGCCAGGGAGAGATTATGTGTCTCTTGTTTTTATCTATATCCTTTTAAATCCAGGAATAGAGTCAGGAAAATATATTTTTCAGTCTTTTGAAGATGAATTTTTAAAAATCTCAGTTTGGACAGTAGTCAGAATGACCTTTCATTTTGTGCTTTGATTCCTAGTGAGGTGGCTAGAGAAATCTATCCTATGAGAAGTGAGCAGTTAAAAACAGAGAGAGAGAGTGCGCAAGAGCGTGAGTGGTGACCAAGAGAAAGAGTGTTCAATATTTTTTGCTGTATTTGATGTTTTTTTAGTGCAACTTTAAAGACATTTTCAGTCAAAGCTTTCAATGGGTAGGGATGTTTTTAATTAACTTCTACAATAGCTTCAAGGCAGGTCTATTCTTGTGAAAAGTAAGATGGCCACTTGAGATTTTAATGTTTTTGATAAATATGTTTGTTCTTCATAACTACTTTCTTTCTTTTTTTTTTTTTCCTTTCCTTTATTAGGAAACTCTGAGATTTCCCTCATGCTAGCTAATGGTGACACAGGAGTGTGAAAGGCACAGATGCCTTCAATCAGGGTTTAGTATTACACATGGTACAAAATAAGCACACAATAAGCATCTGAAAGAATGAACAAACCACCTTCAACCTGAAGGAAAACGCTTTTTACCTAGGGTCCTGCATATTTTAAAAGCCCTGAAGGAAGAGGTCTTCTACAGACTCTTCACTTGAGAGAGTTCAAGAGCTACTGCCATATGGGAACTAACTTTTGAGCCTGTGGCTAGACGTGGGAACTGACAAAAGGAGCAGCCTCCAACCCAGTTCTGGTGCTCCTAATGCCTACATGGTGCTTATTGTCAAACTGTTTTTCCCTTTCTTTAATGAATCATTGTATGAAGTTAATACAGAACCATGTCTGTTATTCGTTCATTTGTTTTTTAATTTAATATTGATTGACTACTTATAGTATGTCAGGCACTATGCGTATAAAGAGAAAAAGCAAACTGTACTCAAGAAATTTACATCACAATGGAAGAAGACAAATGATTTGTTTCTCTGTGGCAAATATGTGCTATTATAAATAAATACAGTGTTCTAAGGGAGCAGACTATGGGTCAGAAATTATTTTCTAAAATAATTTTGATGGCTTCTGGTGAAAGGTGTGTGATATATAAAATGTGTACATATTTTCATGAACTTCTAAAACATATACTTTACAGTTTTTAGTTACTGCGTTCATTATAGTAGAAAATGGAACTAACATAGATAGTTGAGTATTCAGGAACTCCTATTACTATCAGCCTCTTGCCCTAGCACATCATTTATTCATTCTGCCAATAAGGAACAAGGTTGATTGGCTTGAGTTTTATTTTTCATTTTCCTTGTACAGTCTTTGTAGTATAGGCTGTAATGAACACTGATGTCAGGCAGTCATAATGGGGAGAAGAGATTTGGGTAATCCATTGCATAAGTGAATTGATTTCCAATGTGCAGTGTAAGAGAAAAATAACATTTTAGGCTGGGCGCAGTGACTCACGCCTGTAATCCCAGCACTTTGGGAGGCCAAGGCAGATGGATCACCTGAGGTCAGGAGTTCGAGACCAGCCTGACCAACAAGGTGAAAGCCTGTCTCTACTAAAAATACAAAAATTAGCCGGGAGTGGTGGCAGGGGCCTGTAGTCCCAGCTACTCAGGAGGCTGAGACAGGAGAATTGCTAGAACCCGGGAGGCGGAGGTTGTAGTGAGCTGAGATCGTGCCACTGTGCTCTAACCTGGGCAATGGAGCAAGAATCCGTCTCAAAAAAAAGAAAAATAACATTTTAAAATCATCTTTGGGCTGGGCATGGTGGCTCATACCTGTAATCCCAGCACTTTGGGAGACCAAGGTGGGAGGATCACATGAGCCCAGGAGTTTGACACTAGCCAGCTCAACAAGGCAAGACCCTGTCTCTACCAAAAAAAAAAAAAAAAAAAAAAAAAAAAGAAATAGCCAGGCATGGTGTCATGCACCTGTAGTACCAACTACTCAGGAGGCTGAGGCAGAAGTATCACTTGGGCCCCGGAGTTTGAGGCTGCAATGAGCTATGATTGTGACACCACACTCCAGCCTGGGCGAGAGAGTGAGACACTGCCTCTAAAAATAATAAATAACACCTTTATTGAAGTGCAATTTACTTATAATAAAATGGACTCGTTTTGTGTGTGCAGTTCAATTCATTCTGTCAAATGTATACACCGTGTAAGTACTATCACAGTTGTGGTAGATACATCACTGCAGAAAGTTCTCTTATTCGCCTTTGCAGTCAAAGGTAGAAGCACCAACCCCGGCCTTAGGCAACCACTGATCTGCTTTCTGTTACTATAGATTAGTTTTGCCTATCCTAGAATTTAAATCAAACAGTGTGTACTATTTTGTGTCTAGCTTATTTTACTCAGCATAATGTTTTTGAGGTTCAGCCATGTTGCATAGATTATGTGTATGTTCCTTTTCATTTTTGGATAGTATTCCGTTTCATGGATTTTTTTTTTTTTTTTTTGAGACAGGGTCTCACTATCTTGCCCAAGCTAGAGTGCAATATTGTAATCATAGCTGACCACAGCCTCGACCTCCTTGGCTCAAGCAGTCCTTCCACCTCAGCCTCCTAAGTAGCTGGGACTAAAGGCGTCTACCACCATGCCCAGCTAGTTTTTAAATTTTTTTAGAGACAGGGTCCCACAATGTTGCCCAGGCTTGTCTCAAACTCCTGGATTCATGGGACCCTCCCACCTTGGCCTCCCAAAGTGCTGGGATTACAGGTGTAAGCTGCCATGCCCAGCCCCATTTAATGGATTTATCGAAATTTTTACATTCATTTATCAAAATGTTTATATTCACAGATATGTTTTGGCAGGTAAGGTGACTAACTGGGAGCTCTGACATGTTCCAAGGAAACAAGGCTTTCCAGAGTTTCCATCAGATATAGCTTTGACTAGCAAGGGGCACCCCCAAAGGGCAGGCAATATCTTGACACTGTTTTCATTTCTATTTCATTTGGGGATGGGTGACTGCCAACTCAGATATTAGATGGTTCTTTATGAATTAATGGGAGGAATGATGAGAATAGAAGTCTCTATTGAGTAGGAGAGAGTAAACTAAGACCACATGCTTGTGATGATAGTTTACAACGATTTGTGTGAGGAGTTACATGTATATTTCCTAAGTCCATATTCAAATTATGGATATTAAAAAAGACTGGCTGGGCATGGTGGCTCACACCTGTAATCCCAGCACTTTGGGAGGCCGAGGTGGGCAAATCAGCTGAGGTTAGGAGTTTGAGACCAGTCTGACCAATATGGAGAAACTCCATCTCTACTAAAAATACAAAATTAGCTGGGCGTGGTGGCGCATGCCTGTAATCCCAGCTACTCGGGAGGCTGAGACAGGAGAATTACTTGAACCCAGGAGGCAGAGGTTGTGGTGAGCCGAGATCGCACCATTGCACTCCAGCCTGGGCAACAAGAGTGAAACTCCGTCTCCAAAAAAAAAAAAAAAAAAAAGGACTGAAACTCTAGTTCTCATTTTCTTTTCTTTCTTTCTTTTTTTTTTTTCCTTTTGAGATGGAGTCTCACTCTGACGCCCAGGCTGGAGTGCAGTAGCACGATCTCGGCTCACTGCAACACTGCAAGTTCTACCTCCCGGGTTCACACCATTCTCCTGCCTCAGCCTTTTTTTTGTATTTTTAGTAGAGACGGGGTTTCACCGTGTTAGCCAGGATGGTCTCGATCTCCTGACCTCGTGATCTGCCTGCTTTGGCCTCCCAAAGCGCTGGGATTGCAGGCGTGAGCCACTGCGCCCGGCCCTCTAGTTCTCATTGTCTAATTTTCCAAGATAACCTGTTGATGGACATTTGGGGTTTTATTTCCTAGTTTGAGCTATTAGTAGTAATAAAGCTGCTGTGAACATTCATTTACAAATCTTTGTGTAGATATATTTTTATTTCCTTTGGGTAAATACGTAAAAGTGTAATTGCTGGGACACAGTAAGCATATGCTTAACTTTATAAGATATTGACAAACTGCCAAAATATTTGTACCATTTAAATTTCTGCCAGCAATATACATATGTAGCTAGATTGTTTTCTCCAATCCCCTTCCTCAGTGCACAATTATGTTGCTTAACTATGACCAGCCTGTCTTCATCACAAAGCTTGGCCAAACCGAGTCTCAAGGTCTTGTCTCTCTTAACAGACGAGAAATGTAGTTCTAGGAACCTGCTGCGTTTACCCCATTTTCTTATTTTGATTCAGCTTACTTGCTCTGAGTACAGTTTTCTCATACTGTACCCTTGCCTTACTTAACACTTTGAATCTCTTAAAACATTATTGCTTTTACTGACACATTCCTAAGACATTACTAATTCTGCTTCCCCCCGGGTGACTTTTCCTATTGATCTTGTGGAAGAGGACTGGGAGCTCCAATCTCTGGGTCTTTAAAACAGCCTGAGACATGTTTTCCCCAGAACAGGACCTGATTGACAAATTAGCAGAACATTCATTCCTCTGAGCTAAGGGGCTAAGGATTTACAGATGAACTGTACCCACGATTTAGGAAGGTACTTAATTCTATTCCTGTGCATATATATCAGGTCCACAATCTATTCATTAATGGTAGACTTGTGCTTATTTTGTAGGTCTGAATAGATATGTAGGTATACACATACCCTTACATCCCAATCTCCATTTGTATTCACTGCACTGGGAATTTATATTTTATGTATCCATGCATGAAGTGCCTAGTTTAGTGTTATACAACCTCTGGGCACTCAATAAATATTAATTGAATTGAAATAATGGCATCCTTTATAAATATTCATAAGCAAATAAAACTATCTAAATATATGGAGTATGAAGCACTCCTCTAGAAATATTTGAGTTAAAATGATTAAAAACCAGTGTAGTGATTTCATTATGTGACAATATAGGTATTGCAGGAGCTATTCACTAGTTGTAGACAGCATCTTGAGGAGAAGTAAATACATGTATATATATATATATGTTTTTTAATATACATAATTTAATATAATATGGTTATTTTACTATATGTAAAATATGAGGCTGTGTCTCATGGGCTAGTGAGAATTAACTATCTAGATGGATGGATGAAATCCACTTCTGGCAGAAATCTTTGAAGCCTTTGCATAGCTAGTAATACTTATGAAGTACCATCTAATCAAGTGGGTTAAAGGACTAAAGCACAGATGATATACTAGAGTCTTGATCTGGCCTTCTGCCATTGAGGAAAGAAGAGAATTATCTTTACTGCATAGCTGTTCTTCAACTTCAATACCAGGGCTGCTCAGACTGGTTAGTTGATGTACTTCATTTCTGAGTATATGAGATTCAACTCACTTTAGATGGCTAGCATGGTCAGTCTGTCTTTGAGATGCGAAATGTGCACCGTGCTTTCTTGTTTATTTCCTTTTTTTTTTTTTTTTTTTTTTTTTTTTGGATACAGAGTCTTGCTCTGTTGCCCAGGCTGGAGTGCAGTGGCGCAATCTTGGCTCACTGCAAGCTCCACCTCCTGGGTTCACGCCATTCTCCTGCCTCAGCCTCCCGAGTAGCTGGGACTACAGGCGCCCACCACCACGCCCAGCTAATGTTTTTGTATTTTCAGTAGAGACAAGGTTTCACCATGTTAGCCAGGATGGTCTCGATCTCCTGACCTCATGATCCTCCCGCCTTGGCCTCCCAAAGTGCTGGGATTACAGGCGTGAGCCACTGCGCCTGGCCTTCTTTCTTGTTGATTTCAACTAATCTAAAAGTGAGAGCAGTTATGGTATATGGCTGGTTATATATATATATTTTTTGGAGTTGGTTAATCTGTGGAGAGGTGAGAGCACCAAGTACCCAGTGTTAAGAGGCATATCTCAGCTACTCAACCTACCAAAAATGTTTTCAAAGAGATAATATTTGTGCAAAAAAAGCCCCTCTAGGCAGCTCTCTGATTTTTTTCTGTCTCTTAACTCCCCATGCCATTTTTTTTTCCTGCAGATCATGTTTCAGGCATATGGAGACAAACAGGGACCACTGCATGGAATGTTAATCAATACTCCATATGTGACCAAAGACCTGCTGCAATCAAAGAGGTTCCAGGCACAATCCTTAGGGACAACATACATATATGATATCCCAGAGATGTTTCGGCAGGTAAGATGCCTAACTGGAGGGTCTGACATGTTCTAAGGAGGCAAGGTTTCCCTGAATTTCCATCAGATGCGGTTTTGGCTAGAAGGGGGCACTCCAAAGGGCAAGAAATATCTTGACACTGTTTTCATTTCTATTTCATTTGAGGATTGGTGACTGCCAACTCAGATATTGGATGGTTCTTTATGAATTAATGAGAGGAATGGTGAGAATAGAAGTCTCTATTGAGTAGGAGACAGGAGAGAGTAAACTAAGGTTATGTTCTTGTGGTGATAGTTTACAGTGACTTGTGTGAAGAGTTACCTGTGTATTTCCCAAGTCTATATTCAAATTATGGATATTAAAAAGGAGATCTGATACTTTAGTTCTCATTTTCCAATATAAACCTGGTTCCTAGTTGATACCCTAGATTAATATGATGAGAATCAATATAGATAGCATAGACAAATGGATATAGAGTTCATGGTACACAGTTTAGAGTATAAGTTCTTTTGTGGGAGATTTGTTATAGCTGAATAAAAACTAGCATGAGAAAATATGACATTATGAATCTCAGCCTCTATATGAAAACAAATTCTTTCAATCTGTATGGTGAATCATCTCTATGCTGCAGATTTTTCTTCTATCAATAGAAGGCAAGAAAAGTGTATCACCAGTAGAAAATGCAACCAGTAAAGAATAAGGTATCAAAAGAATACTGAATTTGTCCTTTTTAAAAAAATCTATGAATATAGGATTTTTCCAAGTCTCCTAGTCAATACTACCAGTATTACCACATTTGAATTTTAGTAAAGTAATATATGTAGCCGTAGTAAATAGTCTGTGTAGAATTCCTGTGTTATTCACAAATACAAGAGATTACCTTTATGCAACCATTTGTTTACAAGTTCTGTCTCCTGAAAGATACCTTCATTCGGTATTTCCCTTTTATAGCATTGCTAGCCTAAAAGCTGAGTGTTACTTCTGTTTCCCAATGCCAGTGCTATAAATATAATATAAATCACATTCTATATAAATATAATATAAATCACATTCTAAGTAATTCTTCCTATATAATAGGCATAAACACAGTGATTAGGACACATAGGTATGTATGAGTCACTTGGGATTCAAATGTTGCTTTGAGGCAAGCAAAGAAAGAGCTGAATTAGCTCCCACTTCACAAAGGATTTACTTACAGGAAGTTGGAAATGGAAATCATAATATTTTTTAAATGAATTGGTATGTCTGTGTCAAAATTGAGCAGAATTGATCTGCACATTTACAAATAGTCACACACATCTAGTGAGCTAATTCCTGTGTGTGGTCCTATAGCTATGAAAAATATTAGAAAGAGGTTTCTTCCCTGGAATTTCTAGTAGAAGCTTCATTCTGGCCTTCTTGGATTTTCTTTTTATTAGCTGAGCGTCATGTCATTTTCCTGGATATTCCTTTGTTGTCAAGTTTCTTTAGGATTTTCCTTTTCTTTGTTTTAAGGAGTCGATGCTACTTATTTAGTTTTTTAATTTTAATATTCCTAGGATAGTGTTAGGTCTTTCCTGTTTGTTAATGCTCTGGTGCTGATTTGGAATCACTCAGTAGTTTGACTTTTTGGAAAAGTGCCTGACTTTTGGCATGTAAAAAGTAATTACAAATCTATTTTAACTGAGAATGGGAGCTGGAGAATTTAGTCTAATGTTTACACTCTGCAGAACACTTGGAAAAGAAGGCAAAACCAGATTGACTGAATCTTAATAATTATTTTTGTCTATATTGAAATTATTGTGACTGATTAGTCAAACTTCTTTTCTCCACTAGTCCCTGATCAAACTCTGGGAGTCTATGTCCACTCAAGCATTTCTTCCATCTCCCCCTCTGCCTTCTGACATGCTGACTTACACTGAACTGGTACTGGATGATCAAGGTCAGCTGGTCCACATGAACAGGCTTCCAGGAGGAAATGAGGCAAGTAGTTGAAACCCCCCTTCCCTTTCTTATCTCTGTGCCCACTAGTACCAGCTTTCTGTGAGGTGGTCATTAAATAGCACTGGAGCATGGTAGTCTTGTTGGGAGAGTTCTTTAGAGAGAGCATTGACTGAGTATCAAGAAATTATTAATTTTTTAGGTGTGATAATGGTATTATGATTTTGCTTTTTAAAATAGTATTGTTTTAACACAAAGGACTCAGTTTTAAAAAAATAAAAAGGAATATTGTTTTCTTTTAGAGATACAGACTAAGACATTTACAGATGCAATGATTTGCTTCTAAATAAAGAGGTGTGAGGGTGGGTGTGTAGATGAAACAGGGTTGGTCGTGAGTTGATCATTGAAGCTAGGTGATAGGTACATGAAAATAGATTATTTTCCCTGTTTTTGTCTATGTGTGAAATTTGGGGATTTTCTTTTTTTCTTTTTTCTTTTTTTGAGATGGTGTCTCGCTCTGTCACACAGGCTGGAGTGCAGTGGCTCAATCTCAGCTCACTGCAGCCTTGACCTCCATGTCTCAAGTGATCCTCTCACCTCAGCCTCCTGAGTAGCTGGTACTACAGGTGTGCACCACTACACTTGGCTAATTTTTGTATTTTTTTCTTGAGATGGGGTTTCACCATGTTGGTCTCAAGCTCCTGAGCTCAAGCAATCTGCCTGCCTCAGCCCCGAAAAGTGCTGGGATTTTAGGTGTGCACCATTGTGCCCAGCCAGGATTTTCTATAATGAAAACATTTAAAGTATTGTTTTGCTTAATGTTTTTTCTTATTTGGATTCATATTAATAAATGCATTTTTCAGTGTCTTCTCCATGCTCAATTCATTTGATCTGGTGCTGTTGTGAGCATGATAAATGTGTTCTTGAAGGGGCTCAATCAGAATTAGGGGTTCAAACATAAAAAATGTAGCAAAGAACCCATTTTTTGATAATTATCCCAAGAATGCATTTTCTAGCCTTGGCATCCTTTCTCTCAGAGTAACCTATGAATAGTGATATAAAGTCCTATTTTGCCCTATACTCTTATACTCTTGTCCATGCATTATGATTCTTTCTGATTTTAACTGTGCTCCTAATGTACAGTTATAACAATGATAATACCAGTAACAAACCTAAAAAGAGAGATATTTTTATTTCAACCTTAAATATAATCCCTAGAAAGATTTCATTCCATTGAAGGAGTAATCTTTACCTGTGTTTTCACCACAAATAGGCTGGGTAGACCTTTGGAAATAATAAGCAGTTTGTTTCTATTTTGCTCAATCTTTTTCAAAAAATTTCACTATATATACAAGGTGTGTGGCTATTTCAGTAATATGCCAGTGGATGCCAACAGTAGATGATTTGGTATCAAGATGGATGCAAGCATTGGACCAGATGGAGAGTATCAGACTTGTAGGAGTCTCAACAAATAGCAAAGTCAAGAGGACTGGGGTGGAAGGATGCAAAACATTTTGACAAGCATAGATATATACTCATCAGCACACGAAGTTGAAACAGAGGTTTCTGCCACTGTATGTAGCATCTGCCTAGTGAGCCCCTCAGCAGCAAAGAAAAGCTTCATTGTGCTAGACTTAAATTCTGATTCATTGAACAGTGTAGTCTTCAGGAATGGAAGGCACCCTTGTGAACATGGGGCTGAGAGCAAAATGGTTTTAACTAATGTAATTAAAACACAAAATGAGATTTTTGGCCACGTGAAAGCTAGCTGCAGTGCTGTGTGAAACCCCTTGCCATGATCTTTCTTTCCTGCTTTCTTTCTGCCCTCATTCTGTGTTTGAGCGAATGGAGACTCAGGGAATAGTGAAGTCCCAGAGGGACAGAGCTCTGTTCTTGCTGAAATTACAAGCACAGAGCTGCCTGGGCATGAACATGTAGTGTTTACTCTGCCAGTATGAATACAAATAGTCTTATTATACGGGCCTCTGTACCCAAAGACCACACACACACACACACACACACACACACACACGAATTTTTTAAAAATTAAAGGTTTTTTTTAACCCCTTTAAGACCTAACAAACCTTAGTGGAAAAGATATGTCTTAAACAGTTGCATAGGACTATAGCTATGACTAGTAGTAGATCTAGTATAGGAGCCACATGTTTTCCTTTGTCCAGTGCTTTAATAGTTTTGAAACCAGAAAGTGAATAGTATTTCTTCAAAAGATTTTGAGTTTTTGTCAGTTCTCACTTTCTTCTTGTTCTACAGTTTTCCCTCCTTAGTTGCCTATTTTCTTTGTTCTGTTTTTCTTTTCAAATGATTGACTAGGATTGAGGCTGAGTGTTAGCTTGCTGTTTCTGAGCCTTTGAGCTTGGGAGGAGTTAGACTGATGTTCTTTTGTGAGCAGTTAGTGACTAATGCCCAGGATGGCTGGTGAAGTCAGTCATTGGCCTTAGCTAGATTATAGGGCACTGCACAACAGGAATGAGGTTGGGGTGTTAGTATCAAACTCTGCTACCAATAGCTTGAACATACAATGGAGCATGTCCACTGAGAGACTGACCAATCTAAGGATGGAGTTTCAGCAGTCAGAACTCTGAGGGACAGCTGTGCCTAAGAGATGACAAAGTGTCAGTAGGATGTATTTCCTCGTGCTGAGCCCAGTTTTATCAGGGCAAGTTGACTTTCAGCTATTGCGGTTTAATTTTCTTTGGCCAAAGAGCAAGTTTGTCATGAGCCTGGCACTCTACATATTACCCCAAGAATGATGTGAAGGGAATGAACAGAGCTCATGCTGATGAGATTTGGAGTAAATCTGTCCTGTCCCAAAGAGAATGGGCATCTGGACAGAGCCTTGAGAAATAGTTTTATTACAAAAGAATAAAAAATTGACCTGTTAATGTTCTGAAAGCCAAGGCTCAATGTAAATGCATTGGTGCTATGTAGACATTAAATCATCATAATGTGGTGTTCTCCAAAAGTGACGGCTCTACCAGGTCATCATTGTGGGTGGTATTGCATTACCTTCAAGGATTGGAGTTTCTGAGTTTGAAAACTAGCACATGGATGTAAGGAGTAAGGGTAAAATGAGAGATTCCTTCAGAGTTTTCCCATGAATTGAGGTGCTTTTCTCCATGATCGAAGGCAGAAAACCTGCACTTATCAGACCATTGGCTGTATGGGTGGCCAGTCTTTCTAATTTTTTTTTCCAGGACAGTAAATAGGTAAAAAGGTGATGGGACCAGGACTTGGACCAATTCAGTTCCATTTAGTTTTAGGTAACTTCTTTGCCATTTGAGGAGGAATATTGGCTGTTTCAGTAGAGATGTGACCTGCATTTTGAACATTTATGCCTGTGTTTAGAGCAGGAGACAGAGCTTTTCTGATGCTGTATTAGCTACTGTCTCCTTTCTATTTTCCTAGTTGTCCCTTCCCCATAAAGAAAGATGTAACTAAAGGAGTACCACCTAATGCATGATGAAAGGTATAGGAGAACACATTTTTCTCATTGTCATATTTGAATGGCATTACATTTAGTATGACTTTAGAGTAGGAATAAAAAAGATGTAGACTAAATCTGTGAACTACGTTACTTGCAGATAGCTCCAAAGATGAGTTGTCCAAGATTTTTCTTAATAGTTTCAAGTAAAGATGAAAATTGAGGAAAATGTGATTGCAGCATAGACTAAACGGATCTCATTTCTAGCTGCTGTGTTGGTACAGTGATGGGCACTGTATGTAAATACACAGCTAGATGAATGTGTGCTGTTGAGCCTGGATACAGAAGAAATGCAGCTATCCAACAGTTCTGCTTTACCACTTCTCAATTTTGGAGGAATTGTTTTCATTTTCCTGCCAGTTTACTAACCTGTTTTGATCTTTTGGTGGAAGCTATAATTGCAGGTGGGGACATTTTGAGTAACAGTTCGCAATCCAGTACAGCTGCTTTTCGCACTAAATCCTGTTATTAAAAAGCTCAGGCTAAGATCAAGCCAAGGGCTGTAACGGACTTGACAGAGAACAACTTAACTTTGCCTGGTAGGACAAAGAAAATCCTAGCCTTCTTGAGACTATGCTCTTGTTTATTCTGAAATAAGTTACTAGCATTCTTTTATTTTATTTCTTTTTATCAGCTCTGCGAACTAGACCAGTAATCTCTAAAGTGGGCAATGCTGAAAGATATGTTAGAGAGTCAACTACCATAGTAACTTTAGTGCTAGTAGAAATTAGGACCCTGTTTTTCTTACCATATCAGAACATGGGCAGCTTTTTAACATTCTGTCTCATCATGCCTGTCATAATGAGAAACTGAGATGAGAAGACGATGTTGCGATGTTGTATTTGGAAGCAGTTATAATAATTAGGTACAAGATGTATATCCAAAAAAGGGGTTGGTATTCAGAGACTGGAATTCTTGGTATAAAAGTTTTTCTGGGAGGAAAGTATATTGAAAATTGAATGCAACTGGGGCCAGGCGTGGTGGCTTATACCTGTAATCCCAGCACTTTGGGAGGCTGAGGCGGGCAGATCATGAGGTCAAGAGATCGAGACCATCCTGGCCCACATGGTGAAACCCTGTCTCTACTAAAAATACAAAAATTAGCCAGGCGTGGTGGCGGGTGCCTGTAGTCCCAGCTACTTGGCAGGCTGAGGCAGGAGAATCGCTTGAACCCGGGAGGCAGAGGTTGCAGTGAGCCGAGATCGCGCCACTGCACTCAAGCCTGGTTACAGAGTGAGACTCCGTCTCAAAAAAAAAGAAAAAGAAAAAGAAAAAAAAATTGAATGCAATTTGATGGTCACCTCTACACACACTACCACTCTTAAGAATTGTGGTAGCTCTGAGCCTTCATTTTTTCAGATGGGCGCTAGGTGTCAGGGTTTTTCCTTCTCAGCAGCTTAGCATTCACATGAGCCTTGTGAGTGGCCTTGTTTGTTGAGGCAGATTCACTGGTGTCCTTCTTTTTTCAGTTGGTATAGTAGCCTTTACCTAGTGTTCCTGCAATAAGCAATTGCAATTTTAACTCTTTGGTTGAAGATCCTTTGAACCTTGCATTAGGGATCTATTTTTTTTTTTTAAAGAAGAGGATGATTGAAGAGGAAATAAAGTAGTGTAAATTAAAGTTTAAAGACTAGCTGACAGCCAGGCGCGGTGGCGCATGCCTGTAATCCCAACACTTTGGGAGACCAAGGTCGGCGGATCACTTGACGCCAGGAGTTTGAGACCAGCCTGGCCAACATGGCAAAACCCTATCGCTACAAAAAAAAAAAAAAAAAAAAATATATATATATATATATATATATATATATATATATATAAATTAGCCAGGCGTGTTGGCAGGCGCCTGTAATCCCAGCTACTCAGGAGACTGAGGCACAGGAATCTCTTGAGCCCAGGAGGTGGAGGATGCAGCGAGCCAAGATCGCACGACTGCACTCCAGCCTGGGCGACAGAGTGAGACTCTGGCTGAAAAAAAAAAAGACTAGCTGCCATCATGACTGGTATTTTGGTTTTAGTCCTGCTTTATGTTCTCAGGGGTGAAATGGTAGGGACAGTGGGGATTAGGGGTTCAGTTTTAGAACTGCTAGCCCAACTAATACCCATATTTAATTATTGTTTTAATTGTTGGCAATGTACTGATATCCTATGTCTCCCAAAGTATAGCATCTCATTAATTTTTTTATTTTAAACATATAAAAAAATACACAGTGATATGACAAATACCCCTGCATCTACTGACCAGCTTAAACAAATCTTACCATTTTGACTGGGCTCCTCACTTACATGTTACTATAATCCTTTGAATCTCTAATTTGAGTATCAAAAAAACAATTTAGGAGTTGGTAGGGAAAGGAAGTTGGTAAGCTTATATAAGCCTAAAAGATTAGAAGAAATTAATTAGTAGATCCATTTTGACAGTTCTTAGGCTGGACCTCTTAACCCAAAGGACCTCTTATTTTAGAAAAACCACCATAACCCTCTGTCTTAATTCACTTGGTTGACATTTTCCATACCCTCAAAGGAATTGCTTGGGTTATCCTGGACTCAGATTCTAGTGGAAAGCATTATGTTCTAAAACTCTGCCTGTAGAGAGTGTGTATATGCTTACGGGTTTTGGTGGTGAGAAAAGGGTAGGCCATTTCTCATGAACACAGGACCCAAATATTTAACATTAGATTTTTTAAATTGTTTTACTCAATTTAACCTCAAAATAGCTCCATGAATGTGATGCTAATTTGGATGTACTTTACCTTGCTTTTGTTTCATTCTTTTGAAATCAGTTTGCCTTTTCATGCTGTGTATAGAAATTGAGTCAGTGTCAGTCTTTTAGATATGTGTTAGAAAAGAGGCATATTTAAATTGTACTATGCTGAAGGTGAGTTCTGAAATAGACCTAAGCGAAGCGGGTCTGTAAAACAGGACCATGGTCTATGCATTGATTGTTCAACTTATAAAAAGGGTCTTTGCCATTAATCTGTCCCTAAAGATAGGAGAATGTTTATAAGTGCTTTGGGATCCTCAGCAGAAAAGGGTCAAATACATATGATTATGTATAATTATGATTATCCATAAATGATTATGATTATACATAAGTATTCATAATTTGTGCTTGCCTTATTTTTCATCAAGGCTTTGAAAAATCAATTTTGAATCCTTGAGATTAAGTATAGAGAAAGATATATTATGGCATATATGGTAAGATAATTTTATGTTAATTCTATGTTTTTGTTCTTTTATTCCCATTCTAAGTAAGTATATTTGGCTGCAAGTCTTTGTCTAAAATGATCTTCCAAACCAAACTTGGATCCCTCATTAGAAAAATATGGAGGCTAATTTTGAAAAATAAGTCTTCCTACCATGGAATTACTTCTAATGAATTTCTGACACTGTTCTTTTGGGATGTATATACTTTTCTCAGAATTCCTTCTGAATGACTATTATTGGTGTTGGAGATTTCTCATCAGGTTGAGTAGTTTTTACTCATTTTTTTGATAGCAAAATGAGGCTCAGTAACCTTGATTGACTTTGAAAATCCTAATGCATCCACTGGCTCACTAAAGTAGTACTTGTGGAGGGCTCCTCAGTTTCTTTCAAAAATAAGTCTAGAGATAGCCTTCAAACAAAAGAATGTACTTGCCAGCATATTTATACCTGTCTTAAGTTGTAAGATTTTACTGAAAAAGAATGTGACATAGTACCCTATGTCAAGAAACTTTACAGCTCCAACCAGAGGCAATAATGAACATCAGGACAGCAACAGATGACACCAGAGAATGAGGAGTAGCGGGGGGCACCAGAGTTCAGCACTCATTCGTATGATTAATGGACAAGGCTTCTGGGACTATAGTAGGCCAACTTGGTTAATTTCCATACCAACCAATTAATCCTGGGCCCCATTTCTCAAATACCGCTGGCTTCTATGTGCTCCACTGCATGTTTGTTAAAAAATAATTCCTATGCTTATTAAATTACTGTGTGTACATGTGTAAAATTACTGTGGTTTCATGTATATAAATGTTACAGGGAGAAATAATTTCCCTGTTCAAAATTGTTATTTCTAATCTTTGATAACATTTTCAAAGAATTACCTCTGGGATGAAAATTTTTTGCTCTAAGTTATATTTTTCTTACCCTTTTATCGCTGTTTAGAGAGGTTGAGGTGAGTTTGTTCAGCCATTTTTGAAGTAAGCCATAAGGCTTAAAATACAATATTTGACTTAATTTGTGCCATTTGGAAAAGCCATGCTGAAAAATATGTCAATGCCTTTCCATATTGTATTATTTGCCAGATATCAATGTTCTATTATTTAGTGTTCTGTGATCATGTGAAGGAGCTCAAAATAATTTTCTTAAGAGCTGAAAAACTCTTTTTTTCATGCTTGGATACAAGATACAAAAGGGGGAAAGAGGTAACATTTTGTTATATATCTGAGAAGGGACTCAAGTTCAGATTCCTGCTCTCTGGATCTTAGTTTTCTCATCTTTATGATGCAGATGATGCCCAAGTCTGGGTTAGCGCTAACATGCTTGGATTCTTTGTATTGCTGCTCAAGGGCCTTGCAGGGTAGTCATCTTCCTGGCATTAGCAGAATTAGAACAATAGGTTTTACAGACTCTTCCAAAAAAAACTCAAGATCATTTTAGCATGAATATAGCAAGGCTTTTAGCATGAATATAACGAATACAGCTTCAACATCTCAGCCACAGCCTAACCTGTATTTAAATCTGTATGGAAAGGTATTGTTAGAGCTCAAGTCAAAGTGTGGAGATGTAAGAAAGGCAGCTGTGGCAAAGATATTCTCTTTCTGCTTCCCACAGCATAGCTAGAGTTGATGGATATGTCTTTCACCCTTAAAAAACAAAATCCTGGCATGTTTTGCCCTTAGCTTTTCCTGCAAATTTCTTTGTTGAGCTTAATATTGTTGTTTTATTTTGTAGTAACAACAGCAGCTTTGGGAAGTGCCTGTGTGTGCTTGCACATTCTATTCACATTGATAGTACAATTAATGTTGATGTCAATTTTGGTGTTAATTTTGGGTCATGATTAGTGTTGACACTTTGTGTCAGACTAATGGCATTTATGGGCACCATCAGAATAAATGTTAATATTATCATGTTTTCACTATCTGTTATAGTAACATTAAACCAAGGTCCTCCCAGCAGAAAAAATACATATATGGATAGATAGATAATGCCTTTCTGTATCGCTGGTGTTACTCAGCGAGAAAATGACATCTCAGGGCAGAATCCTAATCACTGTTTGGAGCATCAGAAATAATGATCACCTCTGATCGGAGGTTGTGAATAATTCATTTGGTTTGATTTTCACGTCCTGTCCAGTGATACTTTTCAAACCAAATGTGTTTCTACAGGAAAATAATGGTCCCACTTCTTATGGAAATACTGTGGCACAAATCATTTTACCCACATAAAAACAGTTAAATAAGACTGTTCTCTTCTGCTTGCTTTCTCCTTCCCATCCCCTCCTCCCTCACTTGAGCTGTTCATTCCAGAATCAGAATGTAGCCAAAGAAATATGTTCTGCCTTAGAACTTGTATAAGGGAAACAAATATTTATTTCTGCTTATCCTTAGCTTATTCACTGTAGCTCTTTTCATCCTCTTCCCTTTTTCACTTTAAGATAATCAGCTTAGGTTGATAACCCTAAACCTAATAAACCTGCTCGTTGGAATGTTCTGTTATGAAAAATGATCTGAAATTAAATATTTTAAAACTTATTCATGGCTATAGTAATGACAAAATAATTTGTAGTAAGTACCTAGGACCACTTGTTTAGTCAGTGCATGAGAGAGGCAGTGATCAGAGAAGACGACACTGGCACTGCCCGTTTGAGTCTAAAACTCATTAGACCATAAACCCACCCACTTACATGCGGGCTACAGGGTACCTTTTTGTTAATTTCTTAGCTCTTCCATCTTCCTTCAGCTCTTAGTCCTGGCATGTCATTTTCACTGGGTTTCACCTGGATAAAAATGTTGGAGAGAAAGAGAAGACCCCCAAAAAGAGGGATTTAATGATGGGGTCTCCGTTAGTCATTATTCTTCAATTAATATACATGCAGATTGGGCTTAGGTGAAATCAATGAATGTCACATTGCTAATCACATTGTCACACTGTGTATACTTTTATAGTGATTGTAGAATTTTCGATATGAAATCTCCATTATGTATATAATATAGATAGACCCATCTATAGAAAGTAATTTGACTGAAAAACTTAACAGTGTACTAATTAGAGAGTGAAATATGACTCTCTTCCAAAGCAATGATCTAATCCTTTGAGATGAAGCTATTCTTAGGTAGAATATTTTGAACCATTTCTCCTGAATGTTGTAACCCTTTTTTATTTTTCCTAAATCTAACAAGGGCAGAGGGAAGCATTTTTCAATCTAGTTTTCATCATCAGACAGAAAGTATTTTGCATTCAGAAACCATTTCCAGTATCAAATTCAATTTTGTCAGGTGATTAGTTGAGTTGGGTAGAGAATAATTTAAAAACACAAAGCTGGAAATGGCTATGGTGCTTCTACACTGGAGGAGAGCTGTTGCTATTCTCAAGTTGCAAGCTTCCTCTCAGTGACTGTGCATCACAACTGGATTATTGTGTTGTATGTCTTTGCAGCTGTTACAGACCTGCATCTGTTGACACCATGTGTTCCTACCCAGGACTGGTAGAAGAAATAGGGGAGTGGGTGAATGAGTACCTTCCCTGCCTATCAGTGCAAACGTCCTTTTATGTACATATGTTTGTAAAGTTCTTTAGCCCTCTTCAAGATGAAAGGTTCTGTATAAATAAAAGCTTTCGATTTTAGTACATGTTTGTAATACATGTGGTACAGTCCTAAATATGTATTTAGCTGATACGCACTGTTCTTGTCTATTGTACAAATATTGACTTTAAAAATATAAATATGTATTTAACCATCAGACCAGAAAAACACTGAAGCAGTTACTTCTGAGGTAGAGACATTAATATTGTATAAACCTATATATACATATGTTTACACTCTACCACATCATTGCAGAGCATTTCTTTTTAGAAAATGAAATGATAACCCAACAAACTAACGTAGTTCTTGATATTTCTTTCTCTTTAAAGTGAGTCTTGATTTTTAATTTTCATACATTTATCTCTTTCAAATTTTATATAAATAAGATCGGTTGTAGTATGACTAAAATCTAGAATTAGTTCCTCTAAAATATGGGAAATCAATTAGGCTGGTGAGATTTTTTTCCCCCCTTAAATTTTTTTTTTTGTTATGGAAATGCTCAAACGTACACTAAAGTAGGCATAAATAATATAAACTCCCATGTACCTATCACCCAGTGAAGAGTATTTGGTAGTTTTCTTTTCTCAGTTATTTTTTATTTTATAAAAAGTTAAAGTTATCAATGCAATATAAACACAAAAAAGAAAATTTGGAGAATGGAAAAAAAATACAATTTCATCATCCCAATAATTATCACCTCATTTTGCTGTTTCTTATTTATTTTTGTTTTTACCCCGCAAAGTGCTTTTCAATTGATGAAGTTGTCATTCATACTATGCACTTACTATATACCAGGCACTATCCTAGGACTTAACATGTATTTAATCCTTACAACAAACTTATGCCGTAGATTTTTATTACCCTTGTTTTACCAGTGAAGGAACTGAGGTACAGGGAGGTTGATAACTTACCTTAGCGTATATGGCTAGAAAGCTGAGTCTCAGTTCTGTCAAATTATCTTAGATTCAGATTCAGAGTCTCAGAATGTGGCTCCTGAGTCTGAACCCTTTTCTAATTTAGTATTACATCATGGGTATTTTTAAATGCTATTCATAGTCTTCATAGTCATCATCTTATAAGGCTGTACAGAACACTAACAGTGATCTTGCTATCCAATTTACTTCCCTCCAAAATAATTTTAGATTTTCAGGAAAGTTACAAAGATCATATTAGAGAGTTCTGGTATACCCTTTCCCAGCTTCTCTTAATGTTAAAACACTTTATGTAACCATGATATGATTACCAAACTAAGAAATAAATATTGATACAATTGTATTAAATAAACCACAGACCTCTTTTTTTTTTTTTTTTTTGCCAGTTTTTGTACTAATATCTTTTTAATTAAGGAACATACTTCCTTAATTTCTCTAGTAAAGAAAATGCCATTTCTTGGCTGGGCGCGGTGGCTCGTGCCTGCTATCCCAGCACTTTGGGAGGCCGAGGCAGGTGGATCACCTGAGGTCAGGGGTTCGAGACCAGCCTGGCCAACATGGTGAAATCCCGTCTCTACTAAAAATACAAAAATTAGCCGGGCGTGGTGTTACGTGCCTGTAATCCTAGTTACTTGGGAGGCTGAGGCAGGATAATCACTTGAACCTGAGAGGCGGAGGTTGCAGCAAGCCAAGATTGCATCACTGCACTCCAACCTAGGCACAGGTTGCAGCAAGCCAAGATCACGCCACTGTACTCCAGCCTGGGCAATGGCCTGAGACTCTGTCTCAAAAAAAAAAAAAAAAAAAGAAAATACCATTTTTGTGTATGTGAAACTCCTTTTAAAAAATAAGCACTTTGGGAGGCCAAGGCGGGCGGATCACAAGGTCAGGAGTTCGAGACCAACCTGGCCAACATGGTGAAACCCCATCTGTACCAAAAAAAAAAAAAAAAAAAAAATGCAAAAATTAGCCAGGCCTGGTGGCATGCACCTGTAATCCCAGCTACTCAGGAAACTGAGGCAGGAGAATTGCTTGAACTCGGGAGGTGGAGGTTGTAGTGACCCGAGATCACGCTACTGCACTCCAGCCTGGGTGACGGAGCAAGACTCCATCTCAAAAAAAAAATAAGTAAACAATTCACATTAGCTATAAGGACAGGTTACTTAATTCCTCTGTGCCTTAATTTCCTCATGGCAATAATTACAGCTACCTTTGAATTAATACTGACTACCATTTGAGGGCTTTTGTGTGCCAGGCTCTGTACTAGTTTAACATGGTGTTGCTCACAACAATACCTCCAGAAAGGTGCTGTCATCCCCATTTTATAATTGGAAAAGTGAAACTGTAAAAGGTTAAGTGTCCAAGGTTATACGGCTAGCATAAAACTGAGATTTGAACCAAGACAGCTTGACTTTGCAGCTTAAGCTCTTAACCACTATCAGTAGTTGTCAACTTTTAGAACAGTACAGCAGATAGTAAATGTTCAATTAATGGTAGTTATTATGATAGCTATTGTTATTTTTAAAATAAAATAGTTTAAGAATATTCAGGACTCTTATTCTATGATTCCTAAAATATAAGTGGCAATGTTCTAAGCCCTTGGTGTTAAGTATTTTTCAAGTGTTATTTTTAAAAGTGAGGCAGGGTGCAGTGGCTCACACCTGTAATCCCAGCATTTTGGGAGGCCGAGACAGGAGGATCACTTGAGTCCAGGAGTTCAAGACCAGCCTGGGCAAGATGGTGAGACCCCATCTCTACAAAAAATAAAAAAAATTAGCTGGGCATGGTGGTAACACACATGCCTGTGGTCCCAGCTACACAGGAGGCTGAATGGGAGAATCACTTAAGCCCAGGAGGCCAAGGCTTCAGTGAGCTGTATTTGTGCCACTGCACTCCAGCCTAGGTGACATAGCAAGACCCTGTCTTAAAAAAAAAAATTAAATTGAAAAAATAAAAAGACTCTGGAACTAGCAAACATTTATTACTCCCAGACTATGTTTAATGTTCCTGGGAAGCACTAGAGGAGATGCTATAATCGTTCAAGATGGTAAGCCAAAAGCAATCCTAGGCAGCATATAATTAGTTATCAGAAGAATTCTCAGGCTGGGCAAGGTGGCTCACGCCTATAATCCCAGTAATTTGGGAGGCCTAGGCAGGAGGATGGCTTGAGGCCAGGAGTTTGAGACCAGCCTGGGCAACATGGTAAAATCCTGTCTCTACAAAAAAATGCAAAAATTGGCCGAGTATGGTGGCACATGCCTGTAGTCCCAGTTATTTGGGAGGCTGAGATGGGAGGATTGCCTTGAGCCCAGGAGTTGAAGGTTGCAGTGAGCCAAGATTGTGCCACTACACTCCAGCCTGGGTGACAGAGCGAGACTCTGTCTCAAAAAAAAAAAAAAAAATTCTCTACACAGAGGTCTTAGTAGGAGATCAGAAAAGATAGGAATTACTTTAGGCTGGGAGAAGCTTTACTGAGGAAATGGAATTTGGATGAACCTTTTGGAATGGGTAAGATTTGGACAGAGTGAGAGGAGAGGAGAGAGAAAGACAAAGTTTTTTACGTAGAAGTTAATATAGTAGATTTCTGCTTCTAATAGTGTGTTTATCAAACCCATGGGTATTATTTTCTTAATTTCGCATGTGGGGACATTGAAGCTCAGTAAAATTAAATAATTTTCTTAAGATCACACAGTTAGTTAATATAAGTGATAGCGCCTGGATTTGGATCTAAGTTTGTTGGACTCCAAAGCCCATGTTCACCTTTATATGCCCTATCCTTTGATTAGCAGTGAAATCTAAATTATTTTAATGTAAATTGAATAATAGTGCTTTCTTAGATGTTTGTCCATCATGCTACCTCAAAACTGAATGTCTTCTGATCAGGAATCTTGCTGCACTGAGACTGGGATAACACTCTCCATTCTGTAATGGTACTTTTTAAGATGGGGGGCGGGGCGGGGTGGGGAGGCGGTCGATGAGCAACATACTTTGGAAAGACATTGATAAAGAATAGTGTGTTCTTGGTGCTGCTGTGCTGACACCTAATTAGAAGTCAATATTGCAAGCATAATGACCTAGCCAATTGCTGAACTTGCTGCCCAAGTGACACAGTTAGAGTCCCCAGGTAGTAATGAAAGATAAGAGTATTATTTGCCTGCCCAGTGCCACATGGTCACAATGTTTACATTAGCACACAAATGCTGAAGTAGATTCTTCAGGGCTTGTATCTAAGCTGCTTCTGGCCTATGTGCCTAGGGTTAATATATCATAAAATTTGGTGTAAAACGCAATCTTTCTAACTACAAATGCATTTAGAGGAAAATTGACAGAAAATAGCTTTTCATTCCTGAAAAACAAAAGGTTTGGGGTTAGAGGGGCATGTGTGAAGGCAGATAAAGCATTTCTCCTCATGCAGGGATTATATTAACTAGCTTCTTAGAAACCACAACCAAAATTATCCTGATATTTGAGTGTTCACTGTGTTATTTTTTGAATGATCTATTTTTCCTTCCTTTCTCTGTCTTTAATGAGTAGATAGAGTAATACCTTATCTTAGAAAGTGATTGGATTTTTTTCTGTGTATCATATCCATTTTGACTTGTATTTGGCCAATGGTATGATATATTAAATAGCTTATATTTATCTGAGGGTGTTTCATATATATATTTCCTAATGCTGAGAATCACAAATAGCTGTGTAGAATGCTTCAACCAGCCTGATTACAGTGGATGTGCAATTGGATTGAGGAATGTGTACTCAGAGCTTATGATCACTGGCCTGGTTGAGTCTGGGTGATGCATGTGGCTTTCCAGGGATGCCGCTATTTACATCTGTTAATGGCCCTTCTTGATGGCCAGCTCCCCAATGAGGTGATATGCAGCAGCCTGGGGATGAGGGACCAAGGCTGCAGATGTGGCTGGGGCTCCATTAGGCAGGACCAGGGAAGCTCATCTGGTAGGTAGGCTTTGTGTTTGGTGGCGAGTGGTGGGGGCAAGGAGGGGGGTGAGAGACAGAAAGAAAGGGGGAAAAAAAGAATGGAAAACATTACTTATCCAGGTATAGGGGAAACAGGCAGGCAGACATGAAAAACTACAGCTGTAACTAGCGTATGAATGAATAGCATAGAAAAGAAATGGAACTAGCAAATATACAAGTAGAAGGATTGACTAGTTCTCATATAGAAGGGGATTAAAACAGGAGAGGGCTGTGAGAGTTTGGGAAGAGACATGTCACCTCTGCCTTTTAAGTCAATATCATTTATTTGTGTAGCTGGCCAGATGCTGCTGAACAGAGAGCAGAGATTTACATATAGTGCAGCAAGAGATTAGTTATTTCCATCCTTTGGTTTTTCTGGTGCTAGAAGAAAGCAAGAGATGCTCACAAGGATGCAATGTTGAGCATTGGTAAATTCTAGCAGAAATGGAACATACCTGAAACAAATCAGTAAAGAGTGTTTCTGTTATTCCTATCAAATGCTAGAGGACAGTACAAGGAGCCTGGATCATGAAAAGTGTACAGTCCGTGAGACGTCATCCTTTTTCTGCTTCCTTGTGTGTTAAAGGTTTCTTGGAACAAATGTCACAAAAGATGGAAATAGTGTCTGTGATAGTCCATTTGTGTTGCTATAAAGGAATACCTGAGGCTGGATAATTTATAAAGAAAAGATGTTTATTTTTGGATCATGGTTCTGCAGGCTCTATAAGCATGGCAACTGCATCTGTTGGGCTTCTGCTAAGGGTCTCAGGAAGCTTATGATCTTGGAGGAAGGTGAAGGGGGACCCAGCACATGACATGGTGAGAGAGGGAGCAAGAGAGAGGTGAGAGGGAGCAAGAGAGAGGTGGGGGGCAAAGTGCTACACTCTTTTTTTTTTTTTTTTTTTTAGCACCGTGACATTTTTGAGTTAATTTAAGCCACACCTGGGTGAGAGGGCCCTGCACCTAGAAGAAGGTGTTGGGACTCTTGGTGGTGAAGTATGGCTTATGCTAACCATGCAGGACCCCATGGGGCAGTGGGAACTTGATCTCGGAGTCATGGAACTGTTTGACCGCCAGCTGGCAGCACTTGCTGGCCGCAGTCTCCACCTTCATGATCTGGGTGGAGTGGGCCTGTGTGTGATGCCAGGTGCCCATGTCTCACTAGCACTGGATGACAGCACCCATGGTGGTCAAGTCCTGATATCCAGTACATGTTGTAGGTGCTGCTACGGGAGTCGTAGTGCAGCTAGATGCCAGATTTCTTCACCTGCAGGGGGGATTTCTCAAACACCTACCTACAGTAGACAATTTTCCCTGAAGACTCCTTATCTTCTTTAGCTGAGATACCAAGTACCAGAGACGGGACTTGACAATGACATGATTAGGTGCAAGATTCGCATACCATAGAAGGGCAGCATGTGGCATTTGGGGGTGGGCAGGCAGCAACCCACCACCTTGTACTCTTGTAGTGTGCCCAAGGCGTTCATAGCACTCTCTTCATGCTTGCTTTCACCCACAAGAGGCCACACTCTTTCAAACAACCAGATCTAGCATAAACTCAGATCAAAGGGGAGCACCAAGCCATTCATGAGGGATCCACCCCATGACCCAAACACCTCACACCAGGCCCCACCTCTAATGTTAGGAATCATATCTCAACATGAGATTTAGAGAGGACAGACATCCAAACCATATCAGTGTCTTAGTATATATGGCAGTAAAATGAGATATCTAGATTTAATCAACAGTGCCATGGCATTCTTCCACATGTATCCTGAGTGCATTTAGATTTTGACTTTTCTGTCTTCTTTGAGCAGGCCCAAAGAAGGAATTGAGACAGTTTTGAAATACACAGTAGACCAGCTGTTCTCAGCATAATCTAGCAGTATACTAGAATGTCTTTTGTAGTTTCCCACAGGGAGTTTGGCTCTTTAGCAATGTGTATCTTTACATAATGGCTGTGCCTAGGTATACTCTGATACCTTCAATGAACCTGAAAAAAATTCTGCCTGTAAGAAACTTCTGTTCATTTGTTTGTTTATGCCTTTCCAGATTGGCATGGTAGCTTGGAAAATGACCTTTAAAAGTCCTGAATATCCAGAAGGCCGAGATATCATTGTTATTGGCAATGACATCACATACCGAATTGGGTCCTTTGGGCCTCAAGAGGATTTGTTATTTCTCAGAGCTTCCGAACTTGCTAGGGCAGAAGGTATTCCACGCATCTATGTATCAGCCAACAGTGGAGCAAGAATCGGACTGGCAGAAGAAATTCGCCATATGTTTCATGTGGCCTGGGTAGATCCTGAGGATCCTTACAAGGTACACACTAAGAGCATATACTACTTCAAGGTGCTATATGGTTATGCTACATGTGTGGAGAGGTGGGGGAAGGGTAGAGGTTTAAGTTCAAAAATCACCACTTATGGTAAAAATTAAATATAAACAAAATTATTTGTGAAAATTCCTTAAGACACCATATTAAAGACAAATTATTTCTCAATATGTTCACTTGGTTTTTCTTCCATCTATAAAACAGGTTGCTGTTTCTTTGGTTGAGCACTAGATGAAATAGTAGGTATGCATTTAGTGCGAGACATGCTAAATCAAAAATATATATCTTTATTTAATTGTGGCTTCCAGGACTTACGGTCAATTATCAACAAAATCCCTTACCTCCTCATCTTCTGCTCCAACCTCCTTGTTCACCTTGAGATCTGTCTCTCCTCTAAAGATATTGCTTCCCCCGTAGCCCTCTGAAGTACTGACTGATTTCTGTCTTTCTTTTGAACCACTGAGCCTGGAAGGGGAATATTGTCCTCCTTGATCCTCATTGCTGCTTCCAGACACCTCTCCCTTCTCTCTGAAAAAATCCCATCTTTGAATCTCATGTCATCAGACTGTGCCATACCCATACTGCTCCTTGTGTTTCCTGATCCTTTGGTCACTCCCTCTCATTCTTTGCATCTTTTAGTTCCTGGCACATTGCCACTCTGTCCATTACTAATAGTCATGTGATAATTCTTGGTGATTGCTATATCCACATAGATGATTCTTCCCATAATCTGGCCTCTTGGATCCTTGACTTCTTTTCTTCTAGTGGTTCTGTCCTATACCCTAGCTCAGCCTCTCATTCCCCATAATCTCAATTTCAAGTATCTCTTTCTTTGCTACCCCCTCCATCCTCTCTTTCCAGCTTCCTCTCTCTAGTCCAACAATCCTTTGAAATCATCAGTACCATTGAGTTGAACTCACCTGTTTATCCTCCCACCTTTCTTCTGTTCTTCACTCCCTCCTTACACCTCATTTCATTCCTATCTGGCTTAAACTCCAAGGTCAGTCCTTGATTAATCATTATAATCACCATCTTTTCTGCACCTTCAACTTTCTCTCTCAACTTGCTTCAACTTGCTTCTCTCTTCACTCTGCTTACTCTGTGCTTTTACAGAGTGTTTAAATCCAACTCTCTCCATTCTGCTCCCATGCCTGCACCTGCCCAGCTGAACTTTGATGGAGAAAAAAACAGTTCTGTTGACTGATCTTACTTTAAATTCAAGCTTAGCAACCTCCTGGATGACGGTTTCACATCTCTCCCCTCAAACCTGTAACACGCACTTCCCTCTCCCCACTCTTAGCTGATATCATCAGACCTTGCTTCCCAATTTTCAAGAAAAGAGAAACAATGAGAAGAGAGCTTCTACAAGCTTCCATGTACCTGCATCCGTTGTGCCCTTACTCTTCACCTTCTCTTCCACACTTTGAATGAATAGTTCCTACTTCTGTCTAAAGACAATCCCTCCTCTTGTACATTTGATCTCCTTTCTTGCTAACTTAAGTGTACGATCAACACTTCCTCCTGCTCTTTTGTGCATCAGCACTTTTTCCCTCTGTACTGTATCAGCCCTTTTAGCATACAAACACCCCTCCAGTCACTGTCCCTCCCCTCCTTCCCTTTACAGGAAAATTGTTTTAAAGGAGTTGTTCTTGCTGTCTCCAGATGTTCTTCTCCCATTCCCTCTTGAACCCACTTCACTTGAGCTTGCACCCTTACCATTCCACTGAAGCTGCTTTTGTCAGGGTCACCAGTGATTCCATATTACTGAATTCTATGGTGAATTCTCAGTCTTCACCTTAGTTATTTGACAATAGCATTAGCATTTGACACAGTTGGTCATTCCTTCATCCTTGAAATACTTTCTTCTGTTGGCTTCCAAGAGCCCAAAGTCTCCTTTTTATCTTCCTGCATTCCTGGCTCCTCTTTCTCAGTTTCCTTTGCTGCCTTTCACATCTTTAAATGTAAGAGTATTTCAGGAGATGATGGAAATATTCTATATTTTGATTGTGGTGGTGGCTACCTAAGTACATACATTTGTCATAACTCATCAAGTTATAACACTTAAAACTGATGAATTTTATTGCATGTAAATTATATTTCAATAAAGTTCATAGAAAAACTTTATTAAAGTATGGGAATTGATCCAGTACAGGGGTTTTTCTGGGGCTGATGAAAATATTCTGGAATTAGTGGTAATGGTTGCAAAACATCTGAATATACTAAAGTCTACTGAGTTATACATTTCAAAATGGTGAATTTTGGCTGGTTGCAGTAACCCAGCACTTCGGGAGGCCGAGGCAGGCAGATCACTTGAGGCCAGGAGTTCGAGATCAGCCTGGCTAACATAGCGAAATACCATCTCTACTAAAATATAAAAAATTAGCTGGTCATGGTAGCACACGTCTGTAATCCCAGCTATTCGGGAGGTAGAGAGGCATGAGAATTGCTTGAATGCGGGAGGTGGAGGTTGCAGTGAGCCAGGATCGTGCCATTGTACTCAGCCTGGGTGACAGAGTGAGACTAAAAAAAAACTTTAAAAACCAAAATGTTTAATTTTATGTTATATTAATTTTATCTCTTTTTTTTTTAAGAGACAGGGTCTAGCTCTGTCACCCAGGCTGGAGTACAGTGGCACATTCATAGCCTACTGTATCTGCCAACTCCTGGGCTCAAGTGATCCTCCCACCTCCACCTCTCAAGTAGCTGGGACTACAGGCGCACACCACTACACCCAGCTAATTTTATTATTTTTCATAAAGACAAGGTTTTGCTGTGTTGCCCAGACTTCTCTCAAACTCCTGGCCTCAAGTGATCCTCCCACCTTGGCCTCCCCAAGTGCTGAGATTATAGGCATTAGCCACTGTGCCTGGCCAGTTTTTTTAATTATAAAAAAAAGTGAATGGAGACATGTCAGGAGCACAGAGGCTGCAGCAGGACCAAGAAGTTCTGGACTCCCCATTCTCAACCCCACTAGGACCCAATGCCCTCTCACCTGGTGGTTTGGCAAGACAGCCAATATAGAAAGTAGGGTAGAAGGAAAAAAGTGATTCAAGGGCTTGGTCCCTGGACTACTCCTCTTTTCCTATTCACCTTCCCTTGGTGATCTCATCCTGTTTTTTTGTTTTGTTTTGTTTTTTTGAGACAGGGTCTCACTGTGTTGCCCAGGCTGGTGTGCAGTGGTGCGATTATGGCTCAATGCAACCTCTGCCTCCTGGGTTGAAGCAATTTTCCAGCCTCACCCTCCTGAGTAACTGGGACTACAACCATGCACCAGCATGCCTGGCTAATTATTTTGGTTTTTGTAGAGATGGGGTTTCCCCACGTTGCCCAGGCTGGTCTCGAATTCCTGAGCTCAAAGTGATCCGCCCATCTTGGCCTCCCAAAGTGCAGGAATTAGAGGTGTGAACCACCGCACCCAGCCTCATCCAGTCTTTTAAAGCTTTAAGTTTCATGTACAAGCTGATAAACTTCCAAATTTATATCTTACCCCTGAACACAAGATTCATATATCCAGACTCAACATCTCTACTTACATCTGCCTAAATGTCTGCCTAAATTGTAGCTTCTAATCTTCCTTTAATGTGTTCTTCCCACAGTCTTCTGTCTCAACAGATGGTACCTCTATTGTTTCATTTGTTCAAGTAAAAGACCTTGGAGTTATTCTTGACTTCTGTCTTTCTTGCACACCCCACATTCACTTCCACACCCCATTCATCCATCTAAACAGTAAATCATGTTTACATCCCTACCTTAAAATATATCCAGAATCTGAGTACTTCTAACAAATTCCACAGCTACTTACTAGCAGTAGCAGTAGTCTAACTCTTCTTACCTGCATATTGCAGTACCCTCCTAATTGGTCTTCCTGCCTCTGGCCTTGCTCCCAGCCCCACCCAAGGTCTGTTCTCAACAGAATGTAGAATGAGGCCATGTGTGGTGGCTCATGCTCATGCCTGTAATCCCAGCACTTTGGGAGGCTGAGGCAGATGGATCAACTTGAGGTCAGGAGTTCGAGAACAGCCTGGCCAACATGGTGAAACCCTCTGTCTACTAAAAATATAAAAATTAGCTGGGCATTGTGACAGATGCCTGTAATCCCAGCTACTTGGGAGGCTGAGGTGGGAGAATTACTTTAGCCCAGGAGGCAGAGGTTGCAGTGAGTCAAGATCGCACCACTGCACTCCTGCCTGGGTGACAGAAGGAGACTCTGCTCAAAAAAAAAAAAAAAAAAAAAAAGATAGAATGATCTAGTTAAAATATAAATCAGATCACAAAATTTTTCTCCACTTAAAACCCTTTAATAGCTTCCCAATTCATTCAAGTAAAAGCCAAAGATCATATAGTTGCCTACAAGGCCTTACATAGATTGGCTTTCCAGTACCACTCTGCCCTCATTTCTTGCTACAGCCTCCCCTGACCATTCCACACATTGGCTCTACCCGACTCTGCTTTCTTAAACCTGCGAAGCACATCATGCCTCAGTGCATTTGTACTTGCTGCTCCTTCTACCTAGAATGCTTTTTCCTCAGATATCCTCATGTCTCATAGCCTCAGCTCCTTTAGGTCTTTACTCAAATGACACTTTTCAATGAGGCTTTCCTTGGTTATTTTTTCTAAAAGTTCGACTGTCTACCTTCTCTTTCATTTTGTTTTCCTTAAACGTTATTCCCATTTACATTATACATTTTACTTATTTTGTGTATTTCCTGACTTTCCGAGTAGGAGGTATGTTTCATAAGGGTAGGAATTCTTGTCTATTTTTGTTAATTCCTGTTTTTCCAGTGCCTGGAATAGTACCTTGTACATAATAGGCACTCAGTAAATGTGTACTGACTGACATACTAATGACACTCAGTGCTGTCAGGCATTCTCAACACAAATCATGCAAGACCAATCGCAGATTTATGTCTTTTCCGTGTTGTGCTCACTGTGGGACATACATTTATTGAGTTAAATGGTGGGCATAATTTCTCATAGTATTTAAAATGCTTCCCTGTGTTTACTTATTTTTTTGACTGAGTGACTAATTCACTTAAGTTAAACACATATACCATGTAACTCTACTTTGTATGTGGCTGTGTGTATAGATACATATAAATCAATTATGAAATGTTAGTATAATTGTTTACATGTAAATGGGCATTAGGAGTTGTTTATTGAAAAAACAAAAGATCTGAGTTCAGTGTTCACTATTAGCACTGTGTAGACTTCTGATTTTAATATTGAATCTCCTAGATTTGCGGTTTTCTGTTATCCCTTGCTTATATTTATTTTGATGATCCTGTGGATTTGAGAGAGTGAAAAATAGTAATTCACACAATTCTTTAATTACATGTTGATATCTTTAATAGAGATGTCACTAAAGATCAGAAAATGACCCTTTAACCCTGTTGAAAATGAAATGAGGCCGGGAGCAGTGGCTCACGCCTTTAATCCCAGCACTTTGGGAGGCCGAGGCGGGCGGATCACGAGGTCAGGAGATTGAGACCATCCTGGCTAACACGGTGAAACCCTGTCGCTACTAAAAATACAAAAAATTAGCCAGGCGAGGTGGTGGGTGCCTGTAGTCCCAGCTACTTGGGAGGCTGAGGCAGGAGAATGGTGTGAACCCAGGAGGCGGAACTTGCAGTGAGCTGAGATCGCGCCACTGCACTCCAGCCTGGGCAACAGAGTGAGACTCCATCTCAACAAAAAAAAAAAAAAAAAAAAAAAAAGAAAGAAAGAAAGAAAATGAAATGAAGGGAATATACTTGGAATTGCAGCTATAAGGTGTCTTGTTTCAAGGACAGTTAGTGAGTGAAAAAATAGGCACTTCATCTTTCAAAGGAGGACTGTCTGTGCTAGTATTCTGTTAGACAGTAAACCTAAGAAGTGATGTGGCAATTTAAAGCTAGCTGTGGAACAAGCTTCATTATGTATGCTTTGCTGTATCTTCTGATTATATGACAATGGCAAATAATGAGTTAAAAACTATTTGTGCTTCACAGGGATACAGGTATTTATATCTGACTCCTCAAGATTATAAGAGAGTCAGTGCTCTCAACTCTGTCCATTGTGAACACGTGGAAGATGAAGGAGAATCCAGGTAGGTATATATGTATTGGAATAATTTGGTCATGACTAAAGAAAGGAGAATATGGTATTTTTTTCCATATTGTACAGCTGTTCATAACCTTGAAGAACATTGAAGATGACATAATCTAGATGTTTTAGGTTTACATCCAGCTCTACCACTTATTAGCTGAAGAACCTTGGGTTATTGATTGAAGTTTTTAAATTTATAATACTTAATTCATTTTAGAAAAACTGAAACATGTAAACAATTATAAAGAAAAAAAAATTAGCCACAATCCCACCTTCAGGCCACGATTATGAATTTATGTTATACACTTGCTGTCTTTTCTATAGACATATCTTTTTTCTATGTGATTGAGATTATAACAAGAATTTCTTTTATAATTTATCCTTTTCACTAAAAACTATTTTTGGGGAAATTTCGTGTATTCTTAAAACATTATTTAAGAATATGATGCTTAATGTCTACATAGTATTTTATTATAATAAATATATTTGAACATTCAGACTATTTCTAATTTTTCACATCCCTTGGCTGAACCCACTTAAGGGACATTTATATAAGTTTCATATAAACTTTTAGGAATTAAAAGCTCTGATCATCCCTTTTTGGTTAATTTCTAGAAGAGAAATTGCAGGTCGAAAAGTCAATTTTTAAGGATTTTAAAAAATAATTTTAAATTGCCTTCCCAAGATTTGCATTTCTGTCAGCAGTGTAGAATAGGATTTGTTTCCCTCTTTAATTTTTCTTCACCCCTGCCAACATTGATTATTATCAATTAATAAAATGGAATAAAAATGGCAATTGTTATTTTAACTTGTATTTTTGACTCCCAGTGAAGTTGAATGTTTTTATATAATCTATCTGCAAGTATTTTTAAGAATGTTAATTGCTTGGCTGGGCGCAGTGTTTCACGCCTGTAATCCCAGCACTTTGGGAGGCTGAGGCAGGCAGATCACTTCAGGTCAGGAGTGCAAGACCAGCCTGGCCAACATGGAGAAACCCCATCCCTACTAAAAATATACAAATTAGCCGGGCCTGGTGGCACATGCCTGTAATCCCAGCTACTTGGGAGGCTGAGGCAGGACAATCGCTTGAACCCAGGAGGTAGAGGTTGCAGTGAGCCGAGATGACACCACTGCACTCCAGCCTGGGTGACAGAACAAGACTCCATCTCAAAAAAAAGAAAAAAAAAAGTTAATTGTCCTAATACTATTTACTGAAAATTTACTCTTTTGTGTTTTTTTGTTCTGTCTGTCTGCTCTTGGGCTAATACCACACTATTTAAACTATTCTAGTGAGGCAAATTTTCTCACATTTTTAATTTTTCCTCAAGTATTATTGGCTACTTTTGCTTTTTTTAATGTAGAGGGTTTTTGTTTTTAGAGACAGGGTTTTACTCTGTTGCCTAGGCTGGGATGCAGTGGTGTGATCATAGGTCACTAAACCCTCAAACTCCTGAGCTTCAGAGATTGTCCCATGTCAGCCTCCCAAGTAGCTGGGACTATAGACAGGTGCCATCATGCCCAGCTAATTATTTTTTTAATTTTAGAGATAGAGTCTTGCTAGGTTCCCCAGGCTGGTCTCGAACTCCTGACCTCAAATAATCCTCCCACCTCAACCTCTGAAGTAGCTGCAATGACAGGTGCAAGCCACTGTGTTTGGCTAGAGTCTCATGTTTTTCTAATTCCAAAAAAGTTCCATAATGATTTTGATTCAGATTGTATTGAGTTTACACATTAATTTAAGAAGTGACATCTTCATAATACTAACTTTCCCCAAAAAGAAACAGGGTATGTTTTTCCATTTATATGAGTGGGGTTTTTTTTGTTTTGTTTTTACGTTTTGTAGTTTTCTTCATATAGGTTTTGCCAGAGGTTCCCAAACTTTCTTGGTTCATGGCATCCTTAGTGTCTCAGTAATTTTTTCATAGCACCCCTGGGCTATAAGATATACTTAATATTTCTGCTTATTAGGTAGTTAAACAATAAGTATTTGCGTCCTAAGAACTTAATAATCATTTGAAAAAATTATATACATAAATCGAAAAAATTTATTCTTAAATAATTACAGTTTCTTACTAATGAGATATTTGTGTCTGCATAACCTCTCAAACCTTGGAATCAGCTTGGATATAGCCACCCACATTTCTTGTTCTTCATTGAGTTTTCACAGAAACTTCAAAAATCTAGCTTGCAAAGACAGGACATTTTCAAAAGGAATGTAGCACCATTCTAACGTTAAACTGTGAACTACTATGAACTATCTAAAGCTAGTAGTTCACATAGGGTCACAGATACCACATATAATAGTGCTTCTCTCAAAAATTTAAAATATCTTGTAGTGCTTCTGGGAGTTCATCATGGTGCCCTGAGACACAATATAGTTACGGTGAGATTCTGCCAATTTCTTCATGCTTATTTCTAAATATTTTGCATTTTTTCTTGCTACTCTGAATGGGATTTTCCCCTATGATATTTTTTAACTCTTCATTTCTGGAATCTATGAATATTGAGTTTGTTACAGGCAAGTCTGGCTGGGTCCTTGAATATTTATGACTATATGGACCTTATACAAACAGGCACACAAACACATATACAATTAATGTAGTTAATTAACCCCCTTAAGGGACAGTAGCCTCATTTCTGACATAACTTTAGGATAGAGTCTAGATACAGAACAAAAGGAAGAACTGGGAAATTATTGGATATTAGGAGAGGCTAAAAATAGAAAGGCAGCAGAATCTGGGAAGCAGAGATGCAAAGTCACAGACCAACAGCAAGGGCAAAGAAAAAGAATTGATGGAGGGCTGGAAATGAAGAAGGGAGCAGGAAAATATGGGGGCAGGAGGAAGTATTTTAAGAGCCACTATGGGGTACTTATTTATTATTTCAATTTATAAAACTGTGCCCACTGCCAAGCCTTCTGGGTACACGTGGAACAATAAATAATATATGCCCATCTCTACTTCCAACTTTGTATTTTTCCTTTCTTTTATTAGTTGCATTCCCCATCTCCCATTTCCCATTATCAGCTATCACTCCTAATCCCCTGCCAGGAAGACAGATGAGTGACTCCCACTAGATCCACAGGATGCTTTCTGGACAACTTGGTCAGCATTTCACTTCTACACACATTCCACCTTCCCCTCCAGAGGACATATCCAGGGACCCTTGTGTATATACTTGATATTTATGAAGGAGTATGAATGGGAGTTCAGTATTTTGACCTTTGCTTCATCCTACCTTAGAAGAGGATTTTTGACTTGAGAAACTAAGCTGAGCATTCTCACTACCGCTCTGTTTGGATATTCTCTTCCTACGTAAAATTGTCTAAAATTGTTGATATGATGCCTTTTGCTCATTATAGAGATATACATTGACCTTGCTTTTAAGAAACTTGTTCTAGAAAATAAGAGAGGGCATCTAAAATCCGAGGGCCATCTATAACATCAAACCTTTTCCTTGTTTGCTTTAGTTTAACTTTCTTGTCAACCCTTAGAGGTAGATATTATTATTCCCATTTTGTAGAAGTTATTATTATTTCTAGAGTCACACTCCTGTGTGTATCAGAGCAAGGATTTAAATCTATCTGCTTGGCCGGGCGCGGTGGCTCACACCTGTAATCCCAGCACTTTGGGAGGCCGAGGCGGGTGGATCACAAGGTCAAGAGATCGAGACCATCCTGGCCAACATGGTGAAACCCCGTCTCTACTAAAAAAAACAAAAATTAGGCCGGGCGCGGTGGCTCACGCCTGTAATCCCAGCACTTTGGGAGGCTGAGGTGGGCGGATCACGTGCTCAGGAGATCGAGACCATCCTGGCTAACACGGTGAAACCCCGTCCCTACTGAAAATACAAAAATTAGCCGGGCGTGGTGGCGGGCGCCTGTAGTCCCAGCTACTTGGGAGGCTGAGGCAGGAGAATGGCGTGAACCCGGGAGGCAGAGCTTGCAGTGAGCCTTGATTGCACCACTTCACTCCAGCCTGCCAATAGAGCGAGACTCCGCCTCAAAAAAAAAGAAAAAAGGCTATCTGCTTAATTCCAGATTTCGCTCTTTCTATTAAACCATGTTGCTTCCAGGTAAAATAGGCACCAAGCTAAGAAGGAAAGACATATGAATGAAGAGTATAAAAGGAAGCACATAAAGCCCTGGCATTAAATATAAGCTTTCAATACACTTTTAGCCGCCTTTTATTGGTGATTATTCTTTTAATGGCTTGTTGTTACTGTGTTTAACATTCATAATTTGACATGGCCATATCCAATAGGTACAAGATAACAGATATTATTGGGAAAGAAGAGGGAATTGGACCCGAGAACCTTCGAGGTTCTGGAATGATTGCTGGAGAATCCTCATTGGCCTATAATGAGATCATTACCATCAGCCTGGTAAATCTTTCCAGAATGTGAAATTTTTGAAGAACTGGCTGTGTGGCTAGGTTTATTTTTTTCTCTTATCACTGCTATTCAGTCCCAAATGAGAGCATTTCTTGAAGATTGTATGTCTATAATTATATTTTAATCACACATGATAATAGGAAGATAGGATAATATAAATAACTGAATTTTTCAAACAAACCCAGCACTTTGTTTTAGCTTTTAGTGTAACTTCTTTTTATTTTCTTTCTTTTTTTTTTTTGAGATGGAGTCTCGCCCTGTCACCAGGCTGGAGTGCAGTGGCACGATCTCAGCTCACTGCAACCTCCGCCTCCCGTGTTCAAGCAATTTTCCTGCCTCAGCCTCCTGAGTAGCTGGGACTACAGGCGAGTGCCACCATGCCCAGCTAATTTTCATATTTTTAATAGAGCCGGGGTTTCACCATGTTGGCCAGGATGGTCTCAATCTCTTGACCTCGTGATCCACCCGCCTCAGCCTCCAAAAGTGCTGGGATTACCGGCATGAGCTACCACACCTGGCCCCTCTTTCCTTTTTTTTAAGAGACAGAGTCTTACTCTATCACCCAGGCTAGAGTACAGTGGTGCAATCATAGCTCACTGCAGCCTTTACCCCCTGGGCTCAAGTGATCCTCCTACCTCAGCTTCCAGGTAGCTAGGACTACAGGCATGTGCCACCACCTCCAACTAATTTTTAACTTTTTTGTAGTGATGGGGGTCTCACTATGTTGCCCAAGTAGGTCTTTTTTTTTTTGAGACAGAGTCTCACTCTGTTGCCCAGGATGGAATGCAGTGGCGTGATCTCAGCTCACTGCAACCTCTGCCTCCTGGGTTCAAGTGGTTTTCCTGCCTTGGCCTCCCGAGTAGCTGGGATTACAGGCACGTGCCATGACGCCCGGATAATTTTTGTATTTTTGCTAGAGACAGGGTTTCACCATGTTGGCCAGGCTGGTCTCAAACTCCTGACCTCAAGTAATTCACCAGCCTCAACCTTCCAAAGTGCCGGGATTACAGGTGTGAGCTGCCTCGCCCGGCCCCAAGGTAGTCTTGAACTCCTGGGCTCAAGTGATCCGCCCACCTCAGACTCCCAAAGTGCTAGGATGATAGGCATGAGCCATTGCACCCAGCCTGAATTTTGCATCATTGTATTTTCTTTTCTTTGACCATGAAATTTGTGTGTGTGTGTTGTTGTCAATCAAATAGACTTCATAAAAAGCAATGTTTATTTCTGTTAATTTGGATTTTACTTATCTATGCCTTAGTTCTTATAGCTTCAGAGAGGACATAAATATGTGACATGTAGAATTTATTCTTTTCTAAGGTGACGTGCCGGGCCATTGGGATTGGGGCTTACCTTGTCCGGCTGGGACAGAGAACCATCCAGGTTGAGAATTCTCACTTAATTCTAACAGGAGCTGGAGCCCTCAACAAAGTAAGTTTCTAGGGTTTTGAAGAAGTATGCATAGCTGATTGAAGATTATTGTGTGAATTCTTAATTCAAGATCCTGATTGGAAGGAAGCAGTTCAATCCGTGCCTTCCTCAGTCTATCTCTTCCCCTCTCCCTCCATCTTTTCTGCCCATTGACTTGCTTGCCTTTTTATTCATTCATTCATTCATTCATTTCATTTATCAACTATTTTGAGTACTTACTGTTTTCTAGGCACTGTTCCAAGCCCTGTGTATATGTTAGTGAACAAACCATATAAAACCGCTGCTCTAAAGTGCTTATGTTTTAGTGTCGTTGTAGAAAGACAGAATTAATTGAACGCTTCTGTTCTGTCCCACTTCTCTCTTTTTCTTAATCTATTAGTAAAAGATGTGAGGAGATCTATACACAGACATTGAGCTGTCTCTGATTCCAGCTGTGCTGGTTCCCATTTCAGGCCTACATCATGAATTAGGTACCGGCCTAGGTGTTGAGACTATCAAGTTTTAATGATTTTGTGAAATCTGTAAATACACCTCTCGAAAAGGGCACCGATGGTGGTCTCTTGTATATAGAAGAAATATTTGGCAAATATTGAGTGGGAAGATGGGTGGATGGATGCATGGATGGGTTACTGGGAAAGAGTATGCATAAAGATTTATCTTCCCTTCCAAAGAAAGATTTGTGCCTTTTTAGTCCAACTTCACAAGGGTTTTTCCAAAGGGGAAAAAAATGGATGGCAAGGTCACTGCTCGAAAGAGTGAAAACTATCCAAGAATACCTGAATGTATAAAGGACAGTGCAGTTCTGACATCTTTGCAAGCATAGGAAAATTATTTTCTCTTCAGGGCCAGAAAAGTATAATGGAATATTCTGAGGCTGACTGCCCTTGTGCAACTTATATAACCTCTCAGCTCCTCAGCTTTCTTATCTGTCAAAGGGGGATAATAATTTAAACCTTTAAATAATGTGGAGCTCAAATGAGAAAACATAAGTAAAAGTACCTAGTTCTACTGGGCATGCCTAGATTCCCAGCTACTCAGGAGGCCGAAACAGGAGGATAGCTTGAACCCAGAAGTTTGAATCCAGCCTGACAACATAGTAAGACCCCATCTCTTAAAAAAAAAAAGAGTACCTAGTTCTTGGCAAAAAGTGTTGGCCCACATTCAAATTTCAGTTTCCCGTTCCTCTCTCTAACATGATTTGGTGATTGAGCTTATGGAGTTAATACACATACTAAATTGTATCAGATATTATGTTTACTCCACTTGCAGGAACTTTTTATCAAGTCTTGACTTTCAAGTTTAAGGGTAAGAATTAAGTGTTCTGTCATTCCCATTTAGGAAAAAGTTGATAATTCCATTGGTTTAATTAGATTTTGTGGATGTCAGAAATTAGAGGAATCATTTGATGCGATCAGCTTGCTCTGTGCATTCATATGAACTCTGTATCCTCCTCTGGGCTTGCTTTTCTCATCAAGGAAAGGCACAGCAGTGCTAACAGTGGCGAACTTGGCTGTCTTCCTCCCTTTTTGGAGAGTAGCCTGGAAATAAAGGTTGTGAACCACTACTACTGAAGATTATTATTGCAGTGGGAGAAACTGCTGAGAGTCTTAAGGTTGTTGTTTTTTTTTTTTTTAAGTTGCTCTTTTGGATACCTTCTTAGGATGAGATATTGATGAATGCCAAAGATAATTTTAGGTACCATTATCTATGAGAACAGAATTTTTGAAAGATTTTAAAAATTCTGTTCTCATAGATAATGGTACTTTAAAAACCTATATTTCCATGATGTTCCCATACCCAGTCAGAGAGCTAATTTCTGAAATATATCTTCTTATATTGAGTTTCTTTCTCCCCCCTGCCCCGATACTATATTATATACAAAGAATATTACAAAAAGCAGATGTTGGGTTTTTGGTTTTGTTTTGCTTGAAAACTTGCTAGTTGAATTTCATTTGTGCCATGAAGAAACATTAGAGATTGATTTCTTAAAATCTGATTGAATTGTTCTAATCAAATTCATTATATTCACTGTCATAGCTTACAGGGCTGCTTGTTAAAACAAAAGCTTAGTTACAGGGTGAAAGATAAATAAAGCTATAGCTTTAACTTACCAAACAATGCTCACTTCCAAAAGGGCATATTTGTTTTTAGCTGAAGGGAGTGATCAGATACAGAGGTTACCTAATGTTGCTCTGCCTGCTTCACTATCTTCATGTCAGCTCCTCTTAAGTATAGAGCTGTGCTGCTGAAGACACCCGATTTTATGCAAATTCGTTCAGAATATCCTATTAGCCCCTTTGCCTATAAGGTATGAAAAAAGGAAACTACCATGCTCAGATGGCTTCCTCTGACTCACTCCTTCTGTGTGTTGTCTTTGTGTGTGCTGGTGTTTTTCTTCATCTCTGTTTGCCTTTCTTTCTGTAGGTATCTCTCTGTATTGTGTACTTTGGGTGTGTGCAAGTCACCCTGAGTGCATGTCTCTTTCTGTGTGGGTGCTGATCTTTCTGTCTCTTTGTGTCTGTGTCTTGCGTATAGATCCCCCTCTTTCTCTGTCTGTGTGCCGCCCTGTGTGTTCATGTGTGAGAAAGTCTTTGTGTTTTTGAAACATTATAGAGCCTCCTTTCTTAAGCCTTGGCCATTTTGCTCATAGTATGTACCTGTGTAAGGTGGAAATGTAGGAGACATGCAAGCTTATATACAGTCTTAGACTGTAAATATTTGACCCCCACATTTTTGAGTCTTCATCCTTTATGTTAAACATTGGGGTGAAGAATAAGGAGTGGGGGTGTTCAGAGGTTGTAGGGGAAAAAAATCTTGTGTGTGCAAGTGCCGATCCTGTTGACCCCTTTGAAAATTGAAATAATGATAATGCACGTCTCCTGACTGCATCAAAGTATCAGCACATCAAAAGCCAGGAGGCATGAAATGCAAATGATAAAGTGAAAGCAGATGGATTGTGCATGATCGCCTGATGCCCAATGAATTTTAAAAGGTGCTGGTTTGCAGGAAGGGGGGTTGGGGGGTTTTGGGGGGGACTGAAATAAACACGTTATCCCTGCAATTTTTTTTTGTTCTTGATGCTCACTCCTGACAATATTTTTTCACACTTGAGTGAACACCCTCTCTCTCTCTCTCCCCCCTCCTTCTTCTCTCCCTTTCTCTCTCCTCTCCAAATCCCCTCCTCTGCCCCCCCCTTCCCCCCCACCTCTTACACATCTCAGGTCATGTCGCTGCAGCTCCGGTGGAAATAATAAGATATAAACCACGAGGTTGTTATTTGCATAGAAATAGCATGGAGCCCCAGGCAGCAAGGGAGAAGGACACAGGGATGATTTGTCTAAAATTTTAATGAAAACTTTTGCTGAGGCAGAGATTTTTAAAAACTTTCTTTCTCCCTGCTTTTCCCCTTCCTTCCCCTACCCCCCAAACCCCATCATTGATTTTACTTAACATGGTTCAGTTTGAAGAGAAAAGGTTGACACTCCACATATCATACTCCCATAATGCAGCAACCTGTAAATTGTTTCTTCCTTTAATAGATATGAAGCTGAAGAGACATGCATTTTCAACTTAATACATTGCATGTGTGCGCCTGGCTTTTATGGCTATACTCCATCTTGGCATACACATGATGTTGCCTGTCATTAGCCTGTTTTTAATTAGTTTACACCTTCCTATCTTTTGCTTCCAAAGACTCTTACTTTTTAAAGGATTTCTTTTTATAGCCAACAGTAGTAACCTTCATATAAAATAAATATTTTCTGGTGTTTTCCTGTTTTTTTACTTTTGGTGGTTTTTCTGTATACTTACATGTTTTATTCATGGACGCCATCCTTTGCCACTGTGTCTTTTATTCCAAAACCAGGAAGTGCTTCCCACCTTCGTATTTTTATCCTTTTCCCCCTGTGAACTCACCATTTGTGTATCTTCTTTCCATGTCTGTCTTGCTTTGTTGCCTGCAGTTATTTGTAAAATATTCAAAATATTACCCAAATTGAGATGAGTTGTAGTATCTGGATTTTATTGAGTGTTACTAAGCACATTTGACATTAGAACTAAAGGCAGTAGGCTGGTGATTAGAAGCAGCCCAAGTGGGTTTGCTTGAAATTCAGTCAAGAATATCTGTCTGGTTCCTTGCTATCTTCTGGAATGGGCTAATGGTATCAGGGCTATATTTCGTAGACAGGAAGGCAAAAACAGAAGGGAAAGTGACTTAGTTTCATTGAGAGAGACTAGATCAGGGTCAGAACATGAACTTTCATGTCCCTAAGTTTCACTGAAGAAAGCTCAGGCCTCTTTGCTTAGTGGTCTGTAAAGCCTAAGAGAAGGTGGTCCGGTCGTTTTCCTGTTTGTCCAAATGTCGTGAGAATGATGACATTAATAAGAGAAGTTTCTAGGGGCTTGCTATTTCATGTCACTCAAGGTAGTAGATCCTAACTCTAGGAACTGTAGGCTGTGGGTGACAGATTCCTTAAAATGCCTCACTGCGTGGCAGACCTGATGTGTGTGGCAAATTACCCTGCTTGAAGGGAGTCATGCTGGCCTGGCAAAGGCAGTAACCTGTGTACTTGGGGAACTGTTAAGATGCACCCTTAAGGAGCTGAGATGATTGCAGAGTCATAAACTCTTAAGTCTATTTGCCACTGGACATTTGCAGAGATGATCATATTTACTTCCCTCCTCCCACCACTCTTCCTCTCAGTTTCCTTTTTACTTTATTTTTTTCTCCCTTTCCTGGTAAAAGTATTAGTATGTTTAACATAGTGTTAGGTGGCAGATAGGCTGGGAAGAGCTAGTATTGTAAAGGAACACTGATGTGTACTGGAGCCTACTAGCTCTCAATCCATTGCCCCAGACTTGGGGAGAGAGAGCACATTCTCTATCCAGAGAAATAAGAATATGCAGTTTATGGTTGTCCTGTGGACATTAACTGACTGTGAAGGTAAGGTATATGCCAAAGGCAGTGATATGCAGGTGATAGATTCACCAGGAGATGATATGTGACTTTTCTTGTATTTTAAAGCTCTGCTTCTTTTTTAGAAAAAAAAAAATCCTATACTCTCATCCCCCTTAGCGAGATCAGGCCCCTATTTCCACTGAATCTGCCAGGAAAAAAGAAGTTATGTGATGGGTATGACTAGGGCCATTAGTTTGGTAGGGGGCTAATTCTGCTAATCTTGCTTTTGAGACTTGGTGCAAGTAAGTTACATTTCTCTCTGGTTCTCATATATGTATTTTTCTGCAGCTATGCAGTATGAAATGTGAAGTTGTCATAGCTGACTCTGTTAGGCACAGTACCAGAGTTCCTCTCAGGAGTGGGAATTGTCTGTTACACCAGGGACCTGCACTGTGTAGTCTCCATGCTCACCCACCCATGACTCTGTGAAACACAGCATGAAAGTCATGGAGGCTCAAGAAGGGAAGGAGAGATTACTTAGCTCTCACTGTGGGGCGGGCAGCATTGTAACTTTCACATAACTTAAAGAGGTTACGATAGAGACAGCGCCGGGGCAAGCGAGAGCCAGACAGGCACTGGGTGACTCTGTGCCTCGCTGTGGAAAAACAACTAAACATGGGCAAAGGAGATCCTAAGAAGCCTAGAGGCAAGATGTTGTCATACGCATTTTTTGTGCAAACTTGTTGGGAGGAGCATAAGAAGCATCCAGATGCTTCAGTCAACTTCTCAGTTTTCTAAGAAGTGCTCAGAGAGGTGGAAGACCATGTCTGCTAAACAGAAGGGAAAATTTGAAGATATGGCAAAGACAGACAAGACCCATTATGAAAGAGAAATGAAAACCTACGTCCCTCCTGAAGGGGAGACAAAAAAGAAGTTCAGGGATCCCAATGCACCCAAGAGGCTTCCTTCAGCGTTCTTCCTGTTGTATTCTGAGTATCGCCCAAAAATCAAAGGAGAACATCCTGGCTTGTCCATTGGTGATGTTGCAAAGAAACTGGGAGAGATGTGGAATAACACTGCTGCAGATGACAAGCAGCCTTATGAAAAGAAGGCTGCGAAGCTGAAGGAAAAATACGAAAAGGATACTGCTGCATATTGAGCTAAAGGAAAGCCTGATGCAGCAAAAAAGGGAGTTGCCAAGGCCGAAAAAGCAAGAAAAACAAGGAAGATGAGGAAGATGAAGAGGATGAGGAGGAGGAAGATGAAGAAGATGATGATGATGAATAAGTTGGTTCTAGCACAGATTTTTTTCTTGTCTATAAAGCATTTAACCCCCCTGTATACAACTCACTCCTTTTAAAGAAAAAAATTGAAATGTAAGGCTGTGTAAGAATTTTTTTAAACTGTATGGTGTCTTCTTTTGTATAGTTAACACACTACCAAAAGTGTCTTTAGATAGCCCTGTCCTGGTGGTATTTTCATAGCCACTAACCTTGCCTGGTACAGGATGGGGGTTGTAAATTGGCATAAAAATTTTAAGCAGGTTCTTATTGGTGCACAGCACATGTAAGTTATATATGGGGTTGGTAGTTTTTTCATTTTCAATTGTCTCTGATGCAGCTTATATGAAACAATTGTTCTGTTAACTGAATACCACTCTGTAATTGCAAAAAAAAAAAAAAAGTTGCAGCTGTTTTGTTGGCATTCTGAATGCTTCTAAGTAAATTACAATTTTTTTATTAGTTAAAAAAAAAAAAAAGATGTTATGAGCATGGAGAGGCTAGAGCCAGGCTGCCCAGGTTTAATTCTTGGCTCTACCACCTACTTAGTTGTGTGACCTCGGGCAATTTATTTAACCTCTCTGGGCTACAGTTTTATTAACTGTAAAAGATGAGTAATAATAGTATCTGTGTACCAGAGTCGCTGTGAGAATTAAATGAGCCAAAATAGGTAAAACATTGGCACTGCCATAGTCTTCTCTAAGGTTCATTTAGGGTTCCTTCTCATTGCAATTTCTTATCCTGGTTCTGGAAAGGAAATACGAACACATTATTCTCTATACTTTCTGATTCTTTGAAGGCAAAAATTTCTTCAAGAAAATGTTAGATGACAGTCCTCACTGTGGCAGTACATTCATGTATTGACTTTCCCAATAGATGTATCTAGCAACAATCAACGCACTTTGGAAAGCCATTAATGTGAGAGGCACGATGTTCAGTCGTGACAGGGTAGTATATATGTCAGTCATCTGTCTACAAGAGTCCCCAAGGACTCGTTGATACAATAGCTCATAATCACTCTAAGGATCAGTCTAGCAATTTGCATTTTTAAAAGTCCCTAACTACCTATTTTCACAATAGACAGTCCCTGTACTCCCATAGCTCCAGATGGGATCACTCTCCTTTCTAAAGAGGGCATTTTAGCTTCCTTTCTGAGTAATCCTTGCTTTAGCATTATGAATGAATTCTCAGAAATTATTGCACAATGGACAGATCTCCCTAATTTTCAAGCGCTCCCTCCCCACACATAAAATATTGGTAAATCTGGCCCCATTTGGGGGGATTATTTTGTTTGTTTTTCATTCAATATTCCTCAAGTTTGGTAGAAAACTATACCAGGTTATGTTTTGACTCTATTAGTCTGCCTTAGTGACCTGCCAACAATCCTGAGTGCTCTGGTTTGGAGATCTTGCAGGGTGGAATCGCCACACAGAGCTCCACTGCAGAAGTTGTCTCTGACTCTAAGAGAGCCCATGCATATATGGTGGCTTAGAGTCTAAGAATTTGGGAGACCCTACAGCAAGTACCAGTCCAGAGCTTCTAGATAAAGTGAAAGCTCTGAGACTCTATTTGGGGCATTGAATACAGACTCGGAAATTATCATGTTTGACAACCTATTATGAATGTGCTCAAATTTTTTGGAGTTACAGAACCTTTAGATTAAAAAAAAAAAAACAAAAAAAAACAAAAAAAACTTGGCCAGGCATGGTGGCTCATGCCTGTAATCCCAGCACTTTGGGAGGCAGAGGCAGGCGGATCACCTGAGGTCAGTGGTTTGAGACCAGCCTGGCCAACATGGTAAAGCCCTGTCTCTACTAAAAATACAAAATTAGCCAGGCGTGGTGGCACACACCTGTAATCCCAGCTACTCAGGAGGCTGAGGCAGGAGAATCACTTGAACCTGGGAGGCAGAGGTGGCAGCGAGCCAAGATTGCACCATTGCACTCCAGCCTGGGCAAAAACAGCAAAACTCCATCTCAGAAAAAAAAAAACAAAAAACTTTTGATTGTTCTTCTCCCTGACATTTACTAGGTAAGCAACTTTGGGCTTTAATCTATTTAGATGTTAGTTTCCTCTTTGTGAAATGGAAGGCATAATACATTTCCCATTTTAAAGTAGAAAATCAGGTTGGCGTGGTAATCCTATAATCCAAGCACTTTGGGAGGCCAAGGAAGGAGGATGGCTTGAGGCCAGGAGTTCAAGACCAGGCTGGCCAATATAGCAAGAAGCAAGACCCCCTCTACAAAATAATTAAAAAATTAGCCAGGTGTGGGGGTGCCTGAGATGGGGAACCGTGGAACCTTTGGCAGTGGCATCCAGGGCTGGGACCATGGCCGTGAACAGGGCCTGGGCCCCACAGAGCTCATGGAGGCAAGGCTGAGGGCAAGGAATGGATGACCAAGTTGGGCCACCTGGTCAAGGACATGAAGATCAAGTCCCTGGAGGAGATCTATCTCTTCTCCCTGCCCATCAAGGAATCTGAGATCACTAACTTTTTCGTGGGGACCTCTCTCAAGGATGAGGTTTTGAAGATTATGCCAGTGCAGAAGCAGACGCGTGCTTGCCAGCACATCAGGTTCAAGATGTTTGTTGCCATCAGGGACTACAATGGCCATGTTGGTCTGGGTGTTAAGTACTTCAGGGAGGTGGCCACTGCCATCCATGGGGCCATCATCCTGGCCAAGCTCTTCATTGTCCCCATGCACAGAGGCTACTGGGAGAAGAAGGCCCACACCATTCCTTGCAAGGTGACAGGTGGCTGTGGCTCTGTGCTGGTGCGCCTCATCCCTGCACCCGGGGCACTGGCATCATCTCGGCCCTGGTGCCCAAGAAGCTGCTGATGATGGCCAGTATTGATGACTGCTACACCTCAGCCAGGGGCTGCACTGCCACCCTAGGGAACTTTCTCAAGGCCATCTTTGATGCCATCTCTAAAACCTACAGCTACCTGACCCCCGACCTCTGGAAGGAGACTGTATTCATCAAGTCTTCCTGTCAGGAATTCACTGACCACCTCATCAAGACCCACACCAGAGTCTCCATGCAGGGGACCCAGGCTCCAACTGTGGCTACAACACAGAGTTTTTACATAAGAAAAATAAAGTGAATTAAGCCTGTTTTTGGTTTGCTTGTTTTTTTTAAGTAGAAGACCAGAGGATCTCTTAATCTTAAATTCTGTTCAATATCTAGTATTCTGTGATGCTATAAAGATGCATATTGATCTGTAGCCAGGGAACTGTTTTAGGCTGGGGAGTGAATAGATAGGAGGTGGGGAATTTTTAAAGTTATTGCGTATTAGGGTATTATATATAAAATTACATATTAGTGATATATAAAATTATTACATACTCGTGAGACCAGGAATGGAAGTTGAAGAGCATGATGATTTAAAATTTTTTTTAATTTTGTTTCTTATCCAGATTACAGAAAAGTAAACACTATATGTTGTTCACAATCACAAGTGGCTGTAGAATTATAAATCTTGAGAGTGGGAGGATCCTCAAAAGTTCAACCACACAATTGTTGTGTGAATCTCCTCTGTGACACCATTGCTAAATATTCACCCAATTATGTGTGAAAAATTCAACTGAATGGGAGCTGAGTACTTTTGGAGCCAATCCCATTCATCTATGTATTCATCTGTGAATTCTTTTTTATATTTGGCTAAAGTCTGTTTCCCTGTACAGAGACTGATCACTCTTTAAAGACAGTGTTCAAATTTAACAAAGAAACTCCCAGTTTTGTGATATGACCAATTGGAAATTGAATGGAACCAAAATCTTTCTCATGTACTTTTGTGTTCAGAGTCTGGTCTTGTCTCAAGAACAAATGTAGTGAAGATGAAAATGCTATTCCAAGATAGAAAAGAAATTGGATTCATAAATAACTTTGCCAGTTAAAAATGTGAAATAAGTAGAAGAAACAAGAGAAACAGTTAAAACTTAATTCCACTTGGAAGTACTCCTTGGAACCTTAGGGGTCTCCTGCAGTGCCATGCAGTACCTTCGGAGCCCGATTATCTCCTGCTTTCTCCTCCTCTGCCTTGTTGAAAGTCCAGATCCTGAAATAAGGTTGGAGGATATTTCTTTTTGACTGCTATATTTGTAGATACCAGCTAAAACTCATTGGGCCTAAGATTTGGTGGAATCAGTAAAGGTGATGTAGACTTAGGTACTCAAACCCCAAGGGTACACAAACACAAGCTAAACTGCTAGAATGTATTACCCTCTTGCCTCAGTGAACAGTCTCTGGCTCACTTCATCCATGTGGACCTTCATTATATCTCTACCCTATATCCATTGTCCATTTCCACCTCCAGGGTTCTGATGTGTCCTGAGTATTAGAATGAAGAAATGCCTCTACCTCACACTTTGGGTGGCATGTAGGGTCTCTACACTGTCTGTTTCTAATAAAACATTGTCTCTGAACTCAAGCTAAGGGCCCACTTAGCTCTGTACACACGGTTCCTTAGGAAGATTGGTTTCTTCGTCTTCTTCATTTTATATTCAGTTGTGTGTTACACCTTCATATGTTGAATTTTCTTCACCTGTCTCTCTTTCTACATATATTCATAGCTCTGTCTTTGCAGATCAGTGCTCACTTGAAGCTTTGCTACTCTGTCAACCCCTCTCCTCTCTTCAGCCTTTCTTCTCCCCCAACCCCAGCCTGAAGCCCAAGTAAATTAGCTTATCACCCCTGCCCCCTAGTTGTAAAAAAATTCCCGTACTCCTCCAACAGTGTCTATTCTTGGATTTGCAGTCAGCAACCATCTCCAATAACCATCAGGCTGTCAGCTTTGCAGCTCCCTACCACCTCCCACCTCCCCCATTACTCACCAGAAGAAAAAGAGAGCCAGAGCAAGAGCTTGAAATATATCATGCAATAGTGTATCATGAATTTGTTGTGAATCACAGTGGTGAAGCAGGTTTATTTATTTCTGAGACCTTAAATCAATACAAAGTAGGTCTCTTAGTTCTGAAGCTGGGATGGAGTGTGAAAAAATGAGCCCATTGTACTCTTACAACTTTGGGGAAAGGAGATGACAGCTATATAATTCCATTTACCAGGCACTAGGGGCTTTAATGTGAAGGTGACAGGGAGCTCTTTGTGCATTTAGAGCACCATATCTTCTAAATAAAAGATCTGTAGACTTGATAGTGGAGCATAGCTCCAAGTTTAATAATCTCCAAGCATTAGACCGAGCCAATATGTTCCCAAGTCAGAAAGGTCCCCCTTAACACTCATAAATTAAAAGTGCAAGAACCACACGTTAGTAGATTAGAAATGCAAGGACTCCAGTCTTTTCTAGAAGGAAGACAGAGCTGGGCCCTGGCTGTGCACAGACTGGTCTATGAATATGATAAAGAAGCGGAAATGAGACTGTTTAGAAACCTGACTCCTAGCTGTTCATCATTCTAGGGAATGTTCCCTGTGCATGGATCCAAATCTAGCTATGTCCCTTCTCATTCAGATTGGCCATCATCACACAGTCTAATCAGCTAATGTACACAGTCAGGAATATTGAATTATGAAAGGAGAAGCTTAAAGAGCTTTTTAGATTGAACTACAGATTACCATGCCTGGGCTTCAAGATTTTCTGGCTGATTTTTGACCGGTTCCTAATTTTAATAATGTCTCAGTGTCTGGGATTTAAGCCTTCTAAAATAGTATGCGCGTCTAAGAAATTGAGAAATCAGTGTTGGTAAGGAAAAGAACCCACCCAAATTTAACCAACAGCATAAGATGCAAATATGAGAAGTCAAGACCATTGGAACATGTAATCAACTTTTGAGTAACTTCATTTTCTACCTGACCCATTGGTAAAATATGCCTTTCTCAATAGATAAAGCAGGTTTATGCAGCTCAGAAGAGCATTCCTAACATAATATGACTTTATAGTACTTAGAATTACTAGTTTAATTTTAGCCCATGTAAAGAATTTTGACAGGGAGGGAGGGAGAGGGGCATCTACATTGGGGAAAACTAAAAAGGTAGGAAAATTGAACCACTCCTTTTGCTTCAGAAAGCCACTACACATTATAACACTAATATGAAAGACTTATTTTGCTTATAGTGGTTTAACTTGCTGAACATACTAATCGGTTGAGGTTTTATAGAATACATAGAAATGTGGTAGATCACATGCATTTATTGCATGCCTGTTAGGTATAAAGCTGTTCTTATGCTGTGGCAATACAAAGATGATTCCTGCTTTCATGGAGCTGAAATTTAGCTAAAAGACAATAATAGGCCTTTCATGTGTTCTAAAGGAAAAAATAAAATTGCTGCCCATCAGACGTCAATGAGAAAACACAAACCAAAAGGCCACAGAGATAGTAAGTCAGTGCTACTCCCCTAAGAGCGAGGCCCTGCAAACACCATACTCTTGGGGCCTGGACACTGGTGAGCAATGCAGTCAGTCACAGCCTATTCAGTAAAACCAGTAGGAGGCGACTGACAAACAGGGATTTTTTTAAAAGTTTTCCATCTTTAGAAAATACATAATCTGATAAAAGATTGGTATCCAAAAGAATTCTCAAACTCAGTAAGAAAACAACCCAGTAATTAAAAACATGGGCAAGAAATTTGAACAGACATTACACCAAAGAAAATATAAGGATGGTAAATAAGCACATGAAAAGATGCTTATCATTAGTCATTAGGGAAATGAAGATTAAACCACAGCTTGACACCACTAAATGGTGTTTTTTGTTTTGTTTTTTGTTTTTTGCTTTTTTTTTTTTTGAGACGGAGTCTCGCTCTGTCGCTCAGGCTGGAGTACAGTGGTGCAATCTTGGCTCACTGCAACCTCCACCTCCCGGGTTCAAGCGATTCTCCTGCCTCAGCCTCCCAAGTAGCTAGGGACTACAGGCATGTGCCACCACGCCCCGGCTAATTTTTATATTTTTAGTAGAGATGGGGTTTCACCGTGTTATCCAGGATGGTCTCAATCTCCTTACCTCATGATCTGCCTGCCTAGGCCTCCCAAAGTGCTGGGATTACAGGTGTGAGCCACTGTGCCTGGCCTAAATGGTTTTTTTTTAATGTTTGACAAATACCAAGTGTTGATGAGGATGCAGGACAGCTGGAACTCTCATAGATTGTTGGTGGGAATGCAAAATGGCACAGCCACTTTGAAAAAGGTTGGGCTTTTCTTAAAACCTGTACACAAATGTCTATAGCAGTGTTATTTATAATCCTCCAAAAGTGAAAACAACCCAAATGTACACCAACAGGCAAACGGGTTACCAAGTTGTGGTACTTCCATAAAATGGAATATTACTCAGGAATAAAAATAAACTACTGATACCTGCATCAGCATGAATGAGGCTTAGATGCAATATGCTAACTGAAAGAAGCTAGATTCAAAAGGCTATGTACTGTATGACTCCATTTATGTAACATTCTAGAAAAGGCAAAACTACTGGAACAAAAAGATCAATGGTTGTTAGGGGTGGAGGGAGGGAAGGGAACATGAGGAGACTTTGGGATGATGAAAATGCTCTCTATCTTGATTGTTGTGGTGGTTATATGACTATGTGTATTAAAATTCACAGACTTGTATACCTTATGATGGACAGTTTTGCTGTATGTAAATTATACTTCAATAAACCAGACTTTATTTAAAATTTTTAAAAATTGGCTGGGCATGGTGGCTCATGTCTGTAATCCCAGCACTTTGGGAAACTGAGGCGAGAGGATTGCTTGAGGCCAGGTCTTCGATACCAGCCTAGACAACGTGCAAGACCTTGTCTCTACAAAAAAAAAAAAAAAAGAATTCCTGTTTGGAATTAACTTATCAGAAATCTCAAGTCCCTACCTACATGAGCAGTTGGTGGGTCCCCCTAGGGTGAGTGATTACTTTTGGCAGCTTTCTTTCCAGAAGCCTGTGCTTCTTCTCATACATTTAGCAAACTATTGTGTGGCTCCTCTCTATCTTTTACATTACAAATGAGTCTCTGTTCCTTACCCACTCCACCTTCAAATCCTTATTGTCTTTCTGCTGTCTAATTCATTCCTCTGTTCTCCACTGAGCCCTGTACCTCAGTAAAGAGATGTCTTCCAGTGTTATTTCTGGCCTATATTCAGCCTCTTTTTGGCTGTTTCTTTTCCTTCCACTGACAGTACCACCCCTTTGCCCCAGTTTATCCTTCAGCATACCTGATCACTTCATGATTTGCTGCTTATAGAGAGATTTTTGGTCTTATAGCAAATGGTCTTGAATCCAGCTGTGGCTCATGTCAGAGGCTTTTCTCTCTTCTGCCCACAGTATGTCACCGAGCCCCTTCTCTACCCCAACCCTAGCCTAGCACCTGCCAGCCAGCACTCCAGTTTGCCAGTGACAGTAGTGGCAATAAAGTGGGGAAAAAATTATAACGCTTTGCCTATGCATTAAGAAACTGTATTTTGGAACCCCCAAATAATCTTGTTGGTCACATAGGTCCTGGTTCCATCTCCCTAGAGATTTAATTCCATTCACCCTTGGATATATTCCTGAAGAAACATTGACACAGTGATATGTGCAGCACCACTTAAAATTGTTAATTGGAGATTGAATTACTTGTCAGATTTTTAAAATGTAGTCCTCTCAGGTCAGGGAGGAGGATATTAGCTGCACTGAGTAGATGAGCTATTGCATTTTTTTCTTCTCCTTCCTCCTTTCTCTCCCCCTCCCTTTTCCTCTCTCTCATCCTTCCTTCTTTCTTTTGTCCCTATTTTACCACTTTTCCTCTACTCCTGCTTATTCTTTCTCATATCTGTTCTCTTTCAGCTTTAGCCAACCTTTATCAATAACCTGACAGATCCCAGAGTGACTTTAATATCTAGAATCATGGATGAAGTCCAGTGATGACAATTACTCAGTAAATTTACAAAACCCCTCCTCAAATCCTCTTGAGAATGGAAATGTCCTAATAAGAAGGAGGATTGCAGCGAGGACTCAGCTTGTGTAGCCTAATTCTTAGATGCAGGAGGAATTTTGTATTCCCTGCTTCCTTAAATAGATGTCCTGACCCACCGAGCATTGTTTAAAGAGGGGGAAAAGACTGAATAAAGAGGAAGAGAAGGAATAGATTTCATTTTTTATTCCATCATTGATATGCATGATAATTTTTCACATCTTCAGCACATGATTGCAAATATTTGCCTATAAGTCTAAGGGTCCCCAACATAATGTGTATGTCAGGACAAAGGCAATTTTTAAAAAATTGAGCTAAGTTGCATCTGTGAAACTTGGAAATCTCAATGCCTGTGCTGACAAATATCCTGACAAGTAAATACTGCACTCATTCAGTATTACATAGTGATTTCATTTGCACAAAACATCACAATGCTCTGCCACTTCAGTCAAACGTCTGGAGCATGGGGGAAAGGAAGTACGTGTTTATCTTGATCTCCAAAAAGGGCTTTAAGGGAGAGAGCAGGCGGTATATTAGGCTGTTTTCATTGCCTGTCAGCTGTGGTAAACCTGAGCTGTCTGCAGTGTCTCTAGATAAGCAGCAGCAGCAGCAGAGGCCTGAGCATGGACGTATGACTGCATTCATTTGTACTTCTTATGTATCTCAACATTTCTAAAGGCTACGTAGCATCTTTGGTGGAGCCTTTAACAATTGTGTCTCTGCTAATCACCGGCTTTTATGTGGTGCCCTTAATTCTTAGGTCCGCCGGCTGCAATGAATGAAGTACTGGATGAGGCTTAAGTTTATATTGAGAATGAGTCAAGATCCTCTTTCCTCTCAGATTCAGCCCTTATTCAATTCTGTCAGCATGGCACTCTTCAGCAGAGGACCCCAAGGTGGAGCCCATTCCTAATATTGCATGGTACTGCTTCTCCACTTAGATCTGGAGGGCAAGAAAGTGAGGCCTCAGGAGAATCACCTCTGTTTGACTCACTCCTGTGTTTAAATGATTATTGATGCTTGCTGGACAGATAAATTAAAAGTTTGTATCATACAGTAAGTAGAATGTAAGAGGAATATATTTGGGAACTGAAACACGGCAAGAAATGCGTAGGTCAAAGTTTAAAAGAGTGTTGAATGCAGCTCACCTACTTCATGAAAATATGTTGATGAGAGTTGTTGACCCCAGGTTTTTCTGTAGAAGGTCAGCAGGGCAACCTTGAGGAAGAAAACAATGGTTCTGTCTATGTGGACTCCATTCGTCTTCCTAGATACTGATGAGGGTTTGTGTAACTGTTATAGCATGATCATTTCACAGTTAGGCAGAATGGATTTTATCCTAACCCAGATTCTGCTTCCTTGGTTGGAGCTTTTGTTGTGAAGTATTCTAAAATCATTAAAACCACTTGAGTCAGCAACGACCCCTATAAATCAGGAGCTATTGTGTGCGCCCTCATTCTACTGGCGCATACTCCAAACATGTGGTCATTGAAGATGAACTGGAGGGTACTGCTTTCTCTTCACCGATTGTTAAGTAGTTATGATTGTTAGCATTTGTTTGTGATTAGTGGAGCAGTTTCATTTCTGTGCCCATCCCCACCCTACCCCCCATCTCCCAAGATAAGGCTGGTCAGAGAGTGATATTGGGATACTCTTAGTCTATTCTGTAATTTTTCTCCTTAATTTCTGAATTAAGTGAATTTTCTCACATGACAAACACTTCTTTAGCTCAGAAATAATGTTCTTGGTATGTTAAGCCCTGGTTAGGTTTCTTCTAAACATAGGAAAGGAGAGATGTAGAAATACTGCTGCCTTTTCAGAACAATGCCAAAGCATCAGAACCCGAGTTTTAGCTTGTAAAGAGAAGAGTACTCAGTTATTGAGCCTACCAAGTTTGCCTCCCATTATTTTGTAAAAATATGGGGTAGAATAGATAAGTGGCAGAGGATCACTTTTAAATGAGGAGGCAAAGACATCAGAAGAAAGTATGTTTAAACAGCTGAGCGGTCCCTTTTTCTGAGTGTAGTTCTTCATTGGTCCATTATTAGTTTTGGAGATGTGTAAGATTCTAAGTGGTTGGACATTATCAGGTATTAGAGATAGGAAGAAAATAGTGTTTCTGAGTAGAAAATGGCCCAGCTCTCTCTTCTGGGCAACAAGGAGTACTTGGCTCCTGACCTAGATTGTGAATATCAGATTTTCAGGGTCAGCACAGTGTCTCCTTTTGTATTCCTTTTCCCCCTTTCCAATTTTATTTTAATAATTAAAAATACTGCTGATCACACTGAATGCCTTCTAACAGAGAGGCAGTCTGTCCCAGAAGGACCAGTTGTGGGCCATCGGGTTTATGACGACCATAAAACCAGAGCCAGATCAGAGCGTGGCCTCTGTAAGTGACAGGGTTTCTGCCTCTACCAGGCTCCCGCATCAACAGACTGCTTTGGATATTTGCTTTGGTTTGGATTTTTTGTTCTGTTTTGTTTCCTGATGCATGTGTGAGTGTGCATGTGTGTGCACATTTAAAGATATAAATGAAACAGGTATGTAATGCCCTCTGCCTGTTAGAAAGACTAAAGCCATAAAAATAACAAACGGCGTGTATTTGCTAGAATGTCAAAGTTATGAGTTTATTTTGTAATGATGTGCTCCTGCCTTCATGAGGTAAACTGGCCGTGGCGGAGGTGTTATTAGTAATATGGACTCAGCAGAGCAGAAAGCTGAGTGACCGAGAGATCAGTGTATCAGTCAGAGAGAGGGCAAATGGAAAGAGACAGCAGGAGAATGAGAAAAGAGCCGCAGTGCCTGGGCTGAGATTAAAGACGGACTGAGAGGCGGATGGGAGCTCAGTGGTCAGATACCGTCTTCCCTCTTCACGAGGCTCCTTCAAAGGAGCTGCCAGCATGTTGCTCAGCTTGGGGCTGCCTGTAAAGGCTTGTTCTCTGCGCTTCCTTATCAAGGAAAACAGTAATCTGAGAGCAATTTTGCTTTCCATATTCCTTTCAGAAAAGTATCTTATGCCCTTCCTAGCTGAAGTTAAATGGAATCAAGGCCAATTGGGTCACACTGAGGTTATTACTTTGGTCACCAACTTCCTCCATCTTTGGAAGGTCCCGATGGGGGTGCTGACCCAGCATGCAGGGGAACCTCTCAAAGCTCCTAACAAGAAGGGGCAAAATGGGAATATACAGGCAGACTTTGCTGGCCCTTAGTTAGTTAGATTCTCCCCAGAGACTGAAAATGAATACACGTACGGAAGAAATTTTGTATTGTCGTTATTTTTTAAAGGAGGAGAGGAAAGGAAAAAGAAAAGGTAAAATACAGTAAGCGCTCTACAACTGTTTAGAGCTCTCCGGGGCTACCTTAGATGACTGACAATTACTATACACTCAGCAGTTTGCAATAGTCAGTGATCAGGCTGCCCGGCTTCCATCTGCTGGGTCAGAAAACCTCCTTCCCTGAAAGAAATTATTAACCAGTCTTCAAGGGAAAAAGAAACCCTGCAATTTCCAAGTCCAGGAATATCTTTTCTTCCTCTTTTTTTCTTCTTTAAAGGAAACTTTGTGGTTTCCAATTGCAGGTGCCCTTTGACCTTACAAGGATTAAATTCCTCCAGGGATATACCAGGGATTGAGGCCCTGAACTCCCTGGAGCCTGGGAAGGGAAGGAGGAGGGGAAGCATGCTTGGGTATAAATCACAGCCCTGCACCCAGCACACAAAGAAGACTTGAGACTCAGGGGTTCATGTATGTATCATGAGTTGCTTCAGGTTTTTGCTAGCTTTAGGGCTTGTGCGTGGAGGCCAGTGTTAGGCTGGTGCAAAAGTAATTGTGGTTTTGCCATTAAATGACAAAAACCACAATTACTTTTGCACCAATCTAATAAAAATCAAATATAAGGAAAAAAATAATCCTTTTTAAAAATGAGGAACCTAAGCCCCCAGAGTTTCTTTAACTGAGACTTGTCACTAAATATTGTTGAAAGACAGGCATGTTACCTTTTTGTGTCTGTGTGCAAAGAGACTTGCACACAATGAGGTAGCCTATGCCTCTGGGTCTCAGCCTCACCCACCACTGCAGTTTCAGCTGAGGGTGGAAGTATGCTTTGCCTATCTGTGGCAGCTGGTGGAGAGAAAGGGGCTTGCTGGTTTTAAAATTGCAACCATGAATGTGATTGTTAAAAGTATTTTTTGTTTTTTTTTTAATTTTTTATTTTATTTTTATTATACTTCAAGTTTTAGGGTACATGTGCACAACGTGCAGGTTTGTTACATATGTATACATGTGCCGCGTTGGTGTGCTGCACCCATTAACTCGTCATTTAGCATTAGGTATATCTCCTAATGCTATAGTAAGCCCTCTTAGCGCAGCTGGCAGCGCGTCAATCTCATATTTTTTGTTTTCTAAGTTTTCTTTTTAGGAAGAAGATTCAGATAGTCCCTCAGAACAACCAACCCATGGAGACTGAAATCTCTGTTTTGTGGAGAAAAGAACCCATTTTAGTGCGACTTGTGAAATCGACCATGCCTTTATTTCTATAGAGACAAATGTCTTTTCTCTTGCTCTTTTCTCTAGGTCCTCGGGCGGGAAGTGTACACCTCCAATAACCAGCTGGGGGGCATCCAGATTATGCACAACAATGGGGTGACCCACTGCACTGTGTGTGATGACTTTGAAGGGGTTTTCACTGTCCTGCACTGGCTGTCTTACATGCCCAAGGTGAGCCCTTCCTACCCAGCACTGACATGGCCTGCAGAGCCTGTCATTTCCACCACAGCTCACTGCCTCTGTGTTTAAGGTCTTGTCTTTATGGTGGAGGAATTTTTTTATAAAATATTTCTCTGAAAGCTATTGATTTCTCTTTTCCTTACAGCCATATTTTGCCTTCTACCTTTAAGATGTCTCTGGATTTCATTTGTTGGGCCCCTTTCTAATGTCTTCCAGCCACGGAAGCCCTCATGGCCTACCTAAGGCTCAGATCCCAGTATATTAAGGTTCCTCCTCATTGTGGGTTTTCTCCTCTGTAATAGCCATTCATTCCTCAGAGGAGCATCCCAGAAAGCATGGGCACACTGAAATCAAGAGTCAAAACACACCACTTTGTGCCAGCCTCCTAAATGAGACTATTGACCTATACATGTTCCTTGGGGCCTGGCACATACGTAGGATTCTTCCAGCTGAAGATTGGGACTATTGGGTGCAATTCCATACGTGGGCCCTGCTGTCTTTGTCTATAACTATTGTTGCTGAGTTGGAGTCTAGGGCTGTCGTTCACTGATTGCTGTGCTCTCTTCCAATCTCCTTTTAGAGCGTGCACAGTTCAGTTCCTCTTCTGAACTCAAAGGATCCTATAGACAGAATCATCGAGTTTGTTCCCACAAAGACCCCATACGATCCTCGATGGATGCTAGCAGGCCGTCCTCACCCAAGTATGTATATGTTTGAGGACCCCATGGTACCTGGCTCTTAAGCTTTTAGCGTTCTTTTCAATCACTATCCAATTCCTGAACAATCACATGTGACTAAGAAAACAGAGGTAAGTACCTAGAAATGAGAAAGACCTGAAAACCAGCCCTCTGAAGAAAAAGGTGGGAAATCCTTCATGAAAAAATGAAAAATAAATAAAATGACATTTCCCAATCACCCATTAAGTCAAGCAGTGCAGTCACGAATACATTTCTTCTGTTTATTCTGTTATTAAAGCACTTATTACTTAATGGGTTCAAAGACTTTAACACAGTTCAATATAAGCCATAAAATCATAAAATTATAGGACTAGAATCTTCAGTCATCTAATCCCTACAACCAAAAGAGATTAATCAGTTTCGTTTTAGCACACGTCTTTGAGACCCTTCAGTGTAGAATATGACTTCACTCTTCTCAGCAAGCTCTGAGCACCCACGCTGCATGTGCCCTTCTTATGATATTGGTAATGGTATTGGTACTTGCTTTAGTAAGTAATAGAAGGCTACTTTGTAAGTTCATTTATTCATGAAGAGATTGTCCAGAACTTTTAATTATATAGATACATGGAGTGAGAATAAGCTCTCCCTCCAGATATATCTAATCTACTGCTTTGTCTTTTACCTAACTTAGAAACAAAACAGGAAAAAGAAGTAACTCTGTGTACATTCTCATTTGTCAGTCCATTTGGCTGTTCTAGCAAACCTTACTTATCAGGAGGTTCTTTTGTGGAGCACCAAATCCCTCTGCTGTATTTTGAATCCATTTTTTCAAACTATGTGAGGAAGCATTTGTTCTTTTTTGCATATTTATTGCAACTATTTCAAAGAAAGGCTATATATAAAAGTAGAAGAGATTGCAGAAGGTATTTTATTAAGTGTAAAAGTCATTGTGATCTTGCTGAAAGAGAGGTCTTCATAAGGAAGACCTAATAAACTTTTGTGGGTACCCACTGTAAGCCAGGTGGGACTGTAAAGCACTTCCACATCTTTTTTGCACTTACGACCTCTCTTAGATAAAGAGAGATAACTATTTTACAAAAATCAGAGAAGTTGAGTGATTCGTACAAGGTCACATAGCTATTATATAGCTATTACATTGTTTTTCTACAATATCTACATTAGACTTTCTATTATATAAAAACATGAGAGAAGTGTTTATTTTAATTTATAACTTTACCTGTTGTCTTCAGTGCCTCTTCTTGTTAATTTTAATAAAACGAAATAGTTTTTCTTTACATGCCTGGAAAGTCACCATACTAATCTTCTTCCTACTGTTTTTTTTTTTTTTTTTTTTTTTTTTTTTTGAGATGGAGTTTCACTCTTGTCCTCCAGGCTGGAGTACAATGGCATGATCTCGGCTCACTGCAACCTCCGCCTCCACTTACCCCTTCTTTCCCCTTTTTTTTGTGCCATGATTATGATAAGAACTATGAGCCTAAGATTACCTGTCAGTCTTTTTTTTTTTCTTTTTCTTTTTTTTTTTTTTGAGGCGGAGTCTCACTCTGTCGCCAGGCTGGAGTGCAGTGGCGCGATCTCGGCTCACTGCAACCTCCGCCTCCCAGGTTCAAGTGGTTCTCCTGCTTCAGCCTCCTAAGCAGCTGGGACTAAAGGTGCATGCCACCACACCCAGCTAATTTTTGTAATTTTAGTAGAGACGGGGTTTCACCATGTTGGCCAGGATGGTCTTTATCTCTTGACCTTGTGATCTCAAAGTGCTGGGATTATAGGCGTGAGCCACCGCGCCCGGCCACCTGTCAGTCTTAAAATGCAGGACTTTTCTGGGAATGAAGTGAGCCTCTTTACTTCTAGAATTTGGAACAAGACTTAGTGAGTTTTTTCCTGGGAAATACGGGAAGCCATCTTAGCCGGCTTCTAAGGTTCTGCATCGGAACTGGGTAGGATCTACTCTCTGGGGACTGTGAAGCACAACTACAATAGTCAGTGACTCCTCCTACCCCTAGCAGGAGAGTTTTTAAAGAAGAAAACATTTCCATCTTGAAGTTAATTCTGTAGTTCCAAATCCCTGTTATTGAAGTAAGAATTAGAAAATGATCCAAAGATATAAAGTTAAAATTCAGTGTTCTGATGAACCTAGAAATTTGGTTTAGAAACTTCACCAAAATTTGAGTCCTTCTTTCATGGGTGAACAGAAGTATGTGTGTGTAGGTGGGCATTATCCTGGCCATTATTAATGAAATCCACAGAATAAAATGAAATTTTTGATAAACTAAGTTTTCTGTTTTTTGGATAATATTTTTTCATTGACTCCCTAGTAATTCATCCTGCTGTCTATGTGCAGCTAACACTCGCTCCCAAATCGAGTGACTTCAGATTTTAATTTAGTGGAAGCGTTAAAGAAAGCAGATGATTCCCTGTGATAAGTTAAAGCAGATATCTTCTAGGTGAAAAGTTAAAGTCATTTATTAGAGGAGATAGTGCTGTGATATTCTTCAAACTGACGCCCAACACAAGACCAGAATCTAAACGATCGGCTTTGGGCTCACGGATGGAGAGATAATTTTGAAATGGATGATCACATTTTACACTGGGGCCATAGAGGCAAGGAATGTAGAACACAGTAATTACAAGTTTAGTCTAGATAAAACACTCTCCATCCTGTTTAAGTCAGCAGAGGTTAGCTTGCTCAGATCTCCACTTTTAATTGGTTTTGGACTTGGGTTTTTAGGGGGTGGAGGGCCATGTTCAAATTAGAAGAATCACTGAAAACCGTGAGCTGAGAGGGCAAACTAGGAAACGGTTATTTGCAGAAGCTTTTATGGGGCTTTGGTCAAACATTTATACCTGTGGAACAAAAGTTTTTTTTTTAAACTAACATGTTGAAAATTTTGGGTCTTGCCAGTGAAGGAAATTCTATGTGCAAGGAAGATTAATGGCATTAAGTATGTGCATCTTAACCATTGTATTTTTACTATCTGTCAAGAATATGTGGCCCTTTTTTGTAGAAAGGTTATACTTTATCAGCTGTTTAATAAAGTAGATATATCTTGTTGCTTTTGTAGCGGAGAAACTGAGTTCCTATTTTTCCCTCCAAATTTGGATCCTTATCTGATCATTAATACTTATTGTTTGGTTGTTTTTAGCCTTCAGTTAAAAGAAAGTCAGTGGAATCAAACAAAATTGTAAGGCAAGTTTTAAAATAGAAATAGACATTTTGAAAATATCTTTAATGACTTGGCAGCCTTTTGACAAATGTTTGTAGTGTCTTGAAGAAAGTCAAGTTATTTATTTAAAAGCATGCAAACTCTCTCTGCTAGCTAAACCTTGTCATTTAACAATAAATGATGCTTTTGCTGATAAATGATTCTTTTTATGCAGACTAGCAAATGAAATAGGAGATGATGTCTGAAGGCAGATGAACATTCAGCTGCCTAATGCTTCCATCTATTATAATTTGGTTAAAAACAACAAACTCCCCAAAATAATCCCCCAAACCACCTTAAATTCGTCAGTTCCAGCACATTGTCAATGGATTCACTGTCCTTATTCTCTGTTTTCTTTCTTTCCCTTCTGTAGCCCAAAAAGGTCAGTGGTTGAGTGGCTTTTTTGACTATGGATCTTTCTCAGAGATTATGCAGCCCTGGGCACAGACTGTGGTGGTTGGTAGAGCCAGGTAAGAGCTCTTTTGTTTTGGCAGCTCTTTTTCCTCCCAACTAAAAATAAGAAAGAAAGAGCCATGGCTCTATAGATATATACCAATAATGTTCTCTTTGTCTGAACTGTCTGAGAATATTGGATTATAGCCATGCCCAAGGCAAAATAATTGGAGTGCTGGTTCTCAGTTGCCATTTTGTGTGTCACTCCAATGATGCGTTTAATCTGAAGGCTAATTTTGACAACACTTCCTTTTTATAATGTTTCAGGAAAAACACTTTGGGAGCTGTAAAGCCCAACTACAATAGCCAGAGCCCACCAATGACTTTCCCTCTCCCAAAGACAATTTTCTTTCAGGAATAGGTGACAAGTGATTCAGAGACTCATCTGCTTTTCTATGTAACTGGAAAGAGGTTCTTCGTGGCACCGAGATTATTTAAGTGACAAATGTACTATATTGGATTATAATCAGATGTGAATTGCCAAAAAAAAAAAGTTTACCTGAAACAGGAGTAAAATAAGCTGAAATAGGTTGCCAAGATACCTATATTTTTGAAGTGGGAAATTGAAGTTTCTATTAAATTTTAATACCTACTCTAAGAAGTGCTTCACTCAACAGCAAGCTCTGTGCAAAATAATCTGTAGTGCTTGCTATAACGAGCTATAACGAGCACCTGCCACGACTGATCTTAATCTACTTCTGCACTGCAGAGACATGCTGCTGAGGGACCGCATCTGGAGCTCACCTTCCTCTGGGGGCAATCAGTTTTCCTTATCTTGGTGAAAAGTGGCACCTGCTCAAGATTCTCAAACATGCCACATTGGGTTGAGATTTAGATTCTAGCCTTGAAAATAATTCTAGGCTCTGTGGTTCTCTCAGTACAGCAGGTCAGCACGCCTCCATGCTGCCTGTGACAAGAAGCCATCAGAGGGCAAATCCCACAGACAGGGTCTTCCTCTGTGACTCTGAATAGGATTCTGGCCTGGAGTCAGCTCAGACTGAATGTCCCAGAGCCTACCTGTCTGTTTTCTTTAAAGTCTCAGGTCTTTTATCTCACCCCAGGCTTCTCAGTCCCAGTGAGAAGTATTCTCTGTGCCTGGTAAAATTCCCAGTGGGGAGCTTGGAAGTAGGAGATACACTGGAGCGAGAACCCTGATACTCGACTCCTGTATCAGCTTGTTAGATTCCTCACGGCACACTAAGACCAACTTTTTTGAGATTTGTCTCATCTATTCTGCTTCAATTTTCCTGTCTGTGAAAAAACATGACAGATTTTAAGTCTCAGAAAGCCAAACCTTTGTTAAGTTCTTTAAGATCCTCCCATGGGAAATAAGAGAAAAATACTTTACACTTATGATTAGAAGAATAGGGATTGCTTTGCGACCAAGATCAGTCAAGCTTGGCTTTGGTTAGCTCTGTCATTGTTTATTGCAACACTCACTCTGACTTCCTCCTTTCTTTCTATCTGACGAGTTCTGGGCTTCTTACTCCAAACGTATACACATACTCACAAGTATATAAAACACAAATGGAGCTCTAGCTTCTTTCAAAAGCAATGGCATTTCAAGAAATAAATATAAATGTATTCGTCTGGGATTGTTACTGTAAGTGCTGCCAAAACTCATCTTTGGTATGTATGTTTGGAATATGTGTGCTATTGGCTGTAAATTGTCTTTTATTATTCCATGGCACCTTGTCCAGGGACACACTATAAAACAAGATGTAGCATCTTCATGTGCTAGCCTGATAAAATTTATATGAAGTATAATAGAAAACAGAAGTTGTTCTGAGCTGTTTTCAAGTTCAATAAATAACTGTAATACTTGGATAAAGATGTTCTTTATTAGGTCACATGGGCCCTAATATATAAGTTATAAGTTACCGATTTAGGGTGGCTTTTGCAATTACAAGTTTCCAGTTGGATTGTTAATCATTGTGAACAGAAATATTTCTAAACCCTCCTGTGTATCTCCTGCTCGTTGTCTGGTTGTCTAGAGGGCTTTTGATTCTGATTCAGTGCAGGCAAGTGACAAGGGGGTGGGTGGTCTCCACTCAGGCCCTTGTCAGCCCTCTTGTGATGACAGGAATCCATTTTCACTAGCCAATTTAACAACCAAAGGCCATCTGTCATGGAAAAGTTTGTTATGGAGATGCTGTGAGAAATGAGAGACTATAACCCATCCCAGCCCCAACCCCAAGGAATGCAACAGTGAGAATGAAGACTGCATCACATTTTCCAGAGTAAAGACTCACCCTGTACTTTGTCTTGCTCTCTGATTTTTCCTAGAAAATCTTTATGAGGACCAAATTGGGAAGTCATAGTGGAGTATAAGGTGCAGAGGCTTTGAGCTCCTAAACAGTTTTTTAAATAAACATAGCTTTGAGATTAAATATATAATTCTAATATAGACTTCACCAGCATTACTACTAAAAATTATCCTTGTCCCATTTGTCTTTTCCAAGGAAGGAGAAAATTAAGGGCTTGTTGATCCACTTCCCTATTCTTGGCATGTGTTTCTCATCATCCTCATAACATGCCTACATACTCCCTATCCACACACCTAATAGTAAGACCTATTGTACCCTCAAATCTTATCTGGAACCACATTATTAATATTCCATAGAAAACTACAGCTCCATTTCAGCAAGGTCAGTCCTCATTAAAAGTTACTGAAAGTCTCAGATTCCTACTGCCTTTCAGACCATTTCCTACCATCTTCACCAAGGAGATGCTCTAGAGTGAACTGAGAAATTTCGTTTAGCAGCCACAGGGGTAGGGATGTGTATATGTGCTAGGCTGTTGAGTCTAAATGTAGAGGCTCCCCTAGAACAGCCCTTGGTTTGAATTTATCTTGTGTTGGGACATTTCCGAATAGAAGTGATTCTGAGGGTGGTTTCCCACCATATTTAGAGAGTAAATATCAAATCCGTAGAGTCTCACATTTAACTCATAGAAGAATCAGATTTCCCCTGCTCTCTGTGTTTGTTTCTAGTTTTTTCCCCAATGTCTTGATTTGGGATTGGAAAACAAATGGCTAGCTATAATGTTGACATACATTGGGTTCTTATGTGACTCATGTTTTATCAGGCTAGGAGGAATACCTGTGGGAGTTGTTGCTGTAGAAACCCGAACAGTAGAACTAAGTATCCCAGCTGATCCAGCAAACCTGGATTCTGAAGCCAAGGTAGGCCACCTCAAGTACACTGGGGGCTGTGCTTGGAGGGTTTTTCTCTTCGCAGTGCCTGTGAATACATCAGGAACATTGCAAACCATCAGTTTTAGAGGGAAGGGCATCAGCAGCCTTGAATGATTTTAGAACATCATGTGCTCACTTTTAAGGTGAGTCTAAACGGACTAGAAGCTAAATTCTGCCTCAAAAATTAAATAAGTCTTTACAGTAGTCTTCTTGATGCTAGAAAACGTATACTTTTGTTGGGGAGATGGTCTTACAGAAAGGTAGCTGAGATAATACTGAAGGCTCTTTGGTCCCCTATTCTCTGAGTATACACATGGAAGAGCTACAGCTAGAGTTAACGGTGAAGTCTGCCCTAATGCCAAGCGTGAACACCACAGCCCTTTTTTTTGAGACATGGTTCATGGCCCAGGCTGGAGTGCAGTGGTGTGATTTTGACTCACTGCAGCCTTGACCTCCTGGGCTCAAGGGATCCTCCCGCCTCAGCCTCCCAAAGTGTTGGGATGAGCCACTGTGCCTGGTGCCATTATTTTTTTAAAGGATGGATTATATTTTCACATCCTGACACCATTCAGAAAGTGAGGGGTCAGGGAGGCCAGGGAGGAGGCTATTCAGCAGTGTGACGTCAATTGTCTATTTGTTAGCCACAGTACAGGAAAATGCTATACTAAGCACAAAGGTGAAAGGACTGGGAGACTATGTACAATTGACTTGCTTTAAAGAGTAGCACAATGGAGCCATTTTAAGTAGCTTTTGAGAAACCTAGAACAAGGGTTCTTAGGACTGCATTCTTCCCTTTTGACTACAGAGTTATTATAATCAGGACTTAAAAAGAATAGTATTTGACAAGGTCAAAGATCGAGGATCCTTTCTTCTTTTTTACTCCAAACATGATGATCTTGATGAACAATAGTTTTTGTTGATCTGATTTTTAGTTTTCAGTTTTAAATAAGTAAAATCTTGTTCACCTTGGAGAGATTTCCCCCTGGAGCTGTGTTGTTAATTGTGTCTTCTTTGACTTTTCCTAATAGATAATCCAGCAGGCTGGCCAGGTTTGGTTCCCAGATTCTGCGTTTAAGACGTATCAGGCCATCAAGGACTTCAACCGGGAAGGGCTGCCTCTGATGGTCTTTGCCAACTGGAGAGGCTTCTCTGGTGGAATGAAAGGTGACTGGGCTGCCTGTGGGCTGGAGGGGCATCACTGATTACTGGGCACTCTGCGGCAGAGGGAGGGTATAGATTCAGCAGAATCTGTGGGTGTCCTAATAGCCTAGGCTTTTTGGGGATTCTGCCCTCTCTGAGACATCTTTTGAGTTGCAACTTGAATGGAAAAAAGTACATTTTATAATTCCATACAGAATTTCAGAATAATCTACTACTAGTGTTATTGAGGTGACCTACTGTTGTGGATCTCGCTCTCACAGATGGATGCTGGACCATTCTGATGGTGCTGGGGAAATATGATTGTGACTCTGTCCCTCTTTTCTGGGCATATACTTTGTTGGTGTTACTCCTAATGTTCTACAGTGACCAAGACAGATACTGAAATTAGCATTTACTGGAAGAAAATGAACAAATTCAGTACCAGAGGCTGTTCAGTACCAGTGGCAATTTGTGCTATGTTATATTATTATCTAACAACAGCCCTGGGCCTGTGGCTCCAGCATATTAGACCATTATTACAAAGGCTCTACTCCATGCTATGGGAATTGCTAAGTAATTAGGCAGCCAGTATCACCATTTACGGAGAAACCTTGATGTGTAGAGCGACTGTGGACACTACAGGGAGAGCCAAAGGAAACACTACCTCTTACAGTAGTGAAGCCCTCTGTCCCATGGCCAGATAATTCATGGCCATGCTAAGCCAGAGACTGCATACCTGGAGGGTATGAGAGTATGCTAAGTATAAATTCCATCTGTCTTGGGGAGAATTTGGGGTTCTAAAGCAATAGGATAGGGCCAGGCGGGGTGGCTCACGCCTGTAATCCCAGCACTTTGGGAGGCTGAGGCAGGTGGATCACTTGAGGTCCAGGAGTTTGAGACCATCCTGGTCAACATGGTGAAACCTTGTCTCTGCTAAAATACAAAACTTAGCTGGCGTGGTGGTGGGCGCTTGTAGTCCCAGCTACCCGGGAGGCTGAGGCAGGAGAATCACTTGAACCTGGGAGGCAGAGATTGCAGTGAGCCAAGATTGTGCCACTGCACTTTAGCCTGGGCAAAAGGGTAAGACTCTGTCTCAAAAAAAAGGAAAAAACAGTAGGATAGGTTAGGGGAAGGAGGGAGGAGTAGAAACTTTTGGAGTAAATAGTGATTAGAAAATGCTTAGGATGGCCAGGCGCGGTGGCTCACGCCTGTAATCCCAGCACTTTGGGAGGCCGAGGTGGGTGGATCACCTGAGGTCAGGAGTTTGAGACCAGCCTGTCCAACATAGTGAAACCCTGTCTCTACAAAAAATACAAAATTAGCCAGATGGGGTGGTGCATGCCTATAATCCCTAGCTACTTGGGAGGCTGAGGCAGGAGAATCACTTGAACCCAGGAGGCAGAGGTTGCAGTGAGCCGAGATTGCACCACTGCACTCCAGCCTGGGCGACAGAGCAAGACTCCATCTCAAAAAAAAAAAAAAAGAAAGAAAGAAAAAGAAAAGAAAATACTTAAGACATACAAAATGTGAAACAATGAACTCTCAATAGGGCACTTAAAAATAGCTTAGGGCAGAAGCACCCCCAGCCTATGAGGGAGGAAATGCCTGGGGAAACTACCAGATGGTCAGTTATGTGGCAAGAGGGATTTGAAATTTTTGCCGACAATTTTTCCTTACTCGTCTAGGAAGAGCCCTGTATGGCCAGGCCTCCTTGGCAAAATGTTGACTAGGTTGATTGTGTGTGTGTGTGTGTGTGTGTGTGTGTGTGTGTGTGTGTGTGTGTGTGTGTTTGGTTGAAAAGTTTACCTTTGCCTGTATTTGCTGGAGAACTACCACATTTTATACTTTTCTTGGGGGAGACTTGGACTATATATCCAAATTAATGATTGTATATATTTTTTAGATTATCAAGGTGAATTATTTTTTGACCGAGATAATAAATTAGTGGAAATACCATGAGAAATTGAGAGTATACGGTTAAGTCAATCCTACACATTTTTATTGAGTTCTGTGTGTTAGGAACTATGCTAGCCACTTCAGAGAACAAAAATAAGTCAAAATAAGTCAGAAACAATACATTGCTTCACAGAGACAAGAAAAATGTCTTGAGCAAAATGATAAAGCCATAATGTATAAACAAAATACCAGGATATTCAAAAGAAGATGGTAGTAGTATATCAAAGGGAAGGGGGGCCTGAAAACCCCTCATTCATATATATGAGGTTCATTCAGCATTAGATTTCACTTGATCCCAAATTCCTTGGCTCTAATATTTTTGTTGAGACCTGGGAGAGAATGCTATGCTATTACTCCTTACTTATCTCTTTGTGGGGGGCCCACTGAGAATGTACTCTTCCTGACATTACTTCAGAGTGTCACCCTGGATATTTTATCCTAACGGGAGTTCAGAGTTCAAAAGTTTCCAATGTGCCACTTCTAGGAAAAGCTTCAATTCTGCTACATATTTTGGCTCAGGCCCAGATTGGCTGCCGCGCTGTAACAGTAAGAACAACAACAATTAAGATTCATTGAGCTCTTTTCACCAGAAACTTGTGCTAACAATTTTACATGTATTATCTTACATAATCATCACAACAAGCACCTCTAAGGGGTAGGTTATATTGTTATGAACATTTTACATAAATTAAGATTTATGTAAATTAGGTTAAGTAAATTTCCCAAGCTCATTCAGCTACAAAATGGCAGAGTTGGGAAAGGAAGGTGGATCTGTCTGACTTCCTGTAACACAGTTGGCTGATGTGATGTAGCTCCCTGTAACACAGTTAGAGCCTAAAACCAGAACTAGATCTACTAGAATATCCCTATAACAGAATGTCAAGGTTCCTGAAAAAGTTATTATCCACCTACTTCCCCTCTACTTTGGGGATGTCCTTGGTTATTGTGAAAAGAAATTTCAAGAGCTCAGAAATGAGTTCATTTTTTATTGTGGTAAAATATACATAATATTTATCACTTTAATTATTTGTAAGTGTACAATTCAGTGGCACTAAATACATTCACAGTGTTGTGTAACTATCACTGGTATCTACACCCAAAACTTCATCATCCTCAACATAAACTCTATACCCCTTAAACAATAAGTACCCATTCCTTTCTCCCTGCTGCCCTTGGTCTGAAATGAGTTTTTGGCCTGATATATAGACCAGGGCAAGTTCTGTCTTAATTTTGGTGCTGATGCATCCTTTTACACCTCACGTAAGACAAATAAGACTTAGGGAAGATAGAGATCCCTGTGAAGGTAGGAGGGGGAGGAACAGTGCCTTTCATATTTACATACAGGTCAGGGTGTTGTATTATCTCATGTAAAGGGACCTAAACTGAGGGCCTCTTGTCATTCTTCACATCCCTTGGGGAGATGTTTGCAGTTTTGGTTTCAATACTGGCTGGGGATTATGCAGGGAGGGAAAATAAACAATTATGCCATCCCTCAGTGCACACAAACACACAGCCAGGAGCCGACTGCACTGTGGGTAAAATGACTCCAAAATTGTGTGTAATGAGTAGGAAAAGATTAGAGACAGCTCTTGCTATGCTGAAAATTGACATTAGTGAAGGGAAAAAAAAAAAACTCTACTAGTCGGCCTAGGAGGTCTAATTCGAGCAGTAAAGATATAAATAAATAAATAAAAGCATGTCAAGATGGTATTGGTGCTTTTTTTCAATGAGCTCTATCTGGCCGGAAGGCTATTCAGCATAATGCAAAATTAAATTATAAAAACTGGCTGAATATTTAGATGGAAGAGCCATTTGGAAGCAGTTTATTTAGACGAACCGGCAATGACCCACAACAGGGAGACATCAAGCGTGAAATTTACTAGAAATTAGCACCAGGGTCCCAGCCTCAGCATGAATAGCTTGATAGGATGCAAATCCCAGTGATATTAAGCTGCCTCACTGCTGGTGCTACAGGGTCACTCTCAGTTGGCTTTTCATGTTATACTTATTATTTTTTCCTGGGACAGGTTATAAATAACAATAAAAAAAATTTATTGAAAACTTTAACTGGAATGAAAGTCTATTTTAAAGTCTCTGATTACTAGGATGTTGAAATACAGTGTCAGCCGATCATAATGAACTAAGGAGAGACATTATGTATATGTAGCTTGTGTATGGCTAATGTTTACCTTCAGTTTCTAACAGATAATCTTGCCCAAGCCAATAAGATCTGTTTCATTTTCAAGAGTGTGGGACACTGTGGAAACACTCTGCCACCCTGTTCCCTTGTTTGATACACATGGCTGCCACGGTTTATCCATGTTTATAACAATAAAAGCCCTAGGCAGGGTTGGTGCCTAGGTGCTGAGAGCACACTGCAAAGGTTGTGTGTGGTCACCATTCATGCAGATGTGCTTTGCCCAGCATGCTAGAAAACTCCAAGCTCCCGCCTCTCCAGTGAGGAACCTATCAGTATTTTCCATTCCCAGTTGCGTTTCTCAGGGCCTGAGAATTGACAGCACGTGCATAGCTTTAAAATTCTGTAGACTGATTTCTAACCTAAACCCTTGGGGATCGCCCCTCCCCTGCTGCTATTGGCTGTGCTTTTGCTCTGTCTCTTAAATACGAAGGGATTTCAGACAATTGTGTGTCAGATTGTTGCCAAGTGTTTCAACCTGCCTTTCAAAATAAGTGGTTTGGGGCAGCTGCAGTTCAGTCTGAGCATGTCGATTACAGAGTTTATTTGTGTGTTTGTTTATATTTTAATAGCCTGCTTTTTGGGTGTTTTGATGGTTGGGCTGTGGGTCTATAGGTGTTCCAAGTTAGATGGAGGCAATATATTAGTCCCAAACATGTCAGCTTTAACAAACCCTGATGCTCCTTTCCTACTCACAGTCTTGGGGCCGAAAAATACTTGTTTGGCAGTCAGATCCAAGCCTCACACAGGCTGGTAGTGTTATCAGTATAGTTTTGAACATTTCTGAACACAGAGGAAATCCAGCAGCAGTTGGGAATATTCAGTCATGTATTCAAGTCTCTTTTTCTGGTTTTATTTTACTCATCATATTAGATGTTGGAAAGCAGAGTACCCCAGTCTCATGCTGTCTCTCCTAGCAGTAAGAATGAAGTAGTAGAGGCTGGGCACAGAGGCTTACACCTGTAATCCCAACATTTTGGAAGGCCGAGGTGGGCGGATGGCTTGAGCTCAGCGAGACCAGTCTGGGCAACGTGGTGAAACCCCGTCTCTACAAAAAATACAAAAATTAGCTGCGCATGGTGGCACGCACCTGTAGTCTCAGTTACTTGGGGTGTTGATGGAGGAGGATCGTCTGAACCCAGGAGGCAGAGGTTGCAGTCAGCTGAGGTCGTGCCACTGCACTCCAGCTTGGGAGACAGAGTGAGAACCTGGCGCGCCCCGCTCCCCACCTCAAAAAAAAAAAAGAATGAAGTAGTAGAATGTGGACATTAGGGCCAACAAGATCTAGATTTGAGTCTTATCTCCACCACTCACTCTTATTTAAGCCTCAGTTTACTCACCTGCAACTTGGATATATAAATAAGATAATGTTCTGATGATTAAATGATTTATATGTGTGTATATATAATCATGTTCCCTGGTACACAATAAGCTAGCCATGATGATGACAAAAAGGAGCCCACGTCCATTTCATAAAATTAAAAATCACACACACACACTCATCTTCATTTGAAACTGTTTGCATATACTATGAAATCTAGTATTTTTTTAATAGATGAATGAAAATACATTTTAAATAAAATCTCCCCTTCTTTTTGAGATGTCAATCTGTTAATTATAATACAGAGATAGATTTTGTTGTAGCTAAGTCTTTAACAAGAAGAAGTGAGTAAAAGAGCTGGAAACTTTGTCTTCACTTACCTCTAACTTTTTTTTTCTTTTTCAGGTAGAATGACTTTTTGTGCTGTCTTTTATTGCTTTATTTTCTCCTTTTATCTATACCTTTCATTTCCTCTCTTTGTATGATATCATTGAGGGACACTTTTCTGTTACTTGTTCGGAGACTGTACTCTTGGCAGCACTGAAAAATGTACTGCTAATTACACAATTATTTTATTATGTAGCACTGGTTGAAATATCCACTAAAGAATTAATTTAGTTAAAATAATTTGAACTGAGCAATTATTTTCATAACTACAGAATTAGCGTAAAGCACTTAAAGTCCTTTATTCCCTGCTCTTCATACAGCAGTTGTGTAATTAGCAGTAAATTTTTTTGGTCTTAGCTTTTCTCCCAAAGGAATAAATGTCTTCACTCTGATCATATACATGGAGTACATATCATACACATTCCACATAGAGTAGGGGGTGTTTTCTGGGGTAACTTGGAATTTCTGAAGTCTTCACAGACACACCAGGTTGGGGCAGTGGAGCATGTGCCTTGCAGTGAACTGTGCTCACTGATAGTTTGTATATTAAGCCATTTTTACTTTGGAGAAGGTGGCAGTTTAATTTGCCAGTAACTACAATGAAAGCAATTTCTATTTGGTTTGCTCTTAACTTCCTGAAAAATGCTTCTTTGCCTTGGATTCCCAGAATTGATTTATTCCAAATTGAGATCCTCTCTTTGATAAGAAAGTTTGATCTCAGTTGAACCTGTTATTTGGTATTTAGAAAGGATCCATTGTGGCTCCACTGAAGTACTCATTAAACATCTGGACTCATAAACCTAAAGCTTTAGCAATGGACTTCAGTGAGCTGGGAAATGGGAAGTCCATAAAAAGTTGGGAAATAAATAACTGATCCAGTTTTCCAGGGACTCACTTTATGTGTACATCATGGGTCCTTTTCTTCAGGCTGCTCCTGGCTTTGGAGGGATTACAAAATGTACTCTTTTTTTTTTTTTTTTTTTTTTAAAGGCAGGGCCTTGCTGTGTTACCCACACTGGAGTACAGCAGCATGATCACAGCTCACTGCAGGTCTCAGCCTCCTAGGCTCAGATCCTCCCACCTCACCCTCCTGGGTTGCTGGGACTATGGGAATGTGCCACCATGTTTTGCTAATTTTTTTGGTTTTTGTAGAGATAGGGTCTCTCTCTGTTGGTCTTGAACTCCTGGGCTCAAGCGGTCCTCCCACCTCAGCCTCCCAAGGAGCTGTGATTATAGGTGTGAGCTACCATTCCCAGTCTACAAAGTGTAGTCTTTAGCAGAATGAAGAGGTGGTTCCTCTCTTGTTTTTTGTTTATTTTGTTTTATGTTGTTTTTGAGACAGGGTCTTGTTCTGTCACCCAGGCTAGAGTGCAGTGGCAAGATCATGGCTCACTGCAGCCTCGACCTCTTGGGCTCAAGTGATCCTCCCACCTCAGCCAAGTGACTGGGACTGCAGGCATGCACCACCATGCCCAGCTAATTTTTTATTATTTGTAGAGACAGGTTCTCACTATGCTGCCCTGGTTGGGTCTGTTCTTCTCATGTGGCTGTGTGGTATTTCCTAAGTATTTTTAAAATTTTTCTCTCATTGATACCCTATAAAAATGCAACTGTTAAAGAATTTGTCTTTCTTTCTCATTATATTCTTTCCAGAGTATATAACTAATTTATTCAGCATTCATTCATTCAGCAGATATTTGTTGAGCACTAACTATGTTCAGGCACTGGGCAGGGATATCGGGATACCAAGATGAAAAATAGTTTTTGAAGATAAAATTTTTAAAGGATCAATTTCCATTAGGTGCACATTTGAAGAGCTCATCCTATGCTAAGCATCATGAGAATAACTGAAAAGAGGTAGAATAGTTCCTTCCTTTAGTAAACTTACTGTAGTGGGAGAGCACATATTGACATGAAAAATACTCAACGTTTGTAGAGCAAATGTGAATTAATGTGGTGAAACGTGAGTACAGAAATTCAGAGAGGATATAAAATGGAAAGGCAATCTGGAAGACTTACACACTGTATCTTGTGAAAGACAGTGCATCTCTCTGTTGCTGTCTTGTGCTTTTGAAGATCCTCTGGAGTCTTGAATGGGATACAGGTCGATACTCCCTTTAGTCTATAGGGTGGCCAAACAGGAGGCATAGTATAAGGAGGCTCTTCGTGGCCAGAGGTCCTGAACAGTGTTTAAAAGTACTGCTTTGAGGAAGAGAAATTTCTTGATTTCTAATTTGTCTCATTCTCCATAGATATGTACGACCAAGTGCTGAAGTTTGGTGCTTACATTGTGGATGGCTTGAGGGAGTGCTGCCAGCCTGTGCTGGTTTACATTCCTCCCCAGGCTGAGCTGCGGGGTGGCTCCTGGGTGGTGATTGACTCCTCCATCAACCCCCGGCACATGGAGATGTATGCTGACCGAGAAAGCAGGTAGCGTGCCTTCCACATTTCCATTCACTGCCTTTAGGGACCCTGTAGCTGTTGGTTTCCTCCTGGAGAATGTTACAGCCATGGCACTACAGCACCCACATCCTGTGATTCCAAACCAAAGCTTTTTCCTTCCATTACAGTCCAGGTCCTCACTCTAGCATTTCAGGAAGCTGAAGACCATGGTGTTTGTAGCACCCAAAAAAACTGTAAGGGAGAACCTCAGGCTTATTGGGAGGTGGTACCTGAAACTACCTAAATAAAACAGATCTAATCTGGCATCCTTTCATAGTCTGTTCTCACCTCTTTCCTAAGTAAACTTCAAAACGTGTTTCTTTGACATTTTCCAAGGAAATTCTTACCTCCAGTCGTTTTAGTGGACCGCCCGCTTCTCTCTTGTCCCCCCAGATTCAGCCTTCTATGTCAAAGGCTGCTTAGGAGAGTCCAGTAGTTTCACTGTCAAACCTCTAGGCTGAGAGGCTTATTATTTACATTCTGTACTTAGGGGTTTATTATTTTTTAAGTCCTAAACTCATCTGATATCAGATCAGAGACAATTCCTCTATAGACTTTGGAATCAGACTGTCTGGTTTCAAATCCAGTTCTGCCTCTTGTTATATTTGGACGAGTCTCATAACTTACTAAACTGTAGTTTCCTCACCTGTAAAATGGGAATAATCACAGAACCTTACTACATAGTAGATGGAGACTGGGCATAGGATTGTTGTAAGGATTTATATGTAAGTTATTAGAACAGTGCCATGTACATAGTAAACATTATCTATAATTTTTTTAAACTAGAAAGCTGTGGGTTTTTTTTTAAACATGTTTGGGGTAAAGTTTCTGGGGACTGAACATCATTAGTATGCACTAAAAGTAACCCTGAGACCTTTGACTCTGCTCATTTCCATAGCGCTGGGCAGAATGTTTTACCTCCTACTTGGCCTGGCTTAGTGTGTCTGATCAGTGTCCTACAAGCAGACTGACAGCTGTGGTATAGGTGAGGTAGATAGATAGATAGATAGATAGATAGATAGATAGTATTGATGAAGTATTGCCCTTCATTATTGTACATCCTACGTGATGGAGGTGGTTCCCCTGTCACTGTGCCTACAGCATTTTTTTCCCCTGGAAAATAATGTGATTCCTGTTACTCTTATCAGCTGTAGGTGGTGGAATCTGTATTCTTCTCCCTTTGAAATGGAAGTCGACTGGTGTGGTAATGAGAATTATTTTAATTGCTTTTTGCCAGGCCTTTCTCATACCTCACTTAGACACTTCTCTGGTGCCTACTGTTCTCCCCGGGGAGATGTCTGTTAACCATAGGTGGGCAAAATGATAATGAAGCTATTTCCTGGTCTACAAATTGTAACTGGCCTCATTCTGTTGTCTCCTTCCTTTAAAGTGCCTCTATTTCTGTTTTGTTTTTTCTTTCTTTCTGATCCAGGGGATCTGTTCTGGAGCCAGAAGGGACAGTAGAAATCAAATTCCGCAGAAAGGATCTGGTGAAAACCATGCGTCGGGTGGACCCAGTCTACATCCACTTGGCTGAGCGATTGGGTATGTCTGCTTGTCCTTCTGGCAAATCAATGAGCCATTCAGCTGATTTGTAATGAGTGCATTCATAGGCCAGGGGAGGAGGCACTGAAGCATTTGATCAAATTCATGATAATCTTTATTTACTGTCCTCTATATGGTAAGAACCCTGGTAGAATGAAATAGTGTGTATAATAGGGAAAGTGAGCCCTAAAAAAGCAAAAGTCACCTGATTTTTTTTCCTGATATTTCCTTAGAGTACAAAAAGCCCGTCTTTCTAAGATGTCCTTGTAGAGAATGATTAGCTAGAGTTGCTGCTGGGGGCAGGCCTCACCAGAGAATATGCTAGATTTAAATATGTCCTGTTTCTGCTTGTTTCTTTGGACAGCTCACTTCATTTCTGAGAGATGGGATAGAAAAGCAGGAGTCTTTACCCAGGTGGTGTTCCGGGGTCTTCCTGAGCTAGAGAAATAGAAGTAAAGATTGCGCACTGTGTGCTTCCAAACAGTAGCTGCAGCCAGAATAGCCCTGAGAGCAGGCGTGCTTAATGCTTCCAGCCATTGCTCTGTTGCTCATTTGTTTTCAGAGCTTTTGGAAGCCACTTGGCAATTTGAACATAGGACTAAACCATGGGAGTCCTGTGTTGAGTCCAGAGTCTAAATGAGTTTCAGATTCTTTTAAAACACTGATTTTCTGCCCAGGTCTCCCATTGAGCCCCTTGCTATGTTAGTAAAGATAATTGCTCGAGGTTCTTTTGTCAGTTGGTTTGTCTTGTTTTTGTTTTTTTCTAAAGGAACAGAGATTGCCTTTAAAAGGTAGTGAAACTCAGTGAATGGAGAAGAGAGATGCTAGCTCATTTATGTTCCAAGTGGTAATTTAATTAATAAAGTACCATTTGTGGACTGTATATCCCCACCATCCAGAGACAGAAAAATCCCGTTTGCCTACACTGTGGAGACTGTACATCCAGGCATTTGGAGCCCTGAGCCAGGTTGCCTGCCAAACACGGTGACTTGGGTTACAAGAAACCCTGTTTGTGTCCCATTGTTTGCCACTGGGTAACAGCCACCAATAACTCTAACTCACCACAGTCTGATCCTTTTATGGGGAATGCACACATACAAGAAATGAGAGTTGTTTCTAAAATCTATTGCCACCCAGAATTGAGGTGGGTTTTTTCTCTTTCTTTTCCAAACAGAATAATTACTTCTGACCAACCCTGTACACTTTAATTAAAGTAACTGCAGCTCAAGAGCAAGTTACTTACAACTGTTCATAGAGAGAGCTCTAAAAGCTTCAGCCACTGATAAGCATCTCACTTAGATGGCTCATAATTGCTCCCAGCATCCCCCAATTGTTGCCGCTGTGTTTACCACTAATTCCATACAAAGGCAGCAATGCCGCAATTGCAGGACACAGCAAATTGCATCATTTTCCTTTTTCCTTTTTTTCTTCCTTTTTCTTTTCCCTTTTTTTTTTCTTTTTGCTGGTTTTCTTTCTGGCCAATTTAAAATTTGTCAAAGTCGGTCTTCTTCTGGATCACTGCCCTTTGATATTTCGCGCACTCCATTTGCCACAAACAAGCCGCAGGGCCGCAGTTCATGCTGACTCTAGCAGAAGCAGAGAGAGCTCCATTTATCTTACACTGCCTGCTGAATTCCTACTCATTAACTGGGGGTTCACTGCCTCTTTTTAACCCCCCAATGGCTGTTATCATCCCTTCAGAGTAACTGGGTGGTAGGGAGAGGGATCCTTTCTCCTTTTGCAGAAGGACTGGATGGTGAGGGGTGTGGAGATAAAGCTTCTTTCTCTTCAAGGAAAGTGATGTCGCTCCCACCTTCAACCAGCACCTTTTAACTTTTGAAGCACATGAAGGGGAGAGGGAGGAGACTCCCAAGTGATAGCCGTTTAATCATTTGTTACAAATCATCTCATTATCAATTTCCTATCCGCATTGGAGAAAACCATATTTATTTAACCTTGACCAAAATGGCACTTGAAAAAGGACCCTTAGTCTGCTAAATGTGAAGCAGGCTCTGGCCTAGGGCAGCTTGGGAACATGAGCAGTGGACTTGGAATAAGAATAACGAACTACGAGTCTTGTAAATTATTTAACTTCTCCGAACATCAGTTTTTTTCCAACCATAAAGTGGAGATCACACCTCTGCCTAGCTAATATGAGGAGCAGATGAGCATGCATTTACTTCATTGCATCATTATCTTTCTGTCTTAATCATTAGAAAAAGCAGATGGCCATGTTTGGTATCCAGTATTCTCTGTGGCTCAGTCCCACATGTGAAAATATGAAAGAAACAGAAGTATAGTCCTGTCTCTCAGGGATATCCTATACGGGCAGCTGTCTCTGCGACAAAGCAGGTCAGCCTAGATATAACAGGACATATTATGAACCCAGTTCCTTTGGGGTTCACAATGATTCTGGCTCTTTTAGTTTGCCTAGAACCAAACTACCAAAATTCTTTTTCACAAAGTGGGTGAAAATGGTCTCATTTTTCAGACTGGGAAATTGAGGCCAAAAAAGTGAATCATCTAAGATACAAAATAAATAAATGTACATCAGAGTCCAGAATGGAATTCTCATTCTCTGTGTTCTCCTTTTCTCAGGATTTCTTCAGATTTTTCCTCAACTGAATACTGAGCCCGAACTAAATTAAACAAGGATTCTTTCCTTTTGTAATCTAAAGCCATTTCCACAGAGAAAATCTGATTTAGGAGAAAGCCTGTAGGAGTGGATGTTATCTTGTGTTGCCGTTCTCTCCCCAAATCTGCCTCTTTACTGGGGAGCGTGCTCACAGATCACTTAGACAAACCAGCGCACAACTGATTGACTGTGTTCAAAAACATAATTACTCCGGGCACGGTGGCTCACGCCTGTAATCCCAGCACTTTAGGAGGAGGAGGCAGGCAGATCACCTGAGGTTGGGAGTTCAAGACCAGCCTGACCAACATGGAGAAACCCCGTCTCTACTAAAAATACAAAATTAGCCGGGCATGGTGGTGCATGCCTGTAGTCCCAGCTACTCAGGAGGCTGAGGCAGGAGAATCGCTTGAACCTGGGAGGTGGAGGTTGCAGTGAGCCGAGATCGCGCCATTGCACTCCAGCCTGGGCAAGAAGAGCAAATCCCTGTCTTTAAAAAAAAAAAAAATCATAATTGCTATGTATTTTATAAGAATGAGTAATATTTGACTTCTGAGCAGCTAACTTCATCTCTTCTAGAATTTTTATTTTTTTAAATGGCCTTTTGTCATCTTACATGGTTAGTTTGGGTGGAAAGATGGTGAATTACTAGTTTGCAGGTCTGTGATTATAACAGAAAATATGTAAATAGTGCCTACACTGATTCCTAATAGAAGTAAAGGGAAGAATTACCTCAGAAAGAAAAGTGAGCAAAGCCCAGGCCCCAGAGTCTTGCATTGCTGAATCAGTTCTGACCCTGATTCACAGAACCAGGGCTTGGTAGAGTCATTGCAAGGAGGAGAATTACTTCCTACCATTTGGTTGCCTTAAGGAAATTAAATTTCTTCTCTGGAAATGGAGCCGCAGCCCTCCAAGTCCTTTTTGTCTCTCTCTGACATCCTTCTACTGCCTCACAAGGCCAGGAGCAGGGAGAGTGGCTGTGGAGCGGGACGGCCTTGCTAGCCTGGCCTCTTGAGTGCTGTGACCTGAGGTCCTCTCCTGGATCCTTCCCCTCCTCTTGTGTTCAGAGAGAAATGACAAATCAATTTAGATGGAGAGAGAACTGTCCAGCCCAAGTGTGAAGCAATTGTAAGTTCCCCACTGTCCCTCTCTCTCAAAATGAAGAGCACCTGGGCAAAGGAGCCGCTTAGGGGAACTTGTTCTTAGTTGTGGCCCTGTTCCCAGGCAGCTGGGCAGCCTGCCATGCAGCACCGCACTGCGCCCACACAGAACATGCCCTGACTGCCTGCCACAGGGAGCAGCAGCATGGACTGAGTGAGCACTGCTGCTGGCCCTTGCCTGGTCCTTCTAGGCCTGCCCACACCCACCATGCCTTCAGGGTCAAGGTTGCCCCAGGTGCAGATATGGAGCATTGTGGTGGCAGGTGAGGATACGCTTCTCTGTAAAAATCTTCAGGAATGCCTTCCTCCCAAGCCTTCTCTAGCAGCCAGAATGACAGGAAAAGGACTGTTCCCTGGGCTAAGGGGACTTAAGGGTTAAGCTGCTTTTCTGGCAGAGGTGATCAAAGTATCTGAGCTGTGTTTTTCCAACTCTTATGTCCATCTTCGAGAGGCTGAAAGCTGAAAAGAGCCAGAGTTGCTTGTTTGAGGCAGAAAGTATGTCTTTGCCTGGAAAGTTAAGACTAGGAAAGAAAGAAGTTCCGATACGCATGCCTTAGTGAGTGGTCTTTCACCTCTCACCTGTTGAACTTGGAGTGTCCTCACTGACACTATGGCCACTGTGTCCTTTGCGGTAAGGAGGCTGATGAGAAATAACACGAGGCTTTCTATCACGAAGGTAGATATGGGATCTTGCCTCCTCTCTTTTGTTAGCAGTAGCTGAAAACCTACCCCTCACACTGATTCAGAAGCTATTTGGCTCGGTGAAGTTTAGTGCAATAGTGACAAAATTTTCTGAGAAGAGAAAGGGGTCATTTTAGTTTGATCCTTTAATCTGATTGTATTTATAAAAGCACCTGGGCTTGCCTCCCCCAAGGAAGCAGTGTTTCACAATTCTGTATGGCCAGAGGGACCTGGCAGGCATTTAGTTAGAGGGAACCCAAGAGAAAGCTGTCATCAGAATGTGTCTTGGTCCCAAATGACCAGATCCCCGTATCCTGACCTGCCAGACATAGGGAGAGCAAATTAGGGAAGGAAAATAATGAAGACTACAGAGGCATATTTCTACCAGAAGAATTCAGAGAATTCTGTGCTGTTCCCTGACCTTTTTTATATGGATATGTCTGCGTGGAAACACAGGGACGGGACTGATGGGGGAGCAGTATTTTTTTTTATTCCTGTTTGGAAATCTCTGGGTTTTCTATTAATATAATGATTTTTAAAAATATGAACAGTAGAGCACTAACACTGTTGCAGGGAACTTTAGGGTTAAACATCCCCTGAGAGGATTGCTGTTAAAATCAATATGCAAATGTGAGTGTATTTAGATAGGTATGGCCCCCTTTGAAGAAAAGCAGATATATGAAAATGGGGTTTTAAAAAAAGCTAGATACATTGGGAGAAATTATTCCCATTACAAAAGGATTATTTGCCTTACCAAAGGATTCACTGCAGGGTTCCTCATAAAATAGCTCCCTTAAGGCATTTAAAACAGGATCTGATTTACGCAGTTTTTCAAGAATGCTTTTGTGTAAAGAAAGGCACACCTGTTATGGATATAGAAATAGTTTTGCAGGATTTTTTTTTTTTACCTATCTTACTATGTTTATAGAAAAATTTCTTTCAACATAGAAAATGTGATTACATAGATCTTTTAAACAACTGCTTGTGTTTGTACTTCTGAATCTTAATAAGATTCCAGTCTTTTTTATGCTGATTTTTCAGTCTCAAGGTTGAGGGATGGGAGTATGTTTTAACATCTGAGATATTCAGGAGCTTTCTGGGGAGGGTGGTCTTGTTCTTATCTCTAGCATCATAAGTATTGAACCATTCAAAGCAAATTGCTTTCTTTCTTTCTTTCTTTTTTTTTTTTTTTTGAGACAGAGTTTCGCTCTTGTTGCCCAGGCTGGAGTGCAATGGCACGATCACGGCTCACTGCAACCTCTGCCTCCCGGGTTCAAGCAGTTCTCCTACCTCAGCCTCCTGAGTAGCTAGGATTATAGGCATGCACCACCATGCCCGACTAATTTTGTATTTTTAGCAGAGATGGGGTTTCTTTATGTTGGCCAGGATGGTCTTGAACTCCCGACCTCAGGTGATCCGCCCGCCTCGGCCTCCTAAAGTGTTGGGATTACAGGCATGAGCCACCGTGCCTGGCGCAAATTGCTTTCTTAAGTAAAGGAAGAAGGGCCCATCAAAGTTAAAATTGGATTTAAATTTACATAGGCTTCTTAGTATAACTGTTTTGGTTTTGTTTTTGTTTTTGAGATGGAGCCTCGCACTGTCGCCTGGGCTGGAGTGCAGTGGCGTGATTTTGGCTCACTGCAACCTCTGCCTCCCGAGTTCAAGCGATTCTCCTGCCTCAGCCTCCCAAGTAGCTGAGATTACAGGTGCCTGCCACCAAGTATAACTTTTTTAAAAGTTGAGAATGTTTTTAAAAACACTTTAATATCACATTCTTTTATAAAACATTTTCCCTGTTTGCCAGACTGGGATTGTTGTTACATAAATGAGGAACTCAACTCAGAAAAGGAAAAAGATTTCTACAAGGTCGCCTAGAGCCTTTGGCTGAGCAGAGAATTTTTAGTCTACCAGTCTGATTTTTATTCCAAGCTTTGAAGATGTCACCTCCCCCAAATCCTACTTTTAGGATGTAGTTTGTTCATACACAGACTAGGGCTGACCTTCTCCTGGCCTATTTAAGTGATATGGCTGGGCAAAAAATTGCCTCCTGCTGCAGAAATCAGCCGTTTCCTCTGGGAGTTTCTCTTTAGCTTTTTTTTTTTTTTTTTTTTTTCGGTCAGAGACAGATTCTCACTCTGTCTGCCAGCCTGGAGTGCAGTGTCATGATCACAGCTCACCACACCTCGACCTGTCAGGCTCAAGCAATTCTCCCACCTCAGTCCCAAGTAGCTAGGACTACAAGGCATGCGCCACCACATTCCGCTAATTTTAAAATATTTGTAGAGACAGAATTTCCCTGTGTTGCCTGGGCTGGTCTCAAACTCCTGGCCTCCGCAGTCCTTCCCACCTTGGCCTCTCAAAGTGCTGATATTACAGGCATGACCCACCGTGTCCAGCCTCTCTTCACCTTTGATACCATGGAGGAGAAATGTGGCTTTTCTTTGTATCCTGGCTCCAGGGAACACCTGATAGGCCACTGTGCTGCGGATACTTTCAAGTCAATTTGAACTGCTTTGTTTAAGGAGCATGGGCTCTTAAACCAGATTACCTAGTCCAAAATCACAACTCCACTGTTGCCTAGCTTTGTGGCCTTGGGTGAGTTACTTTTTTGTGCCTCAGTTTCCTCATCTTTTAGGATTGTTGTAAGGATTAAATGAGATAAAAAGTACTTTAACAGTACCAGCACACAGTAACATCTCAATAGTGTTAGCTCTTCTTATTTGACCAGTGATATTTCGTCTCTGTTTAACTCTTTAAATTTTTTAATTAAAAGTGTGCATTTTTAGGATTTCATGGGGACTTATTTTTTAAGAGACAAGGTCACCCTCTTTCACCTAAGCCAAACTTGTCCAACCGTGGCCTGCAGGCCACATGTGGCCCAACACAAATTTGTAAACTTTCTTAAAACATTACGAGATTTTTTTTACAATTTCTTTTCCAGCTCATTGGCTATCGTTAGTGTATTTTATGTGTGGCCCAAGATAATTCTTCTTCTTCCAATGTGGCCCAAGGAAGCCAAAAGATTGGACACTCCTGACCTAGGCTGGAGTGCAGCAGCACAATCATAGTTCACCGCAGCTTGAACTCCTGGGCTCCAGCGATCCTCCTGCCTCAGCCACCAGAGTATCTCTGGGACTACAGGCACGCTTCACCATGCCTGGCTAATTTTGGGGGGCATGCAGGAGGAAAGACAGGGTCTCGCTCTGTTGCCCAGGCTGGTATTGAACCCCTGGGCTCAAGCCATCCTCCCACCTTGGCTTCCCAAAGTTCTGAGATTACAGGTGTGAGCTACCACACTTGGCATTTTGTGTGTGTGTGTGTGTGTGTGTGTGTGTTTGTGTGTTTGTAGAGACAGGGTCTTGCTTTGTTGTCCAGGCTGATCTTGAAATCCTGGCTTCAGGCAGTCCTCCCAACTTGCATAGGGACTTTTTATTTTGGATAGGAAAGGATGGGAGCACCTACCTTTTTACTCCCACTCAGCCATTTCCTAATGTAGAATTCTAGAAAAGAATGACTTTTCTCTCTGTAGCATATTCTTAAACACACTCACACACGTGTACACACCAACTTGCTTTCCTAAAATCCCTGAGGCCCTGCAATCTGGCTAGAAAAGAAAGAAAACCATTTCAAGATATTTAATTGTACAGGGAGCTTACAGCATTGATCGAGAGCTTAGCTTTTTACAATAGTCCAGTGAATAAGAAATGCTCCTGACAAACGATCAATGATAGGATAATCACTCTTTATCCCCCTCCTCATTCTTACCTTCTTTCTTTCAGGAGAACAGGGTTCAGAAGTCAAAAATCTTTATAGACGCCACTTTTAAATTAAGCAGAAAATAGACATTGACATATTTGTTAATCTCCCCTAAATCATTACCGGGGCTGGCTGCTTTGCTGTACAAGGAGAGAGGGGCCCTCGGTGTGCAACACATGATATAACTGGCTTAATAGCAGCCTTTTATTTTTAGAAAATAAAATTTTAAAAATCTTTTTTCCCCTAAAACAAAGCACACAAATCCTTGACCTTCACATGGGCATTTAAAAACACATATATTCTCCACTTCAGTCTTTTCCTTGTTTTGATGCTTTTTTGAGGTGGGTCTTGAACCATAATCAGAGGCATTACTGAAGGAATCAAACAAGGTAGGCTTTGGAGGAATGCCCTGCAATCTTCCTAGTCTCAGGAGGGCCAGAGCATTACAGGCATTTATTTTGTTATTCTTTCAAAGCTCTAGAATAGCTTGATTGAGAGGGCAAGACCTTTGTTAGCCCAGAAGCCAGCATCCTCCGTCCTTCCAACTTGGCGAAGCCAAAGCCTGGTTTCTGAAACACTGTCCTCAGCCCGTAGCTGCTCCCTCTTCTGCAGCCAGTGCTGAGCCTTGCTCTTAACTCCTTGCGAACAACAAACCAACTCTCCAGCTGGTTTCCCTATAGTGGCCACTGCAGGATATCTGCTTGCCAGCCTTCAATACCATTTAATGTGGAAGAACACAGGCTTTGGAGAGAGCCAGACCCAAGTGTAAATCCTGACTTTGCCACTTAAGAGCTGGATGCAGCCAGGTGCGGTGGCTCACACCTGTAATCCCAGCACTTTTGGAGGCCGAGGCAGGCAGATCACCTGAGGTCAGTTTGAGACCAGTCTGGCCAACATGGTAAAACCAAATCTCTATGAAAAATTCAAAAATCAGTCAGGCTTGGTGACGGGCACCTGTAATCCCAGCTACTTGGGAGTCTGAGGCAGAAGAATTGCTTGAACTCAGGGGGCAGAGGTTGCAGTGAGCCGAGATCGTGCCACTGCACTCCAGCCTGGGCGACAGAGCAAGACTCCGTCTCAAAAAAAAAAAAAAAAAAAAAAAGAGCTGGATGCCATTGGGGAAGTCCCTTTACATTTCAGAGCTGTGGTTTTCTTACCTGTAAAATAGACACCCTGGCATAAAGTTGAGTTGTCCTAAGGATTGGAGATCATGTACCTGAAGCAACTGGGAAAGCACGCAGTAACGTTGAAGTATTCAGCTTGGCAGCAGTGTTAACAGCTGACCAGATGTAGGTGTGTAGATCTGTATTGTGCTTGGTGATTATGATATGTGATCCTGAAAGATTTGAGTGCAGTGAGTGGTAAATGCTCAATAAATGGTGTGTTAGATATGGTCCATGTATATGTGCGTTTAGCCATGTCAGTGGTCTTGCCATCCCTTTGCTCCCTGCAGGGCTGTGACTTTACCTATTATTGTATTAGTTCTTGAACTCACAGTAACAAGAGACACAACTCTTAAATCTTAGGCCTGCCTAGGAAATTGCATCTGAATGGGAACTATTGGAGACATTGTCCTGGTCTTAGTTATGGAATTGGGACTAAGATAGAACCTTTATCAGCCAGGAGCCCACCATCATCACTTAGCCTCTCAGAAATTAAAGGGACACTACTACTGAAGCACGTGTCTTCTGCCCAAGTAAGCGAGAAGAGACAGCTAACAGTGTTCAAAAGCTTTGGGACCCAAACTGCTGCATTTGAGTCTTGGCTCTGTCACTTGCTAGCTTTGTGACCTTGGTAAGTCCATAAATTCTCAGTGCCTCAGTCTCCTCACCTGTAAAATGGGAATAATAAGAATACCAGACTCCTAAGGTTGTTGTGATAATAAATTAATAGATATAAAGCACTTAGAATGGTGCCCAGTACCCTATAAATATTAGCTTTGATTATTGATTGTATGCATTGGATAGCCAGGAATAAGTTTTCTTTTCCAGCTTGCCTAATTTTTAAAACTTTCCAATTTCACAAAAAAGTTACAAGAATAATACAATGCTTTTTTCTCAAATTCACCTATTGTTAATATCCCAATGCTTTATTATTTCTGCATATTCACATGTGTACATGTATTTATTCTCTCTTGCTCCACACACATATGCATTTTCTTTGAGCCATTTGAAAGTAATCTGTGGACCTCTTGCCTTTTTTTTTTTTTTTTTTTCTGAGACAGTCACTCAGGCTGGAGTGCAGTGGCGCCATCTTAACTCACTGCAAACTCCAGTTCCCGGGTTCAAGCAATTCTCACGCCTCAGCCTCCTGAGTAGCTGGGATGGCAAGCATGTGCCACCATGCCTGGCTAATTTTTGTATTTTTAGTAGAGACAAGGTCTTGCCATGTTGGCCAGGCTGGTCTCAAACTCCTGGCCTCAAGTAACCCACCTACCTCAGCCTCCCAAAGTGCTGGGATTACAGGTGTGAGCCACCCCGCCTGGCCCTAATGCTTCTTTATTCATAAATATTAGTGTGTATTTCTAAGAACACAGACTTTCTCCTACATAACCACAATACATTTATCAAAATCAAGAACTGTAAACATTGATACTACTGTCTAATCCATGATTCATATTAAAATTTTACCAATTGTCTCAATGTCCTTTTTAGTTTTTTTTTTTTTTTTTGAGGGGCGGTCTGAGATCTGATCTAATGAGCATACATTGAAATTCATTGTCAAGTATTTTTGGTCTCTTTTAATCTGGACTGATTCTTTGACCTTTGTTTTTCATGTTTTTCACATTTTTGAAGAGTGAGCCACTTTTTTTGTAGCATGTTTCCTCAGTTTGGGTTTGTGGTTAGATTTCGATTCTGCTTTTTGGGCAGGAATGTTGCGGAAGTCATGTTCTGTCCTTCTCAGTACATCATCAGGAGTCATGGTATCAGTCTGTCCTCTTGGTGATAATTTAATTACTTGCTTAAGGTGTTGTTCACTAGGTTAATCCACGATAAAGTTACCATTTTCCCCTTTGTAATTAATAAGTGATTTGTAAGGAATATTTTAAGACCTTGTGAATATTCTGTTTCTTATCAAACTTTCACCCACTGGCTTTGACATCCATTGATGATTCTTGGAAGAGTAATTTACAGTGATGCTTGTAAAACGGTGATTTTTCTAATTCCATCATTTCCGCTACACTTATTGTTCTTCTGCTGGAAGAGAGAGTGTTCCCTTTCCCTTCTCCCTCATTTAATTACTTATATGAGGGTGAATTGGTAGATTCTAGTTTCATTCCACAAATATTCTGTCTGTTAATAAATATCATTATTTATTTTAGTGTTCATTGTCCCAGAATTGGGCAGTGGGAACACATTCAAAACTGGCTCCTGCATTTTTCTAACATGTCTCAATCGTTTTTTGAGGGCTTCCTTGTTTTTTTGTCACAATATACCCCAGGTTCATCTGATGTTTTCCCTACCTCATCCCTAGAATCAGCTATTTCTCCAGGGAATCTTGGTTTCTTTCTGTGGAGAAGGGAAAATATTTGCTTCCCTAACAAGGGTGTTCTGAGAATGTCTCATCTCCGAAGACACCAGCCAGCCCTCCATCCCTCAGCCCTCCTCCCATCAGCCCTCTTGCCATCAGCCCTCCCTCCATCAGCCCTCCTCCCATCAGCCCTCCCTCCATCAGCCCTCCTGCCATCAGCCCTCCCGCCATCAGCCCTCCTGCCATCAGCCCTCCCGCCATCAGCCCTCCTGCCATCAGCCCTCCCGCCATCAGCCCTCCTCCCATCAGCCCTCCTGCTATCAGCCCTCCTCCCATCAGCCCTCCTCCCATCAGCCCTCCATCCCTCAGCCCTCCCGCCATCAGCCCTCCAGGCAGATCTACACTAGAATGCAATGGGCCTTTGTGTCATCCCTTAGTGTGGGGCCCGGTGCGTTCATGCTGTTCAGGTGTTTTGGAAGGAACACTACTGAGGCGCCGGGGCCTAAAGCAGCAGATCAGTGGCACCTTCATCACAGTTTTAAAATGGTGATGAGCTTAAAAAAAGAGGTAGAGTTGGGCATCCAAAAAACTAATAAAAATGAAACTTAAGTACTATAGTTACATCCCTCCTCTGTTAACCTGTGTTTATGTATAATACGGCTCAGTCAGCAGCCCAAGGCTGTTTTTATGGCATATGATTCATTGTGGTGTAAAAAACAAGGCCTGTTCCCAGACAGGCATGCTTGAAATAGACCTTCCTCTTCTGCATCCTATCACCTGTGCTCATGTATTTATTTGTCAGCTTTGGTGACAAAGCACTTCAGGGTGTCCCTAACACCAGGGGCTGTCACCTATTGCTCCTTCAGCTAGGCTTACTCCTCCTTACTAGGCAGGCAGCTAAATTTTCAGTATTGATTGCAGATCCCATTCTGAGAGTAATTAGGAAGAAAGGCACACCATAGCAACACCTCTACTGGGACACTATTGATTGGGGGAGGGGTCCCTCCTTGGTATAAGGGGTTCCAAAGTCTCCTGTCTGTTGAGTCAGGGTACCGTGCGCAGTGATCCAAATGAGGTTTGCCAACTGCCTTTCTCTTTTTACATCCTCCTTCTCCTTTAGCCTAAGAAGTAGAATGTCTTTGTCTGGTCAGGGACTGGCTCTGGCAGTAGCAGCCCAGGCGGGAGAGCACAGGCTAACCCACTGAGCTGACACAAGATGTGAGGATCTAGCTCTAATTAGATTGAGTTCTACTAATTAGAGGTTAAGAGTATATAAACCTGAGATTAGAAGCCATGAAGTACTATGGCTTGTAACTTTAGGAGTTATTCAGGTCCTTGCCAAGTTTGGCAGATAACTCGCATGTACACGGAAACAGGAGCTACTAGTTTGTGCTCGGAGTTTAGGGGTGCTCTCACCACATCCCACGTGTGGAATAGCCCAGCTGCTTTGATGCTGGTCAGCAGGGATGGGCATGGTGTCAGTGTACAAGTACTGGCCTCAGGGGAAGGAGGAGCCTGGGTGGTGTCAGCAATATGCAGCAGGCCTCTAGGTCGCTACTTGCACCTTCTCAGGGAGAGGCATGGGAGAGGGGCTGCCATCTGCCTTCACACTTGTGACTGCCACAGGGAAAAGAGGGCATGTGGGCTTCTTGTGGCAAGGTAAAGACTGGTGTGGCATCTTGTAGGGCCCTGTTAATCAGCAAAGAGCAGAGAAGACAACGGAGAGCCAGGCCACAGAGGGAAGAGGGGGCAGGCTGATGTTGAGCTTCCCGTGATTGTGGCTGCTTTTGTGCAGAGAGATTCCTGGTCATTACAGAGTGTGACGGGCATGTTTATCTAATTGCAGGGACCCCAGAGCTAAGCACAGCTGAGCGGAAGGAGTTGGAGAACAAGTTGAAGGAGCGGGAGGAATTCCTAATTCCCATTTACCATCAGGTAGCCGTGCAGTTTGCTGACTTGCACGACACACCAGGCCGGATGCAGGAGAAGGGTGTTATTAGCGTAAGTACAATGGTTGCCACTTCTTGTCAGAGGCCCACATGTGGGCAAGTGTGTGTGTGTGTTGCACACAGGCTCATAAGCAGGGAGCTATGAGGGCCAAATTAAAACAACTTCTGCAGATCAAAACATTTTCAATATTTTTTAGATTTTCACTGTTTCTGTAACTGTTATCATCTTAAAACAATGTATAATTTAGGTTTCCATTAATTCCTCAGGAGGCAAGCTGCATTTTACTGGTGGGAAACTGAGTCACATGTGACTTCATTGGTGACGGGTCCTCAGGATGTGGGTTACTATAGGGTCAAGGCTCCCGCAGCAGCTAATTAATAATTGATCTGCAAGTTGTTTGATCCATCTTCTCAAAACGAATTTATCCTTGTCTGGTTATCTGGGAACTCACAGCCTCTTCCCCAGAACATCTCAGCCATGTGTGGGATCAGCATTAGCCAGGCCCATGGCTGTGCACAGTGCTGCAGACAGCAGGGCATGTGGGCTGCATTTCTGCCCTGGGGGACATCTGGAAGTGCTAGGAGTTTACAGCCAGCTCTTGGGTCTGTGAAGGGCTTGCCTGGAGAATCAGTTTTTATGCCTGTGGGTTTCCCTCCAGACTGAGCATTAAGCAGGAATTAGGACTGGGCTAAGTTTATTCTTCTCTGCATGTAGGATATCCTGGATTGGAAAACATCCCGTACCTTCTTCTACTGGCGGCTGAGGCGTCTTCTGCTGGAGGACCTGGTCAAGAAGAAAATCCACAATGCCAACCCTGAGCTGACTGATGGCCAGATTCAAGCCATGTTAAGGCGCTGGTTTGTGGAAGTGGAAGGAACAGTGAAGGTAGGTGGGACACTCAAAGAGAAGCCTTTTTGCTGAGTTCCTCACACCACCTGAGGGCTGCAAGTCTCGCCAGCAAAGAGTCCACAGGCCTCTAAGGGCAGGAGTAGAAGGGAAACATAGAGATCCAAGCTGTTTCCTCCCCCAGCTACTCCCCCTAACATGTCATGTCACGACATCTTGTTAGAAGAGGTGGTAGGGCATATGTTGCAGCTTATGCAATCATTCAGCAGACCTTTTTGAACACTTACTGGGTACTAGACACTGCATTTGCTTCTGGGGGCATGGCAGTGAAAGAGGCAAATGTTGTTCCTATCCACATAGAGCTCACCATCTAGAGGGGGAGACAAATAAAGAGGTTATGCACAATAGTGAGGCCCATGTTAAACACAGCAAAGGGCACAGAGCACAGCGAGAAGATACCTGACCCTCTCTGGGAAGGATGGAGGAGAGTCTAAGAAGCCTTGTGCAGTAAGTGATGTCTCAGGAGAGGCTGGAAAACAAAGCAGAAATGAACCAGAAGAAAAGGCTGGATTTGGGGGCAGTCAGGGCTTAGGAGGAATGTTCCTGCAGAAGGAACAGCATCATCCTAAGCCATGAGAGTAAGAGTAACATGCATCAAAGGAACATCCTGCAACTGTTTCAGGGCAGCTCAGAGACTGGGTGCCTGGTAGGAAGAAGGGGCAGGGGCATGATCACACAGGGCCATGTAAGCTGTCAAGGAGTTTGGACTTTGTCCTGAGGCCTGTCGGAAACCACTCAGGTATTTTAAGCAGTGGAGTGACATGCTCTGATTTCTATTTTAGAAAGACCACTAAGGGGGCTGTGTGGAGGAGGGAATTGGAGGGGCTAAGAGCAGAAGCCTAACAGGTTGTGATCGGCAGGAGATGCCATGACTACAACTAAAGAGCTGCCTACTTCCAATCAGAGATGGAAGGAAGTATCCACCCTTATGCAGGGAAAGGGACCTATGAAGCTGGCATTTTCTTGGGGTGATCTCACAGAGAGGGCTCGTGACCTAGAGCAGTAACCCCACTGAGATGGTGTCCTTGGTGCTCTAGCCTCAGTGTTGGGGATGGGGCGGGTCTCAAGCCAGGATGACCTAGCAAGGGCACCAGCATTTGCTCCTGGAATAGTGGGCTGCATAAGTCACTCCATGGATGGGAAGAAAAAGCTGGAACTTTTATTTCTGTTTATTTTTACTAACAAAAAGAAATTAACCTTTATTAGTAATTAATATATGGATTAATCATTTACATCAAAAATGCATTTTATCAGAATATTGGTAGTATGTGCTCAAAATATATTTGTCTGTCTTTCTCATTGCTATGTGATCACAAACATTTGGTGACTACCAGGTTAGAGTATTGATGGAGGGCTGGGTGGCTGGTGGTGGCTTGAAGGGTCCTGGCCCACAAAGAGGGGCACTCTGGCCTCTGCCTAGAAAGTGTTGCCTGAAGCCTCTGCTAATCGTTCTCAAGGAGGAGCTCCCAGATTTGCTGTCAGTTTTAAAGCCAGTGAATTGGGGTGCTTCTAGGATTCACCTTTGTATTAAGTCTGCCCATTTTTTTTATGACTGAAAAGCTTCTTTGGATAAATATTTCAAATGTGCAGTTGGGGAGCACAGCCTTCTCCGACATTTGGTTCAGGTTAAGGTCAGTCTGTGGCATCATAATTGAGTGAGACAATTTTGTCAGTGGCTACTGGCAGCTTCTAGTGGAAGTTGGCATTGAAAGTCACGCAAGTGTAAAATAAGAGTTTGTCCTCCAGTTAAGAGTGGCCGGCTAGGTAAATGGAGTGTGTGTGTATGTGTGTGGCCAGGAGAGGCCTGCACTGCCTCCCTACCACATTAGTCACTAATGGACGTGTCCAGCCTCAGTAGGCACAAGGATGAGAAGGAAGTTTCCCCCCAGGCATGAAGCAAGTAGATAGGCCCTTCAGCTTTTCCCTAGCATCCTGCTCCCAAGCGGACAGAGCGTCTGAAGAAATAGGTCACTGCCGTCTCTTATCAATGGAGAGAACAGTTGACCACGTGTGTACAAGCTCCTGGCTGGAATTGAAGCACAGAAGAGAACCCCCACCCCGTAGCTCAGTAGGAGGCTGCCTAGGCACTGGGGGCAGCCATGCTGAGCACTGAGGCCATTTCCCTTGTGCCCATCTACAAAAGGCAGCATTCTCCTGAGTTCTCTGAGAGGAATGCCAAGGACTGAACGTGAGGACGGGTAATCCTATGATGTCAGGGCATGTGGCTTTGAAACCTCCTTCCATATTCGGCAGGCTCAGCAGGACCTAGTTTAGTGTGAGGTGGGTGATAAAATCTGCAGTGCCCTTGAGAGAAGAAAGGGTTGCAGTGTTCAAAAGCCATCTGTGTGCCTCAGAAGGAGTGATGTACAATCTGCTTGCTGTTTGGTGTGGGGGGGGGGGGGTGGTTCTTCAAAGAATGATAGATACTGTGTGTTGTGTTTCTCAAGTGCAAAGACTGGCTGAGTCTAGACCCTGGCTTTGCACCAGGAAGTGACCCTCTAATCCTTATTGTGGTTGGTTACTGGTAAGAAAAGACATTTCGAGATAGGCATCTATTAGCTATGCCTTGTGTTCTTTTTGTTCCCAGAGAATTTGTTTTCTTAATCTTAATCCTGAAAACAGAAATTCTGGGACAGAAAATTGAAGACACGGTGATATTATATAACTGAGCACTATAATTCTTTTGTTTCCCTTAGAGATATCTGTTACCATGAGTTATGGGAGTCTGTTTGAATCCACTGGGACGATCCTACTGTAGGAAATAGTAGGATTTATGGTTCATAGTTTCACTGCAGGCAGAAGCAAAGCATCACTACAGCTCCTTAACGAAAATAACAAGAACAGTAGTTTAAATTGGGTCATAAGAACATGGCACACATTTGTATCCTGGGCATGGTTTCTCACTTGATTCTTAGATCCAAAATTTGAAGCCTGGTTTTTCAAACAGGCTGATTTATTTTTTCCCAGACCCCAATAGTAGAAATTGAAATTAGGACTCTGCATGGAACAATGAGAATGTGGGTTTTGAAATCTCATAAACTTCGGGATCCCAGCTTTGTCATTTACTGGCATGGGCATATTATTTAAGCCTCCATTCCCTCATCTGTAAAATGGGGGTGGTGTTTATGTCATGGGGTTCAGTGAGTTTTAAATAACATGAGTAAAGTATGGAGCATAAGTCAGATGTGGTGGCTCACGCCTGTAATCCCAGTGCTTTGGGAAGCTGAAGTGGGAGGATCGCTTGAGGCCAGGAGTTTGAGACCAGCCTGGATAACAAAGCAAGACCCTGTCTTCACAAAAAATTTTAAAATTTGCTCGGTGTCGTGGCACACACATGTAGTCCTAGCTCCTCAGGGGGCTGAGGCAGGAGCATCGCTTGGGCCAAGGAATTTGAGGTTATAGTGAGCTATGATGGCGCCACTGCACCCCAGCCTGGGCAACAGAGTGAGACCCTGTCTCCAAAAAGAAAAAGTATGGAACACAATGTCTGGCTCAGTAGACATTCAAAATATGCTAGTTTCCCCTGCTCCATGTTAGAAGGTAAAAAAATAATAGCAACATAGACCAAGTCAAAAATGTACAGCTGATTGACCTCGGCGGAAAGGGGGCTGACTCCTGAGCACAGTGGGTGCTCAGACGCTCTTTGGTTTGGCATGCTCTCATGTTCCCACAACCCGATGCCATGGTGCATTCTTATTGTTCACACAGCTACCCACTCGCTCTTATTCTGGATTTCCAAGTGAAATGAATGCTCAACAGAGGCCCCTGTGAGGACCATAGGAAAAAGCACTATTGACAGGGTCACTTATTTCCACTGACCTCAAAACCTGGCCTCAGGCTACTGATGAATAAGTCTCATACACCAAACTTCTCACACAGGGCCAGGCAGGGAGGAGGTAAGGTAGAACCTGGAAAGTGTTGCTTGGCCCTGCTATGGGCCTGGAGCTGAGATGGGATTGGCTCACAGGAGCTTGGTTCACAGGGGTCTGATGGCCACCCTAGCCCACATGTCCTTTGGCTATTGTACTCTAAAGCCCTTGGAAAAAAAAATCACATCCTTTCTTGGGCTTCTGTTGGATAGGGCTTAGCCTTGTAAGTGTAGGTGTATTGAAAATGTCTTTCCAAAATATGAGTGTACCTTAGGATTTGTATGCCATCCCTACACCCATCAGGCTGTGTGTTTCCCAGAAGTCTAGAAGGTCAGAAATGGGAGGAGCCTCCCTAGCTGGAGGTGTCTCCCAGCAGCTCCCAAGGTGAGTTATTAGTAGGGTATAGTAATCAGGGCTCACATCCATCAGGTTGTGCCCTGGTCACTCCTTGGCCCTGCTGAACCATTGTCTAAGGAGGACTTAACAGCTATCCAGTATGTTAGAAATGAAACTTTCCAAACAGGTCATTTAGATGTTGTGAGATAGACTAATTACTACATAAAATTAGTGAGGCTGACTAGTGCCTGAGATACTTATCCACTGATGCAGACAGAAAGTGTCTGTTGAACATTCATTTTAGGACAGGCCACTGTTGTGATGTAGAATTATTGATATTTTATTGATAAAATGTTCTGATACAGATGGATATGCTGACAGGTGGCATACGGGCCCAGGCCTGTCATGATGTTAGCAGCCTAGCATATCACACCTGTTTAAAGTCCACGCTGGAATACTAGGAATGACTGGCCACATTTTCTTTTTTTTTTTTTTTGTCTCACTCTATTGCCCAGGCTGCTGGAGTAGGTATGATGACTCACTTTCAGCCTCAACCTCCTGGGCTCATGTGATCCTCCCCTCCCACCTCAGCCTCCCAAGTAGCTGGGACTATAGGCATACACTACCCCACCTGGCTGATTTTTTTGTAGAGGTGGGGTTTTGCCATGTTGCCCAGGCTGGTCTGAAACTCCTGGACTCCAGCAATTCCCTGCCTCAGCCTCCCAAATTGCTGGGATAACAGGCGTGAGCCACTGTGCCAGGCCCATTTTCATAATTTTAAGGAGGGAAATAATAATGGCTTCTTCCTGGGAATAAGGTTGGCCTATCCTTCTGGATGACTGGAATTGAGTCTTACAACTGTTCTAAGGGAGCAAACAAGAAACTGTAGGCTCTGGCTGGGCACAGTGGCACACGCCTATAATCCCAGCACTTTGGGAGGCCAAGGCAGGGGAACTGCTTGAGCCCAGGAGTTCAAGACCAGCCTGGGCAACATAACGAGACCCTGTTTCTACCAAAAAAAGTTTTGCCAGGCATGGTGGGGCATGCCTGTAATCCTAGCTATTCAGGATGCCGATGCAGGAGAATCACGTGAGCCCAGGAGTTTCGGGCTGCAATGAGCTGTGATCATGCCACTGTACTCCAGCCTGGGCAACAGGAGGAGACCCTGTCTGGGGGAAGAAAAAAAAACCTGTAAACTCCATAACCCAGTGGAAGGGAGCTTGCTTTTCCCAGGTGGAGCAAATTATCCCACAACAGTATGGTAACTCTCCCAGGTCTGTTGAGAAAAACCAGTGGCACTATGCTTACATAAGTTTGTTTATTTTTGCTAAACATGCAGTTGATTAGAACTTGAGACCCCTTTCCTTCATGTACTCTAGGCTGTAATCCACTGGGGTTTGGCGGTCATTGTCATCCAGTTGTACTTTGCGTAAACAGCAGATCTTTTTATAGGACCCATATTTTCAAGCAACTGTAAAACTTGGAATGCGTTGCCCTAATCCTGTCTGGGAACTTTTCAAAATGTTTAAACACCTAGCATACTCTGTGGCTGCAGGAGGGGAAGGCAGAAGAGTTTTCTCTAGAGGGTAGCTGGCTTTCCAGTGTAGTGTCTGAGCATTGTTGGAAGCAGGCATCTCGTTAGCTAATACATTACACCAATCAAGGAGAGTTATCTTAAGCCACAATTAATCTGCTCCCTGGCATATGTTGATAGGAAAGCATCATGCTGTTTCTTAATTAAAAGCAAACGGATTAAAAATGATTAATAAGAGTATTAAATATTCTCCTAAACTAAAGGCTTTGGGATTCTTGGGTAAATCTAAAAATCTTGGGGTTTTTTTTTTTTCCATTCTGAAATCCAAGAAGCATTTATTGTTTTATTTTTCCTCCCCTCCACCCCAATCTTCATAAGTAGGGGTATGTGTAGAAGTCCTGAAACCACGGAGCAGAAGAGTAAATTGCCAATGATGGAAATGGAAATGTTGAAATTTAGGTGGCGACGTTTAGGAGTCCAGGGGGACCCATCCATATGTGGGGCGTGCAGCAAGCTGGGTCACAAGAGTGAGTTAAAACCATGTTATGGGAAAAGCAGTGCTACCTTCTCCCTCGTGGATAGGGGCTGATGTGACACTTCCTTTCCTTAGGCGCAAAACACTTTCTCAAGGCAGTTTGGCCTTGAGAGATGCTGGGAGTCCTAACCCAGGCACAGAGAGGAGAGGGTCACTCAGGTTTGCACTGACGGGGCCACACACCCCAGCTGAAGAATTGCTGATCTGCTTATCAGTGATTAGATACAGAACTGGGCACATTTGAGTCAGAAAAAGAAATGGACAAAGAACTAAAAGAGACATACTGCTGATCCTTAGTCCCCGGAAGCCTTCATCTTTCCAATGTAAAGGAGTTAATTTTTAGAAACAGAGACGTCGATGAAATGACATACATTAAATAACCAGTCACAACTAAGTCGGCAGCTAAGTTAGAGACAGGAAGTGACAGTCTGAAAAGAAACCATTATATTTGAAGGCACGAGATAGTTAGAAAATAGCCTAGTGCTCAGTTTTGTACTGCTTGAGGCCTCTTGTGATGAAGACATTTCCTCTGCAGCCCAGTAGTCACAGCTGTGGCTTTGGTGACCTTGCTTGCATACAGGCTTCCTGTAGCCACGTCTCAAACCTCAAAGCCTCAGAGTCCCTAACAAACACACCCACCTATTAAATTATAGCACCAAACTCATTGTCATTCTGACTTTGACTTCGTTAGTGATAACAGAGAAGGATAGCGCACCTTTAAATGACAAGCTTTGTGTTTAATTACCCAAACAAAATGACATAAATATGAATGAGCCCTAATTGTGGTACTTGGTTTTCCGGAAACCATTAACAAAACGATTCCTAAATGATTTGTAAAGAAAATGAGAGGAGAAGAGAGCAAGGAGAAGGCTATTAGGCTTCTAACACACTCCTGAATTATTATGTAGTCAACCACCTAGGAAATACTCAGCTAAATGATCTTGAAAAGGAGGTGAGAGGTGGTTTGTTGAGACTTTCAGGGTTATGGACGTCTTGATCCTTTCGAATACTCTCATAGGTAATAAAATGGGGCTTAGGTTTCTGACCTGGTGGCTGTACCCTGGCAACAAGACTTCCCTCCCATCAGTTCCCCGTCCGTGCCTCATCAAAAGACAGTGGGCTCTATTTCAGGAGACTTCATCCATCCAGTGACTGCCAGGCCTCACTGAGGCTAGAGACTTATACTTTAGGCATTGTGTCTCAGCTCCTCTGAGAGCAAAACACCAAATAAACAGCCTTGCCTTCTCAATCACAATTTTACTAAGTAATTTGGGCTTTTAACTGGTTCTCTCAAACCTGTCAGGTTATTGAATTCTCTTAGCCTTTGTCAAATAGGTGGGTCCCTAGAGTCTGACAGGACAGAGTCAGGGTATGAGCACCAGAGTGCTCGGGAGAGCCCCATGGAGACTTCAGGTGTACACCTGTGTCCATAAAGGAAGAGAAGGAGAAGGGGCACAGCTCCTGCCTCGAGGCCTACTTCCTCCTCCTGCACGATGCTGACAGTGAAGGAGAATCGTGGACACGGAGCACACTTTTGGAGTAAGCAAGCACTCCAGATCCTGAATAGTCAGGGTGTCCCGGCCTGGCCTGACCCCTGGTGTTTGACCAAGAGTCATCTGTTTGCAGGCTTATGTTTGGGACAATAATAAGGATCTGGCGGAGTGGCTAGAGAAACAGCTGACAGAGGAGGATGGTGTTCACTCGGTAATAGAGGAAAACATCAAATGCATCAGCAGAGACTACGTCCTCAAGCAAATCCGCAGGTGAGACCAACGTGGGGAACTCCACTAGAGAAGGAGGGCTAATTTCTTTGGAATAAAAAGTTTCCAAACAAATCATGAGATGATCGCAGAAATCTTATGATCTCTGCAGTCTCTTGCTGTTTGAGACAGCTGTAGTTGACCCACAGGTACAGATATGGCCTGAAGCCCAATTCTTTTTCAGCTACTGCTCCCCAGGGGCACTTAGTAATCTCAGCTAGATGAAGGCTTAATTCACTGTGCCCACCTCTTAGCTCTGAATGCTGATACTCAAACCGGATGAACAACTCTGGGAGGAAAGCTGATTGTGTGTGTGGTGGTTTCCTGGGAAACCACCTCCTCACCTCCTGAAGCCAAGAGTTAGCTGTATTCTTCTAGAGGCTTCAGTCTGCTCCATAGGATCGGTGGTAGAGACTGCAGGGGCATTTTTGTAAAAGTTTATTTGGAAACATTTCACTTACAGAAAAGTTATAAAATTAAAAACAGTACAAAGAACACCCCTATATATAATATCTGTACTCAGATTTACCTGTTACATTTTCTCCCCGTTGCTATATCACTTATGAGTGTGCCTGCCCTCCCATATGTGTATACATTTTTCCTCTTTCTGAACTACTTAAGGGTGTTACATATATCATGGCCTTTACCCCCAAATATTTCAGTGTGCATTTGCTGAGAATAGGGATACTTTTACATAACCATCATAAAATGATCCACTTTTGTAAATTTAACATTGATTAAAAACTTTTATCTGATATCTACCATCTGTAGAACATTGCTCATTTTGAGTTTGTCTGATGTCTCCCCATGATGAGATGCAGGTGAGGCACTCTGGCCAGAACCTTCACAGGGCACCACATCTGGGGGCACATGCTGTTTATCTGCTCCTCCTCGTGTTAATTTCATCCGCTGGTCAAGATGTTGCTCCATTTCTCTACCGTATAATTACTGATTTTCCCCCCTTGCACCTAATAAGTAGTCTGCAGGAAGACATTTTAAGGCCATGCAAGTATCTTGCTTTCATCAAAATTTCCCTCTGGTGCAGTCTTTACGATGAGCTTGCAAAATGATAACTTTCCAACTCCAGCACACCCTCCACAATTACCAGTCACCACTCAGTCCTCACTCCTGCCGATTCTTTTATATATACATTATTGGTACAGACTCATGAAGTTCTATTTTTTACTGATTTATAATTCATTGCTGGGCTGCTTTTGATGCCCCAATTGCTGTCTTTGTGACATGCCCCCATTGGCATGTTTTGGGTTTTTTTTGGGTTTTGTTTTGGGTTTAATTCCTTTTTCAACATAGCAAAATGTTTTGGGTTTGTCTTGCACTACCTTGGCTGGATATTTGTAATATAGGGAAACAAATAAGGTGAGGCGTGACTAAAATGTCTGCAGTGGACGGTGCACACATGTTTATTGGGCAGTTCTTTAGCTGTCCTCATCTAGACACTTCTGCTTCTCTTTTCTTCACCATTCTCAATCTTCCTTTCCAGCTTGGTCCAGGCCAATCCAGAGGTTGCCATGGATTCCATCATCCATATGACGCAGCACATATCACCCACTCAGCGAGCAGAAGTCATACGGATCCTCTCCACAATGGATTCCCCTTCCACGTAGGAAGAGCTTCCTGCCTGTCCCTGCCCTGTCTCTGGAGAAAAGGGCTAGAGCTGCCTTTTACAACTGTAACCACTGTAATGAGAAGGCACAGGAGACCCAGCACTGGAGTCAAATGGCATTTTACTTCCTCTCGTTTCAGGTTATGCATGACATCCTGGGATGTAAGATCACAGAATCCCCCTCCAGCCCACCAGTCACACCTACCCCATTCAGTATTTATTACCCTGGCCAGGCCTAGTCCTCCACTCCCTGCACAGGACTGAGAAGGCAATGAAAGGTACAAACATGTACCATGAGGTCTTACTAACCAAAGTAGGGCTGCCCCTCCTGTCCTGACAGCCCCTTGGCCTCCCAGCATGGGGAAGCGTGAGGAGTTGCCCAGCAGTGAGCAGCCCCCCTCACTCCTGGCCCCATGAGCCGCAGCCACAGGCAGCAGAGGAGGGCTAAGGAGAGGAGGAAGCCTCAAGTCCATTGTTTATTACCCCGACTCTTAGCCCAGCACACAGTAGGCACTGGAGAGGAATGATTCCCAGTTTAACCACACTACGGTACCTTTTATGAAGAAAAATTAGAGCATAAAATCTACTACAAGCTCCATAGGAACTCAAAGATGAGGGCAAAACTGTGAGCCAAGAAGCAGAGAAAGAAAATAGAACCAGTTATTCTTGATTTAGGGGACCTCAACCTTGGGTTCAGTCTCTGAGGACAAAGGGAAAGGTAGTTGTTGGCCTGCCTCTCGCCTGCACGTCACTGCTGGACTAGCTGTCGCATGTGGCTGGGAGCTGCAAGGCCAGTGCTTGAGGGGCCCCAGCAGTTCCACAGGTGGTGAAGCCTGAGTTGGCAGAGGAGGAGCCAGAAGAGAACTGCCCTTTCTGCACTGGTGGAAACTAGTTATTTATGCCATGTGGAGAGCCAGTGAGATAGATAGATAGTCTGTTTGTTTTGAGGACTTGGAAAGTTGTTCCTATGAAGCCTGGAGCTTGGATGGTTTTGAGAGGTTAATGGTGCCTCCACACTCACTCTTCCCTAGTTCCAGGATTACTGTCCTAGCAGCTAACGGTTCTACTCTCTTCCCCAGAGTGTAGACAGGCAGCAGGTCTCCCCACAGCTCTGAAAGGACCCTGGTGACAGCTACACCCTCAGCACCAGGAGCTGGCCTTCCTGATGAGGGAGGCTTCCAGGAAACACAGAATCCACATGACCTTAAGATTATTTACAACTCAGTCATGGTGCTGCTGTCCTCCAGGCTTACTGGCCCCTCCTGACTGGCATCAGGGGCTTCCTCAGGTGGTGGAGAGAGTTTACTTTCAACAACTAGTTTATTCAAGAAAAGAACTTACTGATTCCTCTGTTCCTAAAGCAAGAGTGGCAGGTGATCAGGGCTGGTGTAGCATCCGGTTCCTTTAGTGCAGCTAACTGCATTTGTCACTGATGACCAAGGAGGAAATCACTAAGACATTTGAGAAGCAGTGGTATGAACGTTCTTGGACAAGCCACAGTTCTGAGCCTTAACCCTGTAGTTTGCACACAAGAACGAGCTCCACCTCCCCTTCTTCAGGAGGAATCTGTGCGGATAGATTGGCTGGACTTTTCAATGGTTCTGGGTTGCAGGTGGGCACTGTATGGCTGGGTATGGAGCGGACAGCCCCCAGGAGTCAGAGCCTCAGCCCGGCTGCCCTGGTGGAAGGTACAGGTGTTCAGCACCTTCAGAAAAGGGCATAAAGTGGTGGGGGACAATTCTCAGTCCAGGAAAATGCATTGACCATTGCTGGCTATTTGCTTACCTAGTAAGAATTGGATTCATTTTTGACCAGATTATTCTTCTATGCTTTTTTGCAATAAATCAAATCCCACATATCTACAAGTGGTATGAAGTCCTGCACCCCCCAGGAGGCCTGTCCAGGCATGTCTTCAGAGGCAGGGTGGGTTACACTCATTTACCTCCCCTCTCCCCACCAAATTATGACACAAACGAGTATGTTTCCTCTCTAGAACCCTGTAATGCCTCCTCCCCCATCCCCAGAGCTCCTTACTGTAGGTCTTACCCTGGACAAGGATTTTTTCAAGTTGGAGGCACAGAACATGAGCAATCTGACATTCCCACAGCCCCTCAAACATGCAAGGCTACTAAGGCAGGAGGAGTATAAATGATGGATATTGACCAAGACCTGCTTGGACGGAGACCGCCATATTATCTGTTCTCTTCGTTCACAAAACAGCCTTCACTTGTCTCAGAATTTGATGGACACATACTGTGATGAGCAGGAGCTTCAGATGCACTCTTTACACATTTTGTTGAAATAAACCTCTACATTTGTAGAAGAGTTACAGTTTGTCATTTCAATCCATGCCCAGCCACCTCATTTCTTGTTCTGCTTTCAGCAGGGGCTCAGTGTGGGGCAAGCCCCTCCATGGCCCTGTAACACCTAAAGCCCTTTGTCTCCTGAACTTGCATAAAGATGATGGGTAGGCAGTAAAAAGCTGGCCTTGGCCAGCCCTGTCTTATCCGCTGAATCAAGGTCAAACTCTGAAAGGCTACAAATGCTCGGGAACCCCGTAGCAGAGGGTCAGTTTTTTAGTTTCTGTTGAGTTTTTCAGGATGGGAAACTTCTTCCTGCTGAGAGCTGGATGGGAGTCCTGGCAGGAATGTCCCCTCCAAAAGAGAATGTCTTTAGAGCAGGGACAAGAAAGACCACAGCTGTTTAGTGAGGATAACAGCTCCAGGCCTTGGAAGCCCAGAGCCCACTGTCCTCCTCAGAAGTCCCTTCTCAGCATACAGGAAGTTGAGAGTGCTCTGATAACTCAGTGTAAACACTGGGGCCGCATGGCCCTTGTTAGAGATTTGAGAGGAAGGTTTTAGATTTTCTTTCTTTAGCTATTCATGGATTTTTAACTCTGGGCACAAAAAGGCACTCGGGGCAGGAAGCTCATGATTCCATGCCGTCAACCCTCTGCCTCAGTTTCTCTCTCTAAAAAAACTTTCTATGGGCTGGGCATGGTAACTCACCCCTATAATCCTAGCACTTTGGGAGGCTGAGGTGGGTGTATCATGAGATCAGGAGATTGAGACCATCCTGGCTAACACGGTGAAACCCCCTAAAAATATATAAAAAATTAGGTGGGAGCAGTGGCACACACCTGTAGTCCCAGCTACTCAGGAGGCTGAGGCAGGAGAATTGCTTGAACCTGGGAGGCGGAGGTTGCAGTGAGCTGAGATTGCACCACTGCACTCTAGCCTGGTGACAGAGCAAGACTCCGTCTCAAAAAAAAAAAAAAAAAAAAGCTTTCTATGAATCCCTATAATTAAGGCAGGAATAAGCACCAATTCCTGAATGTCTGCAAAGATACAGGTCACAGGAGGCAAATCCCTGCCCTTTGCTGATTATTAAACTCAATGTTGTATCTGTCTCTCTCTTTGGGATATATTGCAAAGCAAAGGGTTGCTTTTTCTAAAATGAAATAGAGTGTTAAGAAAATATCAATTTGATTCACCCTGAGCCAGATGTTCCAGAAAGGGGAGTCAGAAGGGAGATACAGGATAAAGGATCCAGGGGGAAGATTGCTACTGTTTGCCTCCCACTGCTGCTCTTCACAGGCAAGGAAGCCCGGTCTGCGTGGCGGCCTGGGCCTCTTCTTCCTTCTTCCCTCCTCCCTAAGCAGGCAGCTGAAGACAGGCCACAGGTGTAAGCACTCAGCCAGCACCTGTTGGTGGTTCTGAGGCAGGATTCCGCTGCTGCCTCTGGGAGCTTGCCCGATACAGTTTCTTCTGCTGGGGCGCCACACTTCCTTCACTCCTCTTTTCAACAAAAGGAAATAATAAATCCCCATTGGTCTTACTTTGGGGTAGTAAGGAAAAGACTGCACAGTGAGGGTTCTAGGATCCAGATCTAGGCCCACCTCTCTTTCCCCGGCTGAACAATAACACAGCGATGAACGCAAATGCCTAAGGACCATAGGGAGGGCTGTTCACCCCTAGTAAACAGGGCTCGGTGCAGGGCAGCAGGGAAAGGCCTGTAGGGAGGCACTGAGCTGAAAGGCAAACCTTCCTTCAAACCACTGGCTCCTCAGGCCCTGGGCACAAGAAGGGTAACACCTGGGCCTGCCCTGTTCCACATGGTGAGGCAGAAAGCACCATGGGCCAGAGGGAGTGGTATGGACAAATGAAGCTTATTGGCAGAGAGAGGCTACCAGCTGCGGCAGGGTGGAAGCCAGGGCATTCCAGGCCGGGGCACTGGGATTTACAAAGTTATTTGGGGGGCACTGGGAAGGTTGAAGGGGAGTAGAGCAGTCACTTGGGGGAGTAATAGACAATGAACTCCCCAAAAACAAGCCGGCATCAGATATAAAGATCCTTAAATGCCAGGCCAAGGAGCAAGGGTTTGTCCTTTGGTGGTTTATGGGCACGTGAAAGCTGTGTATAAAGCTTTCGAAAGCAGCCAATTGAATGAAAAGAGCACAGTCTTGAGTGCCAAGAAAACTGGGTCCAAGCTCAGCTTAATCGTGTGCAGTCCCCAAGCTGGAGGGGCACCCAGGATAGTATGCCCGGGCCACCCACAGGAGTGGGGAACAATCGGCTATTTCCAGTGCTCTAGGAATCCTGCTGTGCCTCAGGCAGCAGTCTTTCCATGCCGTTGTCTTTGTGTTGACTGGAGTTTTACCCAGGAAGTGCAGTCCTGGTCACCTCCTGCTGGCCAGTGGCTCTAATGGGTGTTGATAATAAGTGATGGGGGTAGGACATCTTTAGAAATGCAGTATCTTGGTAATAAGCAACATCTTCCAAAGCATGGGGTTTCCTGTGGTTGGTGGAGGGCAGAATGATAACGGAGCCTGAGACTTGGAGCCACACAGTGGGCTCAGCCCACTAGGAACCGCACGGAGACAGGACAGAATAGCTCAGATGGCGCTGAGTCTGATTGCCAACATTCTGTGTCATGACTGGCCTTCTAGAGTAATCAGGGAGGGCTGGGGGTGGGAAGAGGCAGAACCCACTGTACAAGTCCAGGCTCTGCAGCAGGAAAAAGCTCACAGAGCATTCCTGTCCATGCAAATAGCTCCTTTCATAGTCACTTACAAGAACAGGGACTTTAGAATAAGCCTGAGCTGATTTCCAGTATCCAGCCCCTCACTCTTGTCCTTGAGCAAGTTCCTGCCTCCTCATCTGTGAAATGTGGACCTCAATGGGGCATTTTGAAAAATGACATTAAATTAGTTGATGTGAATCAAGTGCAGGGCATGAGCCGCAAACCCTCAATGCAGGTCAGGTTTCTCCATGCCCTGTCTCTTTTGCTCCCAAGACTGGGCGCCTGTCATCACTCAGGGGCACCTTCCTCATAGGGTATTGGTGGAGAACCGTCCCCTGGCGAGGGCAGGGTCTAGGGATTGTCTCTACGTGTTGGGTGACATGGACACTAAGCGGAAGTGCCACTGAGGGGCTGTGCAGCTGAGCCTGAAGGCCGATCTCTAAGCCTGGCTGCCCTCACTTAGGGCAGGCCTTGAGCAGCTCAAGGGTGTTCTGGAGTCCTGCCTTCCCTGGGATGTGAAAGTAGAGTGTGGAACGAGAAGATCCCTAAGATCCCTTCCAGCTCTAGGCAGATTTTCATCTGGGATCATGGGTAATGCTGAAGTCTGGATAAAAATACTCCATGCCCACTGGCATTGTCAGTAACAGCAGTAACTCAGCAGCAAACATCCAGGGAAGACCAGTGGCTCAGCTTGGCTCAAGCAATAGACCAGCAGCCTAGCTAGAGCTTTAACAGAAGCAGGAAATGATACAGCCACCAGGGGCTTGATAAGCTCCCCGCACATCCACACAGGAGAGATCAGAGAAGGCCCAAGCTAGTCACACAGCCCTAGCTGATAGAACCTGTGGGCACATGAAGAGGAAATGCCAGAGGGCCCAGTAGAAAGTAAAAGCCAGGGCAGATTTCAAAACTGCTGAAATGTTTTAATATGTAGCCCCCACGCGCGCGTGCATACACACACACACACACACCAACTTATCAGCAGAAGATAGATGCCTTGCTGGCTCAAGATACATCTGCCTAAAGCATTGGCTGACCATTAGGCACAAGGGTGGCCCCTATGAAGCTAGGCTTAAAAAATAAGAAGTTTTAAAAAGAAAAACTGAGCAGAGGCTCGGTGTGGTGGCTCAATTCCTGCACTTGGGGAGGCTGAGGCGGGTGGATCACTTGAGGTCAGGAGTTTGAGACCAGCCTGGCCAACATGGTGAAACCGTCTCTACTAAAAATAAATTAGCTGGGTGTGGTGGTGTGCGCCTGTAATCCCAGCTGCTTGGGAGGCTAAGGCAGGAGAATCGCTTGAACCCGGGAGGTAGAGGTTGCAGTGAGCCAAGATCGTGCCACTGCACTCCAGCCTGGGTGACAGAATGAGATTCTGTCTCAAAAAACAAACAAATAAAAACAACTGGGCAGAAACTTAAACACACATACACACACACACATTTACAGAATTAAAGGGTCAGGTAGGACAACCTTGGGCCCTTATTTAAAAAAAAAAAAAAAAAAAAAGAATTGGCCAGGCATGGTGGCTCACACCTATGATCCCCAGCAATTTGGGAGGCCAGGGTGGGCGGTTCGCTTGAGTCCAAGAGTTTAAGACCAGCCTGGACAACATGACAAAACTCCATCTCTACAAAAAATGCAAAAAAAAAAAAAAACTAGCCAGGTGTGGTGGCACACGCTTGTCGTCCCAGCAACTTGGGAGGCTGAGGTGGAAGGATGACCTGAGCCCAGGCAGGTAGAGGCTGCAGTGAACCATGATCACGCCACTGCACTCCAACCTGGGTGACAGAGCAAGACCCTGTCTCAAAACAAAACATAAAAAAGCACATTCTGAATAAAATTCTGAAACATGCTGCAACATGGATGAACTGTGAAGACATTATGCTAAGTGAAATAAGCCAGACACAAAAACAGATATTGTTTGATTCCACTTATATGTGGTATCTGAAATTATCAAATTCACAGAGACAGAAAATAAAACAGTGATTACCAGGGGTTGTGGGGAGAGGAATTTGGGGATTACTGTTTTCGTTTTTAGAGACAGGGTCTCGCTCTATTGCCCAGGCTGGAGTACAGTGGTATGATCATAGCTCACTACAGCCTCAAACTCCTGGGCTCAAGCAGTCCTCCCACCTCAGCCTCCTGAATAGCTGGGACTACAGGTGCAAGCCACTATACCCAGCTAATTTAAAAAAAAATTTTTTTTTTTTTTTTTTTTTTGTAGAGACAGGGCCTCACTGTGTTGCCCAAGCTGATCTTGAACTCCTGGGCTCAAGCGATCTTCCTTCTTCAGCCTCCCAAAGCACTGGAATTATAGGCATGAGCCACTGTAGCAGCTGGGAGTTATTGTTGTTGAATGAGTACAGAGTTTCAGTATGGGATGATGAAATGTTCTGGAGGTGGATGGTGGTGATGGTTGCACAACAATGTGAATGTCCTTAATGTCACTGAACTATACACTTAGAAACTGTTAAAATGGTAAATCATATATTTATCCCAGTTTTTGAAAAGGAAATTCTGAAAAGTTGACCAGAGGGACTACACAGATTTGGGAAGACAGAAGAATCAGTGCATGTGAAATCGTAGAGTAATAGAATTATCCAATGTGAAGAACAGAGAGGAAAAAAGAGTGAAAAATGAATAGACCCTCAGACTCCTGTGCAGCAACAGTGCGTTTACCAACATATGTGTACTGGGGGTGCCAGAAGAGAGAGAAATGGAAAAACTATCTGAAGAAATAGTGGCCGAAAAATTCCCAAATTTGATGGAAAACATGAATCTGCAGATCCAAGAAGCTCAATAAACCCCAAGTAGGATAAACAAAGATACTTACACCTAGATACCTCATGGCCAAACTGTTGAAAGACAAAGAAAAATCTTAAAGGAAGCTAGAGAAGAACAAGTTATCACTTACAGAAGAATAACAAAATAAATCACAGCTGCCTTCTAATCAGAAACAATGGACCCCAGGAGGCAGTGGGGCAGTATTGTCAGAGTGCCACAAGAAGAAAAAAAATGCTGTCAAACAAGAATCCTATATCCAGCAACACTGTCCTTAAAACAAGTACAGGTGAAATAAAGACACTCCACAAAAAAAGAGAATTCATTGTTAGCAGACCAGCTTTATAAGAAATACTAAAAGCAATAGTTGAGGCTGAAAAGAAATAATTCCAGATAGTAATTCAAATCTACTCAAAGAAATGAAAAGGTAAACAGTACCTAGGTAAATATAAAAAACTGTGTTCTCTTTAACTTCATTAAAAGACATAAAGTTGCATTAAACAATAAGTATACCACTGTATTTTGGGGTTTATAGCATATAGAACCGTAATATGTATGACAGTCACACAAAGAAGGGGGTAAAAATGAAACAACATGAAAACCAAGTCTATGTGTTGCCAGTATTAAGGTAATATTAATCTCAAGTATAGTGTTATATAACCTCTAGAACAACCACTAAGAAAGTAACTTTATTTATTTAGAGATGGAGTCTTGCTCTGTCATCCAGACTGGAGTGCAATGATGCAATCTCGGCTCATTGCAACCTCCGCGTCCCGGGTTCAAGCAGTTCTCCTGCCTCAGCCTCCTGAGTAGCTGGGATTATAGGCGCCCACCACCATGCCCGGCTAATTTTTGTATTTTTGGTAGAGACAGGGTCTCACCATGTTGGCCAGGCTGCTCTCAAACTCCTGACCTCAGGTGATGCACCTGCCTCGGCCTCCCAAAGTGCTGGGATTAGAGGCATGAGCCACCGCACCCAGCTGAAAATAACTTTAAAATGCATAGTAAGGCTGGCAGCAGTGGCTCACACCTCTAATCCCAGCACTTTGGGAGGCTGAGGTGGGAGGATCACATGAGTCCAGGAGTTTGAGACCAGGCTGGGCAATACAGTGAGACACTATCTCTACAAAAAATTTTTTTAAAATTGGCCAGGCATGGTGGCACATGCCTCTAGTTCCAGCTACTTGAGAGGCTGAGGCAGGAGGAGCACTGGCTCAGGAGGTTGAGGTTGCAGTGAGCTGAGATCGCACCACCGCACTCTAGCCTGGGCAACAGAGCAAGACCCTGTCTCAACAACAAAAGGCAAAGGGCTTAAACCCATTTTTTCAAAGATGATTTATGAATGGTCAAGAAGCATATAAAAACATGCTCAGCATCATTAATTGTTGGGGAAATGTATATTAAAACCGCAACGACACAACACTTCATACCCATTAGGACGTCTGCTATAAAAAACAAACAGAAAATAACATGTTGCAGACGATGTGGAAAAATTAGAACCCTTGTGCACTGTTGGCAGGAATAGAAAATGGTGTAGCTGCTATGCAAAAATGGTTCCTCAAAAAATTAAAAGTAGGGCCGGGTGTGGTGGCTCACACCTGTAATCCCAACACTTTGAGAGGCTAAGGTGCCCAGGAGTTCGAGACCAGCTTGGGCAACACAGTGAGACCCTCATCTGTATAAAAAATTAAAAAATAAAAAATTAGCTGGGTGATGGCACGTGGCTGTAGTCCCAGCTACTTGGGCAGCTGAGGTGAGAGGACTGCTTGAGTCTGGGCAACACAGCGAGACTGCCTCAAAAAAAAACAAAAACGAAACGAAAATGAAAAATAGGAGGCTGAGGTGGGAGGACTGCTTAAGCCCAGGAGTTTGAAGTTGCAGTGAGCTATGATCAAGCCACTACGCTCTAGCCTGGGCAACAGAGTGAGACCCTGTCTCAAAAAAAAAAAAAAAAAAAAAAAAAAAAGCACTACGTATGATCAAGCAATCTCACTTCTGGGCAGATATCCAAAAGAATTGAAAGCAGGGCCTTGAATATATATTTGCACACCCATGTTCACAGCAGCATTATTCACAATAGCCAAGAGGTGAAAGCCACCCAAATGTCCATCAAAGAATAAATTGATAAACAAAATGTGGTCTATACTTACAATGGAATATTACAACGGCCTTAAAAAGGAAAGCAATCCAATCACATGCTAGAACAGGAATAAACCTTGAGGACATTCTGTTAAGTGGAATAAGCCAGTTGCAAAAAGACAAATACTGTAGGATTCCACTTATATGAGGTATTTAAAGTAGTCGAATTTTGCTGGGTGCAGTGGCTCATGCCTGTAATCCCAGCACTTTGGGAGGCCAAGGTGGGTGGATCACTTGTGGTCAAGAGATTGAGACCAGCCTGGCCAACATGGTGAAACCCCATCTCTACTAAAAATACAAATGTTAGCTGAGCATGGTGGTGCATGCCTGTAATCCCAGCTACTCGGGAAGCTGAGGCAGGAGAATCGCTTGAACCCGGGACGTGGAGGTTGCAGTGAGCCGAGATCGCATCACCGCACTCCAGTCTGGTGACAGAAACTCTGTCTCAAAAAAATAAATAAATAAAAAATAAAGTAGTCAAATTCATAGAAACTGAAAGAATGGTGGTTGCCAGGGGTCGGAGTGAGGGGTAAACTGGGAATTGTTAAATGGGTATAAAGTTTCAGTTTTGTGGGGTAAGAATTTCTGGAAATCTGTTGCAGGACAATGTAAATATACTTAACACTATTGCATTGTACACTTAAACATGGTTAAGATGGTAAGTTTTATGTTTTCTTAGCCACAATTTAACATGTATGTATGTAAATATATATATATTAAAAACAACACTGGGGCTGGGTGTGGTGGCACACATCTGTAACCCCAGCATTCTTGAAGCCAGAAGTTTGAGACCAGCCTGAGCAACAAAGTGAGACCCAGTCTCCAGAAAAATTAAAAAAAAAAAAATAGCCAGGCGTGGTGGCATACACCTGTAGTCCCAGCTACTCAGGAGGATCTCTTGAGCCCAGGAGTTCAAGGCTGCAGTGAGCTGTAATCGCATCACTGCTCTCCAGCCTGCAGGATAGGGTAAGACCTTGTCTCTAAAAAACACAAAAGCAAGCAGTAAAGGAAAAACAAATGAACCTTATTAATAATTACATTAAATTTGAAAGGACTAAACACTCCAATCAAAAGATAGACTGTCAGATTAGGTGAAAAAATCTAGGCTGGGTGTGGTGGCTCTTGCCTGTAATCCCAGCACTTTGGGAGGCTGAGACAGGCAGATTGCTTGAGTCCAGGAGTTTGAGACCAGCCTGGGCAACATAGGGAGACCTCGTCTCTGCAAAAAATTAAAATACAAAAAATTAGCCAGGCATGGTGGCATGCACCTGTAGTCCCAGCTACTCGGGAGGCTGAGGAGGGACAATCACCCAAGCCCTGGAGGCTGAGGCTGCAGTGAGCCTAAATCACACCACTGCACTCTAGCCTGAGTGACAGAGTGAGACCCTGTCTCAAAAATAATAATTAAAATTTTAAAAAAACAAACAAAATGCCTGTTACTCCTGCCTCAGCCTCCCGAGTAGCTGGAACTACAGGTGTGTACCACCATACCTGGCTAATTTTTTTAATTTTGTGGAGGCTGGGTCTTAAGTCTTTAAGAAAAACACTTTAGATTCAAAGACACAAGTGGGTAAAGGTATAAAAACACCATCTACTATGCAAACAGTAACCATAAGGGTTGGAGTGGCTACATTAATATCAATATCAATATCTATATCTATCTATATGTATATATATAATGTCATTAGAGACAAAAATAAACATTTATTATGCTAAAAGAATCAGTTTGTCAGGAAGCTATAACAATTATAAATGTATACATGTTTAACAACAGAGCCCCAAAATACAGAAAGCAAAAATTGACAGAATAAAAAGGAGAAATAGACAACAGGTCTGGATCTGGATCAATAAACTTCCACCCCAAAAAAACAGAGAAGAAAAAAGAGGAGAATAAACTAAACCCAAAGCAAGAAGAATAAGGGAAAACATAAAGGTCAGAGTGGAAACTAGTGAAAGAGAAAACAGTAAACAACAGAGAAAAGTCAATAGAAACTTAAAGTTAGCTCTTTGAAAAAAATCAGGCTGGGCCCAGTGGCTCACACTTGTAATCCCAGCACTTTGGGAGGCCGAGGTGGGTGGATCACGAGGTCAAGAGATCGAGACCATCCTGGCCAACATGGTGAAACCCCGTCTCTACTAAAAATAGAAAAATTAGCTAGGCATGTTGGTGGGCGCCTGTAATCCCAGCTACTCGGGAGGCTAAGGCAGGAGAATCACTTGAACCCGGGAGGCGGAGGTTGCAATGAGCCGAGATCGCACCACTGTATTCCATCCAGCCTGGGGACAGAGTAAGACTCCATCTAAAAAAAAAAAAAAAAGAAAAGAAAAGAAAAAAACAATAAAATTGACAAGAAGAAAAAGAGAAACAACACAAATTTCCAAAATCAGGAATCAAAGAGGGGACATTGCTAGTGGCTCTACCAAAATTAAGATTATAAAGAAATATTATGAGCAACTTTATGCCAAGAAATTAGACTTAGGTAAAATGAACACATTCCTAGAAAGACCCAAATTTACCAAAACTGACTTGAGAAGAAACACACAATCCAAATAGACCTATAACAAATAAAGAAATTAGTCACTAAAAATCCTCCCACAGGCCAGGCACGGTGGTTCACACCTGTAATCCCAGCACATTGGGAGGCTGAGGTGGGGGAATCACCTGAGGTCAGGAGTTCAAGACCAGCCTGGCCAACATGGTGAATCCCCGTCTCTGCTAAAAATACAAAAATTAGCCAGGTGTGTTGGTGCACAACAGTAATCCCAGTTACTTGGGAGGCTCAGGCGGGAGAATGGCTTAAACCCGGGAGGCAGAGGTTGTGATGAGCCGAGATCATGCCACTGCAATCCAGCCTGGGCAAGAAAGTGAGACTCAGTCTTAAAAAAAAAAAAAAAATTCCCACAAAGTAAAGCCCCAGTCCCAGAAAGCTTCACTGGTAAATGCTCTGTCAAATATTTAAAGAAGAAATAACAGCCAGGTGCAGTGGCTCACGCCTGTAATCCCAGCACTTTGGGAGGCCAAGGAGGGCGGATCACGAGGTTAGGAGTTCGAGACCAGCCTGGCCAACAAGGGGAAACCCTGTCTCTACAAAAAATACAAAAATTAGCCGGGTGTGGTGGTGGGTGCCTGTAATCCCAGCTACTTGGGAGACTGAGGCAGGAGAATTGCTTGAACCCGGGAGGTGGAGGTTGTAGTGAGCTGAGATCACGCCACTGCACTCCAGCCTGGGTGACAGAGCAAGACTTCATCTTGAAAAAAAAAAAAAAAAAAAAGAAATAATACTGGTCCTTCTCAAACTCTCTTAGAAAACAGAAGGAACACTTTCCAACTCATTCTACAAGGCCAGTATTATCTGATACCAAAGCCAAAGACATCACAAGAAAACTACAGGCCAGTATCCCTTGTGAACACAGGATGCAAAAATCCTTAGCAAATATTAACTAACTGGGCCAGGTACAGTGGCGTGCATGTAGTCCCAGCTATTTGGGCAGCTGAGGCAGGAGGACTGTTTGAGCCCAGGATTTTGAGGCTGTAGTATGCCATGAGCATATCCTTAAATAGCCACTGCACCCCAGCCTGGGCAACGTGGCAAGACTCCATCTCTTTAAAAAAAGAATTAGCAAACTGAATACAGCAAGACACACCCACACTTTTTTTTTTTTTTTTTTGAGATGAGGTTCTCACTCTGTCATCCAGGCTGGAGTGCAGTGGCATGATCACAGCTCACTGCAACCTCCACCCCCAGGTTCAAACAATCCTCCCACTTAAGCCTCCCACCATCTGGGTGCGCACCACCACACCCAGCTAATTTTTGTATTTTTCAGTAGATATGGGGTTTCACCATGTTGGTCAGGCTGGTCTCGAACTCCTGACCTCAAGTGATCCACCCATCTTGGCCTCTCAAAGTGCTGGGATTATAGGCGTGAGCCACTGTGCCTATCCTAGCAATATATAAGTATATAAGTATATATATATTTATATTATATATAAATTTTATTTCTTCTAAAAAAAAAAAACAGGATACGTGTGCAGAATGTGCAGGTTTGTTACATAGGTATACCTGTGCCATGGTGGTTTGCTGCACCTATTGACCTGCCCTCTAAATTCCCTCCTCTCGACCCCCTCCACCTCCCAGCAGGCCCTGGTGTGTGTCGTTCCCCTGGGTCCATGTGTTCTCATTGTTCAACTCCCACTTATGAGTGAGAACATGTGGTGTTTGATTTCCTGTTCCTGGGTTAGTTTGCTGAGGATGATGGTTTCCAGCTTCATCCACGTCCCTGCAAAGGACATAATCTCATTCCTTCTTATGGCTGCATAGTATTCCATGCAACATTTTTTGTTTTTTAGTTTCACAACTTTAATCCCAGCACTATGGGAGGCTGAGGAGGGAGGATTGCTCAAGCCCAGGACTTCGAGACCAGCCTGGGCAACATAGTGAGACCCTGTCTCTACAAAAAAAATTGTAAAAAGTAGCCAGGTGTGGGCCAGGCATGATGGCTCATGCCTGTAATTCCAGCATTTTGGGAGGCCCAGGCAGGCAGAACACATGAGGCTAGGAGTTTGAGACCAGAGGGGCCAATATGTTGAAACCCTGTCTCTACCAAAAAATACAAAAATTAGCTGGGCGTGGAGCCACATGCCCGTAGTCTCAGCTACTTGGGAGACTGAAGCAGGAGAATCACTTGAACCTGGGAGGCAGAGGTTGCAGTGAGCCAAGATCATGCCACCACACTCCAGCCTGGGCAACAGAGCAAGACTGTCTCAAAAAAAAAAAAAGAAAAGAAAATTAGCCAGGTGTGGTGGCACACACATGTGGTCCTAGCTACCCAAGAGGCTAAGGTGGGAGGATCGCTTGAGCTCGGGAAGTTGAGGCTGCAGTGAGCCATGATCGCACCACTGCATTCCACCCAAGAGACCCTGTCTCAAAAGAAAAAAAAGTATTCACCATAGCTAGGTGGGATTTGTCCCATGAGTACAAAGTTAGTTTAACACCCAGAAATCAATTAATGTAGCACACCATCTTAATAGAGTAAAAGACAAAAACCACATGACCCTCTCGGTAGACACATAAAAAGCATTTGGAAATACAATACCCATTCCAGATAAAAATTATCAACAAACTATCAATAGAAAGAAATCTCCGCCGGGCGCAGTGCTCATGCCTGTAATCCCAGCACTTTGAGAGGCCGAGGCGGGTGGATCAGTTGAGGTCAGGAGTTTGAAACCAGCCTGGCCAACATGGCAAAACCCCGTCTCTACTAAAAGTAAATACAAAAAAATTAGCCGGGTGTGGTGGCACGTGCCTGTAATGCCAGCTGCTTGAGAGGCAGAGGCAGGAGAATTGCTTGAACCTGGGAGGCAGAGGTTGCGGTGAGCGGAGATTGTGCCACCACACTCCAGCCTGGGCGACGTGAGACACTGTCTCAAAAAAAATAGAAATAAATTTCCAAAACCTGAGAAAGGGCGTCTGTGAAAAACCTCAAGTAACTTCATGTTTGATGGTGAAAGACTGAATGCTTTTCTCTCTAAGATGGAACAAGGCAAAAATATCTGCTCTTGCTACTTCTCAGCATTGCACTGGAGGTGCTGGCCAATGCAATAGGCTACACGAAAATTAAAGGTTTATAGATTGGAAAGAAGAGATTAAAACTCATTATTCACAAATGGCATGATCCTATATGAGGAATCCATTTTTAAAAACTAGAACTAATAAATGCATTCAGCAAAGTCACTGGCTACAATATTAATTTAAAAACTCAATAATAGTATTTTTGTACACTAGCAAGAAGAAATCTAAAAATGAAATTAAAATAATTTCATTGACAATAGCATCAAAACCAATAAAATACATAGGAATAATTTTGCAAAAGAAATAGACATGTACCCTGAAATTATAAAACACTGCTGAGAGAAATTAAATAAAAACAATTGAAGAGATATTCCATGTTCATGGATTAGAAGACTCAATGTTGTTGGGATGGTAGTTCTCCCCAAATTGATCTATAGAGTCAGTGTAATCCCATCAAAATTCCAGCAGACATTTTTCTAGAGATTAACAAATTTAGGCCGGGAACAGTGGCTCATGCGTGTAATCCCAGCACTTTGAGAGTCTGAGGCGGGAGTATCACTTGAGCCCAGAAGTTCAGCATCAGCCTGGCCAAAATAAGGAGATCCTGTCTCTACAAAAAATAAAAAAAATTAGCTGGGTGTGGTGGCATGTGCCTGCAGTCCCAGCTACTCAGGAGGCTGAGGTGGGAGGATGGCTTGAGCTCAGGAGGTTGAGGTTGCAGTGAGCTGTGATTACACCACTGCACTCCAGCCTGGGTGAAAGAGAAAGATCCTGTCTCAGGCAGAAAAAAAAAAAAAAGAAGAAGAAGAAGGAAAAGCTAAATAAATTAACAAACGTATCCTAATTTTTTTTTTTTTTTTTTGAGATGGAGACTCACTCTGTCGCCCAGGCTGGAGTGCAGTGGTGCGATCTTGGCTCACTGCAACCTCTGCCTCCTGGGTTCAAGCAATTCTCCTGCCTCAGCCTCCTGAGTAGCTGGGACTACAGGCGCCTGCCACCACGCCCGGCTAATTTTTGTATTTTTTTAGTAGAGACGGGGTTTCACCGTGTTCGCCAGGCTGGTCTCGATCTCCTGACCTTGTGATCCAACCACCTTGGCCTCCCAAAGTGCTGGGATTACAGGCGTGAGCCACTGCGCCCGGCCATGTATCCTAAAATTTATATGGAAATGCAAAGGACCCAGAATACTCTAAACAATTTTGATAAAAATTTGGAAGACTTAAACTACCTGATTTTAAAATGTTCACAGATATAAACACAAGCAAATAGAATGGAATATAATTGACAGTCTTGAAATAAATCCTAGCATTTAGGGTCAATTGATTTTCCACAAAGGAGTCAAGACAATTCAATGGCGGAAAGGCTAGCCTTTTCAACAAATGGTGCCAAGACGTTCGGATATCCATACACAAAGTTATATTTTTAGACTCTTACACCATGGACAAAAATTTACCCCAAATATATTACAGACTTAAATATATAAGCTACAACTATAAAACATCCACAAGAAGACATGTAGGAGAAAATTTTTGTGACCTTGGATTTGGAAAAGATTTCTTAGATATGACATAATCCATAAAAGAAAAAAAGAAATTGATAAATTAGGCTTCATCAAAATTAAAACCTTTTGTGCTCCAGAAGACACCATTAAGAAAATGAAGACGGCCGGGTGCGGTGGCTCACGCCTGTAATCCCAGCTCTTTGGGAGGTCAAGGCGGGTGGATCACGAGATCAAGAGATCAAGACCATCCTGGCCAACATGGTGAAACCCGGTCTCTACTAAAAATACAAAATTAGTTGGGTGTGGTGGCGGAGGCCTGTAGTCCCAGCTACTTGGGACACTGAGGCAGGAGAATAGCTTGAACCCGGGAGGTGGAGACTGCAGTGAGCTGAGATCGTGCCACTGCACTCCAGCCTGGCAACAGAGCGAGACTCCATCTCAAAAAAAAAAAAAAAAAAAAAAAAAAAGAAAGAAAGAAAAAAGAAAATGAAGACAAGCCAGAGACTGGGAAAAAATATTTGCAGACCATATATCTGATAAGGGACTTGAATCCAGGATATATAAAGAATCCTTACAAGGCAACAAGGCAATTCAATTTAAATTAGGCCAAAAGATGTGAATAGATGTCTCACCAAAGAAGATGATACATGAATAATGAACACACGAGAAGATGTTCAACATCATTCGTCACTAGGGAAACAAATTAAAGCCACAATGGGAGTCCACTATTTGCCAGAAAGGCTATAATTGGAAGACAGACAATTACAAGTGTTGGCACGGATGTGGAGAAACCGGAGCCCGCACACTTTGCTGGTGTAAATATAAAGTGATACAGGTACTTTGGAAAACAGTTTAACAACTTCTGAAAAAGCTAAACATAAGCTTTCATTCTCAGCAATTCCATGCCTAGGTATCTGCCCAAGGGAAATGAAAACATCTTTCACAAAGGCTTGTGATTGCTCCTATCAGCTTCATATATAATCGCCCAAATCTGGAAACAATCCAAATGTTCATGAATAGGCACGTGGATAAACAAAATGTGGTATATCTACACAATGGAAGACTAGTCAGCAATCAAAAGGAATGTACTGATATATGCTACAATAAAGATATAAACACCTCATGCCAAGCGAAAGAAGCCAGACACAAACACTCCAGATTGTATGATTCTTTTTAAATGAAATGTTCAGAAAAGAAGGCAAATTACCTGGGGCTGGGAGCAGGGAGTTCCGGCAAAGCTAGAGGAACTTGTGGGGTGATAAGAATGTCCTAAACATGGGCCGTGTTAGTGGCAGCACAACTCCACAGATGTAGCAAAAACCATGGAATTGTACATTTACAACAGGTGAGTTTTATGGTATGTAAATTCTACCTCAATAACAACACTGTAGAAAAAAAATGGAGACTGGGCATGGTGGCTCATGCCTATAATCTCAGCACTTTGGGAGGCCAAAGCGGGTGGATCACCTGAGGTCAGGAGTTGGAGACCAGCCTGGGCAACATGGCAAAACTCTGTCTCTACTAAAAATACAAAAATTAGCTGGGCGTGGTGGCGTACACCTGTAATCCTGGCTTCTCAGGAGGTTGAGGCAGGAGAATCGCTTGAACTAGGGAGGTGGAGGTTGCAGTGAGCAGAAATCATACCACTGCACTCCAGCCTGGGTGACGGAGCGAGACTGTCTCAAATAATAACAACCACCACCATCACGGGGTAGAGGCTACACAGACCTTACCCCGCAGCCTGCCCTCCTGCCCTGCAGCTGTTTCCACAAACGCCTCCTCCTCCTTCCATCCCCAGCTGCTCTAGCTGCTTGCCAGTTTCTTTTCAGCTCCAGCCTGGCTGGTTCAATGGTCACCCTCCTATCTGTCCTCACACGGGACCCAGCCCCTCCTCAGGATCAGCAGCTGCGGCCATCAGCTGTCCTCGCCCAGCTCCTCCAGAACAGCTTGTTAAAAGGGATCCACCTGGGGCTGAGTTCCTCCAGTTGGTCCCGGTGAGCTCTCACGTAAGAGTAATGAAGTTTAAACTTCTCTTTAGCAGCTAAGCACGGAAATTGACCCTGGCACCTTGCTAAGCTAATCGAGTTACAAAACGAATCCTTTAGGATCAAATTCATTACAACAGCCGCATCTATGACCCATTTTATTATAACCTTTTCTCAAAATCTGCTCTGGTCCGCCACCCTCTGATCTTGCCCAACCAAGCCCTAGTTAGCCTGTGTCTGAGGACGCCTGGCGGGCCCGGCGGGATGCTGTGGAAGGTGAGGGCTTCCAGTCACCTGTAAGCAACCTCGGTCGTACGTGCCCAAGGCTCAACTCCTGCAATCTATTTCTGTGACCTCAGGTCCCAGCAGAGCTCTGATTTCAAGCCACAGCCCTGGCCCAGGCCCAGACTGTGTTTATGACTCAGCATCCAATAGGCATGTAAACAAGATTACATCACAGATTTTCCCTGGCCCATACCTCCCGGTCCAGACTCTGGCTGAAGAGGGACATTGGAGCTTGGCCCTCAAGGAGCTAGCTCCACAGAGTCACCGCCAGCCATGAGGGAACTTGTCACCTAGCCCTCCTCTCACCTGCACAGGCTCAAATCAACCAGGAGCAGGGCTCCCAATGGGTGAGCTTTATGCAAACACCCGGGGTGGGGTTCCTGGCCACCAACCTCTGCACGTGGTGCTGCCTGGAGGGAAGGTTCCGGGACTCTGGAATGGACTTCTGCCCAGTAGGAGTGGCGAACTTGTGGCTCTCACGGCTTTGCGTTATTTGTTACAGATACACCTCCACTACTTTACACACTATTAGAAAGTTGAGTACCCCAAATCACTTTTAGGCACATGCAGAAATGCAATTTTAGGAGGCAGAAACTACTCAACTCCAGCAATGCATCTAGACTCTACCCTAAAATATCTGCATATTAAACTACCAAGGACAGTTAAGCTTTCAAAGGGAGAAGATCAAAGTGCTGTCATCTTTTAATTTAATCCTTTTGTTGCATCAATGATCTTAAGAGGGATGAGAGAGATCAAAATAAAAATGGAAACAAACTGTATCTTTGTGGCTGTTGTGTTTTAGTCTTTTTTTTTTTTCTCAATTTGGGCCACAAAATAGGTCAGCTCCATTACTGATCAGCCTTCCCACAAATATTTAAAACAAATTGAATTGCATACCCAATACCCATCACAATTACACCAGGCACAATAACTAAATTAGCAATTCAACAAAATAATTGGAAATGCGATTCTCTCTATTCCACCAGTCTCCCTCGAGGGTTGAGCGGATCTATGGGGGAAAGCTCAGCTTTCCTAATTCTGCAGCTAATTAGAGACACACTTGTAAATGAAGTTGTTTGTCTTAAAGTTGAAATTCTCTTCTGGGGGTGGGGGAGAGGCAAGGAGAGATGAGAAAGTCCTTCCGCTCCGGAGCAAGTGTATATAAACAGGTATAAAAACCCGTGCCATACCTGCAATTAATAAAGCATCACTATTTTACCTTCACTTATCTGGTAATGGACGACTTTGGAAGAACCAGCCTGGTTGACAGCCTCGTAAGCGGCGCACATTTCTGATGGCACTTGCGACCAGTCACTGTGGGCTGCCGTTTTGGGAGGGGGCGGAAGTGCCAGGACAGCAGGAGCGGTCAGTGGTGGCCAGTGTGTGCTGCCGGCTCCCACGTGGCCCCCCTCGGTTTGGGACAGGAGAACCAAAGGCTCACCCTAAAAGGAAGCAAGGCAGAGAGAGGCTCCCCCGCCCAACAGACCCTCCCCTCCTGTGGACCGCCGTCAGCAGCCGAACGTGGGCCCCCCTGGCTCGGGCCACCCCACCAGCCAGAGTTGCAAATCTACCTCGGCCCACTTGCTCAGGCCACTCTTGGAGAAGCAATCCTGAGGTTTCAATTAGGCTGTCCTTGGCCTCTTTTTGTTCCTTCAGGAAGGAAAATCTCTGTTTAATTATATACCCAAGAACTAGGACTTAAAGCCGGCCCCTCTCATCCTTCTCCTGGAGGATGGAGACGTGATCCGAAAATGCAAACTCTCCCCAGGGCTCCAGAGGCTTGAGGAGCCTGTCACGGGGGCTTACTTCCCAGGCCAGGCCCCTCTCCCTGCCCTGCCCGGCAGGAGCCTCCCGGACACACACACCTGCGGCCCGAGCACTCCCGGGAACAAAGCCCTGGCCTTACCAGCAAGGTGAGCAGATGAAACGGTGGCCCCACAGCCCGGGGAAGCCTCCAATTCCAAGATCCTCGTGGAACATCACGGCACCTCGGTGGGGGGTGCGGAGGGACAGGAGCCTGCGAAAACGCTGATAAGTGAATTCAAAGCACCTGCTCCTTTTTGCTTATCTCCTCAAACAATATGAACTCAGAGTTATCACATTTAAAGTGCTCTGTATTTGCCTTACATTTAGCTCTTAAAACCAAGTGTAGTGTGCTACAACTTTAAAGGACACAAGAGTCAAACTGGAAAATAATTTTATGGCATCAGGGATTCAGCTCCGAGCTCAGTCCCTCAGGAGGAGATGAGACTGAGTCAGCCTCCCGGGCTCCCCGGACCACCCTGGACACCAAGGCAGAAAACCGCCCACTTCCCCACGCCCTCCACCTACCCCAGGTCTCAGGGCCAAGAAATCAGTGGAGACAGGTCACACCACCAGCCCCAGCTCAGGTCTAGAACAGGGCCTTCCACCCAGCCTGCTGGGGTGGGCACAGGTGTGTGAAGACACTGAGACCCTCAGCCCGGGTACAGCTGGAGCTCCTGCCACCCCAGCTGCTGACCATTTGCCTCATCTTTAACTTTAGCACTCGCAGTGCCTTGCAAAATGTTGGAAAATAGTCATACAGATCTGAACTAATACATTAGCTGCTAGCCATCCTGCAAGTGCACACGTGGCTGGTGGCTACCATGCGGGATAGCACAGAACAGCCGGATTACATTCCCATCATCCTAGAAAGTTCTATCGGACAGCTCTGGTCTAGATGCTCCGGACCACTCCTAGAATTAGAACAGGCATCCCCTGAAGCCCCCAGGCCTCCCCACAGGAGAAAGGACGGTGCTGGCCATGCAGGCAAAGGAACCAAAACTTGAGTCACACTTGCTGGGGAAAGGCAGAAATTGCAGAGCAGCAGGCTAATTGCTTTGTGCTCTGTACCAGCACACCTGCATACTAATGCATCTGCGTTCCCGCAGGCGGTCTCTCAGAGCCAGACTTTGAAGGCCCAGGATGTAAGGGGCCTTGAGCACCCGGGCTATCACCCTCCCTTGAGGCTGCGCTTTCACCTTGGAGAGCCAGAACCTTGGGAAAGTAAGTGATGCTAAACCTGAAAATGCATCCAGAGCCTGAGCTTCCAGGAGTTCCAGCCAAGATTAAGAGCAACTGCAGCGGGGGCAGCAGTTTTTGATGAGACCCAAGTCTAGAGAACCCTATGGAAGAAAAGAGGAGGTCAACAGAAACCACCTAGAGACTGGGTCACCTGCCAAAAGAGCCCCTTGCTAAGCCTCCCCCAGTGCCTGTCACACAGTAGGAGGTCAAGAAATACCTGAAGGAATGGACTTGAACAGCATTCTCACACCGCACTAACCCCCGTCTGCGATGCTGCTTTTACTTAGAAACAGCGGCTTCAGAATGGGAAAGTCCTTAGCAGCCATGAACTGACCCTCAGATCACTAATAAGGACCCCGAGGGAAGTGACTTCCTCAAGGTCAGACCCCAGCAGACTTGATTTCTAGTCCACGATTCTCTCCATGACTCCAGCCTTCAATCACACGTGTCCTCTACTCAAACATCACACAAGCCAAAGCCAGCACTAGCAATGTGTTCTTAAGTCCCTCTTAGAACCTGGTAGCACGGGAGGGGCAGATCGCAGAAAAGAGAAGCGGCCAGCTGCCGGTGCCAGGAACCTGCCTGCCCAGCACACATGGAGCTCATTTCCAACCCAGTCGTAGAGAGGCAGATGTGGGGGAGGGGTGAGCAGGAGTCTTCATGTGTTACCGTCCGGATGCCTATTGAGATCCTTATATTCTTTTTCTACCCGATCAGTGATGTGCAGCTGTTGCTTTTTTTTTTTTCCACGTTCTTTAAAATTTTCTTTCCTGAGAACATGGTGTCCTTGACCTCAACAAATGAACTCCAAGAACCCGGAACCAGGGGAAATAAATGGAGTAAACTTCTCAGGAATATAAATGCAGTTGAGGCAACGATCCTATTGGCAGACCCCACATGATGGGCAAGAAAGGCACCGTAAAGGAAATCTATAGATCTACGAGAAAAACAAAAGTTAGATAAGGTGCACTCAGGCTGCATTTACAACCTTCCTCCCATCCACACACGAGGAGCGGATAATGAGGACTTCATCGATAGAACTGTTGGACAAATTGAATCCACACGAATCAGCAGGGTGATGTGCAGCCTGGACTTGAGAGAATTAGTTAATGAACTTACCAAATTTCTGGCAATTATTTTTTAAATGTTATGAAGAAAGAGAAAAGAAAGTAAAAGAAGTAAACTTAAAAGGAGAATGGTTCTCTTCATGAAGGCAAGCTTTATTTAATTTCTAGTACAATGCCCCGATACACATGCACATACATACATTTATTATTATTTTTTGAGATAGGGTCTCACTCTGTTGCCCAGGCTGGAGTGCAGTGGCACAATCATGCTCACTGTAGCCCTGACCTCCTGGGCTCAAGTGATCCTCCCACCTCAGCCTCCTGAGTAGCTGGGACTACAGGTGCACACCATCAATTAGCTCAAACCTGGCTAATTTTTTTCTATTTTTTGTAGAGAGGGGGGTCTCACTTTGTTGCCCAGGCTGATCTCGAGGTCGAACTCCTGGACTCAAGTGATCCTCCCACCTTAGCCTCCCAAAAGTGTTGAGATTACAGGCATGAGCTGCTGTGCCCAGCCACATACATAAAAATTAAAAACACAGGAGGCCGAGGCAGGCGGATCACCTGAGGTCAGGAGTTCAAGGACAGCCTGGCCAACGTGGTAAAACCCCATCTCTACTAAAAATACAAAATTAGTCAGGCGTGGTGGCGCATGCCTGTAATTCCATCTACTCGGGAGGCTGAGGCACGAGAATCACTTGAACCTGGGAAGTGGAGGTTGCAGTGAGCCAAGATCACGCCACTGCAGCCTGGGCAACAGAGTGAGACTCTGACTCAAAACAATAACAACAACAAAAAAGTAAAAACACAAACTGAGGTGCAGGAAACAAAGTTCATTCATTTTAGGCCAGGCTCACTGTTGTGTCTGTGTTTATTAAACACGGGCAACAGAACAGCAAGGATAGAAAGTGGCACGGTTCTGATGTCACCAGAGGGGCAGGCAGTGGCCCAGGCATAAAACACCCATGCTTTTGCACCCAGCCTTGGGCCCTTCCCTGACACCCTTCACCTCCACCCACCTGCACAGTTGTGCTGAGGCACGCACCTACCTCATTTGTGCGTCTGGATCCGGGGAGACGTGGATCTTGGCATTAACACATTCCATGTACAGAGTGACTGCTTCATTCCTGGGGAATGGTACAAACCTTTATGACCAACATCATATTTGGATTCATTCTAAGCCTCAAACTCTGCTCTCTTTGGATTAAATGGTAAGACTGAGAGAGGCAGTCACGTTGGAGGGGTTTTAGCAATGCATGTGGAGAGCAGGAAATCAACTTCTAAAAAGGAAACTGCATCCCTAAGCTGGCAATGCAGAGTCAGTTGCTGGAGTGAGCGGGGGGGCTGGCTTTCCCGTGTCTTCTCACACGCCCAGGGGTTCCAAATGATGTTCAATAGGGAGCCCTAGCCAGCATTCCTGGAGAGAAATGGCTGCACACCAAAAGTCTAGAGGACAAGGAAAACCTGCCTGGGAGACCCCAGGGTGAAGGCTCCGAAAGTAGCAAGAGCATGAAAACAAGAGGGGCACGTGGAGAGCAGATTATATGCGATCCAGCAGCCAGGAAAAAATACGGGCGCCTGGGAGGGAGACGATGGTGTCACTTTCTGTTTATCCACCATCTTTCATTGGAGCATCATTTCAAAGCACATTATAGGAAGCAGCTCTTTAATCCTCCCAGAGGAGCATGATGATTTGAAGGGGTCCCTGGGGAGCAAGAAATAAATCCCAGGATCAAATTCCAGGGCTAGTGTCCTCCTGGCTCCTCCACGCCCTGTGTTACAGATGGCCTGGCCTAGGCAAGTGGGGGTGGACGAGGGCCCTGACGCCACCACGATGTTCCAAGAGCCCTAAAAACACACAGACTCTTTCACTTGATTCCTTTTACTCCTAAAGATATACACCAAGGAAAACAAAAGTCTCAAAAACCACAATAAACAAGCTTGATGCACAAATATTCTCCTCTACTATTATCCTGTATATTAAGAGCAAAAACCTAGAAACAATGTAAATGTCCCCAAACAGGGGATTTGGTGAAATATTGATACGGGCCCCAAATGGAATGACTAGTTAGTAATGAAAGTGTGACATCTGCGAAAACATGGAAATCATCTGACTGAGCTATTAAAATGCAGATCACTGTGCACCATGCTTCTCAGCTGGCATACATGTGTGCAGGGGGGTGGCAGACATGGCTGCATGAGGATTTTGTTTTTAAGGATAAGTAAAAAATATCAAACAGTCTAGAAGTAAAAACCAAGTCTTCCCCTGCAAACTGCTCCCTGGCTCCTCCCCTGCTGAGAATCACCAGGGCTATTCTGTATGATTGTTTCTAGACACAGAAGAGGACCCCAAATTACTAAAGATGACAAGTGGGGCCGGGTGTGGTGGCGCACGCCTGTAATCCCAGCACTTTGGGAGGCCGAGGTGGGCAGATCACTTGAGTTCAGGAGTTCGAGACCAGCCTGGGCAACATGGCAAAACCCCGTCCATACAAAAAACACAAAAACTAGCCAGCATGGTGGTGCGTGCCTGTGGCCCCAGCTACTCAGGAGGCTGAGGTGGAAGGATTACCTGAGCCCAGGAGGTCAAAGCTGCAGTGAGGCGAGATTGCACCACTGCACTCCAGCCTGGGTGACAGAGCAAGAACCTGTCTCAAAAATAAATAAGACAAAAAGCCAGCCTTAGCATTTCCTCTACCCTGAAGGGAGGCCCTCTGCCCTCTTTCCCAGATCTCTGGTGCACACCTGGGCAGGGTGGAGCTGTGGCTGCAGCCACGTTTCAGCGTGACCAGCTCACCGCCTTGCCGTACTGGTGAGATCTTTAAGGTCTATGGTTTATGAGTGTCTCGTGTGAAGCAGTCAGCTGGGCAAAAATAAAATAAACGCAAACTCCACACAAAAGAGAGGAATGCTTCAGTCAACACTGAAAAAGGGCTCTGGATTGAAACTCTTGATAACTGTTCTCAACTCATTTGAAAGTCAGCATTAGCTACCAAAATGTAAAGTATTAGTTTTATTAAAATGCAAATCAATCAACTAATCTTTCTAGTAACAGTTGAATTGCAGTATCCGTGTCAATTAAAATAGTTTCCAATTTATTCTTGGCTGGAAGGAGGGTGACCTTCTGAATTTTAAATGCAAAGCCTCCCTTCAGTGAAAGTTCTGTCAGTTCCTTCTTTCTCAGCTCTCATTTTTAACTCATTTTAATTAAACTTGCTGGACTCCAAATATTTTGAAGGGCATGTTTAAATCTTTTTCTTCATCAGAGTAACGATGACAAAGGTTCTGTTTAGGAAACTCGGGTTGGCGTCAGGCTCATAGAAACCTCAGTACTAAGAGGTCATTTCCTTGCCGTCCTACCAAGCATCATCCAGAACCCTCACGGCTAGATGGACAACGTTGGATGTTCTGTATTTTAAAAGGGGATCATTTTGAAAGCAGTGAATGTGCGGGAACTCTCCTATTTCGGTTGAGTTTTTTGGTAACTGGAGACACATTGAAAAGTAAACATTTCCCTGACAGTCAAGCCAAAGAGGTGATTGTAGAGACAAGAAAAGCCACTGCATACCAAGGTCCAATTAATATGAGATGGAAAAACCCTCCTCCCTCCTATCTGCCCCATCCTGAGCTCAGCAGTTTCATTTATGTTAAAACTCAACTGTGATGCAGATGACGTCAGGCCTCGCTTCTTCTGCAGTCCAGCCGAAGGCACTGTGCGGCTGTCCCTGACACCAAGGCAATGATATAGAGGATTCCTGGGGACAAAAATCTGTCCCTTGGTTTTGACATTTCAAAGCAATATCAAAACTCAACTTTGAAAGCAAGTAGTTAGGGCCAGGCGCAGTGGCTTACGCCTGTAATCCCAGCACTTTGGGAGGCTGAGGCCAGCAGATCACTTGAGGTCAGGAGTTCGAGACTAGCCTGGCCAACATGGTAAAACCCCATCTCTACTAAAAATACAAAAATTAGCCAGGCATGGTGGCACGAGCCTATAATCCCAGCTACTTGGAAGACTAAGGCATGAGAGACTCGCTTGAACCCGGGAGGTGGAAGTTACAGTGAGCCAGGATTGTACCACTGCACTCCAGCTTGGGTGACAGAGCAAAACTCTGTCTCAAAAAACAAACAAACAAGTAGTTATAGTAACTACAACTCAACTCAGTTGCCTGGATCCAAAATGCCTTCTCTAATCCCATAGCTCTAAATAAAGAGCTGGGCAAAGGACCTATGAGATGCTCAGGCCAGCATGCTGGCCACCCATATGCGCACATTACTTATGCAAGATAATCTTCACTGCATATTGACCACAGCAAGCCAATAAATTCCCCTTATGGGGATTTAATTTCCAGCTTTTGACCTTTGGATGAAAAACAAGTGAATTGTCTCCTGCCAGATTTACACCAGAGCTAATATCAATAGTGATTTAGGAATGGTGAGCATGGAAAAGGACTCTGGAAGAATCTTTATAGGTGAAAAGAGGAGACAAAAAAAGTCAAACAACCGTGTATTTGTGACAACAGGCAAATGCCTCCAAATTACAAAGTCCCCTAGGTTTTTGGGGGAGTCTCTGCTCCTCAGAGCTGTGATAAACCACTAAACATTATCCACTCAGCAGCATCCTGGCCAGGTGTGGTGGCACACACCTGTAGTCCCAGCTACCTGAGAGGCTGAGGTGGGAGGGGATTGCTTGAGCCTGGGAGGTAGAGGCTGCAGCGAGCTATGATCACAGATCACACCACTGCACTCGAGCCTGGGAGACAGAGCAAGACCCTGTCTCTCACATACACACAAAAGAAAACCCTTTTAAATTTATTTTTTTAAACTGCTCCTTGCAGAGCAGGGGTACCCCCACAGGCAGAGTGTGCCCAGAGTAGCTGAAACCTTTTTTTAAAAAAATTAAAAGAAAGAAGCATCCTATCCCAGCATCATTCCTTTTAAGTGTTTTTTGTTTGTTTGTTTGTTTTTTTCCAGAAGGAGTCTCACTCTGTCACCCAGGCTGGAGTGCAGTGGCGTGATCTTGGCTCACGGCAACCTCCACCTCCCGGGTTGAAGCGATTCTCCTGCCTTAGCCTCCCAAGTAGCTGGGATTACAGGCACATGCCACTACACCCGGCTGATTTTTGTATTTTTAGTGGAGACTGGGTTTCACCATGTTGGCCAGGCTGGTCTCAACCTCAAGTGATCCACCCACCTCGGCCTCCCAAAGTGCTGGGATTACAGGCATGAGCAGAAGCGCCTGGTCTTAAGTGTTTTTAAAATTAATAGTTTAAATTGACAAACATAATTGTATCCACCTATAAGGTATAATGTGATGTCTTGATAGTGTATATACAACGTAGAACGATTAAATCAAGCCTGTCCATGTATCCATCACCTCACTTATCATTTTTTATGGTGAAACATTTGAAATTTACTGAGTTACTCTGAAAAATACATTATTGACTATAGTCACCCTGCTGTATAACAGATCTCAAAACTTCCTCCTCTGGCTGGGAACGGTGGGTCAAGCCTGTAATCCCAGCACTTTGGGAGACCGAGGTGGGCGGATCACTTGAGGTCAGGAGTTCGAAGCTAGCCTGGGCAATATGGTGAAACCCCATCTCTACTAAAAAAAAAAAAAAAAATCAGCTGGGCGTGTTGGCAGGGGCCTGTAATCCCAGCTACTTGGGAGGCTGAGTCAGAAGAACTGCTTGAATCTGGGAGGCGGAGGTTGCAGTGAGCCAAGATTGTGCCACTGCACTCCATCTCTAAATAAATAAATAAATAAATAAATACATACATAAACAAATACTTCCTCTGACGTGAAACTGTAGTCTTTGACCAACATGTCGCATTCCCTGCTCCCCCACCCCCCTCAGCCTCCGGTAACCACCATTCTACTCTTTAGTTCCATGAGTTGGCCTTTTGTAGATTCCACGTATAATTGAGATCAGGGGGTCTCTGTCCTTCTGTGCTTGAGTCATTTCACTCGGCATAATGTCTTCCAGTTCAACCACATTGTCGCGAGTGTCAGAATTTCCTTCTTTCTAAGGCTGAATACCCCTTATCCATGTAAGAAACCCAAAAGCAAGAAAACAAATAACCCATTTCAAAAATGGGCAAAGAATCTGAACAGATATTTCTCAAAAGAAGACATACAAATGGCCAACAGGCTTATTAAAAAATTATCAGCCCCACTAATCATTAGGGAAATGCACAGAAAAACCACAACGAGGCCGGGCGTGGTGGCTCATGCCTGTATTCCCAGCATTTTGGGAGTACGAGGTGGGCAGATCACAAGGTCAGCAGTTCAAGACCAGCCTGGCCAATATGGTGAAACCCCGTCTCTACTAAAAATACAAAAATTAGCTGGGCATGGTGGCGAGCACCTGTAATCCCAGCTACTCAGGAGGCTGAGGCAGGAGAATTGCTTGAACCTGGGAGGTGGAGGTTGCAGTGAGCCGAGATTGTGCCGCTACACTGCAGCTCGGGAGACAGAGCAAGACTCAGTCTCAAAAAAAAAAAAAAAAAAAAAAAAAGATAAAAGAAAAAAAAAACCACAATGAGACATCACCTCAGACCTGTTATAATGGCTACTATCAAAAAGATGAACCCCTAAAATGTATACAACTATTATATGGCAATAAAAACTTTTTTTAAAAAAGATGAAAGTTAACAAGTGTTGGTAAAGACGCGGAAAAGGGAGCTCTGGCACGCTGCCGGGGTGAACGTGGACTGGTACAGCCATTATGGAAAACTGTAAGGAGTTACTAAAAAAACTAAAAATTCAACTATCCTACGATCAAGCAATCCCATTTCTGGGTATATATACAGATCAACGGACATTACTGTGTTGAAGGGACACCTGCACTCCCACGTTCATTTCACCCACAACAGCCACGCTATGCAAACAATCTACATGTCCGCCAGGGTGAGTGGGTCAAGGAAACGTCAAGTCTGACATTGTATGAGGAGGCCACTGGACTAGAAAAAAAAAAGCTCAGTAAATGTGTCATCCACTAGAACCAAACCAGACTGACTCTCAGCCTCTTAAGAAATCACAAGCGGTGGTGGCGGTAACAATGCTCTTTATTTGTGGCGTTTAAAGGCGGGGTTGGGCGGGACAGCGCCCTTGCGTGTATTAGGCACAGGTTCGGAACGCAGCATCTTTCCAGGGGCTTCCCTACTAGCTCAGCCCCATAAAGTCACTGGTTTCCTCCATCTGGACCAGCAGCCGCACCAGCCAAGGCGCCCACTGGGTGTCGGAGGTGGGCGATGTCAATCCCCGTGGCCTTCGTCGGGAGGGTGGAGCTGGCCAAAAAGAGAGCGGTACAGTTCTGTCCTAAAAGACAAACACAGCAAACTGGTTAACACACTGGTTCACTATTCAAGGTTAAAAAGGAACGCAGAAGCTGGAAAATACCCCATTCTGTTTCTTCTGTTGAAAACACAGCCATGTAATTAAAAATGCACCCCACAGCTCTTACTCACAAATACAACAGAAGGAAGAAACCCAATCAAACAGTAAAATATGTAAATGGTCCAGTGCGGCTGGACACCCGTCTCCAGGGAATGAGTGTTCTGTAAGTTTGCCCTTTGCAGACAGGCTCTTCAAGTAAGAAAACAAGATTGAATATTTTAATAGGATGTAGGAGACCGCCATCCGATGAGGAGGATTCAATCAGACATGGGATGTAGGGGGATATAATTTAGTTTTCATACATTTTCTTGGACTTGGCAGTACTTGAAAAACAATGAAAATGAGCCAGCAACACGATTCCAATTACTATCATCTGTGCAGTTGTTCAGGAAGAGAACCAAGCTTCTTCCACACTCCCCAGCTGCCCTGTCTCTATTCTCAGTCTAATAAATAATATGATTGGCTAATTTATTTCTAAAGTTGGGTTTTGACATTAAAACAATAACATGCCAGGGTCTTGGGCCCCTAAAAAGAAAAGTAAATGACCACTTTCAAACTCTTTTAAATGCAACATACACACAAACATCGGCCAAAGCCATGTGTCAAGGCCTGGAAAACCTAAAAGGGGTGTGGGTGGGGCAGGGATCTTTCCTATCGTTGAGACAGAAGCTCCAGAACACTTTCCCCTGTGGATACAGAGCAGATCCTCCCTGCAGAGACATGAGGGACCCATGAGGTTCCAAGCAGGCAAGACCCGTGTGAGGACGTCCCTGTCATCAGGGAGGTGGGCGTGTAGCACGTGGCCGCAGAGGCAGCCATCCATGTCCACGCCCTGCAGAAGGCCCAGCCGGTAGCCCTCACAGAGACAGGGCAGGCGCACACAGGGCTGAGGTCATGGGCCAGGAGCCCCAGAAGAAATCTACACCTGCTCGGATATTCTCAAGATGGAACTCAAATTCCAGCCTGCCGTCTTGTTTTAAAAGTGCTCTCATCATCTGAGGGTCAGCATCGGCACATCAGACTTTAAAAGCAAAACCAAAAAACCCCACCTTTCAAACAGCAAGGCTTCAACACAAAAAACTACTGGTCTTTTTTTGAAGTCACCCTACTATAGTTATGGATAGGAATAAAGGTACTACAATTAGGAAATCCAACAAAAGGAATAGAGTATCAAAGCTTTAAAAAAGTCAAAAGAAAAACATCTTAAGGAAGAACTACAGAAGCCACAAATGTAAGCTAGCCTTATCATGTTGGGGACCGCGGGAGGGACAGGCAGTGAAAGTGCAGGCCAGAAAACAACAGGCCTCCAATTTTATTACAGGAATTTTATCCCAAGAATGTGCTGGTGCCTTCACCCTGAACTACCCAGCAGACCCCTAGGCCACAGACAAAGGACACAGCTTCCCCCTTGGCTCCACCCATCTCTTCTGCTCTTCTGTTACACACATCCATGTGACTAGCCTCAATCAGCCCAGACGAAGCCTGCCAAGGTGGACGGCAGCCCCAGACCAAATGCAAACCCACGGCTTCCAAATCAGCAGCTCCGTCACACGGATACTTCGGTGCCCAGGGCAGGCTCCACTTCATCACACCATGGCCTGCCTATTTGCCAGTAAAGACAAGTCTCTCTAGCTGTTTCCACACAAAAAATTAAATGGCGTGAAAGGGAGAGTTGCCATAACAAAAGGACAGTGTGACTTTAGGACAACAACGTCTGATGAGAAAGAAATGCAGAGGCGCGAGGCTAGCCCTTCACATCATACCCTTTCCAGCCTCGCCGCGCTTGCCTGCACCAGACCCCATCATTACCACTGAGCAAATGCTTCCACTCTGCGCGCAATATCAGTGCAACGCCTGGGCCGAAGGCAGCAGTTACTGTCCGCAGCAGGGTTCACGTGTCAGGAGCAGAGAGTGAAATGCTGAAACCCATGTTTTCATAGAACATCATTTCACACTCAGGTGGGCAAAGCTGACAAACATATGCAGCTGTTCATGGCAAAGCAACCTGGGAAGCTGAGTGGTCTGGGTTCTTAAAATATTTTCAGAGAGAGAGAATATCAATAGGGGATTATTTCAATCTAAAAGTCCCCAAGCAATTTCAACTTTTACATCTTCCTCACCCACTATCACCAGCTGGTGACCGTTTTTACCTTCAAAGCATCTCAAACTTCACAGCTCCTCCAGGCTTCCACTAGGTCAGATCTCACCGTTTCTCATGAAGCACACAGCAACAACCTCCTGGCTGACTCTTCCACTCCCTTCTCTGAGACAGACAAAGCAGACCCTCCCTGGGGCCCAGGAGCAGCATGGGGATGAAGATCCCCGCCCCACACGCCCCCCACCAGCCACCCCCACTGTAGATTCCAGCGGTTCAGCTTGGCCTCAGCCCTTCCTCTTTCCAGGTCCTGGCTTTGGCTCCTGCCCTGAGCAGCTGGGTGGTACAGGGAGGCACAGCCCTTCCTCCCTCTTTACTAGGTTGGAGAAGGTAGGGTTGCACATTTTTATAACGTTTTTCACAGTAAGTTTAAATAGTTACAAAATATATAATGACCAGGATGTTGTGAAAATTAACTTTTGTAATGCCTGCAATGGAACCTACATGCCATAATGATTTGATACTCATCGTTCATTCAAGTAACACATAAACTATTTTTTTTTGAGATGGAGTCTCGCTCTGTCGCCAGGCTGGAGTGCAGTGGCGCAATCTCGGCTCACTGCAACCTCCGCCTCCCGGGTTCAATCGATTCTCCTGCCTCAGCCTTCCAAGTAATTGGGACTGCAGGTGCGCACCACCACGCCCGGCTAATTTTTTATTTTTAGTAGAGACGGGGTTTTACCATGTTGGCCAGGATGGTCTCCATCTCTTGACCTCATGATCTGCCCGTCTTGGCCTCCCAAAGTGCTGGGATTACAGGCGTGGGCCACACATAAACTTTTTAACTTGGACATTTTATAGCACCTTTTTCTTTTTAAATTTTATTTCCACCTGACTTTTCCCTACAGAGTTTTGTCCTAATATAATGGTTTCATGCTTGAATGTCTTTTATCAATCACCCTTATCATACTTCTTGGCCACATTAGTCTGTAAATAAAAGCACTTTTGAAATTTTTAAAATTCAAAAAATTGAAATGAAAATATTTTAATTGTTTGACATTATAAGGCTCTAAGTAGTTTAAAAATGTTCCTCTGGATTATTATTAGGATATAATCAATATATAATAATATGATATAATATATCCTAATTTTAGTGAAAATTTAGTATTCATACATGTGTAAAATGTTATTAGAAATGCATCCCTTAATGATATGGATGAGGCTTTTCCCTCCATTTGTTCATGGATCCATGGAGGAATATTATTTATTGCCAGAATGAAGGAGGGTTCAGCATCAATTCTACTCCTATTTTTTTGTTTTTTGTAGACATAAGCACTGAGAAATGTTGTCATATAAACAAGCAGATAGGAATGACAGAGTTCTGGCATAGCAATGCCACTTGATTCTTTTTGCTCTTTCTGAATTATACAGCACACACAAAAAATCGCACAGTGACTCGTCCCCAAACATTAGTCCTAACGGTCAACCAACTGCCAACTCAATTCAACTCGTGTTCTCCAGCGATTCTGCTGGAAGTGAAGACCCAGAAACCACCCGGCCTGCACAGGGCTTGTCCTCTAGTCCTTAGGCGTTTGCTTTCTCAATCTCTGTACCCATATTTCCAGCTGTCCTTGGGTTTGAGGCCCTGGAGGTTTTCCTGTGGCAGCCCGAGGTCCATGTCACTTTAAGGAGGGGCTCGAGGGAGGCTTTTCAAGGCCAGAGAAGGACGAGGGTAAAAGGACAACCTAGCCCTCCAGCACAGGCCTGCTCTGGGGCAGACAGCTTTAGGAAAGAGCGTACGTCTGAAGACTGACTCCTTGACTATCTGTGTCTACCTTCCCCTTGGAAAGTCTCTGCATACCCCAGTGTGAAGACTGAGCCACAGGGTGCACTGAGCTCTTCCTCCCTCAAACCTAGGCAGGTGTCTAGGTGCTTAGGGAAAGGCAAAGACATCTGAAAAGAAACAAAACATGTCCACAGCCCTTACCCCATCCCAAGAAAAACTGCAAGTAAAGACGAGGCTACAAAAAGGTGCCACTGGACAGAGGGCCAGACCGCCTTCCACTGCATAAACATTTCCCCCCGGCTGCATCTTCCTAACTGGGATTTAGCCATGTGGAGAAGCTAAACTATCAATCCTCCAGGTTAACCTTGTTCCATCAGATTCTCCAGGGTAAGTGTGTAGTTTCATACCTGAGGTCCCCTTAAGGCTATGCATAATCAACTTTTTAAAAAAACACATAATTCCTGCTCCCCATCACATTAAGAATCAAGATGCAAATCACTGATCTGTAATACCCCCACCCCCCAGCACACACACACTCATGGTCAGTGGGAGTGTCCACTGTAGACAATGCGTTCATGCTGGTATCATGCAGGGGAGCAGCCTGCGGAGTAATTAACAGGACTTGGACCTGAGGTAGAAGGTCGATAGCAGGGGCTCTTCCTTGAATTAAAATTTAACTTACCCTTTATTGCAAACTACAAAAGCAAGTAATGAGCACTAACATTTTTATTTCTTTTAAACTGTCATTAAGCTGTAGAGGGGATAATTACCTATCTCTAGTGCAGTAAGGTTTTATAACCCTTAGTGAGGCATTTTCTAATTTAATATTTTTACTATATTATCTTAAAACCTGTTTCTAGAAAAAAAAATGATCATGGATTAGCCGCCATTTTCCATAAAGACAGAATGTGCGTGTGTGTGTGTGTGTGTGTGTGTGTGTGTGTCTGTCTGTCTGTCTGTCTGTCTTAGGATTCGGCTTATTTATTATGTGATTCTTCTGAAGAGACTTAAAGTATGCACATTGTAGCTAGCTGTGAACTGCAATCACTTGAGTGGCAGGTAAGGTTTTAAAAGCTCTGAGTGAAATGGGGGTGTATGTGTATGAGAATGCAGCCCCTCACCGATGTGTGGACCCAAATATGTTCCTTTCAGTTCCACATGTGCACTCACCCCACCACAATACAGATCACTGTCTTTCACGATGTCACTTGGGCAAACAGTACAAAGGAGCATATTAAACCTGCAAATAATCTGTGTGGGGCTTTCAATTTGCTAGGTCAGTAGCTTGCAGCACTGGGGATTCTGAAGGAATTGTACCATCCACTCTACAGAAAACCACACTCCTCCTACACTGGCCCTGGAACCCCCAGGCCTCCAAGACATCCCTGAGCTGTACCTACCCACAAAGACAGGTGGACAGCAGAGAGAACACAGCCATTCCACTGCTCCCCGAAAAAGCCTGTGCAGCCTCCCAAAGCGCATCATGGTCTCCGAGCAAGTATTATGTGCCAGTCTTCCAAAGGAGCTGGCGGAGACAATGCTGCTGCTTTCCAGACGAAAAGTGACTCATAGGCCAGGTATGGTGGCTCATGTAATCCCAGCACTTTGGGAGGTTGAGGTGGGAAGACCACTTGAGCCCAGGAGTTTGAGACCAGCCTGAGCAACACAGTGAGACCCTGTCTCTATTAAAAATAAATAAATACATAAAATGATACACATAATTTGCCTTTGACTAATTAAAAATTGTTCATTTGTTGCTTCTTAGGAGTGGGGGGTCTCCCTAAATACATAAGACACATCCCAGAATGTCATGGCCCTTCCTTCCTTTCTAATCCTCTACCTCTCCCACACTGCACACAAAAGTGCTGTAGCATTTGCTTCTGCCTTAACTCAATCCCATACATACATTGCAGAATCAAGGGAAAAGAAGAAAGCACACGGCAGGCAAGTCGGACAAAGGGTTCCAATCATAGCAGCACTCACGGCTAGCAGGGTCTGGATCCGATCTGAAACCCTACAAGTAGAGTCTGCCCAGATATGGTCAGTCAGCACAGAGATTCACACACACGCCTGCTCTGCACAGACCAGCGCGGTCACCAATGACAGATGTGTGCTTTTAAAATTATTGGTGATGTACTGATGCTGCCTTTTTTCACGTTTGTCTTTGAAAACAATTTGCTTAGTGTGGTGGAAGCTTAAACATGTACTAGATGTATATGATTCCTGGCCTCAAAACCTAACATACTACAGGTATAATCAATTAATTAAAAATATTTGAATGCTTATTTGAACTTTGTTAGATTTTGTGGAGGTTCACAAAGACATGAAAGGCACAGCAGAAGCTAGATCGGGAAGGTGAATACATGCAGTAAGTGTGTCTCAGACAAACCACTCCATTTGGGGAGACACACAAACATTCTTCCTCCTGCTGAACCCAATTCTGTCATTTTAGGACTTACAGCCATGGGCTCTTGTCCCTCTAAAGCCAGAGAGAAGTAAGGCTGACTACTATTCCCTGTGGCAGCACTTCAACTATTTGATGTCTTCTTCTAACTAAATCTGTTCTTTTCCGGGTTCAGCGGCCTCAGTTGCCTCCATTCCTCCTGTGACCGAGTCTGCTTGCCATCCTGACTGCACTCCTATGAGCCCTCCATTTGCCAAAGCTCCAAAAGCAAGGTCTCCAGAACCCGCAGCCCTCGTGAGCCCAAAGCAGGTGGAGCAGGACTCCATCTCTCCTGCACTCTGAACACATACTTCTCTCTCTGTCTTCCCAAGGCCTCCACTCTCTTCTGTTCTATCTATCAGTATGCCCAGGGCCTCCCAAATGTCTGCGGAAAAAGATGTCTTGCCAATTATCACTTGGCACATGCTAACGGCACCAAACAAAGGGATCCTTCTCCAATAAAGCACGTGCCTCCATTCTGATTGCCAGAAACCAAAGTAGGCCAAAGGGCAAAGGCTACTCACTCCTCCATTTTCCTCTTAAAAATGTCTACAGACCACAGGACAGCAGCTTTCCCTTTTTTTTTTTTTTTTTGAGACGGAGTCTCGCTCTGTCACCCAGGCTGGAGTGCAGTGGCGCCATCTCGGCTTGCTGCAAGCTCCGCCTCCCAGGTTCACGCCATTCTCCTGCCTCAGCTTCCCGAGTACCTGGGACTACAGGTGCCCGCCACCACGCCTGGCTAACTTTTTTTTGTATTTTTAGTACACACAGGGTTTCACTGTGTTAGCCAGGATGGTCTCGATCTCCTGACCTCGTGATCTGCCCGCCTCGGCCTCCCAAAGTGCTGGGATTACAGGCGTGAGCCACCGCGCCCGGCTTGGACAGCAGCTTTCTTTTCTTATATACTTAGAGAAACCAGCTTAATAGAAATCTTGAATAGTTAAATAGAACAAGGCGAATGCTTTTATATGGCATAGAGCATGGTATCACAAATGCAGAGGGGCTGGAAGGTGCTGTCAGAGTTGGTTCTGACTGGCTCAGGTCCTTACTGGGTCTAGGACCTTAGGTAAATTACTTAGCCCCCTGAATCTTAGCTTCCTCATCAGTAAGATGGTGACAATATCTTCCTTAAACATACTGTTTTTACAGCACTAAGCAAAGTCCGCATTGCATAAATGGCATCGTCATCTATGATCATGAGAAATGGAATGAGACAGAGCAACATGCTGAGGACCTGTGTGCATGCATTACAGTTGCTCCCAACCAACACGAGGGACTAAATGGCACCCTCCTTTCATCATTCCTTTGCTTTCCCCGACCCAAATTCATCCTACTCGGTATCAGTGACTTTACAAATGAGAGAAAGATATTTGAGAAGTGTCTCTATGACCTAAAAGGAGAAACATACTGATCCAAATGGCAGGCAATCGCCCTGTGCTCTTTGGGGCTGTGTGGTAGGGGCAGCCCTATGTATGTCACGGGAATGGGCTCAGACACAGGTGACATGCATTAGAACTTAGCTCCTCAAGGCTGGGCGCAGTGGCTCACACCTGTAATCCCAGAACTTTGGGAGGCCAAGGTGGGCGGATCACCTGAGGTTAGGGGTTTGAGACCAGCATGGCCAACATGGAGAAACCTCGTCTCTACTAAAAATACAAAAAATAGCTGGGCGTGGTGGTGTGTGCCTGTAATCCCAGGTACTTGGGAGGCTGAGCCGGGAAAATCACTTGAACCTGGGAGGCGGAGGTTGCAGTGAGCCGAGATTGTGCCATTGCACTCCAGCCTGGGCAAAAGAGTGAGACTCCATCTAAAAAAAAAAAAAAAAAAAAAAAAAAGAAAAGAAAAACTTAGCTCCCCAAGAAGGCTGGATTGCTGGGAAAGTAATCCAAGTAAAAAGACACAGTGCTGATAAGGAGTTAGTATTTAGTCAGAATGACACAAAAATCACTATAGTAGAAAACTTAGGATTTCTGAATACGGCCAAAAAGTCGGTACTTACTCTCCCTCACTCTCCTCTTAACATCCCCCAACAACCCAAGGAGGATCACAGGCTTCTCTCCTGAAATCTCATCATAATTCCATACCAAAAAACAAACCAAAACTGAACAACAACAAAAACCCCCATAAAAAAACCACAAAGCAGAAGAAAGGAGGTAAAGGGGAAAGAAAGCAGTCTTCTTTCAGCTAAGACTTATTTCTTAACAGGATCAACTTAGCAAAATAAGAATGACTCAGAGACACCCCTTATCTATCACTAATTACCTAAATCTAGATACAAGGCAAATCATGTCCAATCCGACACTAGCTGAAACTCTTCACAAGGTTCCAAAACAACAAAACCGCAGCCGCCCGAATCTGCCACAAGGTGGCAGTACACGACTCGTTTCCAAGTGGACCCAGCCACCAGTCAGCGGAGCCCATAAATTACCCCGTGTGTCTGCTCTCATCACCATCCTCCCCAGTGCTTGAAGGAGACTCTAGAAGGTCTGTTCCAATTCGTTCTTTTGGTCAGGTCAGAACTAGGTCCTTCAAACCTCTGGAAAAGCTTTTAGCCCTACAGCTCTAAATTACACATGGTGACACACGGCCTCTGGCCTGTCCCCTAAAGATCAGACAGACTCAAGATTTATAAATGTTCCAAGAAGCAGGTTCAGGCCCCAAACAAAGGAACTGAGAGGCTGGGGAACAGGGAGGAGAGGGGAGAGGGATGGGGGCGAGAAGGGGACTGCACGTGGACAGGTTTTCTTCTCACTTGTGCTTCCTCCTTACTCAAGCCAGTCACAAATCCCCTGCACTTTAACAAAGGAAGAAAAATACTCAAAACTTCCACCATCCCTACTACTAGCTTCAAATCTTCCACATGATTTTAAAGAAAAATAATTTACCTTAGCGGACTTGCAAAAAAGCAGAGGGGTGGGGGAGGAGCCACTCTTCAGACAAAAGGGGCGCCGCTCCTTCCACGCATTAATATTCCATATTCCCGGGATGATGTCCACTTTCACAGTTTGACTGTTTTATAACAGATTTGATGTGAGAGAAGACAAATGGCCTCACAAAGGAAAGACGACAAATCATCACACTGCTTTTAGCAGGGTTTCTCTTTATTTTTATTTATTTTTATTCCGGACCTGGGATGCAGAGCTCTCTGCCTTGCTGGAGATGTTTAATATTAACGTCAAGCCACCACGGTCCCCGCAATAGAGTTGGCCAGTGTTGTGTTTACGGTTTTGTGACTGCTGGCTTCAGGAAGATGAAGCTCCTTGTTCAAACAGCAGCCCCTCTAACAGCTCCTGTTAAAAGCTAGGGGATGCTTCACTGCTTAGACGTGAATCACTTCCCCCAGCCGCACAGAAGGTGAGACTGACATTCCAGTTACATTTGTATCCGTATCAGGATGCTGCCCAACAACCCAGGGCGTGTGTGCATGCGTGTGTGTGTGTGTGTGTGTGTGTGTGTGTGTGTGTGTGTTGGGGGAGCACAGGATGCATCGCTCAGCTCTAGCTTAACTTCAACACGCAGGAATTAGTGAGGGTATTCAATGTCAACCCATAGAGTTTTGGCAAGGCACTCTGCTATTACTTCTGGTAATAAGTTGGAGGATTTCTTTTGCTTAGAAATCGGGTACCAATCAAAACGCACAAGAAGTAACTAGTAAGTGAGCAAATGCAAAGTGCCAGCTCTGCAATGCGAGTCAGGGGACACAGAGGAACCGCTGGGGCCTGGGGAGCAAGCCCTTCCAGCTGCTGGCCAGCTGCCCTACCCGGAAGTCTCCCCCCGAGCGTTCAAGGAGCATGTGTTCTCCTGGCTCTCCTCTGCCTTCCTTCTCCCAGGTTCTGCTCTTGGCTTCCTCTCTTCTTTTGACACCCTCCCCTGGTGATCCTACACACACTCTAATGGTCTAATGGTCTCCTCCGCGTGAAGGACCCCAGAGCCCGAGTCCCCGCTCCCCTGCCCTCCCCCTAAACTCATCTCCTGCCTTGCAAGGCTCTTCTGACACCCAAGCTACCATTTCTCCTAACAATGGCAGCAAATTCTTTTTTATTCACATCCCACACAACTGTTTAATGGCAGTGAGCTGTAAGACAAAATTACAGATATCGATACCACATTTTCTGATGAAAAAATAAAATCCAGTCTGAGATGGGGCTCTTGTTCAGACTGTATGCCTATTAATTGATTAAAAAAAAAAGGCTGCTCTCAATCTGTCCATAATTTTTTGGTTTTTAATAGTATCCTTCAAAGAACTTCCTTCCTGCCTCTGCAAATCAGAAATTCAGCAAAAGGAGCATCTGTCCTAAACACCTGCCAGGTGAGCTTTCCCCAGCAGCACTGAGCAGGCCTGCAACAGGGGGCCTGCAACAGGGCATCTCTCCCACTCGTTTCACCAGCTAGTCTCTGAGGTCAGCAGTTTGATTACCTCAGCCAGTTATACGATTGGCTCTAAAAAGCCTGACTGCTAAGTGCAAAGTGAGCAGTTTGCATTTCTTCCCCTGAACCTGAAGAGTCTGTCTGGCTGTACAGTTGTGTTTCCCCCTGTAGGACCGAGCTGTGGAAGAGAAGGCAGAGTGCTGCCAAGTGTGTGTATGAGAAAATGTGTATTGATTTCTTCTTTCTTATAGGGGAGGACAAAGCATTGAAGAACAATTGCTCGTCTTTGCAGCATTTCACATTCCATACAAGAGACAAAAGGCCCAACCCCCACTACCCTCTGAGAAGCAGAAAGGGGAACGGAACAGGACTGTGTCTCCTGGGTGTCGGCAGCCACGAGTGCTGCTGCAGGTCAGCTACTGAGACTCCAAACACCCTGGGGCCCATGGCTGCTCACCTGTCTCTCATCAAGTAATTTCCCTTCTGGGCTGATGTTTCCTCATCTATATTGTAGAAGAAAGGCCTTCAGTCTTATTTACCACGTAAGTGGAGGTGCCCAGGGGGTCAAAGAATTAATGTTTATAAAGTGTTCTGCTCCCCAGGGAGACAGTGGTAAAGCATAGGGTGTGGTTATGGCTCATTCAGGACCTCATTTCTGAGGGTGGCTGGTGAGAGCTTCCCATGACCAGGTGCTGCCAGCAACTTGAACTCCAAGTCTAACGAGGTAAGGTCCTCGATCTAAATATCCTTTCTTAGCTTGACACTTAATACCAACACTAAAAATAACAAAGCAGCCAGGCCTTTATGCTTTGTTAATGCACTTACAGAATCCATTCCAGAACTGTTTTCTTCTTAAAGAAAAATCCTGAAAGCAGAGTCCAGAACACTGACCGAAAGCTATAAATCACTACAGAGCCCTGCTGGGGTTCTTCATGCTCCATAGTAACTGCATGGTGAGTATCTCTAACTCAAGTATCTGAAATCTGAAATGCTCCGAAATCTAAAACTTTTTGAGCACCGACACGAACTATGCTGTAAGAAAATGCTCACTGGAGCACTTCAGATTTCAGATTTTCAGATTAGGCATGCTCAACGGGGATAATACAAATATTTCCAAATCCAAGAAAATCTGAAATACGAAATTCCTCTGGACGCAAGAATTCGATAGGTGACACTTGACCTGTAATAATTTATAGGAAGGCCATCAGAACCAAACCTGGTTTAAATAGCACAGAAAACCTATAGTATATAGTATATAGCAGGAGAAACCTATAGTATATAGTATATAGCAGGAGAAAACCTATAGTGTATACAAAGTTTAGGGTCTTGGAAGTGATGGACATGTAAGAGTGTTCTTGAGAGAGCCTTTCCCAGGGTTCAATCCTAAGTAAAAATGACCCCAAAAACCCTCTAAGCAAAGGGTGGGGAATCAGAAGTCCCAGAGGAGAACCTTTCATTCTGGGTCTTTTCCAACATTGCCATGAGCTAAGAACAAAATAAGGAGCCGGCCCTCAAGCGGTGCAATGGTTTAGCATGGAGACCTAACCTATGAATAATTAGGAAACAACCTGGTGGTAGATGCTATACATAATATGGATCTATACAAAGTGACATGGAAGCAGAGGAAAGTATATTAAAGAAGTGAGATGATTTGGAGAGATTTCAGCAAAAGAGGCAAGAAACTCATCTTCATCTTATAGGACAGTTGCAAAAATAATCTTGTAAACAGCAAACTGTAAACAAACATACAAGCTGGGGGCCTTTAAAAGCATCTCAGACAGGAAGCCTCTACCCAACTTTTTTTGGGGTTTGCACAGAAATGGCTATGTCTGTATTGCATGCTGAGGGACAGTGGCGTAATACACAGATGTGAAAACACAAAGTTTGTTTATTTAAATAATTATCTGTTAGGGGTTACATTTAAAATAGTCCTTCTCAGAAATTAAAAAATTAAAAAGAACATTTTATTCTCAAGAATCCAGTGAACAAGAGGCCTGTTTTCACTATGTAAAAGAAAGAAACCATGGCCCATAAAGAAGGCTTCCCAGGGTGGCACTGCATACGAGCGAGGGCATAAGGTGCTCAGGAATACTGAGTCAGCGCTGAGCTCAGAGGAGGCCGACAATAACTGGAAAAAGACCTTAAGTGAAGTGTTTTGCAAATACTACAATTGAAATTAAAATATATTATTCCAAATATATGAACATAAAATCTCGATAATACCAAATACAAGATTACAGTACACACAGGCATACTTCTTTGACTTTTAAGTTAACATACTTAGCAAGAAAAAAGCCCCCAATAAGTGTGTCTGTGAACTGTTATACAGTTAACAGTTTAACTGTTTGGGAGGAACAAACAGAATGGGTTCAAAGAAGAAAGCTCAGTGGGGGTGGAGAATCTGAAGTCTCCCTAGAAAGGCTGGTGACCTCATGACTGAATATTTCAACAGGAAACAACAGTGAGACGGGGGTGGGAGATGCTGCAGGCTATGAGCAGAATGAACAGACATGCAGAATAGGGAGTGTGTCCCAGGGATTGCAGGTGTCTGCTCTGGACAGCACATGGGGTGAAATAGGCGATAAGGAGAGAAAAGTAGCAAGGCAACAAGTCATCGATGGCCTTGACTGGCAGGCTTGAGAGTCTGGGTTTTATGCTAGAGGCAAAGAGTAGCATGTGATATTGGAGGAAGGTGAATCTGGCAATGAAACAGAACTGATGAGAATACAGACTATTGGTTAATATGCCGTTAGTGTAATAGTCGATGTGGGAATTAAAAAAAAAAAAATTTGCCAGGCGCGGTGGCTCACACCTGTAATCCCAGCACTTTGGGAGGCCGAGGTGGGCAGATCATGAGGTCAAGAGATCGAGACCATCCTGGCTAACACAGTGAAACCCCATCTCTACTAAAAATACAAAAAATTAGCCAGGCGTGGTAGTGGGTGCCTGTAGTTCCAGCTACTCGGGAAGCTGAGGCAGAAGAATGGCGTGAACCCGGGAGGAGGAGCTTGCAATGAGCCGAGATGGTACCACTGCACTCCAGCCTGGGTGACAGAGCAAGACTCCGTCTCAAAAAGAAAAAAAAAAAAAAAAGAAAGAAAAAATTAAAAGGCCAGGTGCAGTGGTGGCTCATGTCTGTAATCCTAGCACTTTGGGAGGCCAAGGTGGGAGGACTGCTTGAGTCCAGGAGTTCAAGACCAGCTGGGGCAACACAGCAAGACCCCGTCTCTACAGGAAAAAAAAAAAAAAAAAGCTGGGTGTGGTAGTGTGTGCCTGTAGTCCCAGCTACTTGGGAGGCTGCAGCAGGAGAATCACTAGAGCACAGGAGTTCGAGGCTGCAGTGAGCTATAATTGGGCTACTGTACTCCAGCCTGGGCAACAGAGTAAAACCTTGTCTTTTGTTAAAAAAAGAAAAAAACAAAAAAAAAGACCTGGACTCAAAAAAAGAGGCAGTAGAAATAAAAAGTGAAGATCATTGAATAATATATTAAAATAATGCTCCCAAGTAGATTAAAAGAAAAAAAATTCAGATGAAATTAAATAAAATATAGGTGAATAATTGTTCTGGGATACAGGAGAGATTGCCTAATCATAAAACAATGAAAAACACCCCCCACAAAAAGGTTCTTATATATTTAATCAGGTTAAAAAGTAAAACTTCTATGTAACCAATAAAAATCATTAATATTGACAGGTAAGCAAAATATGGAAATCTACAAAAACCAGGAAATGTTATATAACCATAAATATAGCCATAATATAGAGAATTCATACAGGAAGAAAATTCATAAAGAAAAGTCAAAACTCAAAAAGAAAATGGGCAAAGGATAAAAACAACTACAAATGATAGAAATACATGATTAATACTCTTCAAATTTACTATTATAAGAGAAAATAAACATTAGATTATAGCCCACTGCCTACCATATTATATGTCCTCAATAAGGTGTCATTTGTTATGAACTTAAAAACAGTAAGTAACTTTTATATCTAAATAGGAAATATTTTTTAAAAGATGGCTCTCCCGGCCGGGTGTGGTGGCTCACACCTGTAATCCCAGCACTCTGGGAGGCTGAGGTGGGTGGATCACCTGAGGTCAGGAGTTCGCGACCAGCCTGGCCAACATGGCAATACCCCGTCTCTACTAAAAATACAAAATTAGCCGGGTGTAATAGGACACGCCTGTAGTCCCATCTACTTGGGAGGCTGAGGCAGGAGAATCACTTGAACCCGGGAGGCGGACATTGCAGTGAGCCGAGATTGCACCATTGCACTTCAGCCTGGGCGACAGGGCAAGACTCCGTCTCAAAAAAAAAGAAAAAGAAAAAAGAGCTCTCCAGCTTAGCAAAGATAAAATGACATAAGCCTCAGCTGGAAAGAAAAGAGTCATGTAACTTAGTAAAACTCATCAAGAGTCATTAGAAAGTTTAGATATTTGACCCAGAAATCTATTCTAAAGACACAGCAAAACCTAGAACATAGATTTCTGTATATATATGTTCACTGCAGCACTACTTGAAAAGAAAGGCAACTACAAACAACCTAAATGTCCAACAATAATACATATTCCATAATAGATTATTAGGTTATTAAAATGCTTTTAAAAATACTTAAGGCATTAAAATGCTTATAAGTTAATCTGAAAAAAGATTCAAACACATACGTATATATCTGTATAAAATACATACACAAAAAATTCTATAAGAAAACATGTAAAAGTATTAATAATGTTCTACCCTCAATAGCAGGATGACAAATTTTTCTTTGTCCTTTCTATATTTTTCAAATTTTCTTCCATAAGCATGCACTATTTTTATTATACAGGAAAAAGATACTGTCTCTAAGAAAAGTAGGTGATAGGTGCCTGACTATGGCAGAGAATAGAATTACATGCATAAACTGACTAAATATACCAGATCAGGATTCAAAGCTAATTATGAGGTCTAAGGTCTTTGTAACCAGAATGATATAACATAAAACCAGGTTTGGGAATCCAGTGATTCACACTAAAATATGAATGACTGACAGGCAAAACCTTCCTGTATAGAAAGCATCTCTCCTATAAAAGAAAGCGTGGGGGGGGAAGCATTTTAATCTAAAGAAGTTCCCCCCCCCAAATAAGTTTTTGAAAGAGTAGCTAGGGGTGGGGATGGGGGCCTTCCCTGTGGCACATGATTCCCAAATATTTCTAAAAGTTTGTGAATTTCTTGGCAACAGCAGTGGGGGTTGGGACCACACTCTTAGATGCACACACCTGTTCCACTACTTACTTGCTGTTCAGCTTAGGCAAGTTATTTAATTGTTCCATGCCTTAGTATTCTTATAAAATGCAGATAACATCAATCACTGTTTTTTTTTTAAATGAGGAACAAATGAAAATATATGTGAAGGGCTTAGTGCAATGTCTGGCATATAGTAAACTCTCAGTAAGTGAAATATGATATGATTATTCTATATTATTTCATTGCCCATCAGACACAGGGGACAGACTTACAGTGGATAAATCAGAGCGAAGGATAACTGCACTTAGAAACAGAAATGGTATCTCAGCAATCGACTGTTGGCTCAGTGATCACTGTGGGGCACATCAATAACATGATTATGACTAACTAAATTAAGGTGAAAAACTTAGCTATTGCCTACCGGCTTGCAAGTAACTTGCCAGTTACTTAGCTGTGATTAATACAATATCTGTAAGATATTGCAATATATTTAGAAAGCCAATAATAATAAAAATTAAAAAACAAGTCCTTAAGAGAAACATTTACACACACTTTAAAGAATGTGAAACATCCCTTTGGGAAAAAAAGAGGATTTACAATCCTTTGAAGAAGCGATGAGAATATAAGTGCAGAAATGAGAACTATAGTCAAAAAGGCCCATTTTGAGGAAGGATTTATCTGTTCAGCATCTACAAATCTCTTTCTAGAAGATGTGCTTTTATCACTCTACCTCCTGCTTGGAGCCAAGGCTTCATTTTGACAATGCAAGTTCTCTAGAATAAGAGACTGAACAGCAGCAAATCAGGAAAAATAGAAGAAACAACAGCAGTGTTTTTTTTCCAACCCAGTTTTAAAACTCTGGCCCAAGCCTTAGGTTTGAACTTGAGAGTGTTTCCTTTGTCCTTTCTGACATTACTGGCGAAAGAAGGCCCCATGCCCCTATCTCTGTGCTGGACGCCATCCTTAATGATGATATATGCGGGTCCTTTCCCCTCAGCACTGCTGGGGGGTCAAACGTGTGGTGCTACCCACCTGAGAATCAACAAGCAAATTATAAACTATGTCAATCCGAGTTAATGCAAAGCTGTAATCCTCTTTAACAAGAGATCAAATCACTGCCATGAGTTATGTTCATTCTGTAATCTGATAAGGAAGAGAGGGAACCTCTAATAAAAGAGTAATGGGAGCCTTTAATGACGCTGGTAAAAGGTAGCCCCAGTTAAAACATCACTCTTGTTCTTGCTGATTAGATCAATGTTGCATATTTGCCTGGGCTTGTCTCACCTGTCAGAATAACCTGTGTCTTTTTAGGAGATACGAAGCCTCAGAGAAAACATCTGTACTTTAACCATTCTTGCTTGCAAGTTTTTAACCAACAGAAAATGCTCTATGGAGGGTATTTCAGGGGTTATTAGCTGATGTGTTCTCAAATGCTGAGCAAGCTACACCAGAATATCTCACCATGATTCAGTGCATATTCCTATTAAATATAGGTAGGGGGGAGCAAGAAATGGTTTAACTATCTTCTGGGTTACCAACTGGGGGAAAAGAATATCATCAGTAGAGTGGTAGAGTATGCCCATATTTAGGGTGCAGACCCATACACAAAAATGGCAAGCTGAAGATAAATTGCCTGTACAATTTCTATTATACCAGGGCATCTCAAGAACAACGTGGCAGTGATGTTGACAAAGCACTTTACAAGGCTGGATTGCATTTGTACATTTCTTTTCTAAAACTCCAGATGTAAAACAATAATGTATTTGGTGCTCAGTACTTATCATTAAAGGATCCTCTCCTTGTTCTTTTTTTAATGCCAGCAGCTTTATAAAAGGAGTGGGAAAGGTAGTTTTGTATTTTTGGGGAGAGAACAGGGAGCTAAAATTGAAACTCTTGCTGTACATTTTGAGAATTTCTTTAAGTTATTTGCAAAGGAATGGAGTACCTACAAAATGTTAATCTTGCTACCATTTTTGGAATAAGGGGGGGAAATCTATTTAGAAAAATTCAATACCTACACTTTTAACTGACAGTACCAGCATCAAATCTATCTAATATCCTCTCCTTGAAGCAGCATTTAATGCAAGGCAAACACCTATTTTCTTTGGCATGCATCAAGCTGACTGCCATCACCAGACCCTTTCCATCCTGACAGCCAAAACCAATGCCAACAGAGCAGGTTCACATGAATGTCCCTTCCCAAATCTGAGTCAGTGGCCAGTTTTGAGGAACACATCTCTTCCTGTCTCAGGGGTCTCAGTCAGTATTTGTTTGTCTTGTCATACTAGCATTTTACTGACTTACATCCACACAACAAATGACAATTAACTCAGTCTGCCTCAGAGGGTCTGTCAAAAACACAGGCAAAAAGCAGATGCTTATTTCCATAACCCCAAATTCCTTCACTTTGTTAGAACTATAGTGAGAGATCATCTGCATTTATTTTATTTTATTTTCATTTTTGGAATGCTTCTGTATTAGGCCATTCTTGCAGTGCAGTAAAGAAATATTTGAGGCTGGGTAATTTATTGAGACAGGAGGTTTAATTGGCTCACGGTTCTGCAGGCTGTACAGGAAGCATGAACCAGGCATCTGTCCAGCTTCTGATGAGGCCTCTGGAAGCTTACAATCATGGCAGAAGGCGAAGGGGGAGCAGATGCCTCACAAGGCCACAGCAGGAGCAAGAGAGAGAGTGGGGACAGGGGAGAAGCCACACACTGCTAAACAACCAGATCTCTCAAGAACTCACTGTTATGAGGACAGCACCACGGGAATGGTGCTAAACCACTGATGAGAAATCCACCCCCATGATCCAATCACCTCCCACCAGGCCCCACCTCCAACACTGGGGATTACATTTCAACATGAGATTTGGCAGGGATGCCAATCCAAACCGTATCAGCATCCAACACTGGCTTTACTTTTTCTGTATTGATAGATTATATGTGTACTTATTTATGGGGGGCATGTGATATTCTGATATACGCATAGCATGTTTAATGGTCACATCATACTCCCTCTGGTCTAATGGCATGGGGCAGGTGGGATTTCACATTACACAATGTAAGCACTGTTTCTAAAAGGTCCTTGATGAGCTTAGAATAACTTCAATAGAGAAGTGAACAACAGCCCTGCAAATCATGCAAGTAAAGTACTGACCCGCTCTTGCTGGTGATAATATGCTTAGAGGATTCTCTACCAATGAGATGTCAAGCCTTTTCTTCTCCTTAGGCCACTGATAGCTCTGGCTCTACAAAAACAAGTGATCCTTTGCCTCTTAAAGATGACGCTGTCAGCCAGGTATGGTGGCTCACGCCTATAATCCCAGGACTTTGGGAGGCCGAAGCAGGTGGATCATGAGGTCAAGAGATCCAGACCATCCTGGCCAACATGGTGAAACCCCACCTCTATTAAAAATACAAAAATTAGCCAGGGGGTGGGGAGGGGTGGTGGGCGCCTGCAGTCCCAGCTACTCGGGAGGCTGAGGCAGGAGAATCACTTGAACCCAGGAGGCGGAGCTTGCAGTGAGCCGAGATTACCCCACTGCACTACAGCCTGGGTGAGAGAACGAGACTCTGTCTCAAAAAAAAAAAAAAAACAAAAAGATGATGCTGTCCTGGGAGCTGAGCTACCCCGTGTCAAGAGCATCAAGGGTTTAGCAAAGCCAGGGATCATTTTTAGGCTTATGGTAACCTCCTCCCTTGCAAGCAAACACATAATACACGGACAAATTGGGCTTTCTTTTGTTTTCTTTCAATATTGGGAATGCTCATCAGGCATGCAATACAAACCATCTGTAACCTCATACTGGAGAAGAGTATAAGATCTACTAGACCAGCACATAGAAAGTATCAGGGGTTGCATAAGATTTCCACTAACAAAGGAGATCCGAAAGCATTAAATCAATATCCAACATCTACCTAGAAGGAAATGCCCCAAAGGGAAATTTGGTAACAACAGGGACACAACTTGGCTACTTTGCATTTTAAAAGGTTTTTTTTTTTAAAAAAATAGATCGCTTGAAGAGAAAAATTCTTAGCGTGAGAAAAGAATTTGTATCAGCAGAAATTAACTAAATAGATAACACTACTCAGACCACACAACAGGAGAAACAAAATGAAGATGCCACTATCCTTTCAAAGATAGCATTTCTTTCTCCACCAGGATATACCACCAGGATAATATCCTGTGTTAAAGATCTCTCTCTCTCCCTTAATGAGCTACGTTCCAGTTTCAATTTAAGTCAACCAGGGGCAAATTTACTGAGTTCAAACTGGAAAAGGGATATGGGGGGGATTCAAGGATACGCAACTGGACACCCCACCAAAACCACTGAGGATTAATCCAATTTAGGCACGTGTGGAAGGGTAAACTGGAACCAATGAGCAACTAAGGAAAAGAAGAGGGTTTCTACTTCCAGATGTGGGTAAACTAAGAACCATAAGCGGAGGTGCCTCTGGGAACAAGAAGTCAAAAGGGCAGAACATTTTGTTTCATGTATTTTACCACAATTAAAATTAGTGGAGTGTGGTGGTGTGCATCTGTTAGTCCCAGCTACTCAAGAGGCTGAGGTGGGAGGATGGCCTGAGCCCAGGAATTGGAGGTTGCAGGGAGCTATGATTGCACCACTGCATTCCTGCCCAGAAAATACAGTGAGACCCTGTCTCAAGAAAAAAAAAATAATAAATTCATTGAATGATTTTACTGTGATTATTTAGTTTGGGTCATTTGGATTTTTTATTTTTCTACAAACAATACTGCAATAAAGATCCTTAACACAAATGTATTTGGCAACTATTAAAGACTATCTCCTACAAGTAGATTTTTCTGTGTTAACAGACACATTTAAAAGTCAGAAACAGGGCCAGGCATGGTGGCTCACGCCAGTAATCCTAGCACTTTGGGAGGCCGAGGCAGGTAAATCACCTGAGGTCAGACTGACCAATGGGAGGCTGAGGCAGGAGAATTGCTGAACCTAGGAGGTGGAGATTGCAGTGAGCCAAGATTGCACCACTGCACTCTTGCCTGGGCAACAGAGCAAGACTCCATCTCAAAAAAAAAAAAAAAGTTGGAAACACAATGTCAAATAATCCTCCCAAAAGATTTTGCCAATTACATTTCCAAAAACAGTATGCAAAGGTGCATTTTTCCTTACACCATCAACACTGGGTATTACTAATCCTTTTAATATTTTCCAACTGAATAAGGACAACAAAAAGGAGGGCGTGTGTGCATGGTGGTGCACGCCTGTAGTCCCAGCTACTCGGGAGGCTGAGGCAGGAGAATCGCTTGAACCCAGGAGGCGGAGGTTGCAGTGAGCCCAAATAGTGCCATGGCTCTCCAGCCTGGGTGACAGAGCAAAACTCTGTCTCAAAAAAAAATAATAAAAAGAAATCTCATTATATTAATTTGCATTTCTTTGATTAGGTTGAAAGTGCTTATGGTTTTTGGCCCTTGAAATTTTTCTTTTTTGATTTTTTTTTTTTAAATGGAGTCTCATTCTGTCGCCCAGGCTGGAGTGCAGTGGCACGATCTCGGCTCACTGCAAGCTCCGCCTCCTGGGTTCACGCCATTCTCCTGCCTCAGCCTCCCAGTAGCTGGGACTACAGGCGCCCACCACCACGCCCGGCTAATTTTTTGTATTTTTAGTAGAAAAGGGGTTTCACCGTGTTAGCCAGGATGGTCTTGATCTCCTGACCTCGTGATCCGCCCGCCTCAGCCTCCCAAAGTGCTGGGATTACAGGTGTGAGCCACTGTGCCCGACCTTCTTTTTTGATTTTTAAGTCTTCTTGTTGATATGCTGTGTCCATTATTGTTATTGGGATATTCTTAGACATTTGTAAAAACTCTTTACATAGTAGAAAAATATGTCATCTGCTGGAATTTTTTTGTTCAAGTTCATCATTTACCTATTAACTTTGTTTTTGATGTCTTTTTCAATGTGACTTTTATGTAGTCAGGTCTATTAATATTTTACCTTTTAGTTTCTGGCCCTGTGGTCATTCTTATAAAGTCCTTCACTACCTTGAAATCAGTTTAAAAAATTCTCTATGCCCCCGGCACACCAAGAATGACATATGTATAACTTAGGAAAACCAAAAGTATTTACTTGAGGAAAAGTAGCATGCAGTGATATTGATATTCTAACAATTATGAAAGCTTCCTATTTGTGGTGTACAAATGGGACACAAAATAGAATGGTACTAGGTTACTTCCACTTTTGTTTTTCCACTAAAAAAAAACAAAGGAGGATAAGCTATTACTACTTCCTTCTTACTTAAGATAAAGTTAACAATACCTACTGGCCCTAAAAATTTTGATACTAGGAGAGAGAGCTAGTTCCTATTTACTGTACCCATAGTTAATCTGGCCTATTCAAACCATAAAGCTTGAGCAGTTGATATGGACACGTCTCCCTATCCTTAGGAAACACAATGAGAATGGTGCGCACTTTGGTAAAAACAAATGTTCAGTTCTCCAGCTACAAGACTATTATTCCATTCCTTAAGTAGCTAAACCAGCTGGAGAACAATGCTGGTAATTAGGAATCAGTCCACAAGGGATAGCCCTTTCTCCTTATAAATGTCACAAGGACTGTCACCCAGCAAACACATTCCTAACCCCTTCTCCCTTGCTTGCTCTACCTGGAGTGGCAACATAACACAGTTCTGGCCAATGAAATACAAAAAGTTTGCTGAAGGGAATTCTGGGGAAGGTTTTACTTTTCTGATTAAAAACAAACAGGTATGGCTGGCACAGTTCTTTCCTCTTCTTCCTGCCTTGAATGCATGTTTGATGGCGTTAAGTTGCAACAGCCATCTTGGGACCACAGGGGAAAGACCAAGAGATGTTGGCCCTAACACCACCGAGAAGCAAAAGCCATGGACAACAATTGCCTACCACCCCTAGAATTATCCTGTCACAAAGATGAACTTCCATTTCCTTATGCCTCTGTAGTCAGGTTTTATATTTTTTATAGGCCATACCCAAATTAATCCTAATAGAGTCATTTTCAAATAATTTTTATGTCTAGCAAATAGTAGACCTTCAAAAATTAGGAGTTAATATTGGTAAGATTCTGGAAAAACTAAGTACACCTCAAGGGATTCAAGTAAAATTCCAACTAAGAATGGCATAAAGTTGATTTCTGAATGATTTCATAGTACTATGATCAAAAGATACCACTAATATCTAAACTAGATTTCATTTTATGCCTGGGATAATAACGTAACCTTAAAGGGTTTGGTTTAATTTTCAAAATCTAGTTTTGCTTTCTTCTTGATATAATTTTTTCACAGCATCCTGACAGGGAATCTAAGATGCACTCACTTTACTCTGCAATTTTTAAACAGACTGGATCCAGAAATGAACAAAAAACCATGGCCATATCTAGACATTCACTTGCAAAGCACAGGATAGCAGATGTGGTCACAAAGCCAGACACAAATGTACTCAGAACCATCCATAGGCTGTTTTGTGCTCAAAGTACTGAATAAACCAAATAAAAAATAATAATAGTATTTGTCAAAATTTGCAGATCTCATACTTTCAGACAAGGAGGGGAAAATCTGATGGCATTTGGTAGCAAACAAAATACTCTAAAATAAAAAGTTTATATGTAGTTTGAGGGATAAAACTGGCAAAAACCACCTGTGCCTATGTTATGACCAATAATTTCACTTGGTAAATATGTTTAAAAATGCTTCTCATAGCATTATTTACAATGATGACAATTAAAAGCCATTTAAATGTCCAACAATCAGTGAATGGCTAAATAAATATTATAACAATATTATTTCGTCATTGAAAAATTTTAATTATTTTAACGACATGAAAATGCTCTCAGTATATAAAACATTTCCTGAATATAATTTCAATATAAAAAAGAAAAACAGGAAAATACTGAAAGGGAACTTACAAAAACTGAAATGAAATGCTGTAAGATGTTAAAAGTGGCTGTCTTCTGTGTAGGTGTGAGTGTATATACATACACTTCCCGTCTCTGCTGACAGGTCTAGAAATAGCAATACTCACTAACAAGGAGCACCCCTAGTACCTAGATCTTGGTTTCTAAATACCACAATCCACTAAACAGAGCCAGGGCTCCTTCAAGAAAGACTGATTTCAGGGCTGGAAGATGGAAAGTCTAAGATGAGCATTAAACATCTTCTTGTGCCAGAAAGTAAGGAAGTACTCAAAGATTGACTGAAGACAACTTTGAAGGACACAAGCCAGTTTGACGGCACTTCCACTATCTGGGACAATTTTAATATCAAAATAAACATAACTCATTGAATAAAATAGGAAAACATGAGTCCATATTGATATAAATGAATAAATAAATGGTAAATAAATGAGGGAGAAGAGGAAGCTCTTCATTATAGAATGCCAATTAATAGATACAGAAGAAACTATTATTTTAAAAAGGTTATCCCTGAACGGTAATATTATGAGCATACACTTTTTTTCTGTATTTCTCTCGTTTCAGCTTTATAAAATAAGCATATACATCTTTTGTAAAAACACTCACAATCCCCAACAAATACAACATATGCACATCTCCAGAGCACTCACTAGAGCCACTTTCAAAAGGAAAGCATATGCACAACAGCCCCAAGTACAAACGGCAAGAACATGGGCCACCTGCCCTGTCCTAGAGAGCTCACATGTCCCAGGGCGCTGGGCTAAAGTTCAAAACAAAACAGGAAAAACAAACAAACCACCAAAGGCAGCACTGAAATTTATGCAAGTTTTTGGTTTGGTTTTATAGTAATTATGAGGGTGAAGAGATGTGACCCTTACTGCGATGCCAATGACAAATGGTTAACTGATAAGAAGAAATGGAGAGGGCGAAGGCTGTAGAGCAGGTCAATATCAGGCTGTCATGAAGCCATTTGAGACACATAATTAATCTATTACTCACCTGGCATCATCATTCATTGTAGTATGGTCAATAGGTGCCATGAAACTCAGTAGCTTGCTAAGGACATGAAACCTAAATAAAGCAGGAAGCAACAGGCAGCAACATTAGTAACTATTAACCTAGGAGAGGAAACACATTCAGTGAGTTAACAAACTCCAGAACTGATCACTGGAACATCTGGGTACAAAGTGGGATAGGGAAAAATTCATAGGCACTTACCACTGTCATTGGGATGACCAACTACAGTCATCCCATGGTATCTGTGGAGGAATGGTTCCAGGACTCTCTATGGATACAAAAATCCACGGATGCTCAAGTTCCTTATATAAAATGGCATAGTATTTGCATGTAATCTACACACATGCTCCCATATACTTAATTCATCTCTAGATTACTTAAAATACTTAATGCAATGTAAATGCTACGTAAATAGTTGTACAATGTATTGTTCAGGGAATAATGACGAGAAAAAAGTCTGCACTTGTTCACAGGTACAGACATTCCTTTCCCCATGCCTGAATATTTTCAATCTGTGGTTGGTTGAATCCACTGATGTGGAACTCACAAATATGTAGGGCTGACTGTACATTTTTCCCTTTTTCCCTAATGCTACAGGAGAAAAGTCTGATAACAGTATACTGTAAATGACAGTTCAACACAGATTCATTTATAGTACAGCCCCAAAAAAGAACAGGTACACTTGTGCTTTTGAGCAATATACAACCCTTAAACATTATTCCAGACTAAAGACAATGAGGAATTGACTACCTCATTTTCTTCCTCTACATATATCTTAAGCATTTTTCATTTTAATAGATGTCACAAAAGCCATCTACTGGCAGCAGCACAGGTAGTGGTACAGTATCTGAATGCAACACCTCACCAACACCACACACACTGCCACTGGTTCCCCAAGGCAGAAAAGGGGTCTGCAATTCCACGTCATCTCCATGCACTAGATCCAGGGGGTCTTTCATTTCCCCCACCTTTAAATGGAGAAACACAACTGAATTCACAGTAAGTTTGATTCCTAGATCTTCAGTCTAGGTACTATGGAAGTTTAAGTTATATCACCTACATTTCCCACCAAATGGAAAAAAAAATATTTTGTATGATGTGTTTGAGATGCTCTAGAAAATATATGACCTTATACAGACCAAATCATACCAAAGATAATTCAAAGGGGTATCCTTTTCTACTCATTATAATGTGCCCTCTCTATATACATAAAATAAAATTCTAACCCAAAAAACTCTACTAGGGCAAAACACTATCCATAAAACAAAATGTGGTATTTTCATGTATTTAATACATAATATTTTAAAGTTTTAGGAACATTTTTACACATATCAAATAATTTAATTATTTATTATATCACCCACAGCTCAGCCTCCCAAAGGTAATTCTTTATCTCAACAAATGAATTTTACAAGAATAATACTGGTTAAGATTTTTCCTATTATACAAGTAATAGAGGCAGGGTGTGGTGGCTCATGCCTGTAATCTCAGCACTTGGGGAGGCTGAGGCAGAAGGATTGCTTGAGACTAGGAGTTCAAAACTAGCCTGGACAACATAGTAAGACCCTGTCTATACCCCCACACCAACCCAGAAAAAAAGTAATACAAAAGGTATAAAATACAGAAAATTGAAAAAAAACCAAACCACACAGAAAACACATACAGTTGGCCTGGCGCAGTGGCTCATGCCTATAACCTGAGCACTTTGAGAGGCCAGGCAGAAGATCACCTGAGCCCAGGAGTTCAAGACCAGCCTGGGCAACATAGCAAGACCCCGTCTCTACAAAAAGTAAAAACAACTGGCCAGGCACGGTGGCTCACACCTGTAATCCCAGCACTTTGGGAGGCTGAGGGGGGGCAGATCACCTGAGGTCAGGAGTTCAAGACCAGCCTGGCCAACATGTTGAAACCCCATCTCTACTAAAAATACAAAAATTAGCCAGGTGTGGTGGCACATGCCTGTAATCCCAGTAAATAGGGAGGCTGAGGCAGGAGAAACCCTTGAACCCGGGAGATGGAGGATGCAGTGAATCGAGATTATGTCACTGCACTCCAGCCTGGGCGACAGAGAGATTTTGTTTCAAAAATAAAACAAACAAAAACCAAAAAGTAAAAAAACTGGCTGGGTGCAGTGGCTCACGCCTGTAATCCCAACACTTTAGAAGCCTGAGGCGGGTGGATCACCTGAGGTCAGGAGTTTAAGACCAGCCTGGCCTGCTAACACGGCAAAACCCTCTCTCTACTAAAAATACAAAAATTAGCCGGGCGTGGTGGTGTGTGCCTGTAATCCCAGCTACTCGGGAGGCTGAGGGAGGAGAATTGCTTGAACTCAGGAGGCAGAGGGTGCAGTGAGCCGAGATCAGGCCACTGCACTCCAGCCTGGGTGACAGAGCAAGACTCTGTCTCAAAAAAATAAATAAGTAAAATAAAAAAGTAAGAAAACTAGCCAGGCACGGTGGCATGTGCCTGTAGTCCCAGCTACTCGGGAGGCTGAGGTGGAAGGATTGCTTAAGCCTAGGAGGTTGAGACTGCAGTGAGCCCTCCGGTCTGGGCTTTGTAGCTCAGGCTGGAGTGCAGTGGTGTGATCATGGCTCACTACAGAGTATGAGCTTATCTAAAAAACAAACAAACAAAAAATCCCACACACAATCCTTCTACCTATAGACAATTGTTGTTACGTTTGTTTCACATAATGATCCTTATATATATATATATTCACACAATTTTGAATGAATTCTTTTCTCACCTAGCCTTATAAGCAATGTCCCATAAACAATTTATAAATAGCTGCATATAACCGTAGGAACAGAAGTACCCTATTTTCATATTTTTGAACACATACATTGCTTCTAATTCTTCACTTTTTGTTGCTGTTGTTGTTGTTGAGACAGGGTCTCACTGTCACCCAGGCTGGAATGGAGTGGTGCTATCTCGGCTCACTGCAACCTCTGACTCGCAGGTTCAGGCCATCCTCTCACCTCAGCCTCCTGAGTAGCTGGAACTACAGGAGTGTACCACCATGCCCAGCTAATATGTGTATTTTTAGTAGAGATGGGGTTTCACTATGTTGCCCAGGCTGGTCTAGAACTCCTGGACTTGAGTGATCCACCTGTGTTGGCCTCCAAAAGTGCTCGGATTACAGGCGTGAGCCACCATGCCCAGTCTAATTCTTCACTTTTTATAAAAAAGGCCTCTATGTATCCTTGTTTTTTTGTTGGTGATGTTTTGTTTTTTTGAGATAGGGTCTTGCTTTGTTGCTCAGGCTGGAGTGCAGTGTGCGATCACGGCTCACTACAGCCTTGACCTCCCAGGCTCAAGCCATCCCCCCACCTCTGCCTCCCAGCCCCGACCACCACCAAGGAGCTGGGACTAGAGGTGTGCGCCACCATGCCTGGCTAATTTTTAAATTTTTTTTTTTGGTAGAGAGAGGGTCTTGCTATGTTGTCCAGGCTGGTCTCAAATTCCTAAATTCAAGTGATCCTCCCACCTCAGTCTCCCAAAGTGCTGGAATTACAAGCATAAGCCACTGAGCCTGGCCAATACATAACTCTTAGATGTGAAATTGCTGAGTTGAAAGGTATGTATATGTAAACTTGACTGAGTCAAAATGCCTTCCCAAAAGTTATGTCAATGTATGAGCATAAATATTTATATAACCTTTTTATTTAAATATAAACCAAAAATACTGTTAATTAAATATATCTTTTAATGTCCTTAGGCCTCACTAAACTTCAGTGTCCATCTGAAAGTATGATTACTATTCTTGGCTGTGTCCAGAGACGGCTTTAATTCACTTTCTGGACAAAGACTATGAACTGTACCCTACAGTTGTGTTATGCAATACAGTAGCTACTAGCCACACGTGGTTACTGTGCATTTGAAATGGGGCTAGTCTGAATTGAGATGTACTGTAATTAAGTATAATATACAAACGAGATTCTGAAGACTTGGGACAAAAAAAATACATATCACTAATAATTCTTAAAATAGTAAATTGTTGAAATAATATTTTTATATATTGGGTTAAATGAAATGTCACTAAAATTAAGTTCATCTTTTTCTTTTTACTTTTTCAATGTCGCTACTAGAACATTTAAAATTGCATATATAATACATATTAATATTTTTATTAGATGGTACTGCTCTGTAGAATATCTTTACATTTAATACAATATAGTTAATAACTATTAACTACATGATGAAATACAGGCTTTAGGAAGAAATCAGATTAAAGACCATTTAGTAATCTGTACTTAGCATCTAGTCTCGGTGCCACTGCAAATGGGTGTATGTTTTAATATTAAATCATCTTTTACCAACCATACTAAGAAAAGACAAATATTATTTTGTTGTGGAAGAACAGACCAACACAGTAAGACGTCATATTATTAAAGGCTTGGGAGTTTGATCCATTTACATTATGATTTCTGATTAAATCATAACTAAATCCACTTATATGTAATGCTGAGTAGAATACTGACAATCAATAATTATAATTACTGTATTTCCAAAAACCAAAATATTTGTTTTTTTAAAAAACGTTATTTTCTAGCATCCAATTAGCAAGTCTGACCAGGCTGTACCATTTAAACTAATGAAGTGTTATTATTTAAACTGTTTCCAGAAGGTAATGTTAATCTTTGCTACAACATTTCTGGAAGTCTTACATATACAACCCTATCACAAACAAGGAGCAAAAATTGCTCAATGGTGGGACCTAGTATCAGTGATGACAGCTGGCATACACTGTCTGTTCTTGAAGTTTAACTCAAGAAAGTTGTTTATAATATTCTCATCTAGCCTGGGGGGCCACTTGGTTTAACCCCTTAGGAAAGGATGCTAAGGTGGCCAAGATGTCATTCTGGTGCCTGTATAGGGTTGGTCCTGCCAGTGAAACAACTCAAGATCCAGAGATTAGAAGAACAGGCTCTGGAATCAGACCAATTAGTTCAAATCCCAGTTTGCTACTTACTATGTAACACTGGGGATGTTACATCACATGAATTAGCTCATTTAGTCTGCATAACCACCCTATAAAATTGTCACTTCTATGATTATACTCCTTTCACAGATGAGGAAATTGAAGCACAGAGATGTAAAGTAATTTGTTCAAAGTCTCAAGGCCGGGAAATGGAAAAGTCAGCTTTCAAACCTAGGCAGTTTGGCTCCAGAGCTTATGCTCTTTCTGCCTCCGCATGTAAACTGATTAGCAGTGCCTGACCTGGGATTTCTGGAGATGTTAGTTCTTACGCTATTGCTATGAGTAAAGACTACTCTCTGATTCTGACCACATCCTCACATTTATGGTCTCAAGATGAGCCAGGTGAGTACAGATGACAAAACCAAAACCAATTCAACACACATGAACTTACATTAAAAACTTTTTGTTCTGTAATAATTTTGGGCTTCTAAGACCCCACATTACACCTTGCTGTGATGTCTCCTTAGTCTCCTGCAATCTGTGACAGTTCCTCAGTCCTTGTTTTATCATTACTTTGACACTTGATGAGTACTGGTCATTTATTTGGTAGAGTGTCTCACAATGTGGATTTGTATGCTGTTTTATGATGAGATTAAGGTTAGGCATTTTTTTGCAAGAATACCACAGAAATGATGTTGTATCTTTCTACTGAAGACACAGGGGGTATAGATATGTCTTTTTACTGGTGCTGTTCATCTTGAACACTTGGTTAAGGTGGCATCTGCTAGATTATTGCAAAGCCACTATGTTTCTCTTTGTAATGGACAAATATCTTGGGGGAGATACTTAGAGACCAAATAAATACAGTTTCTCCTCAAATTTTTGCCCATTGATTTTAGCATCTATTGTGGACCTTGCCTGCAAAAATTATTACTGTGGGGCTTCCCTAGTGGTGGTTTTCTATTTCTCTCATTCCCTTTACAACTGGATTCCAAAAGGCTTTTATGAAACAAACTAATCAAGATAGTAAAAGTTTACACAGAAATTCTAGAGGCCTTTCAAGTATGGAAAGTTTTAGTTTGCAGTTTCTGGAACTCTTCAGTAACCAAAGGCATTTCATGTGAAGAAATGTGATCACAAATGAAACGATGCTGCCCTTTTGTGATTTCTCTGAGGCACCAGGCGCTCCTGACCCCTTACTAAACACTGTCCTGTATTCATCGCTGTCGTAACCTCCTCCTGCCCTCCCCCGTCAATGGCCACTGTTCCTCAGCATTCTTTATGGGCTCCTCTTACTCTAGCTCACGTATGTTGACATTCTTCAGGATTCTACTCTTGTCACTCTGTATTCTTGTCACACCGTACCCTCCCTGGGTAAACAGCAATTAAACTGTTGCCAAACTATCAACTAATAAATACCCACATCCTCCTCTCGACTGAAAAATATCTCAACTTGGATTTCTGAAGGTTGTGTCAAACTTCAACATATTCAGAAACTGAATCCACTCCCTCCCTCAAAAAACAACAACAAAAAAGATGTTCTCCTTGCAGCCTCTCTCTTATACATATCAATGATTACTACCAAGACCTATCTAGTTCCCTGAAACTCTGGGAGTCATTCCAACCTTCTCACTTTCCTTTACCTCTTCATGTGTGGCCACTCTTAAGTAAGAACTACTCACCTGTATAAATGTCTCTCAATCCGTCATCTCCTATTCCTTCCAGGCCTTGCTCTCATAACTTTCTAGTCCTTTATAGAAAATCTCCTACAATTATCTTTTTTTTTTTGAGACAGGGTCTCGCTCTGTGACTCAGGCTGGAGTGCAGTGGCATGATCTCCGCTCACTGAAACCTCTGCCTCTCTGGTTCAAACGATTCTCCCGCCTCAGCCTCCCGAGTAGCTGGGACTACAGGCACATGCTACCATACCTGGCTAATTTTTGTATTTTTAGTAGAGACGGGGTTTCACCATGTTGGCCAGGCTTGTCTCAAACTTCTGACCTCAAGCCATCCACCTGCCTCAGCCTCCCAAAGTGCTGGGATTACAGGTGTGAGCCACTGTGCCCAGCCAATTATCTTTCTGAAATGTGCATGTGATGACAATATTCCTCTGCCTAAAATCTTTCAATGACTCACTACAGTCTACAGAATAAAGTCCAAAATTCTTAACGTGGTCATGATCTAGCACTCACCCATGCATGCAGCCTTATCTCCTGCCATTCTCTCATATTCACTTTTGGTGCTGGTATAGGCCAGTTGGCCAGTGAAACAACTCAACAGCCAGAGGTTAAAAGAACAGGCTCTGGAATCAGACCAATTAGTTCAAATTCCAGTTTGCTACAAAAGTCTCTGCCAAAACAAATTAATTACAGTTCCCAAAATGGGTCCCAGACTCTCTCAAGCTTACAAACCTTTTTGTACACATTCTCTTTGTCTTTCACTGGGCAAACGCCTACTAATCTCTCAAGGCTCAGTGAGGAAGTCGTCTTGTGCAAGTCTTCCTGAGCAGTCTGCATCCCTCAAGGGTGGAGCAGGATTATTTCTACTGCTACACCTCCCACACAGCACCTCAGTCGGCTAGGGTCTGCCATCCTCTCCAGACTAGTTGGCTCTCTGATGCTGTGGGTTCAGCATCCACAGATTTAATCAACCATGGATCAAAAATACTTAAGACATAAATGATTGTGTCTATATTGAATATGTCCCAATTTTTTTTCTTATTATTCTAAACAGTGTAGTGTAATAATTATTTACATGGCGTTCATATTGAACTAGGTATTATAAGTAATCTAGAGATGATTTAAAGTATAGGGAGGATGTGTGTAGGTTATATGCAAATACTATGCCACTTTATATAAGGAACTTGAGCATTGTGGATTTTGGTTTCTGCAGGGGTGGGGGTGTGGGGCTGTTTGTGCGTCCTGGAACCAATCCTCCACAGATAGCACAAATGACTGTGTATGCTCCCTGAGGGCAGACTGGGTCTTAACTACCACCTAATGACCATCTTCTTAGAAGGTGAAGGACACTAAAACCACTTACTATGTTTTCATGTTTAACTCTGTTTAAAAAGAATGCCTCTTTTTAAACTCTGTTTAAAAAGAATGCCTCTTTTTAAACTCTGTTTAAAAAGAATGCCTCTTTTTAAACTCTGTTTAAAAAGAATGCCTCTTTTTAAACTCTGTTTAAAAAGAATGCCTCTTTTTAAACTCTGTTTAAAAAGAATGCCTCTTTTTAAACTCTGTTTAAAAAGAATAAGATTTTACTGCCTCTGGATATGAGAATGTGGGGATCTCCACTGCTATCAAAATGCTGCAAAAGCAAAGGTATCTAATTGCATTGACACATACCTGTAATGAACAGTTTAATGAAGCTAGTTGAATTCATTAATATAAAAAGCAGTTGCTATTAAAACAAAATCCTGGTTTTTTCTTTTCAAACTGATATATTGAACATTTTTGAATGCCTACTATGTACCAGATATTTACACATGATTTCATTTAATTCCCATACCAAATCCCCAAAGCAGGGATTATTACCTCCACTTAGTAAATGAGAAAAGTGAGGCCCAGAGAATAAAGAACAACCAAAATCATATCACCAGACAGAGTCAGGGTTTGAACGCAAGTCTTGTGATTTGAAATCCTAAGCTCTTCCTTCTAGAGAACATTTATGTCCTCATAAAATTACAATTTTAAAAGTACAGTATTGGAGAAAAATTTGATCCCAAAAATAAAAAATAAGATAATCATTCAGCCTAGTCACCTATGAAGTACTATTAGTAACATTTTTCTTTAAATCCTTGAAGGGGGCTGGGGGGAGACAGGTACGGAAGAGACGTGTCAGTAAACAAATAAATGAACACTAGGAAAAGAGACTGACCCAACCTTGGAATACTGATAGCAATAATAATGACAGTAATAATGGCAACAAACACTTGTACAGTGCTTAACTATGTACCTGGCACTATTCTAAGAGCCATACACACCCTATTCATTTAATCGTCACAGCAACCATTCAAGGCTGATATATTATCATATCCATTTTACAGATGAAGAAACTAGCACAGAGTTTAAGGGTCTTGCCCAAAGTAACTACTAATCAATGTCAAAGCTGGGATTCAAACTCAGGCAGTCTGGGTCTTAAGTCCATGCTCTTCACCTCTAAAAATGAACCTAGAGAATTATGAAGATTCGGAAATTTCAAGACATAAAAAGAGGTAAAGAAATTATAACAATTTAACCTGAGATTTTAAAAAAGCGACCCTAAATCAAAGGACGATACTTTGCAAAGCTGTTGATACTGTGTACTTCTGCAAAGTTAAAGAAAAATCAGCATTTCCTGATGAGTTGTGTTAAATACTAAAACAAGTTCATTAAAGTAATTGAGAAATCTACTTCTCTGAAGATCTTTAAAAATCAGATAGACCCACATTTGTCTAAAGGGAATTTAATGATAGGCAGGTTCTAATAAGGATGTGGGTTTAACTACCTGCCTAAAACTATCCTAACACAAGTTTAAGATTTTCTCTCAGTGTGCACCTGAATTACAGGTAGTTTGACACTGAGGCTTTGTGTGATGACACTGTGTTTCTCACACACACACACACACACACACACACACACACACACACGGCAGTTACCAAGTCTAAAAGTATAGCGAGGTCAATTTCCACTCTTGCTCCTTCTTTTATCTGTACCCTTATAAAACTCCTTAAAGAGCTCACAGGGGAGGATTTTCCTAAAGTCAGAAATTGCTCTATTTTCTCATAAACATTTTATTTCTCTTCTCATTTAATAACTTTGTTAACATTCCCTGTGGTCCTTCACTTATATCTTTTTAGCATACTGTGTGCACATATGGCATCATAAAAATGGACCAATAAGACAATAACATTTTTATATTTATTATTATTATTATTATTATTTTTTTTTTTTTTTTTGAGACGGAGTCTCGCTCTGTCGCCCAGGCTGGAGTGCAGTGGCGCGATCTCGGCTCACTGCAAGCTCCGCCTCCCGGGTTCACGCCATTCTCCTGCCTCAGCCTCCCGAGTAGCTGGGACTACAGGCGCCCGCCACTACGCCCGGCTAATTTTTTGTATTTATTATTATTATTTTTTAGATAGAATCTCGCTCTGTCACTCAGGCTGGAGTGCAGTGGCATGATCTTGGCTCACTGCAGCCTCCGCCTCCCGGGTTCAAGTGATTCTACTGCCTCAGCCTCTTGAGTAGCTGGGACTATAGGCACCCGCCACCACACCCAGCTAATTTTTGTATTTTTAGTAGAGATGGGGTTTCACCACGTTGGCCAGGATGGTCTTGATCTCCTGACCTCAAGTGATCTGCCCACCTCGGCCTCCCAAAGCACTGGGAGTACAGGCGTGAGCCACCACGCCTGGCCATAACATTTTTATATTATTCTATAGAAATTAATTGTTAAAGTTAATATAATTTCAACTATTTTACTTTTGTTTTCTTATTTTTTCTCTTTCAAGGGAATGCATATATTATTTCACCCATCTATTACAACAGTAGCACAAAAGTCAATGAAACTATATTTCCATTTTAGAATAAGAAAAACTGAGTTGCAATAAACCTTCAAATATTGTTTATTTTTCTGATCCTTAAAAACAGAATCATCAGAAGAAAAAGAAAAATGACATAACAGCCAGAATGTAAGAGACGAGATACATATACAATATATGTTGACATTTTTTCCGAAAAGTAACTCACCGAAGTTTCCTGCCTTTGCTGGCTTTCCTATCTACTTTTTTGTGGATTTTGCTTCGTAACTTCTGGATTGCAAGCCACTGCCTGGAAAATTCACAAGCAATGTTATGCATCATCACTAACAGAAATAGTTATACATATTGACAAATTGGAATTATTCTAACAACCCTGCAGAAAGAAATCATCAACCTACATCAAGTTCCTCAAGCTAGTTTGGGGCCAAACTGACTAATCAATTGAACAGGATTTGTGCAATGGTAAAAAAACAAACGGCAGCTGGGAAATTCTACAGCAAATTTGGTTCACAATGCTCCTTAGTATTTGGAGTTGCTGTGACAAGCACTAAATCTACCAGTCTGCAGGCAAACCCATCAGATTTAGTAGAGCTACTTGGGTTTTCTTTTAATGTTTTAGCTATGCAGCATGTTCTGTTACTAATGTTGCAACTGCTGGTTGGTTTGAATGCATGAATTTTTAAAATCTAACTTTCCCTTTGGTAATCCTCCAGTGCTTTTTCTTGTGCTTTCCAATTTTTGCTAATTTTTAAATAATTATCCACTACTGATACTAGTTTTTAATTGTTTTAAATTGTTTAAATTGTTTAAATTGTTAATTTTCATTTCATCTATAAATATTTCAGTACGTGTTGCTATACAAGAGAAGCGATAAGGACTCTTCTCCCCTCAATATAATCTCAATACCATTACCACATCTAAAAAAAAAAGTCAACAATAATTCTTTATTATCAAATATTCAGTCAGTCTTCACATTTCCTGGAATGTCTCAATTTTACAGTTGGCTTGTTTGGATCAGAATCCAAACAAGATTCACATATTCTGCAGTCATTTTAGATAAGAAGGAATTAATTTTTCAATAAGGGATATTAGGCTAAGAAAATCTTCATAAATTGCTCATATGAACTAAAGTGAAAAAAAGAAAAAGAAGGAGAAACAGCAGCAGCAGCTAGTCATCCTACCTGATTTATACAACGAAAATTCAACACCAGAAAAAAAAAATCTAGGGAAATCCAATTACTGTAATCTTAATATAATCTTAATTACCATAATCTATTTTATTGTAAAGTCAGATAAATGTACAATATAATCACCACTTAAATGCAATTTGCTCTATCACATTAAATTTATAGCGAACAGCTCTCTATAACATTCCAGAGATAAACGAAATATCAACATCCTACCCTAAAATTCACATAATATTTTACTTAAATAAAATTATTTCATCAACACAAATTTTTCACTGCTTTCTCGAATGGCTGCTCTGCCTAGAATCCCATTCTGGCACTTGCAGCTTTTGTTTCCTTTCATGCTTTTGCAAATTATGGCTCATGGCTATTTAAATGTACACTATTCATTAGGTAGCATTCTAAATGCCCTTTTTATTTTCCAACCACAGGATGAAGCATACACACAAGGGCCTTCCTTCACTACTTTACATTCTGCCCTGACATCTGGGTAATGCTGCCACGTTCCACTTCTAATTGTGCTGAAGCTTTTACTGAAGAGGTGGAGGTCTAAATTAGGGCAGACTCTAACAAAGCAGATTCGACTGAGAGCAAAGAACCTGTTGTGCGCAGTGCCATGTTCTGACAGCTGAGAGCTCACATTTGGATGGCTGCTTTGTATCCACTGGTCAACAGATTGATATGGATACAATCACAATGCAAAACCAGGGAGCAAAGAGCATAAGAAAGACTTTGGAAAACAAACTCTAAAAACAAACACATAGGTGTTTTATAATTTCTTTACAAATTGCACTTTAGGCAATGTAGGGTAAACAATTAGTCACATTTTCTTTCTAGCTCTTACTTGCTTAACTTCAATAATTATAGGACCAATCATTGCTTTGCAGGTAGAATTAAAGGGACTCAAGGGGAGAAACTATTACATAGGCTGCTTGCATGAACAGAAAGCTGTATCTAAATTACCTTCCCATGGCCACCTGATCGTTGGGATCCAAGGAGCTGGTCTTCCGTTCTATGAGTTCTCGAAGGAGCTAGGGGAAAAAGGAAAGCAACGAATTTATTTATCATCTTCCAGTACAACTGACTTTAAAAGGGCAGAGAAGGAATTCTGAATGGCATAGTGACAGCTCTAAAACTACAATCAATAAGGGACAACCCAGTGGCAAGAGCATTACTGAATTCCCGTTAACGCTTTCATAGTTATATATCTTTAAAAAGGTGGCTATAGCAGTAGCTGAGAACAGAAGTCCATTTGGAAGACTTATTGTACCGCAGTTCATTTCAAATAGATCAATGAGTATGCAACATTCCCTTCATTATTTTTATGATTAGTTTTGTCCACTCCATTGATATCAATGGAGAATCTTTAAAAGGTCAGGTGGGAAGGGCCGTGTGGCAAAAAGGGAAATGCATCAGCTTCTCACCAACAGGATAATGGTGCAAGGTTAACTTCTGAACTATAACCTCCAACAGTCAGGAAGGTCTTCCTCAGGCAAAAAGCCTTTACTGTATGTAATTAAAAGTGTGGGCATCGGCCTCTTGTTTTCCACAGCTGCTACTCTACCATGCTTGCTATTAAGTGCTTTAGCCACACATGATACCAACACATTCATAGCCACACAAATTTTAAGAGGGAATCTAAAGAAAGTCATTTGCATACTGCAAATATACCACAGAGGATTAGTCTCTCATCCAATACAATTAACTCCATGGGAGTTATTCTAAATGACTCTCCTACTGTCATTTTAAGCCTGACTCCTCTGCACCCAGTTGAAATCTACATCTGTACCTTTCATACAGACTTAAGAATCTGCACTGAATCTTAAAGTCCTTGGGCGAAGAGAAGCAATGGTTTTAAAAGTTAAACACTAAGGGAGAAAAACCCTGAATTACGATAATAGAACTATAAGTGCTATATGCAGAGAAAGAGAAACAGAGATTAAAATTCCAAAAATCTTCTGAGAGAAATTTAAGAGAAGACGCTAAGATAAACTAGTTCTGCTAATCATCTGTCAATAATCCAGGTTTGGCCTTAAAACTTGTTTCTTCATAAAAATTAGCAATGATTTTGTAGGTGAGGCATGGTGGCAATAGAGATATTTCATCAAATCAAATAGCTGAAGCCTGTGGGCTTCAGTGGTTCAAATGAAGAAAGAGAAATAAATTCCTCTGAAAGCAGATCTCTTTCTAATTTCATATGTTTATGTAAGTAGGCACTGGAAGAAGTAAAACAAATTTATAAAAAATATTCACTTCCAAAAGATGAATCTTTATTGCAAAAGGGAAAAGGATATCTCAATTGCAATTAGAAAACCTCCCATGATGTTTTTTCATTTGCTTATTTTGGACATTATTACTACAGCAATTATGTTTAAGAATGCAGGGACCAGAAGCCGCTGGTTTTATTATCACTAGAAAACAGCAAGCTATTTCTCTACCCTGTTTATCTGATTGATTCCCAACATCTTTCTGGCAGCCAATCTATCAGTTTATCTCTCCTACTTCATCACAGTCACTTCTGGCAGCTAAATACAAGATCCAAATCCAGTGTTACACAGACATATGACACAGTAAACCTATGTAACACTGCTGCTGTGTAAACAGCTGCCCTTAAGGCTAAGCAGAAATGGGCTTCTGGTTCCTAGTCAATATTCTGTCAAAAGCAAGGAGTAGGGGGAGTGAGGGGGAGTGGTTAATAATAATAAAGAAGAAGAAATAAAAGAGAAAGAAAAATAAAAAGGAAGGAAAATAATGGAATAACTGCATTTCATTGCCCTTACCTCGTTCCAGCCATACAAAAGATTACAACAACCGTTCCTGGTTTTCCTAATTTTCTCAGATCCCTTGAGACTGGGCAATCAGGGTCACCGGGGTGCAAGTGCTCATGGAAGGCTGCCCCAGCACAACAGGGTGATCCTCGGGAAGAATATGCCCTTGCCAAAGGCTGGAAATTGGAGCTCCCCACTGCAGTGGTCTCTGCAATTCCAACACCAAGTTGGTGCAGCATTTACTTTCAAACACTTTGTGTACTATACATATTCTGAGCTGCATTTTCGCACACAAGTGCTTTGCATAACTATTTTTACTCATTCATGACTTGGAAGATTGTTTTATTGGTCTATCTAGCTAGGTCTAGTTTATTCAGTCCAATATTTCAGAAGATTCTGTTGTGTCCATGGTAAGAAAAAGAAAGCAACAACAACAAAAAATACAGTTAAACAAATGATTCCCGTGGCTATTACTATTTTCCCAAAGCTACCACTATCACTGGGTTTAAATTTAATTAGAAAATTGCTTTCAAAACAGTTGCTAAAAAAAAAAAAAGAGATTTGAGATATTGGCTGAAGAATTCAATTTTACTTCTGATTTTAATTTGTATAGCTTTAACTTTACAAATAAACCTTTCTACTAAAATTCAAGTTTCTGTTACAATTATTAGAGCTTTTTATTTCAACAATGATGATATAGTATTTGTAGTAATTTTCTATGTGATTTGGAAAATGGAGAGAGAGAAAATGTTTTTGCTCTAGTCTGTTAAAATTCCTCCAGATAATCAATTCGGAAAGGCTTGATTATACCTCTAGTTCTAAGGGAAAATCATAGATACAGTTAGGTTTTCAGGTTGGCCACAGAAACCTATTTAACCCATACCAATATACATGAGGAACAGGACTAATAGTACTATTAAGCATCTAATCAACATTTATAATACTTTCATTAGAAAAAATGCATGCTAGAAACAGTTAAAAATGGCAGATTGAACACATTAGTTTATCTCTTCTCAACCCCTCTAAGAGACAGTTGAGGAATAAAATAAATATTAACTCCTAAGAAAAAAGAGAAAAGGAGCACTAATGTGTGCATATTTTCATAAATTTTTCCAAGACAGTAAGGAGATGGAGAAGTTATCACCCAAATGCCCAGAGTGAATAAAGGTGAAGATGAAGCTAATTGTATTAGGCCGCAGAATTCCTGTGAGGATCAGCTCTCTGGCAGTTACCACGCAAGGTGGGAAAAAGAGAAGGAGCAGAACCACTTGGGCCTCCTCCATTATCCCACACAGCCAAGTGACTAACCACCTCTACCACCCACCTCCTCTCGTGAGAGAAAAGAAATTTTATTCTTTGGAAATATTGAACCACAGAAGCTCCAGAATAGAGGATACCAGGCAAAGAAGGCTGGAATGAGGTACAAGGGAAAGGCTCTATGTTAATCTCTGAAACCTCTCCCTTTCTCCCACCTCATTTGTAGAAAGCTAACATCCCATTCTATAATTTCCTAGGCAGGAAAGCAGAGGAGCCTTTTCTGGAAGAAACTGAATGGTGTCTGCCCTCCCACCCCCAAAATTAGATTTCAAAGTTGCTATGGTCTTCTGCATGTGTCTCCCAAAATCCGTATGTTGAACACTTAATCCCCAATGCAACAGTATTGGAAGGAATGGCCTTTGGGAGGTGACTGAGTCATGCAGGCTCTGCCCTCGTGGATGGGATTAGGCGTCCCTCTAAAAGGGCATGATGGAGGGAGTCTGTCCCTTTTGCCTTTCCACCTTCTGCCATGTGAATTCCCTCAGAAGAATTCAGCATCAAGGCACCATCTTGGAAGCAGACAGCAGCCCTCTCCAGACAACAGAAACTGCCACCTTCTTGTTCTTGGACTTTACAACCTCCAGAACTGTGAGAAATAAATTTCTGTTCTTTTAAGATTACCTAGTCTGTGGTATTTTACTATAGCAGCACAAACAAATAGATATATAGAAAACAAAGCAAACAAATACAAATTCTGACATCCAAGGCTACTCTAACAAAGAGGTCAGTTCACAGCATAATTATATTTAAAGAAGCCAAAAAGCTCTGCCCAGGTTTCAGAGATTCCGAATAATAAACTTTAATGCTTTACTCTTAAATATGAACAGACAGTTAAGGATCGCCTGCATCTGAGGAAATCCTCATGCACAAACCAAACAAATAGAAAAGAGACTCAAGGAAGCAATGCAGAGAACAAAATAAATAATTAAAAAGGAGAAAAAAACCCCCAAAACTTACAATGAATATCCCAAGAGTGGGAGAGGGTATACTTTGATAAGAGCAGGATGCTGTGAAAAAGACTAAAATGAGAAATTAAACACTAAACAGAAAATTTTAAAAAATCCAACAGAAGAACTTAAATGAATGAAAATCTCTGATATAAAACAAAAAGAAAGCCAAAAGGCAAAAAGATAATATCCCCTTGCTTATTTGCAAGACAAGACAAAAATTTAGAGGATAATCCAGAAAGTCAAACATCTAACTAACAAAGGCTGGGAGAAAATGTTTGAAGGAATACTGAAAATTTTCCCAAATCAAAGAAAGAACAGGAATACAACTGCAAAGACCTAGTGCAATGAATAAAAAAGGGCCTCTGTCAAGACACATCATCATGAAATGTAGAACACCAGAGGTAAAGAGAAGATCCTAAGCAGTTAAAGAAAAAACAGGTTACATATAAAGAGGTGATCATATGTCCCAGTTTACCAAGAAAGTCCTGGTTTACACCTGTTGTCCTAATATGCTGTCAGACTAGCACTTTACCTGTCCCAGTTTTGATAATAAATTATACAGTCGCCCTACATATTAAAGAATGGAAATCTGAATGGGAAAAGACGTCTCAATAGCAAGAGCAGATAGCAGAGGACAGCAAGGTACCTTCAAAATTCTATGGAAAATGACTTCCAGACTCAAATTCCATATACAGCCTTATTATTATTATTATTATTATTATTATTATTATTACTAAGACAGTCTTGCTCTGTCACCCAGGCTGGAGTGCAGTGGTGCAATCTCAGCGCATTGCAGCCTCTGCCTCCTCAGCCAAATTATTAACCAAGTATAATGAGAGTTACATAAATGCATTTTTCATACACGTAAGGACTCAACAATTTACTTTCTGTGTACTCTTTCACAGAAAGATGTACTTCAGTAAATGAGTATACTAAAATCAAGACATAAGATATTAGAAACGAGAGGTCTAACTCAGGGAAGAAGCAAAGGCAAGTCCCAGGAATACAGCCAGCAGGCCTGGTGTGCAGCCACGCCAGAAGAGTCCAGAGAGCTCTAGGATGAGGTCTCCAAGGGGAAAAAGTAGAAGGGAGGTGCAAAAGGATAGGTTATTTTATATATTCAAGGCATGTGGAGTATATAGGGAAAAACAGCAATAGTTACACAGAAAACTAGGCAAATCTTTTAAAAACAGGCATTATTAGCTCTAGGAAAAAACAAATTTGTAAGAAAAATGTAATCATAATATAGCGCTTGTTCCTATAGTTGGGATGTTTGTCCCCTCCAAACCTCATGCTGAAATTTGCTCTCAATGTTGGAGGGGCCTAATGGAAAGTGTCTGGGCCATGGAGGTAGATCCCTCATGCATAGATGAAGTCCTCCCTTGGTTGTGGGGAGTGAGTTCCCGCTCTATTAGAGCCCAGGAGCTGGCTGTTGAAAAGAGCCTGGCATGCCTCAGTCCTCTAGCCTCCTCTCTTGCCACGTGATCTCTGCACATGCCAGCTCCCCTCCGCCTTCCTTCATGAACAGAAGCAGCCTGAGGCTTCCACTAGAAGCCCAAAATTCCCAGCAGCAGAAGAGTGAACCAAAGAAACCTTTCTTCCTCAAAAATTACCCATTCTCAGGTATTCCTTCATAGCAATGCAGAACAGACTAAGACACTTGAGAACAACATTTACTTAGTAATAATAATGTAAACACTGACTGACAGCCATACTAGCAGGTATGATACATTCTCATTGCAGCTTTGATTTGCATTTCCCTAATGGCTAATGATGCAGAGCATCTTCCTGTGCTTACTGGCCATTTGTATATCTTCACTGGAGAAATGTCTATTCAGACCCTTTGCCCATTTTAAAATGAGGTTATTTGTCTTTTTGTTATTGAGCTGTAAGAGTTCTTTATATATTCTGGATACCAGTCCCTTATTCATTTTCCTTCTGTAATGTCTTTTTGCTTTCTTGAGAGTGTCATTTGAGGCAGGAAAGTTTTTAATTTTGATACAGTCCAATTTTTTCTTTTGTCATTTGTGTTTTTGATTTGTATCTAAGAAACCATTGCCTAACCCAAGGTCATGAAGCTCTACTCCTATGTTTTCTTCTAAAAGGTTTATAATTAATAGTGTAGCTCTTATATTTAGGTCTATGATCCATTTTGAGTTAATTTTTATATATAGTGTAAGGTAGGGGTCCAACTTCATTCTTTTACATGTGGATATCCCATTATACCATTTGTTGAAAAGACTACTTACCCCACTGAGCTGTCTTGGCACCCTTGTTGAAAAACCAAGTAACTTTAAAAGCATTTTGGCTTTATGACCACATATTCCTTGGCTTTCTGAATTTGTGACCCAGAGTTATTGATTCCTACTTTTTAGGCTTCCACAGTTCATAGCCACAGATGCTTGAGAAGGAAAAAGCTTGGGGCAACCCTCTATCAAACTTACTTAGCCTAGCTGAGTCAGGGTTCCTCAAACTTCCTCACTGGGAGATACAAAAGCAGACTCAAAGGATTGGGTTTACTCTTCCTGTGAATTCCCTCTCTCTCCCACAAGACTTCTTAGTGAAAATGTATCTATTTTTGCTCTACCTCCTGCCTTACCTCCTTTTTTGGTTCTCAGCTCCCTAGTCTTTCAAATTATCCCCAAAAGGGCCGGGTGTGGTGGCTCACGCCTATAATCCTAGCACTGGGAGGCCAAGGCAGGCGGATCACTTGAGGCCAGAAGTTCGAGACCAGCCTGGCCAAGATGGCGAACCCCGTCTCTAGTAAAAATACAAAAAAATTAACTGGGCATGGTGGCGCATGCCTGTAATCCCAGCTACTAGGGTGGCTGAGGCAGGAGAAATCGCTTGAACCCAGGAGACGGAAGTTGCAGTGAGCCAAGATTGCGCCATTGCACTCCAGCCTGAGCAACAGAGACCTCAACTTAAAAAAAAAAAAAATTATCCCCAAAAGAAGTCTCTTGCAATTTTTATATACCATATTTGAGGCATACAAAAAATAAATTGCATATACTATAATTTCAAATAGTTGGGAAGGAATTACTATACCTTCCTATAATACAAAATTGGCACAAAATGACCTATTCCCCAACTATATGTTCCCACTCCACATTGCCCATTCACTCCCGAACCAACAACTCCACCACCTAATATTTCTGCTTCCATTATTCTATTCAAACTACCTGTGCTAAGGTCTCAAGATCTCTATGTCTAATGGGCATCTAGCACTACTCATCCTATTAGACTTCTTGAAGCAGCAACTGACACTGGACTTTCTCACCTCACTGAAACACTCTTTTCTCGGTATCAGTGAGGCATCTCTCTGTCTTTACTCCACATTCAGCCAGCCCCTCTAGCCAGCCATTAAATACTGCCACTCCTCACGACTCAGTTCCAATCTTTATTTTCTTCTCACTCCACAGGGTTTCCCCCAAGAACTTCCTTCTGTTCTCAAGGCTTCAATGACCTAAGAGTTACCCCTGGAAATTCCTCTTCCCTTACACCCAATATCTCAACTATCTCAAGTCTTATATTCACGAATTTGTCCACTTTTCTCCATCTCCGCTGCCTCCACCCAGTACAGGCTACTATCATCTTCATTCACCCCATACTTTTTTTTTGTTTTTGAGGCAGAGTCTTGCTCTGTCGCCCAGGCTGGAGTGCCGTGGTGCTATCTCTGCTCACTGCAACCTCCACCTCCCGGTTTCAAGCAATTCTCCTGCCTCAGCCTCCCGAGTAGCTGGGATTACAGGCGTGCACCACCACGCCGGGCTAATTTTTGTATAAATTTTTAGTTGAGACGGGGTTTTTCCATGTTGGCCAGGCTGGTCTCGAACTCCTGAACTCAGGTAATCCACTCGTCTTGGCCTCCTGAAGTGCTGGGATTACAGGCGTAAGCCACAACACCCGGCCCTCATACATATTTTTTGAGCACACTGGAGAAACAAGAATAAAACAGACATGGTCTTGCCTGAGGCAGTGTAATGATTTCCTCTCATTTACTCTTGTCCCTCCATTTTTGTCTCCTCATTGTACTCAAGAGTAGTATTTTCAAAAAGCAAATGTGTCAGGACATTTAACAGGGTACCACTAGGGCCCTTGTCTACCTCTCCAACCTAACCCACCTTCCGCCTCTGTGCTGCAGGCCCACCAGGCTTCATTCTGTACGTGAAATGCTCCGTGGGCCCTCACACCAGAGGCTGCTTCTGCATATGCACTGCGGGAACAGGCTTCCCTAGCCACTGACCTCCCACGCCTCCTCCTCTACTCATTTGTTAAATCTCCACTTCATCTTCTCTTCCTGAGGGAAACCTTTCTTAACCACAGCTGCACTCACACACATGCACCATACCTTTGCTGTTCTTACTGTACACTGTACTCATGGACTCCTTGATAACGTCTACCTCCTCCCCTTGCTGACTGTATGCTGTGTGAGAGCAGAGACTCCATCTGAACACAATCACCACTCCATCCCCTTCAGGGGCCCCTTGAAGGAGCTCCATATATACACAGAGGGGAAAATAATAATAATAATAATTTTTTTGAGATGGAGTCTCGCTCTGTCGCCCAGGCTGGAGTGCAGTGGCACGATCTTGGCTCACTGCAAGCTCCGCCTTCTGGGTTCACGCCATTCTCCTGCCTCAGCCTCTCAAGTAGCTGGGACTACAGGCACCCACCACCACGCCCGGCTAATTTTGTTTTTGTATTTTTAGTAGGGACAGGGTTTCACCATGTTAGCCAGGATGGTCTGGAGCTCCTGACCTCGTGATCCGCCCGCCTCAGCCTCCCAAAGTGCTGGGATTATAGGCGTGAGCCACCGCGCCCGGCCAGAAAACAATTATTTCTGAGAGAAAATACCATATCTGTGTTTGCTTTATCATTTCCCCCACCACACACACATACCATTTCAGTGTTTTTACACAAAAGGAGTCAATATACAATAACCTGGCTCTAATCCAGGGCACCATTATCGACCTAGGAATAGAGAAACCTACCTGTTTTTTGTCAGTTGTTTTTGAACATATCTTTGTCATTGCCATTTTCAATGATATGACTTCCCCACACAATATTCTCCTTCTCACATGTCTTACATAGGCCAGATGACCTACACAACAAACACATAGACTGGTCTATTCAACAAATCTGCATGGTTTTTTTTTTTTTTTTTTTTTTTTTTTGAGACGGAGTCTCGCTCTGTCGCCCAGGCCAGACTGCGGACTGCAGTGGCGCAATCTCGGCTCACCGCAAGCTCCGCTTCCCGGATTCACGCCATTCTCCTGCCTCAGCCTCCCCAGTAGCTGGGACTACAGGCGCCCGCCACCGCGCCCGGCTAATTTTTTGTATTTTTAGTAGAGACGGGGTTTCACCTTGTTAGCCAGGATGGTCTCGATCTCCTGACCTCATGATCCACCCGCCTCGGCCTCCCAAAGTGCTGGGATTACAGGCGTGAGCCACCGCGCCCGGCCTGGATGGTTTTAAGCGGATGAGAATTATCCTTTTTTCCCCTCCCCATTCCAAGAGTACTTGAATTTAAAATAAAAAAAACCATTTAACTGGGGCCAGGCACGGTGGTTCACACCTGTAATCCTAGTACTTTGGAAGGCCGAAGTGGGTGGATAACCTGAGGTCAGGAGTTTGAGACCAGCCTGGCCAACATGGTGAAACCCCATCTTTACTAAAAATACAAAAAAAAAAAAAAAAAATTAGCCGGGCATGGTGGCAGATGCCTGTAATCCCAGCTACTCGGGAGCCTGAGGCAGAAGAATCACTTGAACCCAGGAGGTGGAGGTTGCAGTGAGCCGAGATCGCGCCACTGCACTCCAGCCTGGGCAACAAGAGTGAAACTCCATCTCAAAAACCAAAACCCAAAAACCAAACCAAAACAAAAAAGCCATTTAACTATTTAAACTCATTCTTTGACTATTAAAATGATACAGATCTATACTCCCTCTTGTGTCTCATTTCCTAAAGGAAAAAGTTGGTTCTTCTCAGGAAATGAGAGCAAGCACATCTTTGGTGCTTCCTCTATACTCCCCACAAACCTTAACCTTTCCTGTAGTCTCTTTAAGTTGGTCCTTTTACTGCAAGACAGATGTCTTGACATCTTTGTAATAAAGGTCTGAATTAATTTCAGTTACAGTGTGTGTGGTTTTAGAGACAGGCCCTTGCTTTGTCGCTCACACTGGAGTGCAGTGGCATGATCATAGCTCACTGTGCCCCTGACCTCCAGAGCTCCCACCTTAGCCTTCTGAGCAGCTGGGACTACAGGCATGCATGCCCAGCTAATTTTTTCCAGTTCTTGTAGAGATGGGGTCTCTCTATGTTGCCGTGGCTGGTCTTGAACTCTTGACCTCAAGTGATCTTCCTGTGTCAGCCCCCCACACTGCTGGGATTACAGGGATAAGCCACCATGCCCAGCCTAGTTACAGGATTTTCTATTTAAATATCTTTTATCTATGAAATAGGCTTGTCAAATACCAGTTACAGGTTTCCATCTCCCACTCTCTAAGAGCTAATGCTTCTAGGTATGAATTTTCACTTATGTGAAGTGTGTACTGCACAGTTCAATCTAAGTGTAACTATCTGCCAAAGAGTCTGACTTACCTGTCTTGAATTCCAGCTCTGCCCTTTACTACCTGTGTAGTTTAAGACAAGTTCCTTGAGCTCCCTGAGATTCAGTTTCCTCATCTTATAAAGTGGTAATTATACCTCACAAAGTTGTTTTGGGACTTAAAAAGATGATAAAAGTAAAGCACTCAGCAAAACGTAAGTATTCAATAAACAGAAATACTGTGGAACATCAGATCATGCTCATAGATAGTCCCTAAACCCCATTTAGGTTAAAATAAATCATCTTCCACAGCTAAATCGCCACAGCTGCTAACAAGCAACAAGTACAGTAATTCAATTTTCCTTTCTACTGATTTTCAAACATAGGTAACAAATAAGATGTGTAACAAATAAGAGTGAAAGGATAAAAATGTAACAAGTATAGAAAACCCGCAAAAATGGTAAGTCATACATTTAAAAAGTATGCTATGGGTTAAAGGACTTTTCCAAACTAGATCATGAGAAACTGGAGCAGAAGTCATCCTCTCCTTTATCATTTATTCTGTTTGAACTATCTGCGATTCTCTTTTCCTGACCTTCAGCTCCCCCACAATACCCTGATTACACAATTCCTTTATGTAGAAGGCCTCCTTCCAACCTCAGAGTATCTAAAATCCTGGCCATCCTTCTTTGAAAGCCCAGATCAAATGCCATGTCCTCTTCGCTGGAGCCTTCTCTAATTCCCTGAAACTATTATTTTTCTCCCTTTTCTGAATTCTTCGATACACACTCACCAAGCGTTCTGGTTATTTATGTTTATGTCATCTTGCTTGCTTGACTATGAGCTTCTTGCAGGCAGGGGATACATCTGACTGAAACTCTTACCCCTAATACCTGGAACTCCACCACTGCCTTTGCATACAGTGATTATTCAATAATATTTCTAAGGGCTGGGCACAGTGGCTGATGCCTGTAATCACAACGCTTTGGAAGGCTGAGGCAGGGGGATCACCTGAGGCCAGTAGTTTGAGACCAGCCTAGGCAATGCAGTGAGAACCTGTCGCTAAAAAAAAAAAAAAAAAAAAAAAAAAATTAAATTAGCCAGGTGTGGTGGCATACACCCATAGTCCTAGCTACTTAGGAGGCTGAGGTGGAAAGATAGCTTGAACACAGCAGTGTGAGGTTGCAGTGCGCTATGACTGCACCACTATGGTCCAGCCTGGGTGACAGAGTGAGACCCTATTTCAAAATAATATTCCTAAAATCAAAGAGTCAAGTAGCAAGCAGTCTTCTAGATTTTGTCAACAAGCATGAAAAGCAGCCACCTTTTGCAAGGGGAAGTGCAATATTTACAGAATGACACAGGGAAGAATGAAAGGAAATCAGGTTATGCAAATAAGGTCTAAGAAGCATCTTAATACTAAAGTTACAAATAGTCCACCTTTGGTTACTCAAATAAGAGAATGTATAGCTAGAGGCTACCACTGAAAAAGTCAGCCTAATTCTGCCTCACTGCCCTTGGTCTTTAAGGATTTGATTAGTTTTTCCACTTTTTGATTCTGCGTTGCAGCATGCCTCCACTCCGGAGCTAGCGCTAAGGCCTATGATTTGGAAGAAATGATAAATTCATTCATTGAATAAAGCAGTACTATTTTCTCAGCACAAGCCCTAAAATACTTCAAAGGCCATAATATTTCACTAAGCTTGGCCATTGGGTTAAAATTTATTAGTCAACACAGAAAACTTTCTCATCAGACCCCATATATTTCCATTAGGCATGATATATCGTGTCTCCCAATGTCTAATTATTAACTAGAAGTGTAAGTAAATCACTATCAGTATTAGGCCCTGATGAGTGAAGACAGAGTAAGAATTAAAGCAATTCAAATGCTAAAAAACTTGCCAATTTGCTTTTCTGTTTCCAACAAATAAAAGGAATTTTACAAGGACTAAGTGACTGACTTATGCAATTCTTTTTTTTTGAGACGGAGTTTTGCTCTTGTTGCCCAGGCTGGAGTGCAATGGTGTGATCTCAGCTCACCGAAATCTCAGTCTCCTGGGTTCAAGCGATTCTCCTGCCTCAGTCTCCCTACTAGCTGGGATTACAGGCATGCACCACCAAGCCCAGTTAATTTTGTGTTTTTAGTAGAGATGAGGTTTCACCATGTTGGTCAGGCTGGTCTCGAACTCCTGACCTCAGCTGATCCACCCGCTTTGGCCTCCCAAAGTGCTGGGATTACAGGGAAGAGCCACCGCACCTGGCCCTCTTTTTTTCTTTTTTAAATTTAAGGAAACCTCTTTTTTTTCTTTTTTTAGAGACAGGGTCTTGCTCTGTCACTCAGGCTGGAGTATAGCGGCACAATCATAGTTCACTGTACAGCCCTGAGGTCCTGCGCTCAAGTGATCTTCCTACCTCAGCCTCCTGAGTAGCTGGGACCACAGGCGCAAGCCACCATGCCTGGTTACTTTTTTTACTGTTTATTTTTTATAGAGATAGGGTCTCACTATGTTGCCCAGGTTAGTCTCAAGCTCCTGGGTTCAAGCAATCTTCCCACCTTGACCTCCCAAAGTGTTGGGATTGCAGGAGTGAGCCACTGTACCCAGCAAGCCATGCTTTCTAATCCATACTAAAAGTAACAATGTACAGAAGGTGCTGTTTAGATTTTCCAAGAGTTCCCACTTCAAAAATTCTGCCCATTGGTCACTAGATGGATGTCTTGGTGTGTACCTCCCCCTCCATTTATAATAAAGGCAGGAAGAAGGGTTTTAGATCCTCTCAGATACCAGCTCAGTTACTATTTTTTAGCATTATTTAGCAGGGTTTCTTTTACTATATGTCATTTGTGTTTAAAGAATAAAAAGGAAGTCATTCTGAACTAGAGAACGATTCACAAGTAGGAAACTGAAAGGGTAGTACTAACTTGTATTCTGTGATTATGTCCCTTAAGAACCAAAAGCCCAGCTGAAATAAATCTCTCCCTATATTTCCAGCATTCTCCCTCTAGCCTTCAGATGCCAATAATTCTTCAGCCCCACCAGAATCAATAAACCATCAATCCTGCCACCTTTTCAGCATCCCTCTTCCTCTCCTCCTGTGCTTACTTCTCTCCTTACCCAGGTGAATGAGATTCCAAAATCCATCAGGATAATCACCCCTGATATACACCCTGAACTCCCCTGCAAGCTATCCTTTTGTCGTACAGACCCACAGTCCCTTAGGGATAGATGTATCTTGGAATTCAGAATGTTTCATATTTTAGAAAGGTAATACACTGCATATGTCATAAATGTGTCAGCGGAGTCTGGGGCAGCACCCCAAAGTCAAACACAAAATTTCTGTAGCAAAATATATATTCCCACATATATGTGATAAATAAAGCCTATAAATAGCTTCATGTTCATTCAGATCAGGTGCTGCCACCACAATAGTTTGCCAAACTTACCAAAACAAACAAAACTACGAGTTTTCAGATTTTTAATCTCGGAATTGTTGGCAAGGGATTATTTCCCTGTACTTCGGTGGCAAAACCCCAAGCCATGTTAAATCTCAGTACCTGCATCCACATGGATGAATGTAGTGAGAGAAAGACCAGATCTTGCAAACTGGCCTCACTTTCATATTACCAGTAACCTGTGGGTCTTTTAGGCTACCTGACAGTGCAGCTACGCTTTCCTAGTCCATTCACTCTCTGAGGTAACTTTTTCTTACCCTCTCTTTTCTCAAACCTCCATATCCTCCTACATCTTATCACTCTCGGCTCCTTCATTCATAAGAAATACCATAAAATAACATAGAAGCACTCACATGAGGACTCTGCACATGCTCTCACCCCTTACCTCCCTGCAACTGTACTCATAAGTCCTGCCTTCCCTCTATCCATCACACCAACCCCTCCCTACTTGTGTACTGACCAGCAATTCCTACCTTTTTCCTGCAACATCCATTTTTACCTCTCTACGGGATCATTTCCATCAACATACAAAATACATCTCCTATCTTAAAACTCTCTCTCAAACCTTCCAGCAGCTGTCCCATTTCTCTATTCCCATTACAGCAAACCTCCTCAAAGCTGTCTATACTCACTGTCTCCAATTTATTTCCTCTCACTCTCTCTCTTTTTTTTCAGAGTTTAGCTCTTGTTGCCTAGGCTGGAGTGCAATGGTGCGATCTCAGCTCACTGCAACCTCCGCCTCCTGAATTCAAGCAATTCTCCTGCCTCGGCCTCCCAAGTAGCTGGGATTACAGGCGTCCGCCACCACGCCTGGCTAATTTTTTGTATTTTTAGTAGAGATGGGGTTTCACCATGTTGGCCAGGCTGGTCTTGAACTCCTGACCTCAAGTGATCCACCTGCCTCGGCCTCCCAAAGTGCTAGGATTACAGGCGGGAGCCACCAAAAAAAAGTCTGCAACCTCTACCTCCTGGGTTCAAGCGATTCTCCTGCCTCGACCTCCTGAGCAGCTGGGAGTAGAGGCACATGCCACCATGCCCTGCTAATTTTTTGTATTTTTAGTAGAGATGGGGTTTTGCCATGTTGCCCAAGGCTGTTCTCAAGCTCCTGATCTCCAGTGAACTGCCCAACTTGGCCTCCCAGAGCACTGGGATTACAGGTGTGAGCCACCATGCCCGGCCTCCTCCCATTCTCTCTTGAACCCCCTCCACCACTCTACTAAAAGAGTTCTTGTTGGTCAGACATGGTGGCTCGCACCTGTAATCCCAGCACTTTGGGAGGCTGAGGCAGTCAGATCACTTGAGATCAGGAGTGTGAGACCAGCCTGGGCAACACGGCAAAACCCCATCTCTACTAAAAATACAAAAACCAGCCGGGTGTGGTGGTGCACGCCTTTAGTTCCAGCTACTTGGGAGGCTGAGGTGGGAGGATCACTTGAGCCTGGGAGGCAGAAGTTTCAGTGAGCCCCACTGCACTCCAGCCCTGGTGACATGAGACCCTGTCTCAAAAAAAAAAAAAAAAAAAAAAAAAGTTCTTGTCAAGGTCACCAATGACTTCCACATTGCTAAACCAAGATCAATTCTCTCTCAGCCCTCATCTTACTTAATCTACCTGCAGCATGAAGATTTACTCCTGTTTTTTTTCTAAAAGTTTAATAGTTTCAGCTCTTATGTTTGGGTCTGTGATTCACTATAGTTAACTTTTGTGTAGGTGTGAGGGAAGGCTCCATCTTCATTCTTTTGCATGTGGATATCCAGTTGCTCCAACACCATTTGTTAAAAAACAAAACAAAAAACTGTTCTTCTGCCCACTGAATCGTCTTGGTACTCCTGTTGAAAATCAATGAACTATAAATGTAAAGGTTAACTTCCGGACTCTCAATTATATTCCATTGATCTATATGCCTAGCCTTATGCCAGCACCACAATGTCTTGATTATTGGAGCTTTGTGGTAAGTTTTGAAACTGGAAAGTGTGAATGCTCCAACTTTGTTTTGTTTTGTTTCCAAGATAATTTTGGCTATTTTGGGTCCTTACATTTCCATATGAATTTTAGAATCAGCTTGTTAATTTCTGCAAAAAAAAAAAAAAAAAAAAAACAGCAACAGGAATGTTGATAGGGATTGTTTTGAAGCTTTAGATCAATTTGGGGAGTACTGTCATCTTAATAATGTTAAGTCTTCTAATCCATGGACATGGGACAGCTTTCCATTTATTTAGGTCTTTAATTTCTTTCAGCAATATTTATAATGTTCAGTGTGTTAAATATTTCATCTTCTAGGTTAAGTTTATTCCTAGGTATTTTATTATTTTAGATGCTTTTTTTTTTTTGAGATGGAGTCTTGCTCTTTCACCCAGGCTGGACTGCAGTGGCGTTATCTTGGCTCACTGCAAGCTCCGCCTCCTGGGTTCACGTCATTCTCCTGCCTCAGCCTCCCAAGTAGCTGGGACTACAGGCGCCCACCACCACGGCTAATTTTTTTTTTTTTTTGTATTTTTAGTAGAGACAGGGTTTCACCGTGTTAGCCAGGATGGTCTCAATCTCCTGACCTTGTGATCTGCCCGCCTTGGCCTCCCAAAGTGCTGGGATTACAGGTGTGAGGCACCATGCCCAGCCAGATGCTATTTTAAATGGAATTATTTTTCTAATTTCCTTTTGAGGTCATTCATTGCTGGTATACAGAAACACAACTGATTTTTGTGCATTCATTTTGTATCCTACAACTTTGCTGAATTCATTTATTAATTAGCTCTAGTAGTTTTTTGGTGGCTTCTTTAGTATTTTTTTTTTTTTTTTTTTTGAGACGGAGTCTCCCTCTGTTGCCCAGACTGGAGTGCAGTGGTGCTATCATGGCTCACTGCAACCTCCACCTCCCAGGTTCAAGTGATTCTCCTGCCTCAGCCTTGCGAGTGGCTGGGATTACAGGCGTACACCACCACGCCTGGCTAATTTTTGTATTTTTAGTAGAGGCGGGGTTTCACCATGTTGGCCAGGCTGGTCTTGACTCCTGGCCTCAAGCTGATCTGACCCACTTGGCCTCCCAGTGTGCTGGGATTACAGACGTGAGCCACCGTGCCTAGCTGGTACTTTCTATATATAGGATCATATCATCTGCAAATAAAAGATAGTTTTACTTCATCCTTTCCAATTTGGATGTCTTTTCTTTTTCTTGCCTAACTGCCCTGGCTAGATAGTATGATGCTGAATAAGTGGCAAGAGCAGACATCCTTGTCTTGTTCCTAATCTCAGGAGAAAGCATTCAGTCTCTGGTCAGTGAGTATGACGTTATTTGTGGTTTTCACAGATGCTCTTTATCAGGTGAGGAAGTTTCCTTGTATCTCTAGTTTTAAAAATGTTTTTCTCATGAGAAGATGTTAAAGGCTTTTGCTGTCTCTATTGAGATGATCATGTGGTTTCTTTCCATATTCTATTGATATGTTATAATACATTAATTGATTCTTGATGTTAAACTAACCTTGCATTCCTGGGCTAAATCCTTCTTGGTCATGGTGTGTAATCCTTTTTATGTTCCTTTTTTTTTTTTTTCTTCCTTCCTTCCTTCCTTCCTTCCTTCCTTCCTTCCTTCCTTCCTTCCTCCCTCCCTCCTCCCATACCTTTTTCTCTCTCTCCCCTCTCTCTCTTTCTCCTTCCTCCCTCCCTCTCTCCTTTCTCTCTCTCTCTCTTTTCTTGGTCTTGCTCTGTTGCCCAGGCTGGAGTACAGTGCCACAGTCACAGTTCACTGCAGCCTCAACCTCCCAACCTCAAGCAGATCCTCCCACCTCAGTCTCCTGAATAGCTGGGACTACAGGCATGGACCACCATGCCTGGATAGTTTTTTTGCTTTTTATAGAGACGGGGTCTCCCTATGTTGCCTAGACTGGTCTCAAACTCCTGGGCTCAAGCAATCCTCCCACCTTGGCCTCCCAAAGTATTGGGATAACAGGCCTAAGCCACTGTGCACAGCCTGTAATTTCTTCTTTGTGATGTTTTAGTCTGGTTTGGGTATCAGGATAATACTGAATTTACCTTTTTTTTGTGGGAGGTGGGTAAGAGACAGAGTTTCCTTCTGTTAGCCAGGCTGGAGTGCGGTGGTATGATCATAGCTCACTGCAGCTTCAAACTCCTGGGCTCAAGTGATCTCCTCCTTCTTGAAACACTTTCTTTACATGCAACCTGGAAAATCACTCTTCCTTTATTCTCTCTTACATCACTGGTTGCTCCTTCTTCATCACTTTTGTTGGTCCTTCCCATCTCCCCAATCTATAAATATTTGAATGTTCCAGGACGTGGGCTTCGAATCTCTTTTTCTCTCTGCCTTCATTTTCTAGGTAATCTCATTCAATCTCATGGTATTAAATACAACCTATATGCTGAAGGCTCACAAATTTATACCTTCAGCCTGGACCTTCCCATGAACTCCAAAAATATATATATAACTCTTCAACAACTCCACATGAATGTGGCAGAAGTATCATAAACAATATAACTAATCTGTAACCAAAATAAAGCCAACATAGGTCCTAGTAACAAAAATAAAGCCAACATAGGTCCACAGGGGTTGGGAGGAGGGGGCAATATAACCAAAACCGAGCTCCTGATTTATCTTCCAAACTAGCTTCTCTCACTGTTTTTTCCCAACTCCGTAAATAGCAACTTAATCCCTCCAACTGCTCAGGCCAAAATCTTAATGGTCATTCTTGACTACTCTCTTTTGATATACCACATACAACCCATCAGCAAATCCTGTGTCAGCTCAACCTTCAACATAAATCCAGAATCCAACCAGTTCTCTCTTCCAAAACCACCCTAGTTTAAGCCACTGCCATCGCTTGCCTGGATTATCACTAGAGTCTTTTAACTGGTCCCCTGTCTGCCACCTTGCCCCCCATTCTCTCATGTCTACTCTTAACACAGCCATCAGTGATCCTTTTAAAATATGAGTCCAATCATATTACTCCTCTATATTCAAAATCCTCTGGTAGTTTCCCATCTCAGCCACATCAAAGTGCTACAGTGGCCTACAAGGTCCCACAGGACCTGGCCTCCCATTACCTCTTGACTTCCTCTCCTACCATCCTCTTTCTTGCCTACTCCCCCACCGACCCCCATGACTCTGGCCTCCCTGATTTTCCTGGAACACGCTAGCCTCCCTTTTGCCTCAGAGTCTGTGCACTTGCCATCCCCTTTGTCCCTAATGCTCTTCCCCCAGACAACTGCATGGCTCTGTTTGTCATTTCCTCAGGTCTCTTCTCAAATATCTTTATCTCCTAAACATCCTAAATTAAAACAGTAACCATCACTTCCCTATCCTAGGGCTTGCTTTCACCATAACCAGTTTCATCATTCTCTACTGCATTTGTCACAATGTAGTTCCCTGTTTCATCCTACCTCTAAGCTAGAATGAACGCTCATGAGGGCAGGAACTTTGTTTTCTTCCAGCCTCTAACAGAGCTCCAAGAGAACTTTCTGTGGTAATGGAAATGTTCTACATTTGCACTATCCAATACAATAGCAACTAGCACATGTGGTTACTTAGCACTTGAAATATAACTAGTGTGACTGAGGAGCTGAACCATTTATTTTATACTATTTAAATTAATCAAAATTTAAATCTAAACAGCCACATGCAGTTACTACATTAGACAGCACAGCCTAGGACAGTAGTTACTCAATAAATACACAGTAGATACTCAAATATTTGTTGAATGAATGAAGGAAAAAAGAAATATGACTTTTTTCCTCTTTAACTTTTTATTACAGAAATTTTCAAACATCCACAAAAGTAGACAATAGCAAAATGAACCCTCTTCTACCTATCACCAATCTGAAGATTCTTCTACCCTGAAATAAGTAACAGTGGATACCAGCAACTCCATACGGCTTCCAACAATGATTACATTCTTGGAAAATATGGAATTTGTATTATCCAATGTTTATGTCAAATAGTGCCTCGTAAGGCCTTTTACAAGTTATAGAGAAATTACTGTAGAATTAGATCAGGTGTATGTTGAGGGGTAAACCAGTAGGCTAATGAATGCTTGAGGCATGTTTGTGAGAACCCTAGAGAACCACATGTACATTTTTGTATCAAATACCTGATTGCTCTTTTCAACATTTATTTTCTCCACCTTAATTTTATTAAAGTCACACTCTTAATTTTGTGACTGCATAGATATTCACTCTTCTTAGGTAACACAAATTCTTTGGGCAGGGATTTTGGTCTTACTAGCCTTTATAAAACTAGCATCTGGCATAATAAATGTTTTTGTTGTTGTTCTTAGAGACAGGGTCTCACTATATTGTCCAGGCTGGCCTTGAACTCCTGGACTCAGGCAATCCTCCTGCCTTGGCCTCCCAAAGAGCTGGGACCATAGATGTGAGCCACTGTGCCCAGACTAATAAATGTTAACTGAATAAAGTTTATAACTGTATAAAAATGATACTTGTGAATCATCAGAGTGCTAAAAGATACAGTAGATCTCCAATGTCCTAAACAGATATAGATTTGAAAATAAAATTCTCAAAGGATTTTCAAACTTGTCCAATCAGAAGGGAGTATAATGTGTCAGAAAGAAAATCAAACTGGGAGCAAGAACACAGGTTTCAATGTCCTATTTCACTAAGTGGGTAAATCTTACAACAGTCATGTACTTCCTTCAGGCTCCATTTTCTGCACTTGTGAAAAGAGAGTTTGGACTTGATGGTCTCCAAAGACGCTATCCAACTTTAAAATGATTATGTTTTTATCTAGATCAACAATACATATACATTTTTTTTTTCCATAAGTTACTGGGTTACAGGTGGTATTTGGTTACATGGCTAAGTTCTTTAGTGGTGATTTGTGAGATTTTGGTGCACCCACCACCCAAGCAGTAGATACTGCACCATATTTGTAGTCTTGTATCCCTTGCCCCTCTTCCACTCTTCCCCCACGAGTCCCCAAAGTCCATTGTATCATTCTTATGCCTTTGTGTCCTCATAGCTTAGCTCCCACATACCCATGGGAACATATGATGTTTGTTTTCCATTCCTGAGTTACTTCACTTAGAGTAATAGTCTCCAATCTCATCCAGGTCACTGCAAATGCTGTTAATTCATTCCTTTTTATGGTTCTGTAGTATTCCATCATATAGATATACCACAGTTTCTTTATCCACTCGTTGATTGATGGGCATTTGGGTTGGCTCCATGATTTTGCAATTGTGAATTGTTCTGCTATAAACATGTATCTGCAAGTATCTTTTTCAAATAATGACTTCTTTTCCTCTGGGTAGATACCCAGTAGTGAGATTGCTGGATCAAATGGTAGTTCTATTTTTAGTTCTTTAAGGAATCTCCACACTGTTTTCCACAGTGGCTGTACTAGTTAACATTCCCATCAGCAGTATGGAAGTGTTCCCTGTTCACTACATCCACACCAGCATCTACTGTTTTTTGATTTTTTTATTATGGCCATTCTTGCAGGAGTAAGGTGGTATCGCATTGTGCTTTCGATTTGCATTTCCCTGATCATTAGCGATGCTGAGTATGTTTTCATGTTTGTTGGCCATTTGTATATCTTCTTTGGAGAATTTTCTATTCATGTCCTTAGCCCACTTTTTGATGGGATTGTTTTTTTCTTACTGATTTGAGTTTGCAGTAGATGCTGGATATCAGTCCTTTGTCAGATGTATAGAGTGTGAAGATTTTCTCACAATACATATACATATTTGAAGATGCCTATAAACTTCCCCTTTCTTTGCTAAATCATTTTTCCGATATGTTACTTTTAAAGGAGCAACACATTAATACCAAGACCTCATGCCTACTTTAGTGAAGAGGTAATGTCTCCATTTCTTGAGGAGTGCCAAACTCTATACTTGAGGCTACTAAAATACTGCTGGGATCCTGTGTTTAATTTACACTCAGTTGGCTGACACTGGGCATATTAGTACAAAAAGGGTAATTTTGGCCACATATTTGCCTAGCAAACTCTCCAGGTACCATTTGTGTTTGAAAAAGTTTCTTCAACACTTCTAAGCCAATTCTTATCTCTTTCCCAGCTGGCCCTGTAAAATGTACTGTTTTAGGCTTCGTTCTGAGGTTTTACCTTTGTTTAAACGAAGTAGTAGTACTCAAGTCATGCTCTGATGTTTTTTAAAGCAAGAAACCTGAAAGAAATGAGGGCCAGTCATGTGCACCTTACCTTGACGCTCCTGTTTGATGAAATTTCTAGACTTCGCATTTAAAAATGTGGCTTTTGCTTCCTGTTCTGTGCAGCTTCCACAACAGTGAGCCCAAGCTAGCAACCAAATGCTAATATTGATGACATACCTGGGTCTAAACATTGACAGATATACAATGGCAGCACTTTTGGTGGAAAATGTCTTAAAGAAGCAGAAACTACCATGCAGTTCCAATAACATTCTTACACATGGTATACAAAATAATCTTGCAGTTATTAAAACTGAAATTTAATTGGGCCCTGGTATTTGCTTTGAGTTGTTTTTAATACCATTACTATGCCCCAAGAAACCTAATTCCATGCTATATCTTCAATCATAATTTCAATTTTTAATTTTTATTTCATTTGTTTATTTATTCTCTGTCGCCCAGGCTGGAGTGTAGTGATGCGATCTTGGCTCACCGTAGCTTCGACCTCCTGGTCTCAGATGATTTTCCCACCTCAGTCTCCAAGTAGCTGAGATTACAGGCAAGTGCCATCACATCTGACTCATTTTTTTTGCATTTTTTGTAGAGACGGAGTTTCGCCATGTTGCCCAGGCTAGTCTCAAACTCCTGGGCTCAAGTCATTCACCCACTTTGGCCTCCCAAAGTGCTGAGATTACAGGTGTGAGCCACCATGCCTGGCCAATTTTAAAATTTATGTACTTCATACATATGTTCTCTCTAAAATAACCGTAAATATCTATGCGTAATAAGTTTCATCAAACTTTTAAGAAACACTATCCAGATCTCAAATAACAGCAACATTTTAAAGTAAAACTAAAAACAAAATACTGCCCTGAACAGAAGACATGAGTCCAACAACTCATTCACAGAGGCAGGTTCAAATCAGACTTAAAAACATGTTATTAACCATCAGTTGAACCACTGGAAAGATATATGCCAATAGTAAGAATATCATCCTGCCAGGCTGGGTGCCGTGGCTCACACCTGTAATCTTAGCACTTTGGGAGGCTAAGGTGGGCAAACTGCTTGAGCCCAGGAGTTCAAGACCAGCCTGGGCAACACAGCAAAACCCCGTCTCTACAAAAAATATGAAAATTAGCTGGGTGTGATGGTACCTGTCTATAGTCCCAGCTACTTGGGAGGCTGAGGTGGGAGGATTGCTTGAGCCCAGGAGGTCGAGGTCACAGTGAGCTGAGATCGCACCACTGCACTCCAGCCTGGGCAACAGAGTGAGATCCTGTCTCAAAAACAAACAAACAAACAAAATAAATCGATAAATAAAAACAACAAATATATAAAAAATATCATATCACCATTAACATAAGGGTAGCTTGGGACACCTCTTATTCACACTAAGATCTAAATGCATACAATTCTACCACATCACCTGTCCATATTAATCGCTCACCAATTTAATTAAACTGTCATGTCAAAAAGCCTGCCTCTTCTCTATTTCTCAACATTATCGACTTTTAATAGTTCACTGAATTAGTAATTACCTGTTTATGGCATTATCAAATGTCTTAGACACAAAAATTCAGCATGTGGCAAGGTCAGTTATAGACATGTCCTGATGGCAAATGAAAGAAGAAATTTAACCCGTCAAAGTGGTCATCAAAAGAGCAAAACCTATTATGCCGTTCTCTAGATACTCTTGGCTAGAGTCAAAGTGACAGGACAAACCAGATCAAAACTAAACAGAGCTAGAAGCAACATACAAAACCCTAATGAACTCTTAGAAATCCAGGTATTGATCTGTCAACATCTAAGCTCAATTAGTCCTTTCAGAACAAAATATCGCATGAAGTGACAAGAAACTAGTTTGCGATCTGGGATATGAAAAGAAGAAAACCAGCCACTTTATATAGCTTATTGCTAAGTGCAGTTACATCACAATACGAGGATCTTGTGAGGATTAAATCAAGACACATGCCAAGTACCTATCTACTTAGTCCAGGGACTGGCACGCCACTAGTGTTTAGCAAATCCTGGTCCTTCCCTGATTCTTTAAAAACTTAGGCTTATCAAGTCAAAGATCATCTGATGGTTTAAAAAAATAAAACAAAACAAAAGCCTTAAATGGTGATACAGACAACAGATCTGAAGAGAACTGAATGTTATGAAGTAGCAGATAGGATCATGACATAACAAACAGACACTGAAAATATTTCTGAATGGCTCATCCTTCGTGGTCATTTACAACCTTCATGTTTTGTGAAACTGCCTTTAGGAATGCGCTTTGACAAGAAATAGGCCAACTGTAAAGTAATTCTGTTTGGAAGTAAAATCCTGCAATGCTTTTCTGAAGCAGATGAACAGTTTCTCTCATAAAACCTTCACCATTGGCTATACTTCATGCTTTCAGCAATTCCAGTTTCCAAACAAACCGGTAACAAAACTATAAAGCTAATTTTTTCATTAGAATTGTTTAAGTAACAAAAGCTCAATAAATCATTTGCCTTCTAAGGAAAAAAATTACTTTCTAACACAAAATACTTTTTCTGGTTCTATGAAAATAAAGCTTATTTATTTACAAAGTGAAAACTGTAATACTACAGTGAAATCTCTTTATGGCTCAAGAATGAAATATTTAAGAAATAAAGGTATGGACAGAGCAAGACTTGGTCTAAGAAGTCCTGACATTAACTACCAGTGTTGCCATTTACTATATGATGTCAGACGGTTACTTAACTTCTCAGGGTGTCAGTTTCTTCTAAGGTTCTTTTCAGCTCTAAAAATGATAAGATTATTTATGATATCAGATACTATCTTCTATGGCCCACACACATACATATGTATGTATGTACACACACATATACATACATATATACATGTACCTTTATTAAATAATACAAGTATATTTTGAAAGATATGGTAACTTAAAGCCCATTAAGAAACAAAGAATGAAAGTGTGAATGAGTATGTGTGTGTAGAGGGGGAGTGTTCTGAGCCCACACATCATTCTCAGTAGTTAGGGCATTCACACAGCTTCAAGACACCTGAATTAACCAAGTAAGCCTTTAAACCCTTACAATGGAACATTAAAATTCAATGTGGCTATAATCTCTTCCTTACAAAACATGAACCCAAAGAGTCTGGCTTCAAGTATGGTTTTAAAAAAGGGGGAATGTATTATATTCACCACCCAGCTCTTCCATATGACCATGTTAAAAAAAACCACACAAATGAAAACTCACAGGCCCATTGTAATATATTGAACCACTTCTGAATGCAACACTTAGCTCAGGCTTACTACTCTGACAAATAAAGGAAAGCACTTTATGAAGCCAATTTAATTGGGAAGTGACAGAAAACATACAGCCATTTTCTTTAGCCTTATCACTGAATTGGCTTCAGCTCCAATCTCTGGCAAATCCCACTCAACAGAAGAAATTAACCAGGTCAGCAGAACAGGTGCTACCTTGTGTCTGTCAAGGGCCTGGCATCACCACAATTACTTGCACACAATGAAGCAGTAATCTTTACAGATCATCTCTCCCAAGAAGCATATTTGGGAGGGGGAGGAAAACTGAAGGGTGAGGGGAGTGGGAAGAAGAAGGGGAATGGGAAGCAAAGAGAAAAGGCAAGAAAAGAAAATGAATGTGCAGCTGCCTTGCAGCTCAGCAGATGTCGGAATGTGATGTACGAGGCTAGGATAAGCTGTCGTAGCCCGCTGCCAAAGAGTGGTAAGTGATTAAAACCTGCACAGTTCTAAGCACCATATTTAGAATCTGCAGGGTTTCAAGACTTGCACCCATTCCTTGCTGTGCTGCCAGATGTTGGCAACTGGTCCAGTTCCTACTGACTGTGCATGGATGGCAGCAGTTGGTGTAGCAGCAAAGCAATCTGGAATGCTTCCGGAGATGCTGTACATTAACAAGTGTCACCCATCATTCACCTTTACAGAAGGCTGAAACAACTCCAATTTGCTGCCACTTCCCTCTTGGGAAACAGCCAAGATAAAGTTGTGCCTGGCAGCCCCATTTGTTTCACTCAGGTGTTTTAGCTGCCTTGCTGACCTCTATTAGTTTAAGTTTTAATTTAGATTAACCCCAGCACCCCAATTAACCAGCAAGGGGAAAAGCTAAGATGTGACTAGTCATAACTCTGAAATCAGAATTTATCGAAGTTAAAATTATTAATTGGGATGAAGGGCCAATCAAGTAATGCTATTTCTTTTTAAACAGACCTCCAGGCAAAAAAAAAAAAAAAAAATTCAGACTAAGGATTGCCAACAGAGGCAACTTCTCCCCAGTAATTTCACTTTATTTTATTAAGCCTATTTAATTTATGATGCACTTTTCATCGAACAATGTACACTTCAATTAATGAGGACTGGAACATTTTTGATTGTCTCCCGTGATCTCACACAATTATACAGCATTAATATCCCATATCAGGTACTTCCTTAGACACTCTAGAACAAAATAGAGTTCCTTACTCTTCTGACAAATGAATATAATAAGAGAAGAGGAAAAAAGAATCAGGACCTCTGACAGGGAACAGCTGCAGCCACACCAATCTTTTTTTCCTATACCCTCTAGTCATTACTTTTAAGACTTACTTATGGCAATAATTTTATCAAACATTATAGAATGAATAAAAAAAATTAATAGAAAGTCTCTTTCTCTTTTTAGGGCAAGACCAGAGGTATCCCCAATATAAAATCACTTGTTCTATATTGACTTTACATGTAATTTTCCTAAGAAGTTCTTCTTCATATCCATATACACAGTACAGCAGTCATGGCTAAACCCTCAACAAGCAGTCGCAAATTACTTGGCTAAAGCTAGCACATTAAAAATTTGACAGAGAAAAAAATTATCTTGATAAACAATGGCTCAACAATAACTGGTATATCACTGCTGAACAGCTTCCTCTATTCTCCACTAAGCTAGAAAGGGTACAGCCAAACACACACTCTATTAAGAAGTATAATTTGTCTGGCCGGGTGCAGTGGCTCAAGCCTGTAATCCCAGCACTTTGGGAGGCTGAGGCAGGGAGATCACGAGGTCAGGAAATTGAGACCCTCCTGGCTAACACGGTGAAACCCCGTCTCTACTAAAAATACAAAAAATTAGCCAGGCCTGGTGGCGGGCGCCTGTAGTCCCAGCTACTCGGGAGGCTGAGGCAGGAGAATGGCGTGAACCCAGAAGGCAGAGCTTGCAGTGAGCCGAGATTGCGCCACTGCACTCCAGCCTGGGTGACAGAGCGAGACTCCATCTCAAAAAAAAAAAAAAAAGTATAACTTATCAAGAGACTCAGGAATACAGGAAGTTATTTCAGTTCTCTAGAACAGCCCAAATGTTTAGTCTATCTTAACAGTCTCTGGCATCATTAAAAAGAACAGCATGCCAGCAGAGAGTAATGTCAGGGAAAGAAGTGGGGGAGTCTGAAAACATATTGAGAACTGGACTATATTTCAACTTCTACCAATTCTCTCTGTCTTCAAAAGCACTATGCTCTTATTATAATCAACAGTTGCAGACATTCTCAATACATACTTAACTGACTTCGACAGGCACAAAAAGACATTAAGAACAAGATTTAACAGATAATAGGATCAGTAGCGCAATTCAGGAACTCTGGGATCCCAGCCCTCCAGCTCCACGGCCCATTCTAATAGTAATGAGACAAGAAACCAAATAACTTAACAAATCCTCCATCATCAAAAATGGCTCAGAAAGAACCCACTTGACTCAGAGAAAAAAACCTGAAACTGTTTTACAGCTAATTTACACTCAAGCAACAACAAAGTAGCTATAGCTGTTTTCATTTCAAAAGGAAAACATAAAATAGAAGAAAAGCAACAAATCCACAATGACACTGTAAGTCAATTTTGAACGCGGGAGTTCTAACTCACTGTCTGACTCTATCCTTCCAAAATAAGCAACTTCTTTGTTCAGAGAATTCTATAAGCTGCTTTAAAATGCTAAAACATGATTTGTAACAAGAGAGTGTAAAAGTCTCACCTGGTGGTAAAAGTCATCATCATCAAAGATTTCTTCATCCAAGTCCTTCAGATGAGCATTAGCAGGGGCTTGAGGAAGGATCTCCTATGTTAACAATGAGTAAGAAAAGAGTGAATCCCAACAAGGCTATCTAACTAATGTAGCTACTATAAATAATATGTAGAACAGTCAAAGCACTGTTTTCCTTAAGATATAAAAAGTTCTTAAAATTAAAAAACAAAACAGTCCAATATGAAAACAGGCAAAAACATTAACAGGCAGTTGACCAAAAAAACCCATAAATAATCATATGAAAATATGTTTACCCTCATTCAAATTAAATATGTGTAAATTAGAATTAGAAGATACCATTTTTCACCTCTACGACTGAAATTAATGCAGCCTTTTTGGAGGCAATTTGGCAACATCTATCAGAATTTGGTGTATTTTCTTTAACACTTCCACTTCAAGAAATCTACCCATATATTTATACGAACACATAATACATGTACAGGAATCTTTCCTGTAGCAGTGTTTCTGAAACTGGAGACAACATAATATCCATTGTTTGCATAAATGATAGTGCATATCCATACAATGGAATACTTTGAGGTCATTAGGAAAAATGAGGTAGCTCTCTAGGTAATGAAATGGAAAGAGTATCTAGGACTTATTAGATTTTAAAAGTTGCAAGACTTTAAATACAGTTGTAATATTTTACATATTTATACTACATAAATGTCTCTCATTTAGTAAAAAAGGCAACCATATTTATACATATATATTTGTTATTTGCACACATATATAGTTACACAAATAGAAAAGACCCAAAAACTTGTTACAACTATTAATTATTAACTGTAAACTTGTTACAACTATTAAATACTGAAAATTTCACCTCAGGAGTTACGTTAACAGGCAATTGACAAAAAAAATAAAAAAATTTCACCTCAGGAGTGAAATTTTCAGAGTAGAGAATTTTGCTTTTCATTTTAAGTTGCTATAAACTAAAAAAGGATTAAGTATATATTTCTTCCATAATTAAAAAATTTTAAATGTTTCCTTTAAACAAAAGAATTTGACTATTCCACTTCTGCACCCTTTCTAAAGTACCTAAATGGCAAACGTTGAGCCTAAAGTACACACTTGTTTCAATACTGACATTTCTACAGAAGTAGCTTTAAAACTGAATTTTGAAAATTGGATTATGAATGCTTCTACTACCAGACTCCTGCATCAAACTCAAAATTAAGAGAAGATGACACACAGGAGTTAATAGAAGCCCCATTTTTAAAAACTCTCTCCTCTCACATACACTCAAGTTTCTCTCAGTAATCCAGTAAAGTAGTGTTGCTTTCCTTTCTCTCACTAACCTCTTATATAAACAGGTAATAGCTACAAGTTTTTCAGCTAATAAGCCTCATAGAAACTATTCCCCATAATCACTCTGCATTACAGAGTTCTTACCGGTTCCCCTGGCAAACTCTCTGGGACAGGCTGAGCTGCTGGCTCAGGTTTGCCAAGAACTCGATAGACAGAGCGCTTGGTCTGTGTCCTTCGAAGTAATCTCTCTTTGTCCATCAGAATATGGTCGATCTGAGTCAAGATTGAGCGTTCAAAGGCACCAAAACCCTGCAACAACATTAAGCAGTGTCAGATAATGCAGAAAATCAGTGCTGAAGGCAAGCTACATTGGTTTCTCTATCTTTCTGTGTCAGCAGAGAGATAGAAAATCATCTTTTCAGGAGGGACTTTCTGTAAAGGACTGAGTTTGTGAGTGGCTATAATTGTTCTTAAAAAAAAAAAGTTAGTCTTAAGCAGGTCATATCATTTTTCTACACACGGAGATTAGCTTCTGATACTTTAATAATTATTGCTTTGAAATCCACTCCTTTAAAGTATTTGGATTTTCAGCACTTGAACACTTACAAGGCCTCAATTTTAAGAATAAAACATTCTTTCTAATAAAGTTAAAATCCCAAGTCTGAATCGTATAAACCCCAGTGCCAGAAGTTCAGTAGATTTTGCTATAGAAATGAATGATTACCATTACATCGTGACAACATCCATATAAATGAGCTGTAGTTCCAATTTCTTAAAACTTCTTCAAGTTGCCACAACCTATCTTACACATACATGCGCGCATACACACACTTGCCTTCCCCAGTTTTCCAGAAGCCAGTTTGGTCTTATCGTGCCATTTCTGAAGTGTGCGGTTCCTGTAGACTGTAAAGTCGGCAAAGCGCTTTGCCATGAAGCTGGGATAGTCCTCCATCTCCAGCTTCCTCTTTGCAGGGACCCTTCTTCGTTGCTGCTTCTTCTCTTCTACCAGCTCATCATCTTCACTAGAAATCTCCTCACTAGAAAAGCAGTAAGAATATTATGTCCAGTGTAAACAAACATTACTTAGATTTTAAAAACTAGGCTCACATAAAGGACTGAGAATATTTAGGCCTTACCTGTTCTGTCTCCATTCAAAATAACACCAAAGATATAAGGATGGCTTTTGCTCTTTGAGAAGAATATTCATGAGATCAATCAAAAACTCGTGTAACTTTTTTTTTTGAGACAGTCTTGCTCTGTTGCCCAGGCTGGAGTGCAGTGGCGCGATCTTGGCTCACTGCAACCTCCACTTCTGGGTTCAAGCAATTCTCATGCCTCAGCCTCATGGGTAGCTGGGATTACAGGTGTGTGCAACCATGCCCGACTAATTTTTTTCATATTTTTAGTAAAGATGGTGTTTCACTATGTTGGCCAAGCTGGTTTCAAACTCCTGGCCTCCAGTGATCCACCTGCCTCGGCCTCCCAAAGTGCTGGGATTACAGGGCATGAGCCACCACACCCAGCCTCATGTAACTTTTAAAACAAATATAAAAAGAACTAGTTTCAAAATATTTTTTAAAAGGTAAGTAAACCATAAAAATAAATGAGGTTTTAAAAGAATTATTAGAAATGTGTATGAACCAGGCCTGCAGTATTATAGGACAGTATTTAAAAATTAAACACATAACCATATTTCTACGACCTTAATCCTCAAATCAATAAGGGAAATGTGTCTCTCTGTAACCAACTGTTAAGGAAAGATGAATAATATTAGTTGAACCAAATACAAGAGAAGCTGAATGTGAAGAAAACTCAAAGCGGTAGGCAACAATTAGCACTAACTAACCTGCAGTGCCATCTATGCAACTGCCATGGCAATGTAATACAACCTCCAACTATCTGCCAGTTGCACTCACTGGATTACTGACCTCAACATATAATAGGTGCTCAATAAATGTGAGTTTCCTTTTTGTCCTCCCAACTAGTTCAGTAGATAAAAAGTGAAACAAAAGATAAGCTCGAGGGAAAAAAAGCAAGCAGGTATATACAGCAGGTGTAAACAAAAGGGGGAAAAATCTTCATCAAATGTAATAATTTCAGGGGGAAAAAATAATTATTTTGCTGTTTTCTGAAATTTTTCCATCTTTCATAATAACAGCTTTTATTCAAAGGAGATGGCTGTGACCAGTGATTCCAATATATGGTATGGGCACAGAATGTTTCATAAACATTAATTAAGCATTAATATTTTAAAAATGTGCTTTTGGCCAGGTGAAGTGGCCCATGCTTATAATTCCAGCACTTTGGGAGGCTGAGGTGGAAGGATGGCTCGAGCCCAGGAGTTTGAGACCAGATAGGGAAACACAGCAAGACCCTGTCTCTACAAAAAAAAAAAAAAAAAATAGCCAGGCATGGTGGCAAGTGCCTGCAGTCCCAGCTATTTGGGAGGCTGAAGCAGGAGGACCGCTTAAGCCCAGGAGTTTGAGGCTGCAGTGAGCTGCGATCACATCACTGCACTCCAGCCTGGATGACAGTGTAAGACCCCATCTCTAAAAAACAAAGTGCTTTTATCTTCTAATTCCAATAGATCTAAAGAGAAGGCAAGCCTTTGTCTAAGACCGCAAAGCACATCAGGTACAACTAAATATAAAAATCTAAAATCTAATCACCAACTTATGTGCCATCCTGACCATCAGGTAAATATGAGACTCTATTTTACTAACATTAATATCTGCCTGAAGAGAACTTAGCTTTTCTTTCATAAATGATGGGAAACTATCCAAATGAAAAGAAAATAAGCAACTCCATGATTCTGTTCTCTTACCTTCCCGCATTGGGCTTTGTCCCATCTACTAGATATCTAGTGTCTGGGTACTGGAAAAGCAACTCTTCCTGAAGACCTACCAATGACCTCAACAATGCTTTAAGTGCCTTGTGACCTGGGAAATAAAGGACAGAGAAAGGACAATTAATTATCTACAATTCTCCAAAGTAGGTGATGCCTATAACTCATGACTCCTGAGCAGTTCTGGCTGTGGGGAGTGAAGGGGAGGCACAGGATACACACAGGAACTAAATACTCTCTGAAATATTCCCAAATGGAAATAACAACGTTGCCTACCTCACAGGATTGTTGTGAGGAACAAGCAAGATCATGCATGTAAGGTGCTTAGAAAAGTGTCTGCAAAGAGTAAGAGTCCAATACATTGTCAGCTCTTAAATGTATTAAGCTTGACAAACTCCTCCCCGGCCTCTCATTATAACCATTAATTTGTTCCGTTGGTGTTAAGTTTCTTAGGTATCTTCCTACAGGTTACCTGCTGACCTCCTGGACTATTCCTTATCAGTCAGCTCCTTGAGCACTTCCTTCTCTTCTCCTAAAGAGTAGGACTTTGTCTAGGCATCCCCACCACCAACACCTTCCACCTTGCCCCCAGGAGATCTCATGTGCCTCTGGTTTGAGCTGCCACATCCTTCACTCCATCTCTCAACACATATCCTTATGGAAAAGTTCCTGTTCACATACGAAAACCCAAGCTAATGAATCACTTTCTATTTGCAGTATTGAATTGTATATTAAAAATTTGGGCATTGAGAATATATTCTCACCTGGTTCTCCTTGGAGCCAATAAGATGCATATGTAATAGAGCTGGTCAAGATGATGTATATAGTCTACGGATAAAAACTTTCAGAATAAAAACTGGTCGGCCGGGCGCTGTGGCTCACGCCTGTAATCCCAACACTTTGGGAGGCCGAGACGGGTGGATCACAAGGTCAGGAGTTTGAGACCAGCCTAGCCAACATGGTGAAACCCCATCTCTACTAAAAAAAAAATACAAAAAAATTAGCTGAGGGTGGTGGTGGGTGGCTGTAATCCCAGCTACTTGGGAGGCTGAGGCTGGAGAATTGCTTAAACCCAGGAGGCGGAGGTTGCAGTGAGTCAAGATCATGCCACTGCACTCTGGCCTGGACGACAGAGCAAGATTCTGTCTGGAAAAAACAAAACAAAAAAAACTGGTCCTCGGGGAGGACTGCTTGAGTCCAGGAGTTTCAAGACCAGCCTCAGCAACACAGTGAGACCCCGGCTCTAACCAAAAAAAAAAAAAAAAAAATTTAGCCAGGCATGGTGGTGCGTACCTGTAGTTCCAGCTACTTGGTGGAGGGGCCCTGAGGTGGGAGGATGGCTTGAGCCCAGGAGGCTGAGGCTGCGGTGAGCAGTGATCACTCCACGGCACTCCAGCCTGAGCAATAGAGTGAAGGTGAGACCCTGTCTCCAAAAAAAACCACACACACTGAACAAACCTCATCCTCAGCCAGGGGCAGTGCTTATGCCTATAATCTCAGAACTTTGGAGGCCAGGTGCAGTGGCTCATGCCTGTAATCCCAGCACTTTGGGAGGCGGAGGCGGGTGGATCATCTAAGGTCAGGAGATCGAGACCAGCCTGGCCAACATGGCGAAACCCCGTCTGTACTAAAAGTATAAAAATTAGCCGCGCACGGTGGTGTGCACCTGTAATCCCAGCTACTCAGGAGGCTGAGGCAGGAGAATTGCTTGAACCTGGGAGGCAGAGGTTGCAGTGAGCTGAGACTGTGCCACTTTACTCCAGCCCGGGCGACAGAGTGAGACTCTGTCTCAAAAAAAAAAAAAAAAAACTGTGGGAGGCCAGGACGGGATGATTGCTTGGGCACAGGAGTTTGAGTCCAGCCTGCTGAACACAGTAAGACCCCAGCTCTACAAAATTTTTTTTAAAAACTAGCCGGTTTTGATGGTGCGCACTATAGTCCCAACTACTTGGGAGGCTGAGATGGGAGGATTGCTGGAGCCCAGGAGTTTGAAGTTACAGTGAACTACAATTATGCCACTACACTCCAGCCTGGGCAACAGAGCGAGACGCTGTCTCCAAAATCTCCCCGCAAAAAACAAAACTGGTCCTCTGACAACAGAATTCTTACCTTCTCTATTAGAATAACCCTACTCAAGGGGCTAACTAGACACTGAGAGTCACCATTTATGTGTTGAAAGTACTCAGACACCTCTCCTATAATCAAACTCTCACATTTCCAGTGACTGCCAGAAAATCTTCATGTGGTTGTTCCATCACTCCTTCACACATACTGTGTCAGAAACAGAACTTTTTTCTTCCTGCTTAATACCTCTCCCTGTCTGAACCTCTCTGCATTGTTCAATGTGTTTTCATAGATCACTCACATTTGGGTGCTCTTATTCTAGATGTTTAACTGGTTGCTGAATTCTGTGTTTTCCATTCTTACTGTCACTAATAATTGCCCATTTATCTCTGGCCATGCTTCTATCACTCCTTCCATTTTTCACTTAGTAACTGTAGTCTCACAAGCATCCCTACTTCCGTTCAACAATCCCGACATTCATATATTTACATTTCACACAAACTGTAGCCCACACAAACTTAGGTTAAATGATTTTTATGTCTTATTCTTTCTTTTCTGCTTCTGCTTCTACCCTGTCCAGCATGAGCAGACTTCTCACTAGTTTATATCCCAACTTTTTCCATCAGTAGGACACCAATACATGAGTTAGACAAGTTCTCCATATATTTCATACTATAGCATTCTATTTCAATGTCAGGCCTGAGAGCCAACCTACCTGAGAGAGCCATCTCAGACTAGTCAGAAAGAACTCAATGGTCCAATAACTACTTTGCATTCCTTCAAATAATCTGCATATCAAACTATATAAATACAACTTCCTTGTTTAAAATAAGGTCTTTGATTACATCATTTCTAAATTCTGTAATCCTTTATAATCTGCATATCATACCACTTGGGAGAATTTGTAATACATAACTATCACCAAAAAAACTCAAAATGCCTTTGTTCCAAACCAAGATTCTTAACCAGTTGCTCTCTGTCTTAAGAAAAAAATCAGTCTGGGCACAGTGGCTCACACCTGTAATCCCAGCACTTTGGGAGGACGAGGTCGGCAAATCACTTGAGGTCAGGAGTTCAAGACCTGCCTGGCCAACATGGTGAAACCCTGTCTCTACTAAAAATACAAAAAAAATCAGCCGGGTATGGTGGCGCATGCCTGTAGTCTCAGCTACTCGGGAGGCTGAGGCAGGAGAATCACTTGGACCCGTGAGGTGGAGGTTGCAGTGAGCCAAGACTGCACCACTGCACTCCAGTCTGGGCGACAGAGTGAGACTCCATCTCAAAAACAAAAACAAAAAAACTAAGGCCTGATGTGGTGGCTCACACCTGTAATCACAGCACTCTGGGAGGCTGAGGTGGATAAACTGCTTGAGACCAGGAGTTCAAGACCAGCCCGGACAATGTAGGAAGACCCTGTCTCTACAAAAAAATACAAAAATTAGCCAGGTATGGCAGCGTACACCAGTAGTCCTAGCTACTTGGGAGGCTGAGGTGGGAGGATCCCTTAAGCCTAGGTGGTTGAGGCTGCAGTGAGCTGTGATCACGCCACTGTACTCCAGCTTGGGTGATAGAACAACATGCTGTCTCTAACAATAAAATTTTTAAAAATTAAAAAAAAAGAAACACTAAAAAAAATTTTCCCAGAAGGGACTTTAAAATAATTAGGCTAAGTGAAATAAGCCAGTTGCAAAAGGAAAAATATTGTATAATTCCAGTTACATGAGGTACCTAAAATCATTAAATTCATAGAGACAGAAAGTCCAATAGTAGTTACCAGGGGCTGAGAAGAGGGAAATGGAGAATTACTGTTTAATGATACAGAGTTTCAGTTTGGGATCATGAAAAGGTTCTGGAGGTGGATGGTGGTGACGGTTGCACAACAATGTGAATGTCCTTAATGACAATGAACTGTCCACTTAAAATGATAAGCTTTATGTCATGTATATTTTACCACCATTAAAACAAACAAACAAAAAAAACAACAAAAAAACACTGGGCTGGGCGCGGTGGCTCACGCCTGTAATCCCAGTACTTTGGGAGGCTGAGACGGGTGGTCACGAGGTCAGGAGATGGAGACCATCATGGCTAACACCATGAAACCCCATCTCTACTAAAAATACAAAAAATTAGCTGGGCGTGGTGGCACGTGCCTGTAGTCCCAGCTGCTCGGGCAGCTGAGGTGGAAGGATTTCCTGAACCCGGGACGGGGAGGTTGCAGTGAGCCAAGATTGTACCACTGTACTCCAGCCTGGGCAACAGAGCAAGGGTCCATCTCAAGGAAAAATAAAAATAAAAATAAAAAAATCCCAAAACCAGAGTATAATAAATAATCCCACCATCACAGTTCATCGTTGTATAGAAAAGAGTCATCTATAATGCTTCAAACTGAGCCTACTCAAAAAAAAAAAAAAAACAAAACAAAAAACAAACAGGAAAAAGCAATGGAGTATTAGTCAGACTTAAAAAGGAAGAAAATTCTGACATGCTGCAACATGGATAAACCTTGGGGACATCATGCTAAGTAAAATAAGCCAGTTAGAAAAAAGACAAATACTATTTCCAATATATGAAGTACCTACAGTAGTCAAAATCACAGAGAGAAAAGCAGAATGGTGGCTACCAGGGGTTGGAGAAAGAGGGAAATGGGGAGCTGTTGTTTAATGGGTTGAGTTTCAGTTTTGCAAGATGAAAAAGTTCTGGAGATTGGTTGTACAACAATGTGAATATATTTAACACTACTAAACTGTACACTTAAAAATGGTTAGGATAGTAAATTTTGTTATATGTTGTGTACCACAATGAAAAATTTAGGCTAGTTACCGTGGCTCATGCCTGTAAACCCAACACTTTGGGAGGCCAAAGGAGAGGATCATTTGAGCCCAGGAGTTTGAGACCTGCCTATATAACACAGTGAGACACTGACTGTCAAAAAAAAAAAAAAAAAGAAAAGAAAGAAGAAGAAGAAGAAAGAAGAAAGAAGAAAGAGGAAGAAAGAAGAAGAAGAAGAAAAAAGAAAGAAGAAAGAAGAAGAAGAAATCAGCCAGGCGTGGTGGCACACGCCTATAGTCCCTGATACTTGGGAGGCTGAGGTGGGAGGATCACTTGAGCCCAGGAGTTCGAGGCTGCAGTGACCCATGATCATCCCACTGCACTCAAGTCCGGGTAACGAAGCAAGACCCTGTCTCAAAAAAAAAAAAGAAAGAAAAGTTAAAAGAACAAGAAGAGCAAAGTGTCTGACCCTTAATTCCTGTAAGTACCATGTGTCCACGATCTAAAAAATAAAATCAACAACCACCCAGAGAATAAGCTGCAAAGCAGTCTATATTATTTATAGCTACTTGTCCTCAACATGCATGTCAGAATTTGACTCTAACATATCGCATACCCAAGAATTGTGAAAATATCCAACAAAAGACTACAACTTTTAAGGGCCATTTTCAAGTAGCTATGCGAGCCTTTTTATGTTGTTCAAGTCAGTTTTTAAAAAATCCATTGCAGATATATTAGGCAGCATATCAATCCAACAAGAAAGCAGAGAGCCAATATCAGTAAATCAAAGTGTGCCTTTCTGTTAATACTCTCTCATATGTTCTCATTTTATACACCCCTTCACCCAGTCAGAAAGTGGCCCTGGAGTATTTAGGCTCCATTCAGGGATAGCACTACCATGCATCAAAGTGTCAAGAGACCTACCAGAGATGAAATCTGCAAATCTGTACTTCTAACCACCAAAAAAAAAAAAAAAAAAGTTTATCAAAGTAAATGTCACCAGTGGCCCAATACATGGACAACTTCCTATAAAGAGATTTAGAACACAATTCTTATTTCTTTGCAATATTAGGGCTGCATTTCCTTCTAGATGGCATGTAAAATCTGAGACAATGGGACAATCCTTTGCTGCAAATGGTAAGCCTCCTCCAAGCCAGAGCTGACAAGAGTGAGGGAAAGACTCTCTCCCGGAAACTCAAATCCAACAGTGAATTCTTCCCAGCCAAAACAAACAAATAAACACATTTAAAAAAAAACCACTCTCTATTATTCATACAGGACTGAATTCTAGCTGTTCAACCCTGTGAATAATAAATAGAATGAATCAACAGTTTCTAATTCACCTCTAATTTTTCTCCCAATTATTACAAGAGTTAAAAGTTAAGAAAAGCAGCAAAGATTCATATACTTTCTTCCCTCTCCCTCTTGGCACATGGCCACAAAACAAACGGATACTGTCAAGAATATATATGTTTATTTTACCCTACATGGTCCATTTCCAAAGGTCTTTCCCTTAAGAGGAGATTAAGAAGGACATATGCCTCATCATATTACCAAGATTCAACCTTAGCATCTGGCCACCAGCTTTAGGAATAATTTTCAGTAGAGGATAAATGTAAACAGTACTTTACTGGGGGTTAGGGGCCCTGTATTTCAACTGACACTGTCACTAACTAGTCATGTTATGCTGAATGGACCAATTTAATCTCTTTGAGTCTCAATTTTCTCGTTTATAAAATGTGGACAAGCCTTTGCTTGTCCTTACAAAATAAGGTAAAAATAGTAACTGTGTTATTATATATTAAGGCATTTTAGAATTTTTTTAATGCTGTAAAAATAGAAGGCATATTACTATCAAAAATCATATTTCACATGGTAAAAATCTTAAGCTCTGCTTGTACTAGGATTGGACAGTATTCACAGACTCCTATATTAGGTATTCATTTATATGCTACCCATATGCAAGCATTCTATATATAAAATGTCACCAATCTAAAAACCATTTTCACCTAACAGCTTTATTTTTTTCCCTGATTCATCTAGGCTGTCCAACATAAACAAAACTGTAAGCGAGGAATAAGTTTGGGCATGGACACACAGTTCATTAATTAGATTATAAACCAGTAAGTACAATTTCTGGCAATGGCGTGAAGCGAGAACAGGAAGAGTGAGTGTATAAAGTAAATAAAGCTTATCAGTTTTTAAATATCTATACAGTTGTTTTTAAATAAATACGCAAACATTACAATTATTTATGTACAAGTACACATAAACTCCCCCATTCATATTACCCCAGATAAATACATTGAATTGGAATTTACAGATTACAAGAGCATTTTTTTCTCCTTCAAAAGTAACTCTAGAACTAGAGCTAAACTATAGGTCAAAATGACACACGATATATTGGCCTGAGAACAATACTTTTCATTCAAATCCACACAAGCCTGCCACTTGCACTAGTCATCCCCAGCAATTAATCCCCCAAGAAAGACGTTTGATTAAATCTTTTCAAGCAAATCCTTTGCTTTGCTTTTGTTAGTTCACTTCTTGTCAACATCTATTAAAATATGCCTTTAATTCTCCCACAATCTTAAAAAACACCGATTCCACTGTCTTCAACTTTAATCAACTGTATGGCCGGCATTTTTCATTTCATAATAATGTGCTGCTTGGAATTCAAGAGGCAGGCTCAGCATCAATCATCTGGTAAGAATTTTTCCACTGCAATAAATATGCAAATGAGGAGAGCCAGTCAGTCGTATTTCAGGCCCGACTTGCTAGTGTTTTAAAAAAGACACAAATTTATTAATTGCCGGTGGCCAGAGGAATCCTATTACTTTGGGCATTGATTACAAAGCTGTGTGAGTGATTATTGTGCAACTCGCGGGCTACCCAGGCATGAGGAAAAATTATTAAAGCAAGGCAGAGATTATCAACTCAGAATAACAATAAGCCTTAACATTTAGGCCCTAACTTCTTCAACAAAGAATTGCGTGAAGGCTCCACTGTATCATAATTCCGAATTCTGTCAGTATTACTGTTTGGGCTTGTTCTATATTCCCCAAGCAGAATGGCGTTACCAGTAAGACAGAGGACTGCAGGTTACAAATTCCTCAACATCAACCATTTGGATAAGTTGCTATCATTTCCAACATATGGCCAACTAGAATTTCTAGATATCCAAGTGTATATACACATATACAGGTATATGTGTATATATATTCAGATTTAGATAAATGTGTGTGCTATTATGAGGACCATGGTTTTAACTGGAATAGTGTGAGGACTTCTGTCCCAGTTTGTTGGTGAGCTCTGCGGACTAAAAGTAGAATTTTTTTTTTATGGTACAAAATAACCACAAGGAGAACTTTTCAAAGCAGAATGTAGAGACTTATATTCTAAAATCATGAAGGCTAAGCCAAAAGCAGACGTGGGTTTTCATATCTCAGAGGGCACCACAGTAGAAGGCGTGCGATCTATGCAGGAGTGTATGGAGGAAACAACTTGATAGGCTAATTCTGAATGCAAAGTGTTTTTGTGAGAAACGTTCAACTCAAGATATATTAAATCAAATAAGAAAGAGGATTCAGTGGACAAAACTTATTTTTTTCTTTTAAGAGAATGATGTGGGGAATTGGGGGAGTAAGTACAAGTTGAAATAAGGGAATGCTGAAGAGACATATGATAAAATATATGTTGGGTGAGTCTCCTCATAGAAAGAAACAAAAAGAAAAAAAAATTCTTACCATTTTACATTACTGCCACACTAAGTAACATGATAGATAGTGTGCATTTGAGTTCTGTGGAGGGACATCCCACTCAAGCTGTAATTTCTGACCAGGCATGAATTTATAAGGAAGGGAAAAGAACTGCAGAATTTCTTAGGTTTCCCTGAATACTCTCTCAAATACCTTGATGAAGTATGTCAATAAATCCTTAAAAAGCCCTATAGGACACAGCAATCTAGCTGATCAATGTACTTCCTGAAATCTACTACAGTTACCTTCCACTTCACAGTTCCTAGACAACCTGCATCGCTACTGAGCACTTTGCCAAAAAGGAAAATTTACTCTCCCCCTTTAAACAGAAAAGAGTAAATGTTCAGAATATGAGATACTTAAAAACCAAGTTTATTTACAAGTACTGTAATTGTTTAAACTGTCTTACAGTAGTTACTCAGGGAGAGTGCGGATACTTTCATTTTTATTTGATATACTTTTGAACTGTTTGAATATTTTATAAGCATATATTACTTTTACAATTTAAAATTTTATTAAAATTTAAAATAAACTGTGAAGAAAGGAAACTTATTAAAAATAAAATTAGAACCACAATCCAAGTAACCCCTCTGATTTTTAAGAAGTCTCACTCTTTCATATTATAACGTCTTTAAAAAAAAAAACAGCCTCTGCTGTGGTGAAACTGTCTCTAAGCAAATGCCCAAATTCTCTCTATAGTATGGGTCTGGAAAAAACTGATGAAAATGGAGATTCAGAAAATACCTTTCTAAAACAGGGATTCCATGCAGAATTAATCACTCCTCTCTCAGGATTCTTCATATCGTTACAACACTTAACCATTTTGTGCTGTGTCTGATTTCACCACCTTAAAGCTGCTTCAGGGCAGCTTCAGCCTGTCATCCAGCATCCAACACATCACCTGGGCCATAAAAGGTATGCTACAAATGTTTTCTTCATTTAGAGAGATGTTGCCTAAGTCGCATGGCAGAATATGATCACACTACCACTTCCAAATCTAAATGCTGACAAACAAAATGTAGACTACATACTTCCTAACTTTAATATCAACTATGTATCTTCAACAAACTGACCTTTTGTTAAGCAAGTAGTCAAACAACATTTTCTTTATTTTAATATACCAACTATAAGATAATCGGGCTACTCCCGATTATCTTAGAGTGTCTCAAAACCATTTTGCCAGACAGAAATTTAAAAACAAAAACAATTAACAACTTTTGCTAGGCACATTACAATGCATTCTCCTGAAAATTTAGTAATTACCATCGCTTAAATTGAAACACTGAGACTCAGAAAATAAAAGATTGTTTTAATTGTGTTTCTTTTAATACTAGTAAGACTAAGGTTTGTTTATTCTCCAACTCAAAATGAAACACTTTGAGAGGTTGTGTTTACGTAAAAACACTTAAATGATGCTTTAAAAGCAGCTTCACCTTACTATGAGCTCCTTGAGAGCAGAAACTGTAAACTACTCACTTGGGTATGTTTGGTGTTGGCAAATGGTATTGAATGAATAACTGAAAAAGAAATAATAACATCCTAATATCTTCCTTGGTATGTACTTTTTACATGTGCATTTCAAGTCTTCAAAGAACTAGCTGTATGTATAGTACTGTCTTTATTCACCTAATCCTTTCAAGAAGAGGAAAACAAATACTGTGGCCCAAGAGCTATATCCTTAAAAGATTGTACCATCACTATTCAGATTAATAGTTAATACTCAGTAAGGACCTGCTAAGTACCACACACTCGCCTAAGCACTTTATATGTACTAATTCATTTAAGTCCTCTAACAATCCTTTGAGGTAGATACTATTATTGCATCACCATTTTACAGATACAGAAATTGAAACACTACTATAAGCTTAAAAAACAATTGCACAGTTTTCATTTTCTAGATCAATGTACCCTTGAGGGTTATGTATCAAAACTATCTGGGAAACAGAGTGTAATGAAATTTTCAATTACTAAAAAAATGACAAAACTTCCCTCCCCAATACCATCACATGATAAAAAACACAAGTGAGATTCTGTTAAAATGTCATGTCCAAACTTGATTCCCACACTTGAAAAAACAGTGGAGACACTAAAGGAAGCCCACATCACATGGATGGAAAGCAGGTCCAGTAAGGCAAGATAAAGCAATACTTGCTGAATTTGAAAGAAGAATGTTAACAAATGGATTAATAGTCTCCAAAATTCAAAAGCCCATGTACATCAGAGAAGATGCTTAGCTTTACTAATAAAAATAATTTTTTAAAGAAAAACTTAAAACAGTGGGATATTTTTCTGATAATGCTTGATGCTGGCAAAAACGTGCCGAAAGGGGCACTCTGCGTACACAACTGATGAGTTTAGTTAGCATGACATAGCCAGAAAGCAATCTGGCAAAACGTATCAAAGTTTTATATATGCCTAGCTCCTGACCTACTGTTCTTCTAGAAACTAACCCTCAGGAAATACTTTTAAAGCAAAGAGGTAGGTACAAAAATGTTATTTGCAGCATTGTTTATAATAGGTAGAAACTGCAAACATCTTAAGTGTCCATTTATAGGGGACTACTTAATTTTAGTTTAGCCAGGTAACTTTTTGTGCAGCTGTTGAAAAGGATTAGTATAAAATGGAACTTGGCTTAAGTAAACCAAACTATAAAAAACTTTTTGGGATAAACGAAGTAAAGTGAATATGAAGTACGCATACAGTATTAGGAATATTAATTTAGTTAGGTGAGATGACAATGTTACTAAGAAACATCCTCATTTTTTAGAGCTATAAACAGAAATATTTAGAGGCAAATGGCATGATTGTAATTTACTTTAAAACGCTTCAAAAAGAAAAAAAAGCAAATATAACAAACATTAATTTTAACGAAAAAAAAGACCTGCAGGCATTGACATGGGAAGATGTAAAGCATAATTTCATTTATGTTTTGAAAAAAGTTTATATTGACACAAAGTATCTGGAAGTCAGATAAATTATTTAAAATGGTTATCTCTAGAGGACACTTTTACGAGTGGGAAAAATAATACTTTCACAATCTACGTTACATATTTCACTAAGTATTGTTGGGCAGGAAGAAACAGACTCAGTACTGTCTGAAAGAAAATAACATCTCACAACAAACAAGTTTTACTTTTATTATTTTTTAAGGCAATTAAGATTAAACTTCAACAATACAAAGAGGTCTTCTGAGGTAGATATAATTCCAGAAAACCAAACAAGAAGAAACAGATTAAAGCAAAAAAAAGGAGAATTAGAGTGGCATTAAGGTTGACTGACAAGAAGATCATCTATCCCTAGAACCAGTTCAAAATTTTCCCTGTTTGATTCACAAAAGAAATAGCAAGGACCAATAAATGTAAGGGAGCAAAAATGTTTATCTTCATTAAACATTGGGAAATGTAAATTAAAATAACAGATACCATTTCCCAGATACCACTTGTCAAAGTGACAAAGATGAAACAAAATTATTGTATCCGATGTTGACAAGGATAAGGAAAACTGACACTCATATAAAAAGGTGAGCATGTACAAATACAACTTTTCTGGAAGGCAACTTGGCCATATAGATAAAAAGCCTTAAAATTTTGCATATTCTTAGAAAATATACTAATTCCACATTTAGAGATTTATGCAACAAAGTAAGTATGCATATGAGTAAAGATTTACTAATAATGATGTTTACTACATCATTTATAAAAATGAAAACCTGGAAACAATCCAAATGTCCAACAATAAAGAACTGGTTAAACTATCCACACAATGGAAACTCTATGCTATCATTAAAAATAATGCTATAGAACAATATTTAATGACAAGGAAAAATATTCATAATTTCTGTTAAGTAGAAAGAAATGGACTGCAAAACAAATTACAGAATAGAGTCCCATTTTTGTTCTAAGTACATAGCCACTGAGAAGAAAAACCTAGAAAAGATATTTACCATGTACCAAAATATTAAAAATACTTAACTCTTAGCTGCTAGGATTAGGGAAGAAATATTTCCTTAATTTTGCTTGGCTATTTTCTGTCTTTTCCTTTTTTTTTTTTTGAGATGGACTCTCGCTCTGTCGCCCAGGCTGGAGTGCAGTGGCACGATTTTGGCTCACTGCAACCTCCACCTCCCAGGTTCAAGCGATTCTTCTGCCTCAGCCTCCCGAGGCAGGGATTACAGGCGTATGCCACCACGCCCAGCTAATTTCTGTATTTTTAGTAGAGACAGGGTTTCACCACGTTGGCCAGGCTGGTCTTGAACTCTTAACCTCTAGTGATCCACCTGCCTCGGCCTCCCAAAGGTCTGGGATTATAGGCGTAAGCCACCGTCCCCAGCCTGCTTGGCTATTTTCTAAATTTTATATAAGGAATACATATTGTATTTTTATAATTTATCATGAGAAAAAAACATTATTTATCACCTAAAAAATGGTCTTACCTGCCTAAAGGAGAAGGAACTAGATCAGCTGACCCCCTGAAAGTCTAACTCTTAGTGAATGAAACAGTATCCAGGAAATAGCATCTTTAGAAAAACTGAAGGACATGTCTACTTCTTGTGCTCTAAGCCTTCTGTTCTATAACAAATTCATCTCCATATTTCTCCTGCCTTCATTGCTTTAAGCTGTGACATTTATTCCATATCTATGTTTCTTCATACTCTCTTTGAAAAGGGGAGAAAACCCTCAGATGAAAAGAGTTAAGTTAAACCATATGCATAGTGAGTGGGCAGTGTGGCCAAGAGCAACGTTTGTGAGGCACAGCAGACCTCAGTTTCTACACTGGCTTTGCCTCTCACCAATTGTGTGACTGTGTTGTACACAGTCCTTTAAAAAAAGGATAAATCCTTTAAAATCCTTTAAAAAAAGGATTTACTTTCTACTTTTTCACCATAGCCCCCTCTTTTGAATAATTTGTTCCTATTTTGGTACAATGTATCCTTAAGGAGTTTCAATGAGTTGTGAAATAATTGTTACTCACAAGCAAAAAGAAAGGAAAAAAGAAAGAAAGAAGAAAAGAAAAAGCAGGATTAACTGCAATTGCCCTTACAACTGAGAAACTTGCATCTTGCACTTTCACCATGTAAATAATGCACAGATCCTGCGGGAACATGCCAAACACCAAGATTCTTAATTAATGGAGCTCTTTAATGTGCAAATCAGGAACAAATTGCAAGTTCTGACTTGCATTGATTATGAAAACATTAATTGAATGAGCAAGACCCTAAAAAAGACAGAATCCCGAGTCTTCCAAGAGACAGAAAGAATACAAAGCTCTGGAAACCAGACAAGTCTGACCAATGTCTAAAATGTAAACCTAAAACTGAGTGTTCTCACTAGTAAACAATGAATTAAAAAACAAGAAACAAACAAAAAACCCCAACAGTTTCATCAGACAGCAATCATGATAAATGCATCTATTACACTATCATCTTGCATTAGGAAAAAAAAAAAAAAATGTTTACTCCAGAAGCTTACAGACACTGCTTTAAGAGGGGGAAAAAAACACTTTCTATACACACACACTTACATGTATATAGGTGTAACAAAACAATGCTGTCTCTTTAAAAAAAAATTCATCCTATATAAATTATAGCCATAAACTTTTCCTGCAGTGCAGCCTAATTAATTCTTGTTCTATACACAAAGGGAAATGCTGGGTGACAAATGGGTGTGAAGCCAGAAAGCTGCCAGGTCTGCAAAACATTTTCTACTTCAATTTATAAGCAATTTTGCAGTAAATCATCAACCAGAACCTGGAATCTCAGGAATCTCTGAGTGTCCAAACCACATTATATCACTTATCAAAGAGAGAAGGAAAAAGAGTTTAAAGACATCTCATTTTTCAGTTCTAACCCACATCAAAATCTAGAAGCTCTGTGTAATCTATTATTCTCTTCTGGGTAAGGTTTCAGTACCAAGGATATATATTTCAAGCAAAAATGACACTATAGGTTGATGTGGCCCATTCCTCTATCCCTAGAAGTACTGTATCATGTATCCATTACCATAAGAAATATTCCCAGAGTTATCTGGGAATAAGCACACATATACCCCCTCCCTCAATCCAAGCAAAACGTACACAACAATCAAGCCAGGCTGAAGGGTTCAACAGAGAGCCACTGTGGAAAACAGGTGGAAAATACTCCAAGGAAACAAGATTAGTGGAGAGGAAAATAGAAACTCATAGAAAACAAAGAAGAAAGCTGGGCTGCCTCTTTGCACTCGGACCTTTCTCCCATTCCTAATCCATGGTAGCCACTGATCTGTCCCAATAATTTTACCTTTTCCAGAATGTCATATAAATGGAATTTCCAAGTATAAAATCTTTTGAGGCTGGCATATTTCACTTAGTATAATACCCTTGAGGTTCATCCACGTTTTTGCATGTATCAATAGTTTATTCCTTTTTATTGCTGACTAATGTACAATTTGTTGCACATTTGGACATTTGGGCTGTTTCCAGTTTTTGGTGATTATAAATAATGCTGCTATGAACGTGCATGTACAAGACTTTGTGTGAATGTATGTCTTCATTTTTCTAGGGCAGATATCTAAGACAGAGACTACTGGATCAGGCTCGTATGATGAATATATGTTTAGCTTTATTTAAAAACTGCCAGACTGTTTTTCCAAAGTGGCTGTACTATTTTGCATTCCCATCAGCAATGTATGAAAGCTCCAGTTGCTCTACATTCTTCCCAGCACTTGGTGTTGTCAGGTGTGTATTTGTGTTTGGCCTAATAGGTATGTAGAGGTATCTCCTTGTGGTTTTAATTTGCATCTTGCTAAACATTAATGATTAAGTTAAATCTCTTTTCATGTGCTTATTTGCTATCATATATTGTCTTTGGTAAAGTGTCCAATCTTTTGCCCATTTTTTTTTGAATGGGTATTTTTTATTGTTGAGTTTTGAGAGTTCTTTATACACTCTGGACACAAGCTGATTGTTAATTATGTGATCTGCAAACATTTCCTCTTGGTCTATAGCTTATCTTTTCATTATTTTAACATATCTTTCACAGAGCAAAAGATTTTAATTCTGATTTGGCCCAATTATCAATTTGTTCTTTTATGGATTCTGTTTTTGATATTGTATTTAAAAACTCTTTGCCTAACCCAATGACATAGAGTTTTCTCCCATATGTTTTTCAAAACACTTTATGATTTATATTTAAGTTAATATAAATTGACTGTCTTGTGTTAATTTTTATATCAAGTATGAGGTACAGGTTGAAGTTTTTTTTTTGCAAATGAGTGCACAATTGTCCCAGCACCATTTGTTGAAAAGACTATCCAGGCCGGGAATGGTGGCTCATGCCTGTAATCTCAGCACTTTGGGAGGCCGAGGCAGGAGGGCAGGAGTTCGAGACCAGCCTGGGAAACGTAACAAGACCTCATCTCTAAGAAAAATAAAGAAAATTTAGCAGGCCATGATGGCATACACCTGCAGTCCCAGCTACTCAGGAGGTTAGGGTGGGAAGACTGCATGAGCCAGGAGCTCAGTGCTGCAGTGAGCCATGATCGTCACTGCATTTCAGCCTCCACAAAAGAGGAAGACACTGTCTCTTAAAAAAAAAAAAAAAAAGAAAAAAGAAAGAAAGAAACTATCCATTCTCCACTGACTTGACTGACTTGACTTTGCACCTTTAAAAGTCAACTGCCCATTATTTGTATGAATTTGTTTCAGAACTCTCTATTCTATTCCACTGATTAAGGTAACTTTTTTAAAAAGTAACTTTTAAAAGGAGTAAACCCACAAAAGAAAGGCAAAGAATGAGAGACAGGATAGCAACTCAGTTCTGTAACCTACCTATACAATTATTAGAATGTTTAAAATTAAGAACATACCAAATGTTCTGAGGAAGTGGAGCAACTAGAAATCTCATACACTGCTGGTGGGACTGCAAAATGGTATAACCACTTTGGAAAATAGCTTGGCAGTTTCCGAAGTTAAACATGCATTTACCATGCGACTCAGCCATTCTATTCTTAGCTACCCAAGAGAAATGAAAGTCTATGTCCATATAAAAACATCTATACAAATGTTTGTAGCAGATTTATTTGTAATAGCCAAAAACTGGAAACAAAACAAATTGTGGTATATCCATACAATGGGATACTACTCAGCAACAAAAGGCAATGAACTACTGACACAAGAAAAAATATGGAGGATGCTCAAAATAATTATGCTGAGCAAAAGCCAGACTAAAAAGGATACAAACTGTATAATTCCACTTATATAGATTTCTAGAAAATGCAAACTAACCCATAGTGACAGCAGATTTAGTGGTTGCCTAGGGACAAATAGGGAAGGCCAGGAGGGAAAGATTATAAAGAGGCTGAGGAAACTTCTGGGGATGAGGAATATGTTCATTATCTTGACTGGTGATGGTTTCCCGGGTGTATATAAATGTCAAATTACACACTGGACATATGGGCAATTTATTATGTCAATTATATCTCAACAAACCAGTTTTTGAAAAAGCAAATGGACAAATAATAACTGACTTAGCTAACCTAAGCAAGATGACTGGGGTGCTAGCAATGAAGAATCAGATGCAACCTCACTTACAGTCCAGAAACAGAATGCAGAGGACTCAGGAACTGGCAGTGCCCAGCACCTCTAGAAAAGGAGATCAAAGCAGGCCTAAAAACAAGTGGAGCAGTTAAAATATCATATCTTCTTATTTAGACAAAATTTAGAGGTTTATCCTTGAAGAGAGCTAAAGAGAGGGTCTCTGGACAGGGAGATTCCAGATCATAGTTGAGGGCAAAGGCATAATATTGAAAACAGGGGGACTAAGCTGAAGTTTACAGACTGAATGCCTAGATCCCCAAGCCTACCCACCTCCTAGAATGTTGGCCACCAGGCAGGAAACTGGAAGTCCTCTAGATTTTGATCTCATAAAGAGCAAAGATCTAAAGACACTGCCATTGGGAGTTCTTCCAAAATGGTGCAGATAGATTGCTTTACAATGGAAACCATAGACAAAAAGCCCCATCCAACATACAAAGTTCCCAATCAACTTTTTGGTATGATACACTTAAAAATCAACAGAGACCGCAGAGGATCACCAAAAATCCAAGAAAAACATGTAACATGTTACACAGGAGTTAAAGCGAAAGCAAAAAAACAACAACAAAAAAAGCAGCTTAGAGGAAACAGACTATGCAGGAAGAACACATACAAAAATACATAGGCCAGGCGCTAAAGTTCACATCTGTAATGTCAGCGCTTTGGGAGGCTGAGGCAGAAGGATCGCTTGATCACTCGAAGCCAGGAGTTCAAGACCAGCCTGGGCAACACAGCAAGACCTCATCTCTACTAAAAATAAAAAATAGCCAGATGGGATGGCATGCACCTGTAGTCCTAGCTACTCAGGAGGCTAAGGCAGGAAGATAACCTGAGCCCAGGAGTCTGAGGCTGCAGTGAGCTATGATCACACCACTGTACTCCGGTCTAGGTGACAGAGTGGGACCTTCTCTTGAAAAAAGAAAAAAGAAAAAAACCCAAACAATAAAATAAAATAAAATAAAAATATGATAGAAGAGGCCATCCACGGTAGCTTACGCCTATAATCCCAGTGCTTTGAGAAGTCAAGGCAGGTAGATCACCTAAGCTCAGGAATTTAAGACAAGCCTGGCCAACACAGCAAAACCTCATCTCTACAAAAACTACAAAGAATTAGTTAGGCGTGGTGGCGTGCACCTGTAGTCCCAGCTACTTGTGGGGCTGATGCAGGTGGATTGCTTGAGCCCAGGAGGCCAAGGCTGCAGTGAGCCGAGATCAAGATCAAGCCTGGGTGACAAAGTGAGAGCCTATCTCAAAAAAAAAAAAAAAAAAAAAAAAAAAAAAGAAAGAAGGAAAGAAAGAAAAAGAAAAAAGAAAAAAATAGAAGAAAATTTTAAAAACTCAATAGAAAGTACTGAAAATAAAGCTGAGGAAATGTCTTAGAAGAGAGAGGGAGGGATGAAAAATTGAAGAGAAAAAGAATCACAGAAACAGTCTGATGCCAAGTAATAGGCCTTCCAGAAAGAGAGAGGACAGAGAGAAAGGAAACACAGGGGAGATAGTAAAAAACAAAATAATTTCAAGAGGATTTTCCAGGACTGAAAGATATGAATTTCTAGATTGAAAAGGCCCTCCAAGTGCTCCAGACAACAGACAAAAACAGATCTACGCTACGGTGCATCATTATGAAATTTCAGAATTCTGTGGACAAAGAAAAGTCTGCAGTTTCCAAAAAGAAAAAAAAAAAAAAAAAGGCAAGGTCTGGAATCAGAACAGCTTCTGACTTACCAATTGCAACTTTAGAAGCTGAAATACAATGTAACATTCTATAGAATTCTATATACAAACCATCAATTGTGATGATAGAATAAAGGTATTTTAAGACAACTGAAGTCTAAAAAAATTTACCTCCCACACACCCCTTCTCAGCAAGCTATGAGAGGATGTGCAACAAAAATTGGAAGTAGCCAAGAAAGACTCTGGAATAGGAGATCCACAGAAGCAAGAAGCTAAGGTAACACCCAGGATGACGGTGAAGGCACATCCCAGCATGACAGCTGGACACCTGAGAAGGTGAACAGGCCAGATGACAGCAGGTCGAAAAGCTCTGGGAGAGACTTAAGGAACATCAACTGGCACAATATTTGATGCAACTTTAGACTTGAGAAGAGATTTAGCTAACTGGAGAAAAGTTTGGGCTTGAATTACTACACAGAAAACTCAAACAAAAATGTAACAATCAACTCTAGAAAACAAAACAATGTGTGGGAAAGGAAAATAATCATAGTGTATTTATTACATGGCTCAGCTGTGAAAAGTGTTTACAGACATAATAATGTAAATACTGAACACTGATCTAACCAAACTACAATATAACCACAAAGGGACAAATTAATAACATAACCAGAAAGTATGCATGAGTGTAGTAGGAATAAGAGCTAAATCTTCATTTTTATAAAGGGGAGTCAACAAGTAATGCCTAAAACTGAAAAGTCAAGTAGAAACAAACCATGTTAATTAGAGAAACCCATGGATTCAAAACAAAAAACAAAAAAAGATATAACAAAATAACTTAAAATTGTTGCTTCAGGAGAAAGGGTTATGGCACAGAAGTGATACACCCAAGCAGCAGACTACTGGTTTTCATAACAAGCTTCCTAGAATTATCTGACTCTTTAAATTGTATATAGGTATTGGATACAAATTTTAAAATGAGGGCACAGTGGCTCATGCCTGTAATCCCAGCACTTTGGGAGGCCAGGGCAGGAGGATCACTTGAGGCCAGGAGTTTGAGATCAGCCTGGGCAACATGGTGGGCAACCCCATCTCTACCTCCTCCCCTCCCCTGCCAAGAAAGGAAAATGTCCAAGATAAACAAAACATCTGGTTGAGACAGGAACAATTCCAGGAATTAAAATGACTTTACCACAACAACAACAAAACTTTAAATTTACATCCTATACTCTTATTAATTATACAGAAAAGGAACACTCAGGAATCAAAAGACCCCTTAAAGATTAAAAATATGATTTAAAATGAAAACTTCAGGGTGGGCATGGCGGTTCACACCTGTAATCCCAGCATTTTGGGAGGCTGAGGCGGGAGGATCACTTGAGCCCAGGAGCTCAAGACCAGCTTGGGCAACACAGTGAGACCTCATCTCTACCAGAAATTTTTTTTAAATTAGCCAGGCACAGTGGCACACACATGTAGTCCCAGCTACTTGGGAGGCTGAGGCAGGAGCATCACTTGAGCCCAGGAGTCTGAGCCTGCAGTGAGTTATGATCACATCACTACACTCCAGCCTGGGCAACACAGCAAGACCCTGTCTTACAATAAAATAAAATATGTACTCAGCAGCTTAAAAATAACAACTTAAAAAATTGATTTTTTTAAAAAAAATCTGGAAATCAGCTTCAAAAATCTTTCGGAACATAAACATGGTAAAATCACAAAAAGATGGAAAATGTTAAATAACACATAAGAGACACAACACTAATTCAGGCTTAAAATCTAGGAGAACAGAGAAAATGGAAGGAAGAAAATTATTAAAGAAATATTAGAAAAGATTTTCCCAAAACTGAAGGACCCCAGTCTTCATACTTACTAAGGTAAATGTTTAGCATAATAAATAAAAAATGACCCATACTTAGACATCTCTTCAGGCAATTTCAGAAAATCAAGAATAAAGACAGCCTGGGGAACACTGCAAGACCCCATCTCTATAAAAAAGAAAAAAGAAAAAAATTAGCTGGACGTGGTGGCACGCACCTGAGGCCCAGCTACTTGGGAGGCTGAAGTGGAAGGGTCACTTGAGCCCAGGAGTTCGAGGCTGCAGTGAGCCATGATTGCACCACCACACTCCAGCGTGGGCAAGAGATGAAGGCCCTCTCTCAATAAAAAATAAAAATACAAGAAAAAATAATGAAGAGAAGATCCCAAACATGTCCAGAGACCAAAAATAAGTCATCTACAAAGGAATGAGATTCATACCTTGTCACTGGAAAACACTGGGATGGTAGAAGACAATAAGGCACATAGTAGGCTGAATAATGGTCCCCCAAAGATATCTACATCCTAAACCCCAGACATGTGAATGTGGCTTTGTCAGTAACATATTAAAAAGTCAAAAGGACTTTGCAGATATAATTAAGGATCTTGAGATTATCCTGGATAAGCCAGGTGGTCCAATGTGATCTCAAGGGTCCTTATAAGAGGAAGGCAATAGGGTCAGAGTCAGGAAAGGAGAGGTTGGAGAGATGGAATTGCTGGTTTTAAAGATGGAAGAGGACCATGAGCAAAGAATGTGGCCGCCTATAAAAGCTGGAAAAGGCAAGCAAACAGATTTCTCCCCTAGAGCCTCCAGGAACAAAGCCCTGCTGACACCTTGATTTTAGGACTTGTGACCTCCAGAACGATACGATAATCAATGTGTGCTGTTAAGTCACCAAGCTTGCGGTAATTTGTTACAGCAGCAAGAGGAAACCAGTAACAGGCAATACTTTCTAATTCTGAGGGAAAGTAATTTTCAATCTAGAAAGGTCTACCCAATCAAACAAGAATACATCAATGAGGAATGAGGGCACAGTATTTTCAAACCTACAAGAACTCAGATAACTTACTCTGGATGCATGTTTGGCAGCAAACTGACAGTAAACTGAGATAACAAAAGAGAGCCTGAAAACCCGAAAGCGGTAGCTCTCCCCAGAAGAGCAATGAAAGGCCCAAGAGCACAGCTGTGCACTACTCCTAGAGAACAACCAGCTCAAAATGGAAAATTTAACACAAGAGATGGCATGATGTAAAGTTTAGGAAAAAAAGGATTGAGATGATAAAACTGAGCTACAGTGGGGGGGAGGGGGGCAAAAGGGAAAAAATAAATAAATAGGAAGCGAACTGAAAATAGCATGATTTTAAGCAGGTAATGGAGAGCAACTAAAAACTTGAACTAAACTAGGAATATTCTCCTTTGAGTGGCCTAGGAGCCATGACTGAAAAAACAGGGAAGAAAACACAATTTTCCAATTCTTCCCTGTCCTAGTAGTCTACCTTATTTACATGGTAATACACTGTAAATGCAGTTTATTGGTTTTTGTTTTGTTTTGTTTTAAAGACAGTCTTGCTCTTTCACCCAGGCTGGAGTGCGGTGGCGCAATCTTGGCCCACCGCAACCTCCACCTTCTGGGTTCAGGTGATTTTCCTACCTCAGCCTCCTGAGTAGCTAGGATTACAGGCACCCGCCACCATGAGATGGTCCACATTGCTATCTAAGGCACTCCTGTGCACTGGCCCATCTCCACTCCATCCCCACTCACCCACTATAGGACACTGTGACAACAGATGTCCCCCTCTCCTGCATCATCAATTTCCCCCTCTCTGCTGGGTCACTCCTATCAACATGCAAACACGCTGATACTTCACCTTAAAAAAAAAAAAAAAAAAAAGCAAAACACCCCTCTTTTGACCACATCCTTCACCATCCAATGCCCCATTTCTCTGCTCCCCTTTAAAGCAACAACCCTTCAAAGAGTTGCCTATACTTTACTATTTCATTTTCCCCATTCTCTTTTTTTGTTTCTTTTTTAAAATTAATTTTTAAAAATTGAGACAGGGTCTCACTGTGTTGCCCAGGCTGGTCCTGAACTCCTGGGCTCAAGTGATCTGCCCATCTTGGCCTCCCAAAGTGCTAGGGTTACAGGCGTGAGCCACTGTGCCCAGCCACTCCATTCTCTCTTAAACCCATTCCAGTCAAGCCTGTAAGCCTACTAGCCTGCCAAACTCCATCAAGGTCAAGGATGCCCACCATGTTGCTAGATAAGTCAGTTCTCAATCCCCATCTTACTTCCATTAGCAGCAGTCTCACCTTTCATATCAGAGAATAAATAAATCAAGACAGAGATATAAAGAAATTATCTAAAGTTACAGAAGTAAAACAAATAAAATGAGACTGAATGTCAGTCAAAGGAGTACTGTCTTCCTGAAGGCTTCTGTATATTTATCTTACTCCTGTGTGATTTTAAAAAAACAATTTAAGAACAGGTTTTAAGACATAAACAATAGAGTATCATCTTATGCAGCAGTTGGGTTCTAAAGTCTAAGCATAAAGCAAAAAATCAAGTTTTGACAAAACCACTTTGAAAATCCCTTATATTGTACATAATGTGTGGCATTGTGCTATCTTTCAATAAGTTCAACACAGCCAGTCTTTCCCCTCTAACATTAGCCCATACAGCACTTTGTCAATTAAACACAGATGATTCAATTTAGGGACCGTCCTGTACAAAGACTGCATGTTGTAACTTTAAGCACTAGATTGATATTCTGTTGATCGATGCTCACTAAAGAGGTACCCAAGAACAAAAAATAACCAAGGCAATAAAAGAATCCACCTGCCATCTCATGCATACCCTACGCTCACTGAATAAAGTGGCAGGCAGAATTATTGGCACTATATAAACAGTTTCTCTCTCCTTGGTTTTTGTTTTGTTTTGTTTTGTTTGAGACAGAGTTTTGCTCTTGTCAGGCTGGAGTGCAATGGTGCGATCTTGGCTCACTGCAATCTCCACCTCCCGGGTTCAAGCGATTCTCCTGCCTCAGCCTCCCGAGTAGCTGGGATTACAAGCATCCGCCACCACTCCCGGCTCATTTTTTGTATTTTTAATAGAGAGGGGATTTCACCATGTTGAACTGGTCTCGAACACCTGACCTCAGGTGATTCGCCTGCCTCGGCCTCCCAAAGTACTGGGATTACAGGCATGAGCCACAGTGCCCAGCCTCTCCCTCTTTTTCTTTTGGCCAGGCACATATAGTTACGTTTGAGTTAATTAAATGTACATATAAAGAGGTTCCATTGTGCAATGATATGTACAACTTCACCATGAATATAGTGACACAGTGATCCTACTATGGAGCTACTAGCTACTCCAAGTCAGGGCTACTTTCTTATCTAACTCATTACTATTAAAAATTATTTTTCTGAGCTACTCTGGGCCACTCTGCCTATGGGATAGCCCTGCTCTGTCTATGGAGCAGTCAAAAAAAAAAAAAAATTGTTTCTGATGCTGAAGACAACTCTCACTCCTAAGAAACCCAACCCCAAAACAGTGAAATGCATTTTCTAGCTAGATTGGTATCAGTAGTTTTTAAGCTGCCCTTAGCTCACACAGGTCTGTGACCCATTTAGGGCTTATACTCTTAGGGTAGGTAGAATCAGTGCATAAGAATCTGACACTCCCCTCCTCATTCCACCACTTGGTGACTTTGGAAAAGTTCTTGCTCTGTGATCCAGCTTTACTCTCTACATTATATAAATGCCTAATTAACTAAGTTGGACAAAGTAGTAGCTCAAAAGGGACAAAAAGTCTTCCTACACAGAACTCACTCTCTAATAAATAGATAAAACACTGCATATGTTATTTCAGTGCTAACAGGTATTATGTAAATACCAAACAGAAACTTATCAAGAAATGATTGCCTTCATTTCCCACCTACAGTTTAGCAAAAAGAAGATCAATAATACCTAGTGGAGGCAGGAGTGTAGGAAAACAACTGTTACAGATGAGAATTTAAATTGTTACAATTCTTCCAGGGGCTAGTTAGGCAATATATTCCAAAAGCCTTTTTAAAAAAACAATGTACAAGGCCCAGCACCGTGGCTCACGCCTGTAATCCCAGCACTTTGGGAGGCTGAGACAGGCAGATTACCTGAGGTCAGGAGTTCAAAACCAGCCTGGCCAACACAGTGAAACCCAGTCTCTACCAAAAACACAAAAATTAGCCAGGCACGGTGGTGGATGCCTGTAATCCCAGCTACTCAGGAGGCTGAGGCAGGAGAATTGCTTAAACCCGGCGGGGCAGAGGTTGCAGTGAGCCGAGATCCTGCCATTGCACTCCAGCCTGGGCGACAAGAGTGAAAACTCTGTCTCCAAAAAAAAAAAAAATCAATGTACAAGTCCTTTGTCCCAGCAACTACATTTCCAGGGAATATAGATCTGGGCAATATGATACAGTATCCACTAGCTACACGTGGCTACTAAGCACTCAAAATGTGTCTAGTCCCAATTGAGATGAACTGTGATTATAGAATATACTCTGGATTTCAAAGACTTAACATGAAAAAAGGAATGTAAAATATCTCATTAAGATTTTTATATTGATCACATATTGAAATTATAATATCTTTGATATATTGGGTTCAATATGTCTAAAATTAATTTTAACTGTTTCTTTTTTAAAATGTGGTTATTAAAAAATTTTAAATTACATGTGGCTTGCATTATATTTCTACTGGACAGTGCTATTTTTAGACAAACTGCACAAATATGTATGTACAAGGATGTTTATTAAAGCATGTTTTATACAAGTGAATAGCTAGAATAAACCTAAGCACCCATCAATACAGATTGGTTAACTAAATTGCAGTAAATCTATAAAAAGGAATACTTCAACTCCTAAAAATGCTGATGTACATCTAAATATACTGACATGAAATATTAAGTAGGAAAAATAAGCTTGAAAATAGTACATACTTATATGATTCCATTTTCTGTTTTAAAAAGTGTGTGGTGTGTGTGTGTGTGCACGCGAAAAGGTCTGGAAGGATATTCATCAAAATGACAACTATGGTTATCTCTGGGCAGTAGGATTACAGCTAATCCTTATTTTCTTCTTTATGCTTCTATGTATTTTCCGATCTTTGAAATAAGCATGACATACTTTTATAATTAGAACACTGAAGCTATTTTAAAAAATGATAGCCATCAGCTGAAGCAAAAAGATCAATCTTACTCACATCATCTTGGCTAGATGAAGTCTGCAGCAATAAGGGTCCTTAAGCCTACACAATGTTACAATTAGAGGGGGTTGCAAGTGCCTTTATCCCAAGCAATACTTAAACCCATCCCAAGTAATTAAAAATATTTCAAGGTTCTACAGAACATTGTGAGAACTTTGCCAAGAACCCATAAAGTGTTAACTGAGAGAACTCCGAAATAATCATTTATGGATTTGTCACCTAAGGCAACTAAGTAATTTAAAAGGGGGGGATTTCAGTGATAAAATTGGTTGCCTGTGGGACAGGGTACTGGGCGGCAGGGGTACAGGATTATCACTGTATATATAGTCTTTAGTATTTTTGAATTTTGAACTATGTGAATGTACTGCCTACTTAAAAATAAGTAAAACTTTAAAAACAAAACATTATCAAGACTCCATGATTTCCCACAGCTTACGCAAAATTTAAAACATTATTATTTAAGGTATCTATTATTGCTGAGGACAAATTACCATTAAAAATTTTAGTCTAGCCGGGTGCAGTGGCTCATGCCTGTAATCCCAGCACTTTGGGAGGCCGAGGCGGGTGGATCTTGAGGTCAGGAGTTCAAGACCGGCCTGGCCAATATGGTGAAACCTCGTCTCTACTACAAATACAAAAATTAGCTGGGCGTGGTGCTGCATGCCTGTACTCCCTGCTACTCCGGAGGCTGAGGCAGGAGAATCACTTAAACCCGGGAGGCAGAGGTTGCAGTGAGCCAAGGTCGCACCACTGCACTCCAGCCTCGGCGACAGAGCAAGACTCCATCTCGGGGGGGGAAAAAAATTTTAGTCTAGTCAAGTCAAAATAATTGGGGCTTTTGGGCAAGGACCACAAAGATATGAGAGTGTAAGTATGAAATGGGAAGATAACAGGGTGCAAACAAAATATAATTTATTAATAGTGAAATCTGTTTTCATACTCTTAGGAAAGTAAAAAATCTTAATACTTTCTCTGTATTTATATTACATTATGCTGTGTTCTTGGATGTTTTGCTTACGGGAAATATCAAAATGACAACCATTGTTTCTATTAAAGGTCTTTAATGATATTGCATTTTAGACCTGTAATGAAACATGGTGCTCACTGCAGTTTGTAATGCATCTCATTAAATACATTAATAACATGCATTGCACTAAAAGGTCAACTTATTATGACTGAAGTTTAGCTTTCCTTTAATCACTTCATTTAAAGCTATAGAGCAAACTCTGAAAAAGACAGTAGAGTACCCGTTACAGAAATACTCTCTAGGACCTTTTGCCTTAAAGAAAAGAAAAAAAACAAAAAAGACATTTACTTACAATTTTCCCACCCATCCAAATCAGTCATGTTTTTTGTTTGTTGGTTTGTTTGTTTTCTTGAGACAGACTCTCGCTCTGTCACCCAGGCTGGAGTGCAATGGCATGATCTCTGCTCACTGTAACCTCTGCCTCCTGGGTTCAAGCAATTCTCCCACCTCAGCCTCCTGAGTAGATGGGATTACAGGAACCCACCATCATGCCTGGCTAATTTTTGTACTTTTGTAGAGACGGTGTTTCATTATGTTGGCCAGGCTGGTCTTGAACTCCGGACCTCAGGTGATCTGCCCACCTTGGCCTCCCAAAGTGCTGGGATTACAGGCATGAGCCACCACACCCAGTCTGTATGTTTGTTTTTTTTGAGACGGAGTTTTGCTCGTTGCCCAGGCTGGAGTGCAGTGGCGCAATCTCGCCTCACTGCGACCTCCACCTCCCGAGTTTAAGAGATTTTCCTGTTTGGCCTCCTGAATAGCTGGAATTACAGGTGCCCGCCACCACACCCAGCTAATTTTTTGTATTTTCAGTAGAGACGGGGTTTCATAATGTTGGTCAGGTTGGCCTCGAACTCCTGACCTCAGGTGATCCACCTGTCTTGGCCTCCCAAAGTGCTAGGATTACAGGCATGAGCCACCACACCAGGCCAGTTATGTTTATTAAGAAATTACTGTTAATGTTTTTACATGAGATTATGGTATAATTTTTTAAAATCCTTATCTTTTGAACATACATGCTGAAAATTTTACTGATGAGAGAATGTGTATTATTTGCTTCAAAATAATCCAGAAGGTGAGCAGAGTTGGTACAACTACAGATGAAATAAGATTGACCATGAATTGATTATTGCTTAAGCTGGTGAAGGCATGTGGGGGTTCACTGTGCTATTTCTCTACTTTTATATAAGTTTGATATATCCCATAATGAAAAGTTTTAAATAACTCATGGTGAGATTTCCTTAAGTAACTTCCCTTCTTCCTTACATATCATTGCCACCAACATAAAAGATGTATTTCCTAATACAGTAGAAATTCTAAAAGAGAGAAGGCCAGGCACAGTGGCTCATACCTGTAAGCCCAGCACTTTGAGAGGCCAAGGTGGGTGGATCACAAGATCAGGAGTTTAGGACCAGCCTGGCCAACATGGTGAAACCCCATCTCTACTAAAAAAAATTACAAAAATTAGCCGGGTGTGGTGGCATGCGCCTGTAGTCCCAGCTACCCAGGAGGCAGAGACAGGAGAATCGCTTGAACCTGGGAGGCAGAAGTTGCAGTGAGTTGAGATCGCACCACTGCACTCCAGCCTGGGTGACAGAGAGAGACTCCATCTCAAAAAAAAAAGAAAAAAAAGAAAGAGAGAAAAAGCAAACCCTTTTAGAGAAATGGTTTTGTGCACAGAAAATCCCTTAATTTTGTTAAGATTACTCCATGACTTACCACTTATGCAGCCACTAAAATATCAGACGATGTCTTTGAAATCACTTCCACAGTTCAAGTTTAAATTACCAACATGTAACACCAAGGTGACTGGGGACTAAGTTTACGTGTTTGGGGTGGTGTGTGGAGAGGAAGGAGATATTCATTTAGTTTCTGAAAAGTAGAGTTTAGGGTGCTGAAGCTACAAAGGCATGGTACTCAGGAGTTTACTGGAGCTAGAATACAGCTGGAAGTCTGTTATTTTAGAGGCAATAGTTAGGGTTATCAGAGTAAGTGACAGTGCCAAGGAGAGACTATATTGAGAAAACGCAACCTGAGGACAGGATTCTAAACGGAATGAAATTTACATTGAGAGGATACAAAAGGAACCAGAGAAGAGATCAGAAAGGTAGGAGAACCCAAACAGCACAGGTAGTGTCACCAAGCCAAAGAAAAGTATTTCAAGGAAAAGTTAAACGCTTCAAGGAGGTAGTAGCTGGGTATAGCAATAAGGAAATCTGTAGCCATCTTTCCATAGCGTCGTAAGAGGCCAACACTGCATTGTAAGTATTAGTAAACTATAACACTTTCCAGAACAATTAGTTAATTTAAATTATATAAAGAATCCAAATACTAATAAAAAAGTAAAAAACACTGAAGACTAGTGAGGCTCAGTTACACTGATAACTATTGAGTGATTGCTCACATGGTCGAACACTGCCAAATGCCTCTTTGAGCAGAAAAAGATAATATTAGTACCTAACATTCATGGTGAGATGTGTGCCAGACACTGTGCTAATGCTTTCTATTGATTATGTCCTTTAATCCTCACAACCATATTATCCCCATTTTACTGTGAAGTTAAGTAACTTGCCCAAGGTCACATGGCTAATCCATTGCTGAGATGAAATCTAAACCAAGCCGGTCTGACTTTAACTACTCTGTAAGACCAAGCAAATTGAAAAGAGATTTAATTAAAGACAGTAAGTTCCAGTGGTTGTTCTGGGGTTGGTACAAATTCAGCCTATGTTCCACACCAGCTATACAGCACAGTAATAAATTGGTCATCCAGAGTAATGTGCTCAAGAATTTTCTCTCTCTCTCTCTTTTTTTTTTCGGGGGGGACAGTTTCGCTCTTGTCGCTCAGGCTAGAGTGCACTAGCACGATCTCAGCTCACTACAACCTTTGCTCCCGGGTTCAAGTGATTCTCCTGCCTCAACCTCCCAAGTAGCTGGGACTACAAGTGTGTACCACCATACCTGGCTAATATTTTTATTTTTATTAAAGATGGGATTTCACCACGTTGGCTAGGCTGGTCTCAAACTCTTGACCTAAAGTGATCCGCCTGCCTCAGCCTCCCAAAGTGCTGGGATTATAAGCGGGAGCCACCGTGCCCGGCCAAGAACTTTTTTTTTTTTTTTGAGACGGAGTTTCACTCTTGTTGCCCAGGCTGGAGTGCAATGGCACAATCTTGGCTCGCTGCAGCCTCCGCCTCACAGGTTCAAGCAATTCTCCTGCCTCAGCCTCCCGAGTAGCTGAGATTACAGGCACCTGCCACCACACTTGGCTAATTTTTGTATTTTCAGTAGAGACGGGGTTTCACCACATTGGCCAGGCTGGGCTCAAACTTCTGACCTCAGGTGATCAGCCCACCTCGGCCTCCCAAAGTGCTGGCATTACAGGCGTGAGCCACTGCACCCGGCCAAGAATTTTTTTCTTAAAGTCTGTTTATCAAGACAGGGGAGTATACAACATATTATGTCATATTGCCACAAGAAAAATTAGCTACTCTTCAAATGCACAGCTCATTACTTGAAAACTCCCTACCCTCCCACCTTAGAATATGTGATACCAAACTTCCTTTCTTCTCCCTCCTCCACCACAACCCACCCTGTCAGATTAATAGATGCTGTCAGATTAATTGAGGTTCATCAATGAGGTAAAGGCAATTGGTTAAGTACAAAAAAGAGTAAAAAGATCAGAACAAAATAAAAGTTAAATAACACTGCAGTGATTAAAGACACTAAATGAGTTGAGTATGGTGGCTCACACCTGTAATCCCAGCATTTTGGGGAGGCTGACACGGAAGGATCATTTGAAACCAGGAGTTTTGAGACCAGCCTGGTCAACATAGTGAGACCCTATTTCCACAAAAAAAGAAAAAATTAGTCGGGCATGGTGGCTCATGCCTGTAGTACCAGCTACTCAGGAGGCTGAGGCGGGAAGATCACTTGAACCCAAGAGTTCGAAGCTGCAACGAGCTATGATCACGCTACTGCACTCCAGCCTGGGCAACAGAGCAAGACCCTGTCTCATAACAAAAAGAAATTAAATCGTATCCAAGAATATGTGTCCATTATACTGGACACTGACTAACCCCTAAAATATCTATATTTAAATATGAATTTTTTAAAATGAAAAAGGCTCAAGCAAAAAGAATAATGAGTAACAAAATGAAAACAGGCCTTATCGTGAAACATTTAAAACATTTAATCTAGAGCAGTCTAGGTCTCATTCCAAAGGCATACCAGGAATTAGGGTACTAGGACACTAAAAATAGCAGAGAAGTGCTCCAAAAATCTCAAAAAACTTGAAAACCATCAATCTGTCATCTATTTGAGAGAGAAAGGAGGCAAAGACAGGGGCGGGGATATAAATGGCCCACCTCACCCACACAGGCCACGTAAGGCTCCTGGGAAGGACTGCCCAGACTTCCCACAGGGGAAGAAGCAGACTTTAAGTGTGGCGGGACACAAAACCCAAAAACTGGACTCTAGGAAGCCATTCCTAATTACATCAGGTATTCACCTACAAGAAACGTTCACTGAACTCCCTACCTGGGAAATCCTACACATTGATCTTGAATGTCTTAAGGCGGTTCTACCTACAGGCAGATGCCAAATTAGATATCCTCCTCAGGTCCCTTCCAACTCTAACTCCATGATACTAAAAAAATAAGTTTTAAAGAGCAAATGAAAACATGAAGTCTCAGCATGCAAGTAAGACATATTGATCTCAGCTGAGCGCAGAGGCTCATGCCTGTAATCCCAACACTTTGGGAGGCCAAGGCCTCCCAAATATATATATAGAGAGATAGATACATAATCTATACATATATATCTATATCTATGGATATAGATATCTCTTTCATGAGGACTCTGAATATCTAGATATAGATATATACAGATCCCAAACACAGCACACTCACCCTAAATCTCCCTCTGCCCCAGTCCTTCAGTGCCACTGGGCACACAGGCAAGCAGCACACAGGAGGCAGTGTGGTGCAGAGGGAAGATTCCTACATCATAAGGTAGAAAAGTTGGAGCCTCATCTCCGCCATACACAAATAAGCTCTGCAACTTTGGGCAAGTCATTCTGGGTCTTAATTCTCTCATGTGTAAAATGAAGACATTGGGAACCAAATAGTCTCTCAATTCCTTTTCCTCTTCTAGAATTCTTTATAGCTCAGTAATTCTCCTCTAAAATGTGTTTCTCCCTCGGCATATCATCTTTCCTCACTCTATGTCACTCAAAGAAAGATATAAATAAGATCATCTTAGCACATTGTTCTAAAAACCTCTCAAACATAGGAAGCATCTTTTAAACACATGATACAACCAAGTTTAATGAGCTGAATTAGACATTCTTTTTCTCCCTTTCTACATCAGTGGGTTTTCAACCAGTGTCCCCTGAGCTTTAAAGAATTAACTCAGGGCCAGGCTCAGTAGGTCACATCTGTAATCCTAGCACTTTGGGAAGCAAAGGTGGGAGGATTGCTTGAGGCCAGGAGTTTGAGACCAGCCTGGACAACACAGTGAGACCCTGTCTCTACAAAATATCCCTCTCTACAGGCAGGGTGGTGCACGCTTGTGGTCCCTGCTACTCGGAAGGCTAAGGTGGGAGGATCACTGAGGTGGGAGGATTGCTTGAGCCCAGGAGGACGAGGCTGCAGTAACCTGTGATCGCGCCACTGTACTTGAGACTCAGCAACAGAGCGAGACTCTGTCTCAAAAAAAAAAAAAAAAAAAAGCAACTTGGAAAGCCAAGGGGGATGGGGAGGGGAGAGCAAGGGCAGATGAGAAGAAAGCACAATAAACATGGCTCAAGCTCCCAGTCCACTTCAATCAAAGCTGTCTTCATTTGACAAAGTGGTTCTAAGTATTCCAACAGGACATAAGTATTCTTACTATTTTTCAGGGCACTGGAAAATTCTGGGCCACCTTTGTCCTTGAACAATGGGAAAACATCTGGTTGAGGAAGCTGGTTGGTGGTCAACAGAGCTTTTTGTAGTTTGATCCTTCCTTCCAAGAGCTGGTCCCACAGTGCTGAAAAGAAGAAAAGAGAATCCCATTCCTCAATAATAAAATATTCTGGGGGTGAGGTGGCAGGGGTGGGGAAGAACAGGAAACCACACCAGTCTCTAAGCACCACAGCTTTAGCAGTTTAATGCCATGGAAACAAATATTCTCTATTAGAGAAAATAAATTCAGTATCCATGAAGCAAGTATTTGCTACAGCAGAGTGGGAATGCTAAAACCCAAGGAGAGGAGAAAACACTCTTCTCTTCAATCTTCCCCAGTTGCAGGAAGTACTAGAGCAGAACCAGCTAAGCAGATCAGTGCAGAAATGGCTGGCTAAGCATACAGGAATAGGGCTTTAGGCTTCTGGGTAAGTGGGGCATGTCACAAACTAATTGAAAGGACACAGGAGATAGAGAATAGCCAAAAACAAACAAATGAAAAGTAGACCAAATGCAGATACTTTGAAAAACAGGCAATCAGCAAAACCATGTACAAACCTATCTGGTTCTTCACGGCTCTTCCTTTCTCCACTTCCTCAGAAACTTTGACACTAGAGAAGGTCATCACCACACCATCATCCTCACTGTTTCTATCTCCAGCCCTGTCTTCCTCACTCTCGCCTTGGGAGTCTTCCGCGTCATCCCCTTCTTCCATGCCACTCTCTTCGTCTTCCTCCTCCTCACTGCTCCCAAGGTCATCCATTCCCTTGGTAAATTTCTCAAAGTCACTGATACTCTGGACACTGAAGCCCGGTGTTTTTGCAGAGTGGCTTCTGCTCTTCTTGCTCTCCCTGTGATCACCACACTCCTGTTCCTCAGCAGCACCCAGGTCGTCCTCATCATATTCCTCCAGACCCAGTCCCTCTGAATCTTCATCTCCAGACCCTTCCTCATCAGATATTTCCTCATCTACAAAGAAGAGAGGGAAGAAAGAGAAAAATGGGTATTACCTGGAGAAAATACCAAGCCATAGACTTCATTTCAACTTAAGCACTGTGGCATCAGGGGGAAAATCTCTTACTGCACTCAATTCAACAATATATTTATTACACATCTACAATCTCCAAAATGCTAAGGGAGAAGCAAAGATGAATAGAACACGGGTCCTACCCTAACAAAAGGAGCTAGTGGGAAAGACAGACTCACAACATTACAACTCAAGGAAGCATCAGAAGTGCTTTGACAAAATTTCAATAACCCAGAAGAGTGAGAAATTTTAACTGTGGGGCAAGTGAATTTAAGCTAATCTCTAAGGAAGAGCTAGCATTTGCTCTGGCCCTTGAAGAACAGTAAGATTTCAACTGGTGTTAGAGAATTACCAGTTTTCCCAAACCTGATCTGAAAAAATGTACAATCTATCACATCCGTCTGCCCTATTTACTAAATACTTATTAAGCACTCATTATGAGCCAGGGGCTAAGGAAAGGCAAATAGAATTTAATACTTGCTGGGAGGAGTTCATGGTCTGGTGGGAGTGGTAGATATGCATGCCAATAATTATATTACAAGGTCATTAGTACACAGTGTATGGAGATGGAACCACCTAACTCTCCTGGAAAGGTGGGGGATGGTATCATGTGGAGAAGGAGACATTATAATTTTACTTATGAAGCATAAGGCAACAGCTCATAGATAATGAAGGGAAAACGCACTGGAGTGCAGGATGCACAAGGAAGTGATGGGAGATGAGACTAATCAGGAAAGGTCTCGTCTTTCATGAGGACTCTGAACTTGATCCTATAGTAGACAGAGTGCTAGTTAAGGCTCTTTGTTTGACTTATGCTTAGAGTATCATCTGATATGTAGAGGTTTTTACAGTTTATCCAATCTGTTCCATGGTAGAACATAAAAGCCCCATGTGTTTCAAGTATGATTCTAAGATAGAGGGACCAGTTTCCAAAAACTTTCTTCAATAAAATAAAGATTTTAGGAAAGCGTGACAGGTCTTCAGCGCTTCTTTAAAAAGGTATATATAAACTTAAGACACAAAGCTGCCAAAAATATAAATACAAAAACTAAGTGCCAAAACAGTAAACAGAAATTATTATTTAAATTCTTTGAATGTACGCCATTTCTCAGATTAAGAAACATTCATACAGAGTTTACTAGAGTGTACATCTTGGAGTCAGACAGCCTACATTTGAATCATGTTTCTTCCACTTACTAACTATATGACCTTGAGCAAACTTATGTAACCAATTTGCCCCTCGATTTCCTTATCTGTAAAATGGGGCTAAGTAGTAATAACTTCCTGCGCAATTGGGAGGATTAAATTAGGTGACACATGTAGTGATAATGGTGATAATTTTTTATAAAAATCTGTCTAATTCCAGGTAATTTTATAATTTTTTTTTTGAGGACTTACTGTGTCCCAGGCTCTTAGAACTTAAATTATAGAGCTAAACTCAGTGCCTGACGCATGGTAAGAACTCAATAAATATTATCATATTTGTCTCATGATTGGTCCCTTTATCAGTCTCTAGGCAAAGAATATGAAATGAGCTTATCAGGAGCTCCCAGAACTACATCAAGGACTAAATCATAGATATCATAACCTAAATGATAGTTCCTTTTATATTATCTGTGGATTCTCAACATGACACCCCTGACCTTTCTAAAGGAAAACAAATGACATTCTCCCAATAATCACCATATCTAGCCCCTTCTTCCACTCTGAGAAATTTACAATTCTTTAAAACTATAAGCGCACAGACTCCTAACTCTTTTGCAGGGAAGAGAAGGATTATGTGATTTTTTAGAATGGCAAAAAATGAGTTTCACAAATAACTAATATCACACAGTGCTTCAATGCAAGTCCTGGAAAACCAAAGGTCAGGGGTCACAATTCAAGGATAACATGTTCATCAGACACAGTGGTTTTTCAGCTCATAACCCTCTCCAGTAGCCAAAATGCACTGCCTTCTCTGTCACTCCACTGTAGGGTGAGCCATTAGTCCGAACATAAGGAGTATAGCAACTTAATCACTCTGGGCTTTAGATTCCTTATGAAGTGAAATGAAGTAACCTCTAAGACCCTTTCTAATACCAAATCAATGGTCTCTCCTAAGATAACAGATAGGGGTGCCTGACCAACATGGACAAACCCCGTCTCTACTAAAAATACAAAATTAGCCGGGCGTGGTGGTGCATGCCTGTAATCCCAGCTACTCGGGAGGCTGAGGCAGGAGCCTCGCTTGAACTCCAGAGGTGGAGGTTGCGGTGAGCCGAGATGGCGCCATCACACTCCAGCCTGGGCAACAAGAGCCAAACTCTGTCTCAAAAAAAAGATCCGCAGACTACTCTTGCAAAGATCATGGGGGATGACCGGAGGATTTTAACCCTGAAAAAATTAGGGAAGAGAAGAGTTCCATTCAAAAATGTCTACTCACCAGACGATCCTGGCAGAGTCTGCTCCCAATGGTCTTCATTCCATGCTTTTCTAGAGGTGGTTTTGCCGCAATACCTTTTGTCCGTGTCCAAGAGGGAGGCTGATGCCAGTTTTCTAATGCTACCCACTACTAGGAAATCACCTTCCCCATCTTCCCCTTCATCAAACCTGTCAATCACCCTGGCAGCAGTGGCTGTCGGGGGAGAGGGAAAAGTAAACAGAATCTCCAGGTTAGCAGAAACTTTAACGGGAACCCTGGTCGACCCATTTATCTCATAGTTGAACGTCCTTTACGAAATCCCCACCAACTTCCAGGAATAGGAAATTCACTCTCTCCCAAAGTAGAACACTGTCTTACTGCTGTTTCTAAACAGAAAGTTGACTCCTGGCATCTACTAGTGGGATCTATTTCTATGACTTGGATCCTATCAAACTAGTTGAATTCCTCTTCAATGTGTGACAGTCGCTCCAATATCTTAAATCAGTCATCACGTTCTCCCCTCACTCTGTCCCATTCTTTGGGGAGTTTTCTTTGCTTATTCTGGCTAAACAGTCCCGAGTTTCTTCAACTGATCTTCCTAAGATACGGTTCAGCACTCGCATTTATCCCTCCTTATTATCCCTTTCTCACACTTCCGACTCAAGTCTAAAGCGGGATTACTCCCAGCTAGACTCTGAACATCAGCTTACAGAACAGGAGTCTCAGTCGTCAGCCACTGAACAAGTGTCTTGAGACTTCAAGAGACTTAAACAGCACCAGAAAATCCTTCCATCAGTCTCCAACTTAGTTTTGAAGGGCAACCTGAATTAAAAACATGCGACTTTCTTCTCCTCCTTTCTAACGCAATACCAGAAAGGGCATCCTCAAAGCTAACTTCCAACTTGCTAGCAGACTCTCTGGCTCCCTCCAACAGGCCTGGAGCAAGTAAACCTGAAGACCAGCTCCTCTCGGCCTGAGCCCTCGATCTGTTCCGCCCATCCAGCCGAGCACCAAGTTTCGAGTGCGTGTGAAAAGAAGCCGAAGCCCTCCTCCCGAGGCCGGGACCACCCTCGCGGGAGGCGACGTTCCTCTGCGCCAAGCGAAGGAGCGCAGGCCCGGCGGCCTCGCGCACGCCCCTCCCACGCCGCCCCCTTGCCCCACAGGGCCTGGCCCACCGCTCCGCACGTGGCCTGCCCCAGTCCGGCCTCACCTTCCTCGGGGTCCGCTTCAGGGTCCGCCTCGCTTGGTCGCGGGTTCAACAACTGTTCCAGTTGCAGCGCCAGGGGCTGCGGCCCCGCCATCGTCACCAGCTCCCGGTCCACTCCGCTTCGCGCACGTAAATGTGCGGCCCAACCCCCGGCCCCGAAGCTCCTTCCCTGCCGGATCCTCTCGCCTTGATCCGATTCCCCGACTCCGCCAGAGACCGCGCGGAGGCCACCCCACAGCTCTGGACCGGCCACTTCCGGGAGGCGCGCGGGAGGGGGCGGGGCCTGCGCGTCACTGCGGGCGTTGCTAGCATGAAGGCGGAAGCGCGCAGAAGGTTGAAGGGATTGGAGCCGTATGGGCGCGTGTGCGCGTGCGCGTGCGAGTGCGCGGGAAGGGGCGGTGCGGAAGCGCGCCAAGGCACGTGACCGCTTCTGTCGCTGAGATGCGATTGCGATGCGCGCGGCCAGTGTCCCCTTGTACAAAATATGCCTCGAGATTTGTGCGAGATTCGCTTAGGAATAAAGCATAGCGTAGCCGTGGCCCACGGTGGCTGATTTGGGAAGGAGGAGGGAGTAGGGCTTAAGCTGCTCGAATCGCGGGTGCGCACTCGGGCACGCAGAGACTGGGACCCAAAGCAGGTTTGTCATTTCGCAATTTATAGTAGTCTGAGGCCGGGCACACGCCTCCCGCCCTTCAGCGGCCAGGATTTGGGAATCCTATGTCAGGGATATGCACGTGTAAGTGTGTGGCGGACTGCTGGCGTCTTTCTTAATGGGAATACTTAGGAATCGCTGTGGCTAAAGATAGTTTCAGTAGCGTCTCTAAGTACCCTTGCCTGAGCAAGGGAAAGGGGGTGGGGTGTGGATTACTCCACTGCATACCCCTCGGTATTGATTATCTTTGCTGTTCAGAGATGAGGGCATGCTCAGGCAGCTTAAGCAGGTGCACAAATGCAGAAAAATACAGGTCTACCGTTAGAGGGACAGACTCAAAATATAAAGACTTAATAGTATAAATGTAATTGCACCCCGCACACGGAAAGACACAATCGCTTTACATCCTCTTTCCTTCATCAAGCATTCCCTGACTGCCCACTATGTGGCAGGCACTGCTAGATAAGATACAAGATAAGTAAGTTGGATTCTCCCCCCCACGGTAATCAGCCTAGGAGGGTAGACAAACATGTAAACAGAAACTGCAATAAGGGATGATAAGTGTGACTACAAAGTGGTCTATTCTTATGGTATCTGTTGGAGGTTGCCTGTAGAGACCTAGACCCCTCTAAACAGAATCTGCCTCAAAAGGATCCAGAAAAGAGATGTTAGTGGTGCACTGTGGCAGTGCCCCTTGGGTACAGCCCGGGCCAGTTGGATCCCACAGCTGAACAACTGGGGAACCCTCAGCTCTCTACTGTCTCCCATGAAAACCAAGGGAAGAGAGGATCTCTGACTTTCACAATCTTCATATGTCCTCAGGGCCAAGAGCAATAAGAGGACACCACTTTAGTGGAGCCTGTTCCATGTCCCTGTAAAGTGGCCCTTGAAGAATGAAGACAACCAGGGCTGCAGAGGGGAAGGAGAACCTGTCTGAGGGTAAACCCCCTCAGACATGGAAGGAAAAGAATGCCAGGCTAGGCAGGGCACTCAGGAGAAGAAAACGGCTTTTTACCATCCATAAGAGAGCTTAGCCTAAGAGAACAGTTTTTCGTTTATCCTCTATAATTGCAGTCTTGTGCCTGTGTCCGGGCCTCCCAAGCAAAAGTGTGTTCCTTGCTCCTTGACAAGGTGCCATGGGGCTTCAAAGGACAAAAATGTTTCTCCCACCCCACATTTAAGAAACTACCTCCTGCAATCCTATCCCCTTGCTATGTTGGGTACTTACAATGCTTAGAAACCTGGCCTTTGAGGTAAAGAGAAGGAAGAAAAGAGAAAGGGAGGTGAGTCACTGCAGAGACCACCTCTAAGCTGTCATGCAAACAGGACACTGCTGGTCAATTTGGGGGCTGTGCTGGGCAAACACTCAGCAGAAAATGCCATAGACCTGTTTACTTACTCTCCCTTCTCTGTCCTGGTCCCTACTGACTTGGGAAGCCATTTTAGCAAGGAATCAAGACCGTTCTACTGTCACACACATCCCAGGGCCCCCCAAAATGTTTGCCTGACCTTATACTGAAGGTAGAAAGAGGACTCCAGGAGTGGAGGGAAGAGGAAGTAATTCTAGGAATTAAGATGCAACTGAGAGTAGTTGAGGCAAGGGACAGGGGAGCAAATTCTCAAATACTCCCTCTGGGGGCCTCTCCCTACCTGCATTCCAGTGTCTTGAGATGGTGGGGGAAGGGCTTATTGATGGGGTAGGGATGGAGATGGAGAGTGGACTGTGGCGAGGAGTTTCAACCTCTGACTGATGTAGAGATGAGAGCAGATGAGAGGAACAGGGAGAGGAGAATAAGGGTGAGCAGTTCCCTAACAGAATGGCCTTCTCCAGAGAAGGCGGAGGGGCGCCCAGTCCACAATCCCTCTCCCTGCCCTCCAAGGGCTGCAAAGTGGCAGGCGATTAGGCACAGCAGAGGATGGGCAAGGGGTGACACTTTCCAATTGTCCCAAACAACTGTCTGCTCACTTGACAAGGAGTTTCAAGAGTTTGGGAAAACCAAGTTCCCACTTGCCTCTCTTCAGATGCTGTCCACCCTCAGGTGCCAGCCCTGGCAATGCCTATCCTGGCTCTCCACAGGTAATACTTCCCCAAGTGCCTCACCTAGAGCAGCTTACCAGCGGCAGCCAGCCCGGAGAAGTTGGGTGGGTGAGCTTCAGCTCCCTCGCCAGAGCAGATGGTGGCTCCCTGCTGCTGGAACCCTGAAGGCAGGTGGCGAGAGGCACAGAGGTGGTGGCTTTAAGATGGCCACAGGGAGAAACCAGGCTGCCCTCCCAGGCGAGAGGGGACTGCAGTGGCGCTTCCCTCCTGCTGCGCCTCCTGCGGGAGCTCCGCCTAGGTATGGTGCCGCACGTCCCCGCACCTCGGGGCCAGAGGTGGGCGGCACAGCACTGATGGGAAGGAGAACAGGCCCTGACATTTCCAGGCCTCCTCCTTGGGGCCTTCGGCTCCAAATTTGACTGCTGAGCGTTGCCACCTGTTCGGGTTTTCGCCAGGATTCTGAATCCCGCGACGAGGGGAGAGACTGCGCCACAACCACGTTGTTAGAAGAATCGAATCCACATCGTGTGCCCAACTCGAAAACGCTTCTTATCAAATACCCCGATTGCACAATAAAGCTGCTAAATAATTCAGCAGCCTTGATAGGAAAATGCAGCTTCCCAGTGAGCGCAGTTCATTTAAATGAATGTCTTTAAAGGGGGCTAGGGAGTAGAGGCTATAATGAATAAGTTAGCTAGGATTTAATGTGTATAAATGCTAAAAAGGTAAAAACAAGCCGATCCAGTGATTGCATATAAAGCAAATAAAGAAATGTGCTGCATGCAGAGGCTGGGAGTTTCAAAAGTCTCCTCTGTATTTCATACATTTTTATTTCTGAAAGAACACTGCCAGATTCCTCCCGGATAGCCTCCTCCCCCATTAGATAAGCCATCATATGGATGCAGTGAAATATTGCTTATTTTAAAGCCTTCTCTGCAGGAAAGATAAACTTGGCTGTGTCTTAACAAAATTTGAAAACAGCACTGGAAATTATATACCATTTAATGTCAAACCTTTGACTTTTTAAATAAGGAAATAAATAATCCAGAGTGAAATCTAGGTGATATGGAAAAGAAATCCTGGAACTCTAATAGCATCTGATACTGAAACACACACACATCCACAAGAATATTTCATAGTAGATAAAATATTCAAATTTCTTCCAAGTCTAATGAAGGACTGGAAAGAATCGAGCTACTTTTAGAACCTTTTGAGTTGAAATTTGATTTTGATATTAGTTATTTTTGTTCATCTTTCAGAGAAACTTAATATGTATCTTGTGCCAGGCAAAATAGTTTTCCTTCTGGGGAACTTCAAAGGTAACAAATACTATAAAACAACAATTTCATATCAGTTCTGTGAAAGGGATTAAAGTATTTCATTTCTAGCTGTACTATACATTCATTTTACATTATCTTTCAAACCACCAAATTAGAAAGCCTTTACATTATCTTTCAAACTACCAAATTAGAAAGCCGGATTATCTATAGGAAATGAAATGAAACTGAAAAGGACCACCTCTAACTATGTATTACAAGTATCTGATACAAGCCCAGTTTTGCATGTGCAGGGAGAGTGAAAGAGGGAATGCCTTGGATCTTATGCCTAATCACAGACCTGGACCACTCATTTTTTAGCCATGGATTTGATTTCTATTTCAAATTCTATATTAACTTATCAGCAAACATCTCTTCAACGGTATCAGTTAAATCCACAGGATGTAAATCTGTAGCTAATAACAGCAGGAAGCCACAGAGAAAAGCTTGGCTGGCATTAGCAAAAGGTTTCAGCCATAGCCAAGGCAAAAACAGATATATCATCCCAATCCTGCCTCTCTTTTCCACCTGGCTTCTGAGGACCCATTCAGCTCCCCATCAGGGTTCCCCTTTGAAAACATCAAATAACACACCAATTATCTAAACATCAGATTTTCTATTTTTATTAAAAACTCACAAATTTATTCAACATGTTTTCTTTCATACAGTGAATGGTCTAATATGCACTGGAGGTCACACAAGCTTAGGTTTATTAGAACAATAAAAGACATATGAGAAATTTAATATATAAAGAAAAAGTAGCAGCTGTTGACTGCATATTTGACCATAAAATTTAAATATTTTGGACTTTTATTTTAAAGACACAAAAATAAAACCTGTGTGGGTCTATATAAGTCATATTAACAATTCCATGAATGTTCAACAGGACAAAAAAATTAGCAAAGATGTTTTTTTTTAAATCTTGTAACACTTTTTTTTTTTTTTTTTTAACACTTTCTCAGGTTGCTGGTGCCAGGCACCTTTACAGTATTTGTGCTATAATTATTCTATTTGGCAACTGTCTGAATAGCATGTTTTCTCTTTGCCTCGTGTAAACAACACCTTTTTACATACTAGCACAGTGAGCCGAAAGCCCTGCAAATCTGTCAGAACATCTACAGGAAAAGAAAAGGAACAATTTTGGTTGATTGCTCAAAACATTTTGTTTTCGAACAAGAGGTTTCAAAACAGGATATATTAGTAAAACACTGAACTCCTGAATTTAACATTATACGTAAACAGTTGACTGTTTTTAGTTCAATAGTCTTTTTTTTTTTTTTTAACTTTTTGTGTGTGAAGGTAGAATACTTTTCTTGTACAGCTGATGTTCAAGTCATTTTACTGAGCGGTCTGGCTGGAGACCATCTTACCGAGTGTGTCCGTGTACGTGTGTATGTGTGTATGTGTAGTTTTGCGAAGGTAGAAGAGTTGATACGGAGGGCTTTACATTTAGAATTTTGCAATTTTGGCAAAAACAAAAACCAAAAATCCAGATAGACAAAAAATATATATATAGTCCCACCTGATGCACGGCAGGTCGGCGTTTCTGAAGCTATAAGAGTTTTTTGTCGCTGTTGTTGAACTCTGAGACAACACTAATAAGGGATATCCCAGAGCTAGAACCCTCCTGGCTGGCCCGGGAGCGCCCTGGGCCGCTTCACTTCCTTCACCCGGCTGTGCTCACGGCCTCCCTCCCCACGGCTCCTGGCATCGCCAACGGCTGTGCGCACCCGCGGCTGCCCTGGACGTCTTTTCGCCGCCCGCCTGCCAGGCGCACACGCCCGCGGGGTCTGTCTACGGATCCGGGTCCAGGTGGGAGTTGGGGAGAGGTCTGCGTTTCCTTTGGGGAGCCCCAGTTCTGCACGTCGACAGCCAGTGCGCGGATCCCAGTCCCACCTCGAGGCCGATTTGGATCCTATTTCGTGTCCCCCTTTTCCATCCGGTCTCCCCAGAAGGAGAATGGTTCTCGAGGCTGGAGGAAGGGGGTGGGGACTTGCTTTTTATGTTTTTTTTTTTCTATTTTTCTTAAATAAAGGTTCATTTCTGTACAACCACGAACTCCGCAGACCGTGCGAGACCCCGCTACCACACGGCCGCCTCGTTCATTTCGGGGGGGTGGGACAGGTGGTTTCCGTAGCTCGCCCCACCGTTGACCGACAGCGACGAGAAGGGCGGGCTGGGTCCGAAGACCTCGGCCGACATGGAGTGCAGAGGCCCGGGCAGGCTGGGCTCGGGGCTGGGCGAGTCCCCGGGTGGGTGCGCCAGGATGTCGGTAAACCGCTGCGCCTCGCTCGACGGGTGGTGGCCCGGCAGCGGGTGCTCCAGGCCACCCAGGGGCGTCCCGGACGGCCCAGATGACGGCACGAAGGGTAGGTCCACTGGTGTCTGGGCCTGCGAGGACGGGGGGCCTTGCGGGAAGAAGTCGTAGTTGCCCCCGGGCCCGTAGTACTCGCTCTGGTAATCTGCGGAGCGGCGGGGAGGGCGCAGGACGTCAGGGCCCGGCCGGGGGCCGGCGGGACCGAAAGGGAGGGAAGACGCGACCTCGGCGGGCTGAGGAAGGCCGCGCGGGGAACTCGCGGATCGCGGGGAGCCCTCGCGGGCCTGGGTGCAGGGAGGAGGCTGGGCGCAAGCCCGGGAGCTGCCCCTTACCAGCTACCCCCGTTATTCAGGGCCGTGAATTGGGTCCTCGGTCTCGCCGCCTCCCCTTGATTTACTCCCAGCCTTCTCCCTACTCGCCCCAACTCTCCAGTGGCTTACAGAGAGCGAGGCGTGCCCCCCCGCGCTGCCACCCGCTTCCAACGAAGCCCGCCCCGACCTGGCCGCGCCCCGCCATTCGGCGCGCACCCACCTCCGTAGAAGGAGAAGGGACCATTGGGGATGAGCTCGCCCGGCTCCAGGCGGTCCACCAGCGGCCGCATCCGGCGCGGACTGCGGAAGAAGGCGTGGCGCCGGGCGCCCAGGGCGCTCAGCTGCTTCATCCTCCGCTCCTTGGAGCGCCGGTTCTGGAACCAGACCTGCAGCACATGGCGGCGGGGTGAGGCCACCGAGACTCCACCCCCGACCCCGGGGTGCTCCGGGCCTAGCCAGCACCCCTTCACCGCCTGGCTAGCCGACACCGCGCGCGCGCGCTTGTGTGTGTGTGTAGGGTAGTGGTGACGGTGCGATCTCTGACTAGGACCACTCAGGGCGGACCCTGAGCCAATGGTGAGCAGGAATCCCACAGGAGGACCTGGACAGGCCGCCGTGTCTGGAGGGGGAGAGTTGTGGTATAGCTGGAGTTTTTCTAACAGTCACACTATCACAGTTACCGCTTCTCTGGGGCTGTACACACATAGAGACTACGCCTCTCCAAAATAATGTCAGACACACACCGCGTTTCCATTTCACGGTCTCTTGCAGCAACCCTCCCCCCAACCATGACAGAGACACAGAAACAGCCTATGATACCAAAACCTACAATCTCCTTTTCACACCCATGTACAATCTCACAGTGCCAAACATACTTATCCACAGCCTCTTGCCAATAGTGACACAGACACACGACTTCTCATTCATGTACACAGGTTCTCACAGTCTCCTGTAGGCCTCAGGGCCTTCCGTGTTGCACACATGTGCACATGCACAGCCAGCCTCCCAGGCAGGTACATCCACCCACAGCCACGCAGGGCATCAGGCCCGGTGAACCGGACACCTAGCACTGAGCCAGAGACTCCCCCTGGCCTGGAGCTTCAGCAGTCTCACCTCCTTTCCGCCCACAGGCCCAGCTGCCTCCAGGTAGGCTCCCATACCCAAATTTCACTCCAACCCGCTGGAAGCAGAGCTGACTCCCGGCGGAACCACCTCTCTTTGGAGGGGAAGTCCCTGATCTGGGGCTTGTCTAATTGGAGCAAGCGATCACAAAGTTGGAGTTGCAGACTTAGGAAGAGTTCACTTTGTGCAGAAGGCAGAGGGACTGATTGACTCTGGGGGACACTGAGACTTCTCTGACCCTTCCGAACCCGAGGTGGGGTGGGGTATGTGCAGAAAGAGGGCTCCCCACTCTCTCCAGAGTGTTCAACAGTTCTCCTCCTCCAGCCTCTGGCTGAACTCCCGTCCCTCCCCCTCCACTGCCACGATCACCTCTGTTGGGCTGGGAAGAGGACTTTCTAGATGCTCGAAGGCATCAGGCATTTCATAGGTCCCGCAGGCTCGGGATGTGTCTAGGCACCCCACCTCTGGACTCCATCTCTCACTTCTCTCTGGATTCTGGGCTCTCCTGGCTCGGCCTGGGTGCCCAAAGTGGCAGTGTGGGCCTCTGTGGGATGGAGAGGCGCGCCGGGGCCTGACCTGAATGACGCGCATGTTGAGGCCGGTCTCCTGCGCCAGCTGCTCGCGGATGTGGCGGGTGGGCTTGGGTGTAGCAGCGAAGGCGGCCTTCAGCGTCTCCAGCTGCTTGGCTTTGATGGTGGTGCGCGGTCCCCGCCGCTTGGCGCCCAGGTTCTGGTCGTCATTCTCGTTGCTACCCGCTTCCTTGTCCGACACGTTGGCGCTCTCCGAGTCCTTGGCGTCGTCCTGCGACGGGTCTTGGGAATCCGGAGACAAACTGGGGTCACTGCCCGTGGTGGCTAAGAGGGAAAGGACAGATGAGCCGGGGCCTTGGCGAGCCTTCCTCCCCCAGGACCCGCTTGCACCTAGCCAGCCAGGAATTGGGGCCTCACCCGAGTGAAGGCTGTTCTCTTTGGCAACACTGCTGTTACTTAGGTAATCCTCTTTGCAGACGAACTTATTCTCGTCGATGATGTAGAGTTCCTCGCCAGTGGAGAGCTGCTTGTTACACATCATGCAGGTGAAGCAGTTCAGGTGAAACACTTTGCTCCGCGCTCTCCGCACCAGGTCGCTAGGGGAGATGCCCTGAGCGCAGCCTGCGCATTTGGTACCGAAACACCTGCGGGGGGGTGGGGGTGGGGGGCGGGGGCGGGGATGGGTCAGCCAGGGGCAAGGGGAGACAGGCGGAGAGAAAGATGACAGCGAGAAAGAGGGAAGATGTAAAAAGTGGAGGAAGTAGGAGAGGAGGAATGGAGCACAGAAAGAAGGGAAGAGAGAGATAAAGAGAGGCAGAATTCCGGTTAAGCAGGTGAGGAGGCAGCAGGAGAGAGAGCGCGGCACCAGGGAAGAGTTAGGGAGGGGATACACGCGGTTAGAGCCAGGGGCCCAAGCTACCCGCCAAGCCCCAGCCTCACTCCCAGCGTTATCCCAGAGGAAAGATGCATCGTCTAAAGAAGGTGGCAAGGCAGTGACCTGTGTGGGCGGGGGGAACGGGGCACTTATTTTCCGATTAGATTCAGAAAAGTCGAATTACAATTAGAACTCTATATAAACGTGCGCGGAGCGCCGCTTTTCTCTCCTTCATCGCAAAAGGACCCGCACATAGGCATGGGGTTGGCGATGTCTAGCCCCGCTGTTGGTAAACAAACATAGCCGCGGAGAGCCCCCCTCCGTAGCCTTAGCGGGGCCGCCGCCACGCTCTTGCCTAAAGCGGGACAGGTTGGCAAAAGCGGGAGCTGCGGGAGCTGGCTCTGGGCGCTCTGCCGCGGGTTGTGGAAGCCAGGCTCAGGGACCCACTGGCAGCGGGTACGAGTACGGTTTGCCACCCTCCCGCTATGATCCAGTCCTTGAGGAAAACCGGGCAGCCCGCGGAGGCTCAGAGGCTCAGCCTGCGCGTTCTCCCGAAATACCAGCGAGCACGGAGCTTTGCTTCATGGTTCCACGCAACCCAACCCCAGCCACGAGTCCTGGAGCGGCACTGGGGACAGCGCGTCTTGGCCCTCTGAGTGGCTTTGAATCCCTCTTCCTCCTGCTCCCTGGTTTGAACTATGACCACAAACTCAGAAAAGCAGAGACCAAGTCAGCCGAGTAAATTGCGATATTTCACATCCGTAGGGTGGAATTACAATTCGCATTTGTGCCCGTTCTTCTCTGTTGACTTGTGTGTTTGTGTGAATGGAGCGGCAAAATTGTGAGTGTACGATAATATAATTAAAATGCTAAACGAATAAGGGGGGTAGGGAGAAGTCTCCCCACCAGCAAGCTGGAGGTCTCGGCTTTCCCCCAGGTTTCATCAAGGAGGTTGCTGGCTGTGGCTGGCAGTTTCCTAGGAGGACTACTGAGCGGAGCCCGTGGGAGTCGGAGTCACCTGGGGCTGAAGCCGAACCACCAGACAACTTCGGCAGCCAGGGAAGCAGGAAAAAGCTCCGGGCACTTCGCAGGCTACAGTGCAGCAGTTTGTCCAGGTCTGCACTCGGAGGCATGTCCGGGTTTGGGGAAGACCCCCGGGCGTGCAGGATCGGCTTTAAGGCCGAGTTCTTTCCTGCCGCTGACAGGGCAGTTGGCCCAGACACTCTACGCAAAAGGCTCGGAGCTTACCGCCAAGACCGCTCGGGGTCGGAAAAGGTAGTGGCCGGGAGGGAGCCTGGGCTCTGCCTGGAGGGCAAACAACCCCGAAGGCCTGGAGAATGCAGTTGCTGCAGAGCTTGGCTCCGGGAAAGACAGCAGTCCGGGCTACAACGCCCGAGGCTGCCCTGTCTCTTCCAAGCTTGAAGGGGCTTCTGGGCCGAGTCAGGCTCAGACCCTTTCTTCCCAGGCACATGCAGCCAAACCCAGACCCATAGTTTCCAGGATGCAAGCAGGGCCGCGTCCCGGGCTCCCAGCGCGCCAGCTGGCGGAGAGGCGGGCGCCCGCGGGACTTGGCTGCCCTCTCTAGAAGCAGTTCCTAACTGGGCAGCGAGGCCACGCTAACCTCTGATCCGAAGCTGGCCGGGAAGGGCCCGCGGGGAGGTAGCAGCAGAGGCGTGGGAGGAAAGTACTCACCGGAAGAAGTCGTTCTTGCAGTAGAGTTTGCCTTCCCTGGAGAAGCACTTCTCGGTCAGGTTGCATTTACATTCACAGCACTGGACGCACTTGACGTGCCAGGCCCTGTCCAGCACGTTCAAGAGAAAGCGGTCCAGGATGGGCCTTTTGCAGCCGGCACAGTGAACCATGGTCTTTGGTTTGGTCTGATGAGGCCCAGAGAGAGAGAGGGGCAAAGTAGAGCCCAGGGGATGACTCCTGAAGACAATCGGCACGAGCTCCCCAGTCTCTCCAAAAAGAGGACACACACTCGGCCGTGCAAGCCAAAACTCGCACCAGGAAATCAAAGTAGGGTGGAGGAAACGAGGCTGATCGGGGCCTGGGGGGGCGTCTCAGTGAAGTGTGCAGCCGGGGAGTCCCGGGGCCCCGGGCTGGAGCGGCGCCGCCTGAGCTCCCGGGGCGAGGAAAAGAAGTCTCAGGCGGGAGAGAATGCGACCCTTCTGCTCAGAGCCCGCGGAGGAGTGAAGGTCAGCGAGAACGGCGGCGGGAACGGAAATAAATAAATAAAAACGGAGAAGAAGAAGACGACGACTCGCCGAGCTCGGGTTGCGAGGAAAGCGCCGCTGAGTTCTCCGGGGCTTGAGGTAGAGCTGTCAGAAGTCAAAGTGCATCTGCTTTTGTCGGGGTATGAGGGCGACTGTGTGCGTGCCAGGCTGCCCACCACTGGGATTTCCCCCCTCTTTTTTTAAAAAAGGGAAGGAAAGAACAAAAGGAGCAGAGAAGCTTTGGATCCTAAACTGCCGGCATCGCGCCGCGGGTCTGGACGCGCCGAGCGCCCGCGCTGGGCCTGGGGGAGGGGGCGAGGGCCGACCGCGGGAGAAGGGAAAGAGGGGAGGGTAGGAGGAAGATCTTGGTGTTGATTGCTGTTGTTGCTTAGGTTTCCCCGCTTTTGGAGAAGTGTTTGTGTCAATCGAAAACAGAGAGGGACAACTCCGTGCGGAGGCAGCCAGGCGCACTCGCTCCTTCCCTACCGCCCCAGCCCAGTCACCTCGGCCCTTGGCCTGCCTGGCGGCCTCCGTGTCCTCAGGGCGACCCTCCCTGCGCCCGGGCTCCTTCGGGAGGCACTACGGGCTGGCTTCTCACCGCGCCTGGCCGTGCATCGTGGCTCCAGTCACAACTCGCGGCCGCCTGGGCGCACAGCCCCGCATCGCTCGGCCCACGCTCTGTCTGCCTCCGTCTAACCCCACAGTCGCTCGACTTTCTCTCCTTTTCCTTTTCCCCTTCTTTTTTTCGTTGTGGTGGCAAATCTGGGTTTCCTTTCTAGCCTCCTTCCTTTTTTTTTTTTTGTTTTTCTTTTGCAGCGGGAGGAGTCGGGGAGGAGGGGGGCAGCTTGGAGAGCTTTAAAAAAAAATGTCCTGGCGCAGCGGCTACAGTAGGCCGGCGGCTGGAACGGCTCGGCGCGGACCGCCGCTGTCGCCGCCCGGGCCGCGGCTCGTTGCTGGCCCTCCCCGGGCGCGTCCCTCAGTCCCTGGTCTCCTGGCCCAGTCGCCGCCCCGGTGCGTCTCTCCCCAGCTCCGGCGGCTTGGTCACTGCTCCTGGCTGTTGGCTGAGCTCTGGAAGCCCCCTCGCCTTAATGCAGCGCCCGCTGACGTCACTGCGGCCTGCGACCAATCAGCGCCTCGCGGTCCCTCTGTAAACCATTCTGCATCCCCCGGCCCGGGAGAGTGCGGGGAGACCGCGTTTAGAGGATCAGTGGCGGCGGCACCCGCGGCCCCGCGCGGCGCGGACGGCGGGCAGCACCGTGCCTGGGCCCCCTCCTGCTCCGGTAAGGCGTGGGTTTCGATGGGAGGGACAGAGAGAGAGCGGGAATAGGCGCAGGCGGAGGCCAGAGTTCTGCTGTAGAGTGGGGGTAGTCCAAGACCGAGCCTTGTGGAAGGTTGGGGTGCAGCCGGGTCCGGAATCCCAGGCGGCTCCCCTGCACTGCTGGGCTTTGCAATTCAGCGGCTGTTGCCATTGTCCCCCCGTACTTTCTTGAGCTGGAAGTTTGTCCCAAGCGCAGCGCACATCTTTGGAGGGGGAGGAGGCTCTTAGCAGCAGAATCTCCCTCCTCCCGTCCCTCTTTCTGTGCCCCCTCCCCCAATCCATCCAAAGTCCACAGGGTCCGGGTCCTGGGCGAGCTGAGTGTCTGTCTCCCGCAGAGCACTCTTGCAAAGTTGATTCGGGCGGTTTCCTGATGGGGGCGGGGAGACCGGAGGCGCGGCGCCGGCGCGGGGGAAGGAGTGGACCGGGAAGCGCCTCGGGTGAGGAGTTGCAACCCTGGCGAGAAAGTTGTGAGAAAACTGTGATCCGGAGACACCTTTTACGTACAAAAACAAACGACTAGGCGGGAAACCGGGGGCTCCAGCGGC